>NC_000007.14:139381779-140006779 GCF_000001405.40 Homo sapiens
TGGTCAGGCTGGTCTCGAACTGCTGACCTCAGGTGATCTGCCCGCCTCACCCTCTGAGAGTGCTGGGATTACAGGCATGAGCCACTGCGCCTGGCCTAATTTTTTTTTTTTTTTTTTTTTTTTTGAGTCAGATTCTTGCTCTGACACCAGGCTGGAGTGCAGTGGCACGGTCTCGGCTCACTGCAACCTCAGCCTCCCAGGTTCAAGCGATTCCCTTGCCTCAGCCTCCCGAGCAGCTGGGACTACAAGGTGCGCCACCAGGCCTGGCTAATTTTTTGTATTTTTGTATTTTAGTAGAGATGGAGTTTCACCATGTTGGCCAGGGTGGTCTCAATCTCCTGACCTTGTGACCCGCCTACCTTGGCCTCCCAAAGTGCTGGGATTACAGGTGTGAGCCACTGCCCCCAGCTAGTTTTTGTATTTTTAATAGAGATTGGGTTTTACCATGTTGCCCAGGCAGGTCTCAAACTCTTGACCTCAAGTGATCTGCCTGCCTAAGCCTCCCAAAAAGAACCAATCTTAAAAAATACTTACAGATAGGGTTAGGGACTTTGATATTGTCGTAGTCAATATTATTGGGGACTTTGATATTGTCACAGTCTTTATTTATTTATTTATTTTTTGAGACAGTCTCTCCCTGTCACCCAGGCTGGAGTGCAGTGGTGCTATCTTAGCTCACTGCAACCTCTCCCTCCTGAGTTCGAGTGATTTTCCTGCTAGTCTCCCAAGTAGCTAGAACAACAGCCACGCGCAGCCACAGCCGGCTTATTTTTGTGTTTTTTTTGTAGAGACGAAGTTTCACTTCCACCATGTTGTCCTGGCTGGCTGGTCTCACACTCCTGGGCTCTAGGGATCCACCAGCCTAGGCCTCTCAAAGTGCTGGGATTACAGGAATTTGGCACCATGCCCAACCTAAAGTAATTAAAGTAAAAATGTATTTGCTTATTTGAAGTGATTAGATGGGATTATTGGTTGTCAGATATTCTGACTGAATTTTATGTTGCCCCAGTAGGTTCCGGGTTTTATCCCAGGTGCACCTTTTATGATTTGAAACTCCTTTTTCTTATTGCTTCCCTGACTCTGTTTTAAAGCCTGATCTAAAAATCAGTTATGTGGGTACATACAAACCCAAACTTTAAAAACTGCTGAAGTATCTTTTTTTTTTTGGAGGAGTCTCCCTTTGTTGCCCAGGCTGGAGTGCACTGGTGTCACCTCAGCTCACTGCAACCTCTGCTTCCTAGGCATAAGCAATTCTCCTGCCTCACCCTTCCAAGTAGGTGGGATTACAGGCGCATGCCACCATGCCTGGCTAATTTTTGTATTTGTATTTTTATTTTATTTATTTATTTTTTTGAGACGGAGTTTTGCTCTTGTTGCCCAGGATGGAGTGCAGTGGCACGATCTTGGCTCACCGCAACCTCTGCCTCCCAGGTTCAAGCAATTCTCCCACCTCAGCCTCCCAAGTAGCTGGGATTACAGGCATGCGCCACCACACCTGGCTAATTTTTTTTGTATTTTTAGTAGAGACGGGGTTTCTCCAGTTGGTCAGGCTGGTCTTGAACTCCTGACCTCAGGTGATCCGCCCATCTCGGCCTCCCAAAGTGGAGAGTATCTTGGCTTTATTGGATTTATTTATTTATTTATTTTTTGAGATGGAGTTTTGCTCTTGTTGCCCAAGCTGGAGTGTAATGGCGCGATCTCGGCTCACTTCAACCTCTGCCTCCCGGGCTCAAGCAATTCTCCTGCCTCAGCCTCCCGAGTAGCTGGGATTAGAGGTGCTGCACGCCACCATGCCTGGCTAATTGTTTGTATTTTTAGTAGAAACGGGGTTTCACCATGTTAGCCAGGCTGGTCTTGAACTCCTCACCTCAGGTGATCCGCCCACCTCGGCCTTCCAAAGTGCTGGGATTACAGATGAAAGCCACCGCGCCCGGCCTTGATGTCTTTTTTTTTTTCTTTTTTCTTTTTTTTTGTGACGGAGTATTGCTCTTTCGCCTAGGCTGGAGTGCAGTGGTGTGATCTCGGCTCACTGCAACCTCCGCCTCCTGGGTTCAGGTGATTCTCCTGCCTCAGCCTCCCGAGTAGCTGGGACTACAGGTGCCCGCTACCATGCCTGGCTAATTATTATTATTATTATTATTTGTATTTTTAGTAGAGACAGGATTTTACCACGTTGGCCAGGCTGGTTTCGAACTCCTGACCTGAAGTGACCCACCCACCTTGGCGCCTCCCAAAGTGCTGGGATTACAGGTGTGAGCCACCTTGCCTGGCCCTGGCCTGGATTTCTTATCAAAATATGACACCAGTGGTTACCTGTGCAAGTATGAAAAATCAGTCTGTAAATTGTTTAACTCTTTTCCCATAAATGGTTTATTTTGGGCTGCCTTGGTATTATTTAAGGGTTTAAGTATTATTTAACTAAGATTAAAATTTGAAGAGATCTGGATGTGGAGATCTGATGTTTTTGGCATTAACCCTGATTATTGGCTTGATATTTAGTCAAATGTATATATATTTCATATATACTCCAGGCTGGAGTGCAGTGGCGTGATCGTGGCTCACTGCAACCTCTGCCTCTCGGGTTCAACCGATTCTCCTGCCTCAGCCTCCCGAGTAGCTGGCATTACAGGCTTGCACCACCATGCCCCGCTAATTTCCAAATTTAGGTTTGAAGTGTGTTCTTATTTTAAGCAGATTTGCTGTATTTTATTTCTCTCAGTCTATTACAAAAATATATATTCTCAACTATTTCTAGAGACTGCCTAAATAAAAAATGCATTTGGTGCCCAGGAAGTTAACAGTGCTTTAAAAGATTGCCAGTGAATAATTAAAATTTTACTATTAAACCTTAAAAACCAAGGCTTTAATCGTTTAAAACATTTTTGGCAAATAGGAACAAGAATACTCAAAAATAGTAAACGGGGTACTCACGCCCTTTGGAAATAATCCTTTTCTGTCATTCTGAATAATAATTTTTTTTAAGAGTTGGGGGTCTCACTGTGTTGTCCAGGCTGGAGTGCAGTGGCTATTTGTAGGAGCAATCATGGTGCAATACAGCCTTGAACTCCTGGGCTCAGTTGATCCTTCCAACTCAGCCTCCTAAGTAGCTGGGACTACTGCAGATGCACACCACCATATCTGGCTCTATTTTGAATAATCTTAGATCATTCATTTTATATACTATTTAAAATAACACAATTCAGGCTTATGGAGGTAGGTAATTTTTTTCCCCATGGTGACCCATAAACCATGTATAGTAATATCTTATTCTGGTTTAGTGTTTGTTTCTAGTTGAGGGTTGTCAGCACTTTTGTGTATTACTTGTATTAATAAGTACAGATATACGTTCATATGGGTATGGCGGACTGTAGTGTTGATGTTTATTTAATGAATTTTCATGTACCCATCAGCTAGCTTCAGGAAATATTTTACACACAGCCTACTGTATTTTATTTATAATCACATATATTCCCCCTGCAGCTTTTTTTTGAAGGACATCTTCAAAAGTCTTGAATCTATCAGTTAGGATTACTTTTTTTTTTTTTTTTTTTTTTTTTTAAAGAAACAGGTTCTCATTCTGGCACCCAGGCTGGACTGCAGTGGTATAATCGTAGCCAGTGCAGTCTTGAACTCCAGGGTTCAAGTGATCCTCCTGCCTCAGCCTCCCAAGTAGCAAGGACTGCAGGCTCATGCCACCATTCCCAGCTAATTTTAAAATTTCTGTAGAGAGAGACTCTCGCCATGCTGTCCAGGCTCTTCTCAAACTCCTGGCCTCAAGGGATCCTCACACCTGGGCCTCTCAAACATGCTGGGATATGGAGGTGAACAACTGTACCCAGCTGTAAGATGACTCTTGAAATTAAAGAAAGTAGTAAAAACCAGTTATTCCCAAACAAAGTAGGAGGTCTGGAAGTCATTGAAGCAGATTGTTTTTCATAGTCTAGTACTGGTTAATATATTTCAGTGTCATATTGATTTCTTTGTACAATGAGTCTCAATAAATGCTTTTTCCCTAAGGATCAGGAATTATTCTCTTAGTATTTCCTGGACCCTCCAGATGTTTTTTAGAGATAAGTAGTTTTATCAACTGTATTTTAACACTTCTAAGGAAACAAGTGTGTTCTCCGCAACTATTTGTTGAAAAAGGGAATATGGAGTTATAAATACATCATTTGGAGGATGTAATTCATTGAACACAATAGTAAGAAATGAAAACTTGAAAACAATAATTTTTTTTTTTGAGACCAGAGTCTTGATGTGTCTCCCAGGCTGGAGTGCAATGGCACAATCTTGGCTCACTGCAGCCTCCACCTCCCAAGTTCCAGTGATTCTCATGCCTCAGCCTTCCAAGTAGCTGGGATTACAGGCACCCACCACCACGCCTGGCTAATTTTTGTATTTTTAGTAGAGATGGGGTTTCACCATGTTGGCTAAGCTGGTCTTAACTCCTGGCCTCACGTAATCCACCTGCCTTGACCTCTCAAAGTGCTGGGATTACAGGCCTGAGCCACTGTGCCCAGCCTAAAAATATTCTTTATACAGGCGATTAACCACAAACATCAAGCACATTTACAAAGAATTACAAAATCTCTGTCACTGGAAATATTTTTCTCTGTCACTGGAAATTTTTTTTTTTTTTTTTTGAGATGGAGTCTCACTCTGTCGTCCAGGCTGGAGTGCAGTGGTGTGATCTTGGCTTACTGCAAGCTCCGCCTCCCGGGTTCACACCATTCTCCTGGCTCAGCCTCCCTAGTAGCTGGGACTACAGGCGCCTGCCACCACACCTGGCTAATTTTTTTTTCGTATTTTTAGTAGAGACGGGGTTACCGTGTTAGCCAGGATGGTCTCGATCTCCTGACCTCATGATCTGCCCACCTCGGCCTCCCAAAGTGCTGGGATTACAGGCATGAGCCACCACGCCCGGCCACTGGAAATATTTTTTAACATGTGATGAGTTCAACCTTTAGGCAAGACCTAAATGCTTTCTAGCTGATTCTTACTCATTAAGGGAACTTCTAAAAGCTCATTAGTGTTTTACTTTAACCTATATAGGATTAAAGGATTAGAGCTTTTTTTTGAGACAGAGTTTTGCTCTTGTTCCCCAGGCTGGAGTGCAATGGCTTGATTTTAGCTCACTGCAGCCTCCTCCTTCTGGGTTCAAGCGATTCTCCTGCCTCATCCTTTCAAGTAGCTGGATTACAGGCACGTGCCACCATGCCCGGCTAATTTTTTGTATTTGTAGTAGAGACAGGGTTTCACCATGTTGGCCAGGCTGGTTTTGAACTCCTGGCCTCAGGTGATCTACCTGCCTCAGCCTCCCAAAGTGCTGGGATTACAGGCATGAGCCACCGTGCCCGGCCAGAGCATTTTGAGAATACATGGTCTCATAAACTTTTTTGGCTTGCAGGATCAAAAATAAAGATATGTGTTGATTTTACTCAGATAATATGACTTGTAAAGCTGGAGTGCAGTGGCGCGATCTCGGCTCACTGCAAGCTCCGCCTCCCAGGTTCACGCCATTCTCCTGCCTCAGCCTCCCGAGTAGCTGGGACTGCAGGCGCCTGCCACCACGCCTGGCTATTTTTTCGTATATTCAGTAGAGACACGATTTTACCATGTTGGCCAGGCTGGTCTTGAACTCCTGCTCACCTTGGCCTTCCAAAGTGCTGGGATTACAGGTGTGAGCCACTGCGCCTGGCTGAAAATTTTTATTTTATTTATTTATTTTTTATACGAGAGCTCTTGTTTCCTGATGGAAACAAAAGAAACAAATGGAGAAAATTTTCGATGAAGTGACATTTGAGATCGAATGTGGAGAAGAAGGTAGTCATTTCTGAGTGGGAATCAACTTGCCATTTTGTTCCTACGCAAAACTTGTGGTGGTTCTGTATTGTTTATACCTGTACTGAAAAATCTAAAATACTTACCCAGGCTACTTCTCCCTTGAATGAATAAATCGTATAAGTTGTTTTTTCTTTTCCTTTTTTTTGGAGACAGAATCTTGCTGTGTCATGCAGGACTGAAGTGCAGTAGTGTCATTATAGCTCACTGAAGCCTGAAACTCCTGGCCTCAAGTGATCCTCCTGCTATGGCCTCACAAAGTGTTGGGATTGCAGGCGTGAGCCACCATGTCTGGCCTGGTTCTCTTGTTTGACCAAACTGATTTACTTATTGTCGTCTCACTCCTTTCTTTCCCTCGCATGCTTCTCATTTTTGTTTACACTCTTTTCTTCTGCCTGCAATATTCTTTCTCCTCTCTACAAATTTAAATCCTATCTGGCTTACTATATGTGATTGCCTTACCCTGTAACAATTTAGCCTCTGAACCCCAGTATAGCACCTGCTTTCTGTACTATTGAAAAAAAATTTATCTCATTTGTGTATATATTCTCATTCTCTCTCTCTTTCCAGTTAGATAGTACACCATAGTCTTTGTGTGATAAGACCTCTTGTTTTAACTTTTTCTAGTTTTCTTTGCATATCTAGGGTCAGAAATGGTTATAAAAATATTTCCTATGTTCTTAAGAAAATTACAAAAAGGTAGAAAAATATCATGATTTATCTTTACTTTGGGAAAAATAGGTTTGGAGCTGGAACATATACAAGTGGGAAGAGGCAGTTAAGAAATTGGGAAGTGGTAGAAAAGCAGCAGCGTTATGTATGCACAATGTGCCCCATTTCTCTTCACCCTATACTCATGTCTAAGGTATACTTGTTAACATGGGGGTCAGACTCCGTGTTCTTGTGTAATTCGTTAGAGCATCTTCTGGAAAAATGCTTGAGCTGTAACTATGGGGAGGAATATGTATAACTTTCATCCTGGAAAACTTGGATAAAGAAAGCCTGTAGTGAATGTAGTCATATATCTGTATCATACTAGATGCTGCTACTTAGATTTCCTGTTATTACATCAAAATCATCTTGTCCAGAACAAGACATTTTCCCTCATAGATCAGTTTTCCCATTTGATTTAGTCAGTTCTCTTGGTGGCATCATTGTTTTCTCATGTTTGAAATACTTGAAACCCTGAAGAGACTCCTGACTTTTTTCTTTCCACACTTAATTTCCATTTAGCTAATACCTGTAGGTTGAAAGTTATTGTGTTATTGAAAGAATATTGAGCTATATTAAAGACCTGTTGAGATTTTTACTCTGCTGCCATTAGCTTATGATCTTAGGCAAATATTGATCTGTCTGAGTCTTGATTTCCATATTTGTAAGAAGGTGTGATGGGATTCATTATTCCAGAGACACTTCACATTTTTTAAATGATTTTTTTTTTTTTTAATTCTTCGGCACTCTGGTTTACCTCTGTCACCTCCTTTCTTTTTTCTCTTCTAATTTGACCCCAGTGGCTTTATTCCTAGGTTCTTGTAATATCTTTTCTTGCCCTTTGTCTCTTTCTTCTGGTCAATCCATCTAGTGTTAATGGTTCTGAAACATGGATTTTATTGTGTCGTATTTCTGCCTGAGTAGTCAAGCATTCTTCTTTGCCTACAGAATAAATTCTGCATTTTTTTTGACTCATTTTCAGACTCTTTCACCATCTAGTCAGAGGCTGTAAACTAGTGGCCTGTGGGCCAGTATAATCCTACATCCCCTTTTCCCCCCATCATTTTCCTTTATCTTCTAGTAGAAATCTTCTCGTTCCAGTTAAGTTGTTCCTCTTTATTTTCCCGATAGGAAATACTGTATTCTCCTCTTGAAGCATGTGCTCTGGCTCTTTCCCTCTATTATTTGTCTTCTGTGTAAATTATCTTCACTTGTCCTAGAAACCTCCTCATACACACTGATATTTAATAAAGATAGCCCTCTTTTGTGAATTTGCTTGAAAATGGAAGCATTAGAAGTAGGTAAAGTTATGAGCCAAGGAAATAAGTTATTCATTGAACAAATATTGAGCTGTAATATAATATTATATCATATTATGTAACAAAATATTGAGTACCTATTATGTGGTGGACTGTGTTATCTGATTGGGGCTGTTACAATGATCAAGAAAGACTATGTTCCTCCCTCATTGAGCTTATATCCCATTGCAATCAATATGCAAAAATAAGTAGGTTGACAGCCTGCCTTCAGAGTGCTTTTATAAACATCTTACTTGATCTGAACAGCAATCCTGAAGTACTTGAGAAAACAGAAGTTCAGCTGGCGCAGGCAGGATCACTTGAGGCCAGGAGTTACCAGCCTGGACAACATAGCAAGATCCCATCTCAAAAAAAAATTAACTTGGTGTGGCATGCACATGTACTTCTAGCTAGTGAGGAGACTAAAGTGGGAAGATCACTTAAGCCTAGGAATTCAAGGCCGCAGTGAGCTATGATTGTGCCACTGCACTCCAGGTTGGAAGGTCAGAGAGTTTAAGTGAATTTCTCAGGATCAAATGGATAATACGAGGTAAAGAGAGGTGTTTTGATGTGGTCCAGTGCCCAGTCTCTCTCTCTCTCTCTCTCTCTCTTTTTTTCTTATTTTTTTTTTTATTTTTATTTTTTTTGGAGACCAGGGTCTCAATCTGTCCCCCAGGCTGGAGTGCAGTGGCGCCATCTCCACTCACCACAACCTCTGCCTCCTGGGTTCAAGTGATTTTCCTGCCTCAGCCTCTTGAGTAGCTAATTTTTGTATTTTTAGTAGAGATGGGGTTTCGCCATATTGGCCAGGCTGGTCTCAAACTTCTGACCTCAAGTGATCCACCTGCCTCGGCCTCCCAAAGTGCTGGGGTTACAGACATGAGCCACTGCGTCTGGCCTAGTCTGTCTTATTACTTAGACAATGTAGTTTTTTTTTTTTTTTTGAGACGGAGTCTCGCTTTGTCGCCCAGGCTGGAGTGCAGTGGCACGATCTCGGCTCACTGCAAGCTCCACCTCCCAGGTTCACGCCATTCTCCTGCCTCAGCCTCCCAAGTAGCTGGGACTATAGGCGCCCACCACCATGCCCGGCTAATTTTTCTGTATTTTTAGTAGAGACGGGATTTCACCGTGTTAGCCAGGATGGTCTCGATCTCCTGACCTCGTGATTCGCCCGTCTCGGCCTCCCAAACTGCTGGGATTACAGGTGTGAGCCACCATGCCGGGCCTAGACAATGTAGTTTTTAAGTACAGGAGAATAAAGCATAAAACATGAATATTTCCAATTATACATCACCCTCCTTCTCAGATCTAAACCTTGTCAACAATTTAGTGTACATCTTTCACTCTCCTTGTGTAAATGCTTGTGCACACAAGCTTGTGTGTTTTAACAGATGCCATTATATTGTTTGAATTTTTTTCACTTGTCTTGGAGAGGTTTCCATATCAGTTGTCTGCATTTTTAAAAATGCCTGAATAATATTGTGTAGTGTGGCTGTTCTCTTACATGCAGTGAGTATTAATATATTCATAGTCTTTGTTTCTGTTTTTGGTGTACACTGTGGCAGTCAAATCCTTGTATGTACATCTTTGTAGACACTTGCAGCTGTTGCTTTAGTTTAAGGCCTTGATTTCCATTGTGAATATAAATTCCATAATAGTAGAAATTATATTCTCATGCTGTTCTGTAATTTTGTTCAGGATCTGGTTCTTAGAACTGAACAAATGTTCAAACACATAACAAAGCAGTTATATTTACAATTACTTGGAGCTATTACTATGCCAAATTCTATCGTTTATATATTCATTAACATATTACTACTATTAATTTACACTTAGCAGTACACTCAAAATGTATAAATCAACCTTTTGATTTGCTCTACTGTAATATGTCTATTCGTTGATTTTAATGTATAGTTTTCACATGCCTCTCAATTTTTTTTCTCTAAAATTAAATTGGCTTCTTTTTTTTTGGTGGGGGGGACAGGGTCTCAGTCTGTCACCCAGGCTAGAGGGCAGTGACATGATCTTGGCTCACTGCAACCTCTGCCTCCCAGGTTCAAGTGATTCTTCTGCCTCAGCCTCCTGAGTAGTTGGGATTCCAGGCATGTCACCATGCCCAGCTAATTTTTATATTTTTGGTAGAGACGGGGTTTCACCATGTTTGCCAGGCTGGTCTCGAACTCCTGGCCTCTAGTGATCTGCTTGCCTCAGGCTCCCATAGTGCTGGGACTACAGGTGTGAGCCACCACGCCCGGCCTGGCTTCATTGATTTTTCCAATTGTAGTAATAATCATGCTCATTGCTTATAATTCAACCAGTACTAGAAAGTTCAAACAACCCTCATAGTAATATAGATTTGTAAATTCCAAAATTCGTATTTTATTATGTCTTTCTTTGCCACCTTCTCTTTTCTCCACTTGGTATATCAAGAACATCATTTTTAAAGGCTAAATAGACACTGTATGGCTATTCCATAGCTGAATCAACCAAACCTCTGTTGAGAGGCTCTTAAAATGTTTCTTCTTGTATAAAAAACAACATTGTTAAACTTTATTCTCCATTTATCTTTTTATAATTATTTCACTCTTAATTCCTTAGAAATAGAATTCCTTAGTCAAATTATCAGGTTTATTCAGTAGTCATGGTTTGTGCAAAACCTGGTCTTCTGGGAGGGATAAGTAAGAAAAATGGACCATTTTTCTAATGAAGCTTAAGAGTTTATTTGGGGAAATAACATTCACTTTTGGAATTTCAAAAGAAAAGTTAAAAATTCTTGACGATTTAACTTTGTTACCTTTGTTAGTAAAACAATATAAAATGCTGTGGAGCTATAAGTTACCAGGATCAGGTATAGTTATTTGGTCCACATTTCATGCAGTAATGGATTCAGAATGGAGAAGACAAAATGCAGAACTGAACTTAATTACAAATAAGCATTTTTTAAAAAATCTACAATCTAAGCATTTAGATGTAAAAATATTAAAAACCAAGAATAAGCTTGTGGAAGGAATTTAATTATGAAGTAAACTACTTGTCTTTTTTTGAGATGGAGTTTCGCTCTTGTTGCCCAGGCTGGAGTGCAATGGTGTGATCTTGGCTCACCGCAACCTCTGCCCCCCAGGTTCAAGCTATTCTGCCTCAGCCTCCCGAGTAGTTGGGATTACAGGCATGCACCACCACGCCCGGCTAATTTTGTATTTTTTTAGTAGAGACGAGGTTTCTCCATGTTGGTCAGGCTGTTCTCAAACTCCCAACCTCAGGTGATCTGCCCGCCTCGGCCTCACAAAGTGCTGGAATTATAGGCGTGAGCAACTGCACCCAGCAACTACTTGTTAAATTAAAAAAAAAATTTTAAGACCAGGTGTGGTGGCTCACGCCTGTAATCCCAGCACTTTGGGAGGCCGAGGCGGTTGAATTACCTGAGGTGAAGAGTTTTAGACCAGCCAGGCCAACATGATGAAACCCCAACTCTACTAAAAATACAAAAATTAGCCAGGTGTGGTGGTGCACACTTGTAATCCCAGCTAGTAGGGAGGCCGAGGCAGGAGAATTGCTTGAACCTGGGAGGCAGAGGTTGCAGTGAGCTGAGATTGCACCACTGCACTCCAGCCTGGGCAACAGAGCGAGACTCTGTCTCCAAAAAATTAGCCGGGTATGGTGATGTGTGCCTGTTGGTCCCAGCTACTCAGGTGTCAGGTGGCTTAAGCGGGAGGATTGCTTGACCCTGGGAGGTAGGGTTGCAGTGAGCTGAGATCATGCCATTGTACTCCAGACTGGGGGACAGAGTGAGGCCCTGTCTCTAAAAAAGTAAAAATAAATAAATAAATAATCATATATTTTGTGACAGAGTCTTACTCTGTTTCCCGGGCTGGAGTGCACGATCTCAGCTCACTGCAAACCTCTGCCTCCTGGGTTCAAGTGATTATTGTACCTCATCCTCCTGAGTAGCTGGGATTACAGGTGCCTGCCACCCTGTCCAGCTATTTTTTGTGTTTTTAGTAGAGATGGGGTTTCACCGTGTTGCCCAGGCTGGTCTCAAACTTCTGACCTCAAGTATCTGCCTGCCTTGGCCTCCCAAGGTGCTGGGATTTCAGGAGTGAGCCACCACACCTGACCATGTTTTAAATTTTAAGTACTTCTCATGTGCATAGCACAGTGCCAGAGTAGATGCTTAGTAGTCATCATGGTATGGACAGAGGAATATAGATGACTAGTATTCTGAAAATCTGCCTTGGCTATACCTACTGTCCCACTAGGTCCCTGAAGAGATAACCACTGAGGATATTCCACATACAAAAAAGCCTTCTTTATTATAATTAGGCCCTTGGTCCTAGGGCTTTGACACCAAAATCTACTATGATGAGTCAGGCTAGGCTATAAACTTGCAAGGACTTAGAGCCCAGAAAGTGACAAGCCCAACTAGCCTGCCTCTTGGAGGAAAAAAGAAGAATAGCTCAAAACACTTAAGAAGGTAAGGAGTCCAAGCAAAAGAGATAATCCAAGGAGAGGCTAAGAAGAACCTCCCTCCAGAAGCTCAGATCAGTTTTGTCCTGGAATTCATCTTGACCACTCTGGCTTGTTAATAAGCCGCCCTGTGCCAAATGTTCTTCTTTGCCCTCTTTCCTAGTTTGATTTATTCAACATAGGCACATCGTAGATAAAACAGAAGAATCCTTGCCCTATGGAGCTCACATTTTAGTGAGTTAATCTTACCCCTCTCATGCATCTTCCCCATGGCATGCCTTCCCCAAAAGGCTACTCTCACCAAAAAGTCCACCTCTACTATAGTGGTAAAATTGTATCTTTCTTGTGTTCATTTTGTTCTTAGTCTACATAGTTGCTTTTCTTCCTTTGGTTGGTTGTGTGATGTAACTTTAAAGAAGTGGAGGCAGGGAGCCTAGAATTATTGCAATAGAGACAGAGATGTTTAGGTTAAAAACAATGAGGCAAAATTTATGTGTTACTTTTAAGTTTTTGTTGAATACGGATTGGAAATGTAGTTGATCAGGGAACTGATGAAAGTAAGATAAAGGAGATACGGAAGAAAGGAAGTAGACAGCTGCTTTGAATCTCTGTGGTGAGCTTTCTTAGATGTTGTGGGGAATGACTTACTGAAAAATATTGAAAGGTAAGTTAGTACTGAAATAACCGGAACTAGCATGGTAAAGTGGAAGCAATATTAGACTAGGAATCAGTCTAACCAGATTTTCTGATAAGCACCCTGAGCAAGTCATTCTTTCTGTGCAAAGAATGGGACTAAAACTAGATCAGTGAGTGGTTCTCAACATTGCACATTAAAAATACCTGGGGGGCTTTTACAATTCAGTCAGTCTTTGGGAGGTAGGAATTGGGACTGTTTTTTAAAAGCTTCCATCAATATTATGTAAAAGTTCCCCAGGTCTAAGTTGAGAACCACAGTGGATCAAAAAGTCTTTCCAACTGTGACATCTTGCATTTTATGAAATAAAATAGAATGTAGCATCATGTGAACAGCTATAGCTTGTGGAAATAAAATATTAAGGAAGTTGTTGGCGTGATTGATGTTTAGAAATTGTTAATTTCAGAAACGTACTGCCTGGCATATCAAAGACAATGACAGCATCCTTCTGCCATTAGCTTCTTTCATTCCTGTTATATTTTCTGGAATTCTTTCTTAGGAATATTTAAGTTTTTCTGCATTTTCTTAATAATTGTTTAATGAGCACCTTTTAAATTTGAATTTCTACACATCATAGAAAGCTTTACTTTTTGTTTATTGTCACTGAAAAACTCCTTAGCTTGTTAAACCAGACTAATGAATCGGGGGGTAAGGATTGGAGCCTGGAAAAATCTCAGCATGCTCAGTAACAGTACAGTACTTTAATACCATTAAGCATGATGAGGACTTTTATAACAGTGATGAGTCCTCATTATTTCCCAAAGGATAACTGGGGGCAGAATTTATACGTTCCCATTCATTCCATTATATAATTAAGAACTGAAGGTAATATAGTTTTACAGAAAAACATTTTCTGTTTGTTTTTACTTTTGAGACAGGGTCTAGCTCTGTCACCCAGGCTGGAATGCAGTGGCATGATCACAGCTTACTGCAGCTTTGACCTCCAGAGCTCAAGTGATCCCCCTGCCTCTGTCTCCTCAGGAGCTGGGACCACAAGCATGGGCCACCATGCCTGGATAATTTTTTTCTTTTTTACTTTTTGTAGAGACGGGGTTTTCTTATGTTACCCAGGCCGGTCTGGAACTCCTGGGCTTAAGTGATCCTCCCACCTTGGCCCCCCGAAGTGCTGGGATTATAGGCATTAGCCACTGTGGCCAGAAACATTGTGTGTTTTTTACTTTTTTTAATAGTCACAACATCTAAGAGTCCGAAGGAAGAAAAAAGCTACCTGATGGTTGAATTATTTCCTTAATATCCTAATAAAATGGTTGTCAAAACAGTGTTTGAACATCTCATTTATCTGGGAACTCCCTAACTCTGAGGATGTTTGTTCTACCTTCAGAAAGCTTTGATTATTGAAAATATTTTCTTGGCCAGGTGCAGTTGCTCATACCTGTAATCCAGCATTGGGAGGCTGAAGTGGGAGGATCACTCAAGCTCAGGAGTTTGAGACCAGCCTGGGCAAGATAGCACCCTTTGTCTCTACTTAAAAAAAAAAATTAGCTGGATATGGTGGCGGGGGACGGTGGTCCCAGCTACTTGTCGGGGAGGGGTGCTTAGGTGGGAGGATCGCTTGAGCTGGGAGGTGGAGGCTGCAGTGAGCCATGATTATGCCACTACACTCCAGCCTAGGTGACAAAGTGAGACCTTGTCTCAAAAAAAGAAGAAAAAGTATTCAGAGAGTTGAAGTCTGACTCATTGGAGTCCCTTCGGGCCATAATAAAACAAATCTATTTCTGCTGCTTTATGAAAAATTCCTCAGTTGATTGAAGTTGGTTCACATCTTTTGTCTTCTCTATTTATTTCTGTTCCCTGGCTTTTTTGTGCAGCCTGGTTTTGAGATACTTTGTCTAATTTTCTCATATTCCTTTTGAAATGTGTTAGTACATAGAATGTGTGTTTTGGAGAGCAGTGGTTTGCTTTTAAAACCAGCCTTCAGTAGAGAGTTCCTACTTTGTTTATACTGTGTCCTCTTTGAGTTAGTTTTAGACAATATAGATTTTTCTCAGTTGTGCCATGCTGTAACTGTTACTCTTGACTACTTACATTTTTAAAATGTCTGATTCTCTGCTCATACCTACTTATTTGTAAATTTATTGTCTTGGATATGTAACTATAGGACTTCATATTTATTTCTTTTAAATTTTATCTGGTCTATTAATACTTTTGAATCTTGATCTCGTGCATTAGCTATCCTTTTTAGTTGGGATATTTTATAAAATTAATTATCATACGTTTGTTTTATACATATTTAGGTTGTTGACAAGTTAAATAGGCATACTCATTTTTAGATACTGTATACAAAGCTAAGGCTCAGACCTGTGTGCCATACTCTATTCCTGTTCCCTGTTACCATAAACTTCCCTGTGATTAATAGTGGCATATAAATAAATAAATATTTTAAAGATCTGCCTTCTAAATCTTCTGTACAACCTGGAACATTACTTTTTGCCTTTTCCTAAGATTCATTTGCTTCTCCCTCTTTAGATCCAGTTTAATTGTATCCTCTTCAGAAAGGTCTTCTCTGACCAACTCATCCCAAGTAGGCCCCCATAATAATGGGGAACATTGCTATTTTATTACATCATCTGACTTTGTTCATAGACATGATTCTTGTTATTTGTTTCCCCTCAAATAGAATGTAAGCTCCATGAAGTCAGACTGTCTGTGTCACTTAAGTCTATATCCCTAGCACCTAAAGTAGTGCTTACCACAAGTGGGAACTTAATAGTCAAAGGAAGGAGAATGACTTGTACTCCCTTTTTACCAACCCTCCAGAGATTTTGAGGTATTCCAAGGGTGGTCACACCTCCAGTTGGAAAATCTCCGCCTTGCTTTCATCACCGATTAATCATACCTGTAATGATCCTTGCATCTTGCCAATTTTTTCTCATATTTTCCCCCAAAAAAGTTTCATGAAAGATCTTAACAGTTGCCTAGATACATATAAAAATGGATAGATTTTTAGATATTTTGTCTCAGATATGAGGAAAGCCTCTGGTTTGGTAAATAACACCTAATTGGAATTTCCAAGTAGAAGGACCCTAGATTCAGTAAGAGTATTTATTTCCCTGATACATGCTTATTATAAGTGGGATTAAATGCTTGTTCTCTGTGCACTTATGTTGGGTCTTACTAGTAAATCACCTCTTTACTAGTTTATATGGAGTCTTGTCCCCAGACAAGACTATATCAAAGTCAACAGTCTTGTTTTGTTGTGGGTTTTTAAAAATTTTTTATTTTTTAAAATTGAGACAGGTGTTAGTGTGTTGCCCAGGCTAGGCTGGTCTCAAATTCCTGGGCTCAAGCGATCCTCCTGCCTTGGCCTTCCAAAGTGCTGGGATTACAGGCATGAGCCACCATGCCTGGCCACCAGTCTGGTTTTTGAGGACTCCATCTTTATTTGAAAAATAGGATGTTCTTCAAAGCACATTGACATCTCAACAATTTGATGTATATATTCTTTTAGTTTGGTTTAAAATTAACTTGATCTTTTTTGTGTTGTGGAGCTAAATGAACTATGTTGTGATATAGAAGCTAGCTTTTTTCAGATTCTGAAAAGCTTTTCCATATCCATTTATTCTTAAATACAAGTGATCCCTGTTCCCATCTGTTGGTAGACAAAATTGGTGCCATTTTTTTCTTCTGACACCACGTTTTATATTTGTCTATGAAATTTTGTAATTTGGAAGCCCCTACATAAAAAAGCATCTGTATGACTTAATATGTATTCTGACAAGAACTGTGGTTGTTGAAGCATTTTTTAAAAAACTTTTTTTTGTTTTAATATTATGTCTTTTTTCCCTTCCAGAGAATGGATCTTGGAGAATGTCTGAAAGTCCATGACCTGGCTTTAAGAGCGGATTATGAAATTGCATCCAAAGAACAAGATTTTTTCTTTGAACTTGATGTATGTGATTTTGCTTTAATGGTTTGTTGTTATCTTTTGCTGTAAAACATTGTGAATGTGGATTAAGATCTCTTAATAGGAAAAACTCTTAGCAGTTTATCCTCTGGTTATATGAAGGGTAAGACTCAAGTAAGATCATGTACTTTCTTGACAACTCTTTTAAAAATATGAGGTGAGACTGTATTTTAAGAAAATGTGTAACAGTCGTATGATTCATATATTCTTTTGGAAATTAAGCATATTCTTCCCAACAAAATAGTAATGATTAAGGAAATATCAAGCAAATGTAAGCAACTAATTTATAGTGTATATAAGGACCTATCTTTAGTAATATACTGAGTTTTTACATTCATATTTATTTTTGAATCTACTTATATATATATATACATGTATATATAGTTGGCCCCCCATATCTGTCGTTGAATCTGTAGAAGGAACCAACTGGGATTGTAAATATTTAGCAGAAGAAATGGATTGTTGCATCCGTACTGAACATGTACAGACATTTTGTTCTTGTTATTATTCCCCAAACATTACAGTATAACTGTTTACATAGCATTTACATTGTATTAGGTATTATAAGTAATCTGGAGACATTTTAAAGTATATGGGAGGATGTGTACTGGGAGATTATATGCAAGTATTACACCATTTTATATTAAACGTGCATTCATGGATTTTGGTATCCGCTGGGTCTCCTGGAACCAATCTCCCACAGATACTGAGGGACATGCATATGGGTGTTTGGGGGATTTTTTTTTTTTTTTTTTTTTTTTTTTTTTTTTTTTTTGAGACAGAGTCTCGCTCTGTAGCCCAGACTGGAGTGCAGTGGCCCAATCTCGGCTCACTGCAACCTCTGCCTCCCGGGTTCATGCTGTTCTGCTGTCTCAGCCTACCGAGTAGCCGGGACTACAGGCGCCTGCCACCACACCCAGCTAATTTTTTGTGTTTTTAGTAGAGACAGGGTTTCACCGTGTTAGCTAGGATGGTCTTGATCTCCTGACCGCGTGATCCGCCCGCCTCAGCCTCCCAAAGTGTTGGGATTACAGGCGTGAGCCACGGCACCCGGCCGTTTGGGGGATATTAAGGACAGTGTTTTTAATGAAAAACCAAGAAATGGAAGACACCATTTAGATACCTAAAAAAGCCTGAAATGTAACTTTATATTGCTGTTTTTATATGAAAATCGTTTGCATAAAAATAAAGTTTTTTTGCATATATATAATCAGCATTACATAAAACATACTAATGTGCATAAATCTTTGATACATTTTATAAGTGAAATAATAGATGTTTTAAATTTGGTTTTAGGAGATAAACCAACAAACAGGTCCTCTTGTCTTCTGAATATCCAAGAATTTCTGCTAATGGAAATGAAATTGTTTTCAGAAATATAATTTACAACACATTTTCCCTACTTTTTTGGTGGTTTTTGGCCTTGCGGGGGTATTTTTATATTTATATCTTCTGATTTATCAGTCTTTAACAAATCTATAGCCAGGCGTGGTGGCTCGTAATCCCAGCACTGTAATCCCAGCACTTTGGGAGGCTGTAATCCCAGCACTTTGGGAGGCCGAGGCAGGGGTGGATCACCTAAGGTCAGTAGTTCAAGACCAGCCTGGCCAACATGGTGAAACCCCATCTCTACTAAAAATACAAAAATTAGCCGGGCATGGTGGTGGGTGCCTGTAATCCCAGCTACTCAGGAGGCTGAGGCAGGAGAATCACTTGAACCCGGGAGTCAGGTTGCAGTGAGCCTAGATCATGCCACTGTGCTCCAGCTTGGGGGACAGAGCGAGACTCTGTCTCAAAACACAAACAGAGAAACCAAATCTATTTCATTAGTTCTAAACGCTTTTCTTTTTCTGAGGTGCTAAGAGTTCTCTCCTGTGGTTTCTTCTGGCATATTTTGGCTTCATTTTATAGACTTTTAAGTCCTCGATTCATCTCAGATTTATTCTGGTTTAAGGAACTGAGATATGGATCTAGTCTCCCCCCAACCCCACATAGCTACTTAGTCACCCAACACTATTTGCTGATTAGTCCATCTTTTCTCTCACTGCTTTGAGATGCCATCTTTATCTTTACATAAGGAAATTTGAATAGATTTCTGTTGTGATTTAAAAATTTTCAAATTAAAAGAAATTAACTATTTTTATGTTATCACAGATAAAAGCTGTTTAAGAAATGATCCTTATTGCTTTTCACATTGAAGAAATTCTTGGGTTATCCAACTATTTTTGGAATTCAATGTGTGCTGAATAAATTTGTATTTTTAGTTCAAACATTTGTATCTTGAATTAGTTATATTTCTGTACAGTAAGATTTGGAAGTCCAAACTTGAGAATGAATTCTTAAAGTTTACTTTTAAATGAACTATTAATTGTAGACATTAATATGTGCCTCACAAATGTCTTATATAAATATTGAATTTTTATAGTGTAGATACTGCTAAAATTCTCAATGGTTTATTCTCTGAAAAAAGATAAGTTTTCCTGATGTGCGAGACTCTTGTCTCAAAAAAAAAAATTCTAAAGCAGTTTGGAGAATTAAAAGAAAAAAGGGTAAAAATGTTCGGAAATACTTACTGTTAGCATTTTGTATAGTTTTCCATTTTTTCTGTATTTTCTTTTTGTCCATTCAGATCTAGACTTGCAGCAGATTTTTCTGTCTTTATTTTACAAAATTGGGATCTTACTGCATAACATTTGTAATTTGCTTTTTATTTACAAATGAATCCTGAACATTTCTTCATGTCCTCAAGTGATTTTTTTTGAGACAGTCTCATTCTGTCACCCAGGCTAGAATGCAGTGGTGCGATCTTGGCTCACTGCAACCTCAGCCTCCCAGGTGCAAGTGATTCTCCTGCCTCAGCCTCCCGAGTAGCTGGGATTACAGGCGCGCACTACCATGCCTGGCTAATTTTTGTATTTTTAGTAGAGACGAGGTTTCACCATGTTGGCCAGCGTAGTCTCAAACTCCTAACTTCAGGTGATCTACCTGCTTCGGCCTCCCAAAGTGCTGGAATTATAGGCGTGACCCACCACGCCCAGCTTCTTTTTTTTTTTTTTTTAATGACAGGGTCTCGCTGTGTCACCCAGACTGGAGTGCAGTGGCATCATCAGGGCTCACTGCAGCCTCAGCCTCTTTGGGCCCAAGTGTTCCTTCCGCCTCAGCCTCCCGAGAAGCTGAGACTACAGGTGTGCCCCACCCACCTGGCTAAATTTGGATTTTAAGTAGAGGCAGAGTTTCGCCAAGTTGGCCAGGCTGGCCTCAAGTGATCTGTCTGCCTTAGCCTCCTAAAGTGCTCAATTACTGACGTGAGCCACCGTGCCCCACCATGGTAGCATTTTAAAAAGCAAAGTGTGATTTTTGTATGAAGATATTTCTGAATAAAATTGACTTTCTGACAGTAATTGTCTTTAATTAAACTTTGTAGGCCATGGATCATCTGCAGTCATTCATTGCAGATTGTGATCGTAGAACAGAAGTGGCCAAGAAAAGATTAGCAGAAACTCAAGAAGAGATTAGTGCTGAAGTAGCAGCAAAGGTAAGAATTTTAATCATTTCATTAGTACAAAGTATTATTTCGACTCCTTTTGTTTAAGTTTTTATTTTGAAATAATTAGATTTGCAAGAGATTGCAAAGACATATACAAGGAATTCTGTATACTTTCTTGTCTGCCCCAGTGTAAACATCTTATACAATATAGTGCAATATCAAATAAATTGACATTGGTCTAATCCTTATATTTTATTCAGATTTTGCCAGTTATGCATGCATTTATTTGTGTATGCATGTCTGTATGTATAGCTCTGTGCAGTTTTTTTGTTTTTCTTTTTGTTTGAGACAGAGTTTTGCTGTGTTGCCCAGGCTGGAATGCAGTGGTGTAATCTTGGCTTGCTGCAATCTCTGCCTTCTGGGCTCAAGTCTCGTGCCTCAGCCTTCTGAGTAACTGGGATTACAGGTGTGCGTCACCAGGCCCAGCTAATTTTTTTTATTTTTAGCAGAGACAGGGTTTTGCCATGTTGGCCAGGCTGGTCTCAAACTTCTGGCCTCAAGCGATCTACCCACCTTGGCCTCCCAAAGTGCTGGGATTACAGGTGTGAGCCACCACGCCTGGCCAGCTCTCTGCAGTTTAATCACATGTGTAATTACAGCCACAGTTAGGATGCTTAAGTATAACATTGCCACAAGACTCCCTCATGTTACCCCTTTTATAGCTACATCCATCTTTACCCCCACCCAGCATCTCTACCCTTGGCAACCACTAACCTATTCTCTATCTCTGTAGTTATGTTATTTCATGGAGTGTTACATAAATGAAATCCTGTGTACGCTTTTGAGATTTGGCCTTTTTCATTCCATATAACTTTCTTGAGATTCATTCAAGTTGTGTGTATCAGTTCATTCCTTTTTATTTCTCCATTGTACAGATATACCACAGTATTTTTATTTGCTTTTAAAAGCAAATGTTAAATGTCAATATTTCACCTGTAAGTTATAACCACAGTAATACATACATAAAGTTAACAGTAATTTTTTAATGTTATCCAGTGTATGTTTATTTTTCTTATAGAGTCGATTTATTAGAATCCAAACAAGGTCTTTTATATTGCATTTGTTGATGACTTATTACAACATAATTATATTCCATTCAGTATGATCAAGTGTGTTTTATGAAAATGCAGAATGGGAGAAAAAGAGTTACCCAGGTGGAGTTTAGATGACAGTATTAAAATATGGTGTTCAGATATGTATATACAAATGAAAATAGATTCCATCGTTTGAGAAAAGGGTTGCTTTTAGTCAACCTTTTCTGAAAATTCTCTGAAGATGGGGACTGGAAAGACGGGCATCCTGAAGTACAAAGGATCTAGTATCTCATGGTTGGAAGAGATCTGTAAGTGCTTGGTAGAGCCTGAGTTGTATTGGTTGTATTGGTTATCCATCACTACACAAATGCTGTATAACAAACCACCTCAAAGCTCAGTGACTTAAAACACTATTTATTTAGCCCATGACTCTGCAGTCAGTGATTTAGGCTGAACTTGACTGAGCAGTTATTCTTGTTTCAGCTGGGCTTACTCACATGCCTTGCAGTCCACTAGAGGATGCAGAGCCATGCCCAGCAGGCTAGCCTGGCCGTGTTCTCATAGTGGTGGTAGAGGTGCAGAAGCATCAAGCCCCATCACACAGGCCTCTCCTTTGGTCATGTTTGCTACCATCTCAGTAACCAAAGCAAGTTCATGGCCAAATTCAGAGTCAGAGTACGATGGTACACAATTACATGGTCAAGGACATGGATACAGGGAAGAAAGAAGAGTTTTGGACAACAGTTTAGTCATTCAATGATACATTTAAAGGAAAATACCATTTGGTAGAGAGGGAGGATAGTGATAATAGAATTGGACTCTCATTGAGGGAAGAAATATTTTGGGTTGAAGGATATTTGAGAAGTAAAGACTATTAATTAAACCAGTAAACTGGTTTGTTGGGACTGGAAACTCATACCAAACTAAAACCTTCGGCCGGGCGTGGTGGCTCACACCTGTAATCCCAGCACTTTGTGAGGCCAAGGTGGGTGGACCACTTAAGGTCAGGAGTTTGAGACCAGCCTGGCCACCATGGTGAAACCCTGTTTCTACAAAAACTGCAAAATTAGCCAGGCATGGTGGTGCACGCCTGTAATCTCAGCTACGTGGGAGGCTGAGACAGGAGAATTGCTTGAACCCAGGAGGCAGAGGTTGTAGTGAACTGAAATCATGGCACTGCACTCCAGCCTGGGCGACAGAGCAAGACTCCATCTCAAAAACAACAATAACAACAAAAAATTAAAACCTTCTTTGCTAACATATTATAATTGGCCATACAGCAAAGACTTTGTGGCCCAAATAATGATTATATGTATGTTTTATGTGCCATTACAACAGTAGGAATGAACTAAGTTGCTAGGATGATGATGGTGATGAGGAAGAGGAACGTATTCTTTCCCAAGGCCAGAGTTAATCCTGGTGGAAAGCTAAGGACTCATAGAGTGGAGTTGCCAGGCGAGTATGCTGAAAATCAGCAAGGTGCTATGCAGGGTACATACGAGGCTTATTTTCTCATTTCTCACAACTTTGTGGGATAGGTACTTCTTAGATGAGGAAATGAATTCAGGTATAAGTAATGTGGCCAAAATTACACAGATAGTAATTGGTTTAGCAATAAGTCAGATCTGATGGATTCCTGAACTTGATCCACCAATTCATTTCTTTAACTCATATTTGAGCCTAGGCTATTTGCTGAGCACTAGAGATACAAAGATGGGAAATACAGATAGCTGTCCTTAAAGTAGTATGATATTTATGAAAGGAACTGTCAAAAAAGATACAAAGGTGACACAAAGGAGAGAGTATGGCCATCTTTGCTGATGTGTTTAAGTGGGGCTGGGATGTGGTGACTGTTCAGGAATGTTTTACAGAAATGGCCCTTGAGTTGTATCTTGTTGGAACGAGTGAATATTCAGTAGGCAGGCGAGAGGTAAGGGATCCCATCCCAGAAAGAAGAGTATATGCAAAGTAACAGAGGTAGAAAACAACAGGGTAAGTTTGGGGAAACTATAAATTATGTTGTGAGGTGGGGGAGTAGCAAGAGATGGTTTAGAAAAGTACAAAGGGCCAGATCATGGAAGAAATCGTATTTTACACTAGGAATACACCACCTCGCCAGAGGATAGAAAGTTATATTGGGCCCAGTAGTAGCCCTGACTTCATTGAGGTAAGGCAGGCAGGCTCAGAACATCCTGATGTCTCAGTAGTTCATTTGGGATACGCTCAGAAAGCATTCTTTAACCACATACTGCCTTAGATAACAAGTTTTTTCTCAGCAGTTCTGAAATACTTTGAAATTTAAAATTCATTCTCTTGTTTATTCATGATCTTCTTTTTTATTTCTTTTTAGGCAGAACGTGTTCATGAGTTAAATGAAGAAATTGGTAAATTGTTAGCCAAGGTGGAACAACTAGGAGCTGAAGGGAATGTGGAGGAATCCCAGAAAGTAATGGATGAAGTAGAGAAAGCACGGGCAAAGAAAAGAGAAGCAGAGGTAAATTCTTAATAGTAGTAGACGAATTCTGCTTAATTTGGTAAGACTACAAATAAAAAGTAGTAGATGAAACTTCAGTATCTATACTTCTCTAAGAACATGTATTTGAATGGAAATTATTGAACAGTTGTTAAAGAGAAGTTGAACTAAAAGACAAAAACAAAACAAAACTCGGAAAAAGCTGGTTGTGGTGGTGCGTGCCTTTGGTCCCAGCTATTTTGCAGGCTAAGGTGGATCGCTTGAGTCCAGTTCAAGTCCAGCCTTCTTCTTTTTGTTTTTTTGAGATGGAGTTTTGCTCTTCTTGCTCAGGCAGGAGTGCAATGGCATGATCTCAGCTCACCGCAACCTCTGCCTCCCGGGTTCAAGCGATTCTCCTGCCTCAGCCTCCCAAGTAGCTGGGATTACAGGCCCATGCCACCACACCTGGCTAATATTTATATTTTTAGTAGAGACAGGGTTTCTCCATGTTGGTCAGGCTGGTCTTGAACACCCAACCTCAGGTGATCCACCTGCCTCGGCCTCCCAAAGTGCTAGGATTACAGGCATGAACCACTGCACCAGGGCCTTTTTTTTTTTTTTTTTTAAGACAGAGTCTTACTCTCTCTCCAAGGCTGGAGTGTAGTGGTGCGATCTCAGCTCACTGAAACCTCTGCTTCCTGGGTTCAGGCGATTCTCTTGCCTCAGCCTGCTGAGTAGCTGGGACTACAGGTGTGCACCACCATGCCCGGCTAATTTTTTGTATTTTTAGTAGAGATAGGCTTTCACCATGTTGGCCAGGCTGGTCTTGAACTCCTGACCTGGGGTGATCTGTCCACCTCAGCCTCCCAAAGTGCTGGGATTACAGGCGTGAGCCACCCGGCCTGGCCTGTTTTTTTGTTGTTGTTGTTTTTTAAAATACTTTTGGTAAATTTGTCTTTCAGAAAATCTCTCTAAGTTGTATTTATTGATATAAAGTTGTTCATAGTGTTCTCTTTTAATATCTGTAGAATGTTTGCAATTCGTGTCTTTTCTTAATTAATCTAGCTGGTCAGTTTTATTTTGTTTTTCAAAGAACCAGTCTTCTGATTTTATTGTTTTTTTCTTGTTTTCTATTTCATTGATTTCTGTTCATGTTTATTATTTCCTTATACTCCAGTGGAGAGAGGCGCTAAGGATAGAGGATGGGGATAAAGGGAACCTATAATTTTCATAACAAAATAGCCATGCTTTTGTGGTTTTTTTTTTTTTTTTTTTTTGAGCTGGAGTCTCGCCCCAGTGAGCCACCGTGCCCAGCCACTTTTGTGTATTTTTTAGAAAACACTTTTGGTATAAGCATAGTATATTTTATTTAATTGTATGACTTTTAGTGAGATTTATATGGTCATTGTTTTTCTCACTTTTGTTTAGGAAGTTTATCGGAATTCTATGCCAGCTTCCAGTTTTCAGCAGCAGAAACTTCGAGTCTGTGAAGTCTGCTCTGCCTATTTAGGACTTCATGATAATGACAGACGACTGGCTGATCATTTTGGGGGTAAACTGCACCTGGGATTTATTGAAATAAGAGAGAAGCTTGAAGAATTAAAGGTACATTGGTAAAATATTCCTCACTTTATCCTCTTGTTCTTTTGATCTGTATCAGTTGCCTTTTTGTACAATATTCTTGACTATGATTCAGTAATATAGTATCTAATGATTAATACTAAACAGTGTAGGATTATAGATGGAAATTCAAGTTGGTTTAATGGATGCTGCCTGAGAAACAGACTTAATATTATCCTGTTATTTTGGGAGTTACCATTTTATATTAGATATGACACCGAGTTAGGGATCTTTCAAACTAGTTACTAAAAGAGTCCCATAAAACTTCATTGTTATTGTTCTTTTCAATAAGGTCAATAAGAATGTAATAATATAATATTTATAAGAAGTTTGAGAAAATGAACCCAATATTAATTTGAAATATTTTGCAATTCTTTATTAAATAGCAAGCTTGCAGAATCTCTAGTTTTATTTTATGCTCCTGCTTCCACTTCAGAAAGGACTTATGAAAAAATTTATATTTTTTTAAAAGGACAATCACTATTACTTAAATAATATAGGCTTTTGTGGGGAAGACAACACAGTTTTTACTCTTGTTGTTTAGAGGGGATAAACACAAAAAAGCATGGTGATATTTCTGAAGTGGTAAAGATGAGTGTTGGTGGATATAATCTATTTACCTTTTAATATGCTGATAGCTTTTTAAGAATTGTGGCACTGTAGTGTTTTTTCATGAATTGAGGTCTGGCTGACAGATAGGAAACATGGGATAGTCATTTTCTTTGTAACTGTTATTGTCAACTGGAATTAACTCAAGGTCCATAGCATTTAAAATAATATAGAATCAGAAAATGCCTAGGGACATCTCCATATTCTCAGGTAACAGTGGGCTCTTTTCAGTATTCTGAGTAGCTAGGGTGATCTCAAGTAATTTTTTAAAAATTTCGAAAAGAGTCACTATAGCAAATAGTTACTAGGCTCCAAGTTAAAACTCCAGTGGTTCCTACTTGGGAGTCTTTGCAGATAGACCTAGCAACAGAACTCAAGCATTTTACTCATATCTTTAAAAAGCAGCAGCATCAGGATGGTAATTGGAAGTGACCTAAATATTTCCATATTAGAAATCACAGGGCATGGGAACTTGTGATTTATAATGGTTGATGTTTTTTTAAAAAATACAAAATAATACTAGAAAACATTTAGAGGAGGAAAATCTTGTAGAAGTGACTTGGAAATGTCATTAAGAAATCATGAAAGGCTAGGCGCAGTGGCTCACGCCTGTAATCCTAGCACTTTGGGAGGCCAAGGCGGGCGGATCACAAGGTCAGGAGTTCGAGACCAGTCTGGCCAATATGGTGAAATCCTGTCTCTACTAAAAATATAAAAATTAGCTGGGTGTGGTGGCATGTGCCTGTAGTCCCAGCTACTCTGGAGACTGAGGCAGGAGAATCACTTGAACCCGGGAGGTGGAGGTTGCAGTGAGCTGAGATTGTGCCACTGCACTCCAACCTGGGCGACAGAGCGAGACTCTGTCTCAAAAAAAAAAAAAAAAAGTCATGGAGCTGGGTATGGTGGCTTATGCCTGTAATCCCAGCACTTTGGGATGCCAAGGTGGCCAGATCACTTGAGGCCAGGAGTTGGAGACCAGCCTGGGCAACATGGTGAAACCCCATCTCCACTAAAAAATATTAATAGAAAAATTAGCTGGGTGTGGTGATGCACGCCTGTAATCCCAGCTCCTCAGGTGGCTGAGGCTGGCAGGTGGAGGTTGCAGTGAGCCGAGATGGTGCTACTGCACTCCAGTCTGGGCAACAGAGTAAGACTGTCTCTAAAAAAAAAATAATAAGATCATAGGCCAGTCTCAGTGGCTCGCACCTGTTAATTCCAACACTTTGGGAGGCTGAGGTGGGAGGATCACTGGAGCCCAGGAGTTGTAGACCCATCTGGGCAACATAGCGAGATTCTGTCTCTATTTTAAAATAATTTGTTTTCACTTAAAAAAAAAAACAAAAAAAAAAACCAAGTAGAAATCATGGAGAAAGGTGAAATTTTACACATTTTCCACAAAATGGGGAAAGATTATGGAAAGAAGACTTGTAGGCCTAATGATTATTTCTGGCAGTACTTCAAATTGAATTATTAAACAGATTTTGACAGCAGTTGTACTGTATTAGAAACCAGATAATATAAAGTTTAGGATAAAGCTGTTTAAGAATGGACTCAGTAAATATTCTCCTCATTTATTACTGTTTTTAAGAGAGTCGTAGCTGAGAAGCAGGAGAAAAGAAACCAGGAACGGCTGAAACGAAGAGAAGAGAGAGAGAGAGAAGAAAGGGAGAAGCTGAGGAGGTATGGAGTAATGGGCCAAGTAATTGAAGTTGAATCTCTGTGGTTCTAAAAAGAGATATAATTGATTTTAAATTTTAGATGGTGATAAATCTGTTATGGGACGTGGGAAACTTCTGCTTACTTTAAAAAATATTACTGTGCGAATTATATAAATGTTTAATTATACAAGTATCGTAACTCTTGGCCATTTAACGGAATGTGATTTCCTTTAAAATGTGTGGAAGAGTGAATAAAGAATGCTTCGTATCTTGTAAGATTTATAACAAAATCCAGCCGGGCATGGTGGCTCACGCCTGTAATTCCAGCACTTTGGGAGGCCGAGGCGGGTGGATCACGAGGTCAGGAGATCGAGACCATCCTGGCTAACACGGTGAAACCCCGACTCTACTAAAAATACAAAAAATTAGCTGGGCGAGGTGGCGGGCGCCTGTAGTCCCAGCTGCGCGGGAGGCTGAGGCAGGAGAATGGCGTGAACCTGGGGGGGCAGAGCCTGCAGTGAGCTGAGATCGGGCCACTGCACTCCAGCCTGGGCGACAGCGAGACTCTGTCTCAAAAAAAAAAAAAGATTTATAACAAAATCCTTTTCTAGCCCTTTGATTTTTCATATTGGGCTAGATTTGCACCAGGTTAGCATAGAATTATTATTTTTTTTTTATGATGTATTTTGTTAACAAAAGGTTTAAGGGTGGTTGTTTCATTGAAGGGTTTTTTTTACATTGAACTTTGGTTAGTTCCTCAATTCTAGGAGCCATAAACTATTAAAAAGTCTAAAAATATCTAAATGTATATAATTCCTCTTACATTGGTATTCATTAATTGATAAAATCTTAGAATTCTAGTATTTGGAATGTCTAAACATTCTTCTGAGTCACTTTTACCATTGGCAGCTAAAATCACATAGCATCATGGTGGCAACATTTTTTTGTAACTCATCTTTTTAACTTCAGCAGCTTTAGGATGGACAGTTATATCACAAATGATTTGCCTGTAGTCCTAATTTATAGTGTTCCTTGAATCATACTACATTTAAATGTCTTAAATTTAAATACCTTCTCTTTAGAGTTAGCAGATGTGCTTAAGCTAATTAAAACCCTTTGTAGTATTAGGTTATGCTCACTTCCTTCGATCTTTGAGCATATTATATACTCAGTATATTTCAAGAAGTTTAAACAGACTTCGTTTGTGTCACATGGCTTATAACCAGGTAATCTTTTTGCACCATAAAGACAGTGAAACAAAACTACATGTCTATATGGTCCCTTTTTAGGAGAAGTGATGTCAGTCCTCTATTGAGAGAGAGAGATTTCTTCATTTACTGTAAAGTTTACCTCAGAGCTTTTATCTACTTGTTCTTTTGTGTATAGTAAGTCCTTATGGGAATATTGCCCAGTATTCTAATATATAAGTGGAATTTTCAGTAATATTGGGAATCTCATTTTAAGATTCAATTGAGGTGACAGTAACATGGAACAGAATTTCTTTGCAGGACTACATTTTCACATTTGTAGATGATGAAAAAGTATATCACATCTTACTCCTTTGTTTGCCAAATGGCAAGTTTCTTTTGACAGTGATTATATAATGCAAATTTCAGAAACATTAAAAAAAAGTCGTTGAATCTGTGAGCTTAAAGAAATATGGAAGTATGGAAGATGAGGAAATTAGAAACTAGTATAAAATTATATAAGATGGGATAAAAGAAAAAAATCATAATCATTTACTGGGTGCTTATTGTATGCCAGACACTGTAGTAAGGAATTTATCCATATTCATCTAATCTTTATAAACCCCACCCCCACTCCACCCCAGTAAAATTTATATTAGTATCCCTCTTTTGCTAGTGACAGAGTAAGCTGAGAGAGGATATGTAACTTACTTAGGTCACACAGACAGTGAATGGTAGAACCAGAAATAAAACTCAAATCTGGCTGATCTCAAAGTCATGCTTTCAACAATGCTATATATCATCCAAAAAAAAATAATAATCCCTGTGGTGTCCTACTAGCCATAATATTCACTTTACATTTCATTGAGCGTTACCTGTGTGCTAGGAAATGTGACAAGTGCCTTAAGTAGAGTATCTCATTTCATTTGAAGAAACACATTGTAAGATTGAACTAGGTGTTCTAGAGATTATAGTATGAGGTTGTAGCTCCAAGAGTATGTAGATCTCAGACCATAGAAATTTCACTCTTTTCCCAGAAGGGAAAAAAGAAATGACAGATATAAAAGAATTTTTTCCAAGCTGGTAAGTGGTTTCTGGAAAATTAGCAAGTTGTGATATGTAGGTTGAGCATCCCAAATCCAAAAAATGAAATCCAGTGAGCTTCAAAATCTGAAACTTCTTGAGTGCTGGCAGCATTTAAAGGAGATGCTTATTAGGGCATTTCAGATTTTGGTTTCTGGATTTAGGGATGCTGAACCAGTAAATTATAATGCAGACACTTCAAATTTTGAAAAAAATCGGCCACCTGTAATCCCAGCACTTCGGAAGGCCAAGGTGGTTGGATCATTTGCATCCAGGAGTTCAAGACCACCCTAGGCAACAAAAAATGTAAAAATTAAAAAAAAAAAAAACAAAAACAAAAAACAGAAAAAATCCGAAACACTTATGATCCTTAGCGTTTCGGAGAAGGAGTACTCAACCTGTACTGTGTTTTAATCTCCTAGGAACATATTCTTTAAGAGCCAGGTATTCTTGAGTTAAGCAAACCCTGCAAGGTGAAGAAATCTGTCGAGTTTGTGGTGTCTTTTGGAAAATTTTGTGTGCGTAGGTACACGCCTTGTATTTATAAAATTAATGTAAACATTAGAAATCAGGAAGAATATAATGTAACACTGCACTGTTTTCTTATTTATAGCCACTTTTCTAAAAATACATATTTTTTTTTTTTAGGTCCCGATCACACAGCAAGAATCCAAAAAGGTAGGTGTATTACATAAGACAGGTATAAGTAGTGAAGTTGTCTTTTTCAAAGGTAGTTTTTATAGATTGATTAAATGGTCCTTTAAAAATTTTCTTTTTTGGCTGGGCACGGTGATGCATGCTTGTAATCCCAGCTACTCAAGAGGCTGAGGCAGAATTGCTTGAAGCCGGGAGGCAGAGGTTGCAGTGAGCCAAGATAGCACCACTGCACTCCAGCCTGGGCAACAGAATAGGACTCTGTCTTTAAAAAAAAAAAAAAAAAAAAAAAGAAAATTTTTTTTGAAATCATTTAGATGCTCAGAGTAGATACGTAAAAGGATTAATTTTTTAAAAATCAATTTGGGTGGTACATTTAGGAAACATGTTCTAAGAGGTTGTAGCTGTTGAAAACATTAGTAGGTTAATAGTTGGATAAAATTTTGATTGATCCACTGTGGGTTAAGCAAAACCAAAATGTTTAGTATACCCTCCAGTCTTGACTTTATGTGAGTTTATTACCCATTCCTTTATACAGTGATCACAGAAGGCTTTCAGAGAGGCATTTGCAGCCTTAAAAGAGCAAGACAATACTTTGTTTTGACTTTCAGCGTTAATATTTGGGGTTTGAAACCTTTCTTTGTAGTTTTTGCTAGTTGCTGATACATTTTTTTGTCTGAGAAAGGCAGGGAAATGTGTTGTACTTCATCATTCTTTCTCAGTTCTTCACTTGCCCTTCTCATTCCAGTCGTTGAGCTTTCTTCATGGATCCATTCCCACCTAGAATGCCCTTTCTCAGTCTTTTCCAAATTCTACCATTCCTCTTGTTCAGATCACATCTTCTTTTAGAAACTTTCTGAGTTCTCAGCTCTAGAGACTATTTCCCAAGAAGTTTTCCCTAAAAAGTAGAGAATTTGTTGTTATGAAAGAAAAACCTGGCTGAGCGCAGTGCCTCACGCTTATACCATCACAGCTCTTTGGGAGGCCGAGGCAGCCAGATCACCTGAAGTCAGGAGTTCGAGACCAGCCTGGCCAACATGGCGAAACTCCATCTCTACTAAAAACACAAAAATTAGCCGGGTGTGGTGGCAGGTGCCTGTAATCCCAGCTACTTGAGAGGCTGAGGCAGGAGAATCACTTGAACCCAGGAGGTGGAGGTTACAGTAAGCCGAGATTGTGCCACTGCATTCCAGCTTGGGTGACAGAGTAAGACTGTCTCAAAAAAAGAAAAACAAAAACCTTACAGTTCTGTTAGCAACATCTATCAATGATATTTCTGCCTAAAACACTAAAAAAACTAAAGAACATTAATAAGTGGGGCCAGTTGTGTCAGCTAATTTATATTATTGGTGAATTTCTCTGATCTAGCATGATAAGTAGAAACATTAAACTGTGATACTGTTATTGTTTACTGTTTGATTAATATAAGCTGGTCCCTTTGTTGAAAACATAAAGTATTGCACATAGAACATCTTTAGATATTTGGGCCAGAAATTTAATTTCTATTCCTCTAGTCCTGTTACCTAGATAATATGTTTGCCTTGTAACTGGGCTCCTTAGTTCTCTGTGCTTGCCCACCCCCCTTCTTCACCTCATTCTATTTTTCACACGTCAGCCAGGATGAGCCTTTAAATAAATGAAATACATCACATCAGCCCTCTGATTCTCCAAAGGTTTTTCATCTCATTCATATGAGAAGTTAACATCTTTACCAAAGCTTTTACATAGGGTGACGGTGTGGCCTGGGGTGTCCAATCTTTTGGCTTACCTGGGCCACACATCAGATACACTAATGATAACTGATGAGCTGGAAAAAAAATTGCAAAGAAATCTCATAATATTTTAAGAAAGTTTACAAATTTGTGTTGGGCTGTATTCAAAGCCATCCTGGGCAGCATGCGGCTTGGAGGCCGCAGGTTGGACAAGCTTGGCATAGCCCAAACTGCCCTGGGATAGTTCTGGTTTATGTCTTTTATCCCAGAATATGTATTAATAGCTTCTCATTACATTCAGTAACTTATTCAGAGCCTTCTAGTTTGAATGATAAAGTACCTGGTCATCCTGCCTGTAAGACCCTGATATTACTTCCTTTTGCTCACTTCATTCCAGCCACACTGGTCTTTTCCTTCAACATGCTGAGCTTTTTCCCACCTCAGGGACTTTGCATCTGTGTTCCCTCAGCCTGAAGCACTCCTCTCTGAGATGACTGATTCACTTGTTCCCTTTCTTCTTTCAGCTTTGCTTCAGTGCCAACCTATCAGAAAAGCCTTCCCTGCTTATTCCGTATAAATATTTCCACTCTTTTCTCTTTTTCCACTCTACGTAATAACATCTTTTAATTTTTTTTTGAGACGGAGTCTTGCTCTGTTGCCCAGGCTGGAGTGCAGTGGCAAAATGCCAGCTCACTGCAACCTCCGCCTCCCAGGTTCAAGTGATTCTTCTACCTTAGGCTCCCTAGTAGCTAGGATTATAGGCACGTGCCACCATGCCCTGCTAAGTTTTTTTTTTTTTTTTTTTTTTTTTTTTTGTATTTTTAGTAGAGTAGGGGTTTCACCATGTTGGCCAGGCTGGTCTTGAACTCCTGACCTCAAGTGATCCGCCTGCCTCAGCCTTCCAAAGTGTTGGGATTACAGGCATGAGTCACCATGTCCAGCAATAGATCTTTTTTTTTTTTCTTAACCACCTGACATATCTTTATTTACTGCCTACAAACCTGTATAGATCCCTTTCTATAGTATAAGCACTAAGTTTAGTGCAGGAACTTTGTTTTACTTGCTACTCAACCTCCCCTAGTATAGAACAGTGCAAAAATACCTAGTGAATATTTTTTGGATGAAAAAATTACCTAGAATTTTTAAAAAGATGAATAAAGTTATACATTGGAAGAAATGGCATTCATAATAACTCAAAATGAGTGGTTAAACGAAGTATGATTTGATAAAACTTACACTGAGAGTTTTATATTTTTTCCCTCTGCTTCCTTTTGGAATTACTCTTTTCAGCTGTGGAAATAACGCTTTTTTTTTTTTTTTTTTTTTGAGACAGGGTCTCACTCTGTCCTGAGTAGCTGGGACCACAGGCGTGTGCCACCATGTCCAGCTAATTTTTAAAAATTTATTGTAGATACGGGGTCTCCCTATGTTGCTCAGGCTGGTCTTGAACTCCTCCCGTTTAAGGATTAAGCAGTCCTCCCATTGTGGCCTCCCCAAGTGCTGGGATTACAGACACAAGCTATTGTGCCCAGCCAGAAATACTCTTTTTAAGTGTGGCTAAAGCTACGTCCATGTCATGTACCTTTCTTTGACTATAATGTTGACATAAGCTGAATGCCTTTTAGCATCGTTCATAACAATCAGTTGAAGATAAACTGTATTTGTAAACTATCTCATATGTATAATATGATTTTGAACTTGCTGTATCAAATTATGAGCAAACCTCACATTCTTAAAGTGACTTAAATTTAAGAGTTTTATTGAGGTATAAAATATATATATATATATATATATATATATATATATATATATATATATATATGATTTACTCTGAAGTCAGTGATTTTTTAGCAGATTTAAAGCTGTGCAACTATCACCATAATCCAGTTGAGAACATTTCCATCATTCTTAAAGTGACTCTTCTAACAAAGTTGCATTCCTTTGTTTCCCCTTGTTTTCTGTCAAACGTTTATGTCCTCTCCATGCCATTTCCACCCTCACCATGCACCCCCACCCACCCCACAAGTTAGTTTGTGACCTGGTGGAGGCTATAAAAGTGTCTTACCTTGTGGGTTTTTTTCTTTTCAAAAAATGTCTTTATTTTGCCAGCACCTTGATCGTATATTTTCTGGTTTTTCAGAATGTTTTTCGTTCTCTATTTCTGTGTATTCATTAGAAATACATTTTTTTTGCAATCTGAGTCAAGTTCTCAAAAATGATTTTCGCAAGTGTTCTTTCTCCCAAACTGTTTGCTCCTTGAATAGAGAACTGTCTTACTGTGTTTGTTTTGTCTTGCTCTCTATTGCCCAGGCTGGAATGCAGTGGTGTGAACACAGCTCCCTGTAGCCTTGACTTCCTGGGCTTGGGTGATCATCCTTCCTTAGCCTCCCAAAGTGCTGGGATTAAAGGCGTGAGCTACTACCCCTGGCCCTTACTCTGTTTTGATTACACTGTGACTAGACATGCATATTGTGGGCATTAAAAACTTACTTCTATGGTTATCTCACCTTTCTAATTCAGACAAAGAGTAATTTGTCCTGACGTATTCTTCCTCATCTCTTCTCTTCCCTTCTGTCCAGGTCTGTCAGGTACATATTTAATTTCTAGAGGATACAAAAATGTTCAAGATATTTAAGTGCAATTAAATTCATAACAAATCTAGATAATATAGCCCCTGGCATATAGTAGTGGTTCAAAAGTTGCTTTCACTTGAAAAACTATTTCTGATAATAAATTTATACATTACTGATTGCTCTCTGAGAATTATCAATCAGTGTCTTGTTTTTGAGACAGAATTTCACTCTTTTGCCCAGGCTGGACTGCAGCGATGTGATCACCAGGTCATTGCAGCAGCCTTGACCTCCCTGGCTCAAGAGATTCTCTCACCTCAGCTTCCTGAGTAGCTGGGACTACAGGCATGTGCCTCTGTGTCCAGCTAATTTTTGTATGTTTTATAGAGACAGAGTTTCGCCATGTTGCCTAGGCTGGTCTTGAAATCCTGAGCTCAAGCGATCCTCCTGCCTCAGACTCCCAAAGTGTTGGGATTACAGGTGTGAGCCACGGCGCCTGGCTGAGAATTATTAATGTTTTATTTTGAATTCTAGTATGTAGTTATTAACACACCAGCAATTCAGTGTAGATTTAGCTGACTTGGAATATAATTGACATTAAGACTACTGAAAAAAAGTTTCTCTTTAAAGAAAAGGCTTTAATAAATGAGAAATATAGTAATTACAAAGGTAGAAACAAAATCAAATCTTGTCTGGTAGATCCAGGTCCAGAGAGCATCGCAGACATCGATCTCGCTCCATGTCACGTGAACGCAAGAGGAGAACTCGATCCAAATCTCGGGAGAAACGCCATCGCCACAGGTCCCGCTCCAGCAGCCGTAGCCGCAGCCGTAGCCACCAGAGAAGTCGGCACAGTTCTAGAGATAGGAGCAGAGAACGATCCAAGAGGAGGTATTGATGTGTCAATCAGAGGATATGGAGCTACCTTAATGTTTTAGAGTTGTTTATGTTTACTTATGTTACTTATGTTTAGAGTTCAGATTATTGGTTTGAAACTTTTGCATCTGGTAATATGTACACATTTATGTGTGGGTGTACAACATTTTTCTGTGATTATATGGGTAGTTTTGAAAGAATATACTTATGAGCCAGAGCAAGAAATTGGAACCAATATGTGTAGAGGTTATTGCTTTTCTCTGCTTAGTGTGTCTTGGAAAAAAGTTCTTTACAGGTAAATAATTTTAAATACCAATACCCTTAGTATGGATCAGCAAATTAGGGGCTCTGAGAAGTCCTTTCATTACAAGAGTTGTTTAGCTTTGATTTATTGTTTTCTAAACTTATTTGAGCTGGGATGCTTTTTCAGAGCAGACACATTCTAGTATATTCTTGTTTTATCTGCACTATAGATATGTATTGTTACATACCTTCAGCTTGGCAAGGCAGACTAATAAGGAGGTTCCAAGACTTCCCTTGGTTTAATGAGAACATTCAAAAGGTGCAGGCATAGGGTAAGGTATGTTTGAGGACTTGAATATCTATTAAGGATAGACAAAGGATTATAATGTGGTAGAAGAGTTTAGCATTCATAGTCTGTATAGATCAAACTGTCAAAACTTCTCAGGTCACATGATGGCCCTTAAACCAGGTAATTTCTGTGTAACGTAAGCCATGTTTAAAATTGCTTTTTTCTTGACAACTATTCAGAAGTATATGTATGATAAACATTTTTTGAGTGCCTAGTACCTACTAGTCTTACATATTCTGTGGATTACTCCACATAAAATCTATAATAAAATCCACAGAAAGCTGTTAAAATCTTTCCTATTTTTTTTTGACTCAACTTTCCATTCCCTGAAATCACTCACAAGCTGAGTTTGTTAATAGGCTCTCAATATTTTATTTCTTATATTCTGGCCTTGTTTTTAGTATTTCTTAAGGTGATTTTAATAATAATTAATTGTATATGTTTTACTGTACTAGACTTAGTAAAACATAAGAAAGACGTATAACATAGTTGAACAACTTTAAGTTGCTCTAAGAAGTTTCCTATGTGAGGCTGGGTGCCATGGCTCACGCTTATAATCCCAGCACTTTGGGAGACCGAGATGGGCGTATCACTTGAGATCAGGAGTTCAAGACCAGCCTGGCCAACCAACCCCATCTCTACTAAAATACAAACATTAGCCGGGCATGGTGGCACATGCCTGTAATCCCAGCTACTCAGGAGGCTGAGGAAGGAGAATTGCTTGAACACAAAGGTGGAGGTTGCAGTGAGCCAAGATCGCACCACTGCACTCCAGCCTGGGTGACAGAGCGAGACTCCAGCTCTCAAAACAAAAAAAAACAAACAAAAAAAAAAACAAAAAGTCTCCTATGTGAGTTAGAACAAAGGATTGACATCTTTGACAATAATTAGACTGGCATAAGACTACCACATGTTATAAAGTGCTAAACTGCATATCATAGAATAAATGATCCGAGAGTTTAGATGAGGCAAATAACAGAGTAATCAAAAATGGCTTCAGGTAGTCGGTAAAATTTGAACAGGTAGAATCAGCTAGGAAAAAGATATTCCATATAGAGTGAATATCCTAGGCAAATGCAGAGAATGAGGAGGGAGTTTGTAAAGGACAGAGTGATTTGTAGGCCTCTTATCTCACACTCTTGAAACTGATTTTGGGGGTCTACCCTCAGTGCAGTGTTCAGAAATAAGCATTTTTTAAAAGTTACCTGTCTTATCTGCACAATGAATTTTCAGAATTATCCTGCTAGGTGATGGAAGGTTTAGACATTTTCCTGTGTCAAATCTGCCCAACTGTCATTGTTGTTGCTGAACTCCTAAATGTCTTTATTGGTGATGGGTATGGGAAGGATGGGCGTGAAGTCCCCTAATCTGAGATTGTGTTATTTTAGTCCCTGATGCTTCCTGCGTTGATGAAGTTGTATAGGAATTTTTCCACCATACATGATACATGATCATATCTAAGATGTCAGCATGTTCATAAAGAGGATTATTTTTGTAAAACTATTAAAAGTTTTGCTTTTCTCGAGCACTTTCTCATCTTTGAATTCAAATTATTCTCTTTTAAAGCATCATTCTTTGTTTTATACTAAAAATTACCAGATAATTGCTGTTAAAACCTACTTGGTATTTCATACAACATCAAGTTATTGCTACATATTTGGGTTTAATTTTTCAAGGTAAAAGTTCTTATTGAAAGCCTTTTATGTTTTGCTGTTCTCCTTTCCCTACTGTGAAATACTTGTCTCTGATACAAGTAGATTCTTTGTGACCTCTTCCTGGCAATAGTGCCCTGCGTAAATGAGGACCATTTGCATCTATCTATCTTTTTGCTCTGTTCAAACATGTTTAGTGCAGACTCCAAAGTCAGATTACTTGGGTTCATTGGTTTAGGCTAAGTAATTTATTTTTTTTTTTGAGACGAGAGTCTCGTTCTGTCACCCAGGCTGGAGGGCAGTGGCGCGATCTCGGCTCGTTGCAACCTCTGCCTTGCGGGTTCAAGCGATTCTTTTGCCTCGGCCTCCCAAGTAGCTGGGATTACAGGCCCAGGCCACCACACCTGGCTATTTTTGTATTTTTAGTAGGGACAGGGTTACGCCATGTTGGCCGGGCTGGTCTCAAACTCCCGACCTCAGGTGATCCACCTGCCTTGGCCTCCCAAAATGCTGGGATTACAGGCATGAGCCACCACGTCCCACCTTGGCTAAGTAATTTATAACTATCTCACCTGTCTTTCCCCATCTACTAAGTGGAGAAAGTAAGAATACCTGCTTTGTTAAGATTATTGGTAGTTTGAGTAAAATAGTATATGGAAACCACTATGTGTGGGACATAGTAGTTGATACTCATAGTTTTTTAGTTATTACTGATCACTGGGACTGTTTGGCATCTAGTGTCTTTTTAGGTATCATTTTTACCATCTCTTTTCATATTTTATTCCAACAAAGGCTATGGATAGGACTAGTGTAGACGTGGAATCACTAGACTTGGCACTGTGATTTTTTGTTGTTGTTGAGATGGAGTCTTGCTCTGTCACCCAGGCTGGAGTGCAGTAATGCGATCTGGGCTCACTGCAGCCTCCGCCTCCCAGGTTCAAGTGATTCTCCTGCCTCAGCCTCCCGAGTAGCTGGGACTACAGGCACACGCCACCACTCTCAGCTAATTTTTTGTATTTTAAGTAGAGACGGGGGTTTCACTATGTTGGCTAGGCTGGTCTTGAACTCCTGACCTCAAGTGATCTGCCTGCCTTGGCCTCCCAAAGTGCTGGGATTACAGGCGTGAGTCACCGTGCCCAGTCTTTTTATATCATTTTAAGTTTATTAAAACATTAAGTAGAATGTTCAAAGTGGACATTATTTTAGAACCATTTTTTGTTTAACCCTCCTTAACTATATTTCTAAAACTGAACAGTCATATTTTTTATTTTCCTGAAAGTATTACTTATTCAGGTTCTTGGTAGTGCCTCAGATCCTAATTTTGAATATGGGTTGAGTGAGATAATTATGTAAAAGTGCTGTGTCACCTGTAAAGAACCAAATAAATGTAATTTGTTGAATTTTAGATGTTGGAAGTATGGAAGATTCCATGTTTATTCTGATTCCATAATATGTTTGGTTTTCCGATTGATTTATTATTTACCTTTCTTATAATGAAGTTGGGTATGGGAATGGAGAAGGTAGTAAACAGTTATGGCTAATCAAGATTTATTAGTGTGAGCATCTTTGTCTTTTTTTATTTCCCCTTGTTGGTTGAATAAGCTAACTCAGTATGAGTAGATTTTTAGAAGTGGTTATTTAAATTCATATTAATAATTGAGTAGTTCTCTTATCTAAGTCAGGTGTTGGCAAACTGTTGCCGATAGGCCAAATCTGGCCGGTAGCCTGTACAACCAGCAAGCTATGGATGGTTTTTACATTCTAAAAAGAAAAGAACTGCCACAAAGATTGCATGGACCTGCAGTACCCCAGATAGTCACCATCTGGCCCCTATTCTAAGCCATTTAAAATTTAGATAATACATTTCTTTCACTTTTTAAAGCTGTTATCTATGTATTATTTTTTATATTAAAATACCTTTTATGAATTGGAGAAACTCTGTGTTGTCTCTGAGATGAGAGTAGCCTGTAAGAAATTATTTTAGCCTTCTGACCCTCTGCTATTTGTTTTTCACCCATCTTCTTGTTTTAATGCCCTTATCAACTATGGTAGTGCTCTGTAATTTGTCAGAAAACTGACTCCTCTGTCATGGGTATATTCGTCTATATATCTTCAGCTATCAAGAGCTTAATATTTATCCTATTCTTTAATTTGGGTTTTTGGGTTTCCCAACATATTTTGCTCCTCAAATTAATATTTTTCAGATCCTCAAAAGAAAGATTCAGAGACCAAGACTTAGCATCATGTGACAGAGACAGGAGTTCAAGAGACAGATCACCTCGTGACAGAGATCGGAAAGATAAGAAGCGGTCCTATGAGAGTGCTAATGGCAGATCAGAAGACAGGAGGAGCTCTGAAGAGCGCGAAGCAGGGGAGATCTAACTAGCTGTGTACATTTCTTCAGTCCTTAAGCTTCCTACGGAGTTACGTACTATTGTTTAGTTCACAGCTGTTCAGGGTGACAGTGAGCAGATCCAGACACCAGATCCAGCTAGGCTAGATGTACAGTATCTAACTTGATCTGAACTGAACCTGTTTTCCTTGATGATGCCTAAAACTACATCCATAGTTTCTGGTGAACCTGTAATACAGTTCTGAAAGTACAGTTTTATATAATAAGATGCTGATCTCTTTATTCTTTCAAGTAAGAGTGCTAGTGAACAAATTGTGTTACTTGCCTTGGGATTTTTTGAACGTTTGTAAAATGCTGTCTTCCTAGTCCAAACAGCTGCAGCTTTGGGCATTTTTCTTTTTAATTATTCTTCCTCTGACTTTGTATCCCTTAATACCTACACTCTCCAATTGTAAGAGAAAGGGGGCAGGGAAGCAATATAGCTTCCATTCTAAGGCTGTATTCCCGTTATGAATTACTAGCTGATTACAGTTCAGAGCATTGATCCTGGAATGTGTGCTGGAGAAATTTAAAATACTGGGGTTTTTTGTTTAATGGTGCCTATTTAGAGTTGGAAGTTGAACAGCTGTTGCATTACATACTTTTGCTTTTTTATTGAAATTTTGAAATCAAACGTCTTGATTTTTCTGTTCTGTTGAATTGCTATGTTCAGGATGTTCTAGGGGGTGGGGGCAGGGACTCTTTTCGTAATAAGCACTTGTTTTATTTTGTGTGTGTGGAGTATAAAGGCTACACCCTTATTGTAAAAAAATAATAATAATAAAATGAAAGAAACAATCACCACCACCATTATTAAACTGTAACTTGTCTAGTAAATTGTCACTAGAACTATTTGCTGTGGGCATTTCCTCTATTCTGTTACGTCATTAACAGTGCCTTACTGTGCAAGGCACCAAAGGACATAAATACGTACTTGCAAAGATTCCAGATGAGCTGTTCATGTGGGCCCCTTGCTGACTATATTCCAGCCACTTCAGGGTTGTTTGTAATGACCGTTATAGAGAAGGGCTCGACCTGCAGAAGAAACTGGGGTGTTTTTATTCTCATTCAACAAACCCAAATAAAAACAGTATATGTAACCAACATAATGAGACTTAAGTTTCTGCCTTGAAGAGTTGTATATCCGTTAGTAACTTAAACTGTAATTGGCAGGTATCACTTGTGATTCTGGAAATTCTGAGGAACACAGATTCCTTAAGTAATGAAATTAGTATCTGTGGGTATCATTAACTAAGGTCACCTTTCAAGAACTGTTAATGTCCTTTGTCCCCAAGTTTGACAGATTTGATGTCAGAGGCATGTGGGCCTCTGTGAAGGTGCTGAGAGAATGGGAAACTAAGGCCATTCTAAGTGATACCAGATTACGTTAAAAACCCTCATCAAGTTCCCAATTTACCAAGCTATGCCTCATTAACTGAGGGTTTTCTGCTGTATTTGGTTCCACACATGCAATTTATATGGCATTTAATCTGAGAGACCCATCTGCCTCAGTGGCCCATTTCCCTTTTATTTTTGGTTGCTAAGAAATGTTTTGTATCTCCTTTGTTCCGGGTAGTCTGTGCTGTTCTAAATCCTTACAAGCACTTCAGATTTCGTACATTGGGGTTCGGAGTAAGATCAAAAGGACTAGCTGGTTGGTGTGAGGAAGAATGTCTGGGACCTGGCCCATTATAATAGTATATCTGGACTTAGATTTTGAACTCTAAAGCATATGTACAGTTGGAATGGAACACTTGTAGAAGTAACACAGGTCTATATATCAATGGTTACTGCAGCTGTGGTTTCTAGATGGTATAGGCTGCCCCAACATGAACAGGGCATAAAGCGCACCATCACTGTGGGGCTGCGTGCCACAGCGGACCACTTCAACCGCATGGCTCTTTACATGATTGATGCCACTGAATTAGAATAAAATCTCAAATCTTAATATCACTTTCTCATACACAATTTTTGGTCTTTCTGTGTTGGTGACTGGTAGAAAGCATAAGTAAGTATATTGTATTTGCAAAAAACTTTTGTCCCTCTGGGGAGTGTTTTGCTAAGTTTTTACCTTCAGTAAGGTTTCCTTCATTTTGCTGTCATCAAGTATTACCCTAAAGCTCCTTTGCTGAGCTTATCAACACCAACTAAAACTAAGGAAAAAAGCCTCCTTAAATAGGTATGTTTTTTATTTTTTTGAGACGGAGTTTCACTCTTGTTGCCCAGGCTGGAGTGCAATGGTGCAATCTCAGCTCACTGCAACTTCCGCCTCCTGGGTTCAAGCAATTCTTCTGCCTCAGCCTCCCGAGTAGCTGGGATTATAGACGTGCACCACCACGTCCGGCTAATTTTTGTATTTTTAGTAGAGACGGGGTTTCGCCGTGTTGCCCAGGCTGGTCTTGAACTGCTGGCCTCAGGTGATAGGCCCGCCTCGGCCTCCCAAAGTGCTGGGAGTATAAGGCATGAGCAACCCCTCCCTGCCCTACCCCTGCCAGGCTTGTTTTTTTTTTTTTTTTTTTTGTTTTTTGTTTTTTTTTTGTTTTTTTTTTTGTTTTTTTTTTTTTTGAGACGGAGTCTCGCTCTGTCGCCCAGGCCGGACTGCGGACTGCAGTGGCGCAATCTCGGCTCACTGCAAGCTCCGCTTCCCGGGTTCACGCCATTCTCCTGCCTCAGCCTCCCGAGTAGCTGGGACTACAGGCGCCCGCCACCGCGCCCGGCTAATTTTTTGTATTTTTTTTTAGTAGAGACGGGGTTTCACCTTGTTAGCCAGGATGGTCTCGATCTCCTGACCTCATGATCCACCCGCCTCGGCCTCCCAAAGTGCTGGGATTACAGGCGTGAGCCACCGCGCCCGGCCCAGGCTTGTTTTTTAAACAAAGACTTTCTTACCTGTGATTATTAGACCTAAAACCAATATACCTTTATCTTTTCCAAGTTCCCTCTTTCCCCTCCATGTTACATTTTAAGCATCTATTTTTAGTGATAGCTTTCAACATTGGCCTTTTGAGCCATCGCCCAGTATGCATTACAATTTCCACAAACACTTTTGCCATTTGATGTCGTAAATTCTTTCAAAATGGTTTTTAGGTAATGATTATGTACATCATTTAAGTTTTTCCGAATAAATGCTGATTATAATTGTTAAATGTTCATAGGTTTTTTTTTTTTTTTTTTTTTTTTTTTTAATGTAAGGTCTTCCTGTGTCACCAAGCTAGAGCACAGTGGCATGATCTTAGCTCACTGCAACCTCAATGTCCTGGGCACAAGTGATCTTCCCACTTCACCCTCCCAAGGAGCTGGGATTATAGGCACGTACCACCATGCCCAGCTAATTAAAAAAAAAAAATGTGTAGAGGCCGGATATGGTGACTCATGCCTGTAATCTCAGCATTTTGGGAGGCCGAGGCAGGCAGATCACTTGAGGTCAGGAGTTCAAGACCAGCCTGGCCAACATGGTGAAACCCCATCTCTACTGAAAAAAAAAAAAAATTAGCCAGGTATGGTAGCACACACCTGTAGTCTCAGCTATTCGGGAGGCTTAAGGCACGAGAATCGTTTGAACCCGGGAGGCAGAGGCTGCAGTGAGCCGAGATCGCACTCCAGTCTGGGCAACAGTGTGAGACTTCATCTCAAAAAACAAAACAAAATTACCGGGCATGGTGGCACATGCCTGTAATCCCAGCTACTCCAGAGACTGAGGCAGGAGAATCACTTGAACCCTGGAGGGGTTGCAGTGAGCCGAGATGGTGCCACTGCACCCCAGCCTGGGCGACAAGAGTAAAACTCCCATCTCAAAAAAAAAAAAAAAAAAAAAAAATTGTAGAGATGGAGTCTTGCTTTATTGCCCAGGCTGGTCTACAACTCCTGGGCTCAAGCAATTCTCCCACCTCAGCCTCCCAAGGTGCTGAGATTACAGACATGAGCCACCACATCCAGCCCATTTATGGATTTTTTAGCTTTAAAAATCTAAGTAAATATTACATATTTTTAAAAAAAAACCCACATGCCTAATGTGGATGTTCAGCTTTTACGGCTATCCCACTTGTGAAACCATTGAAACATGTCCCTTCAAGTGGTAAATTAGCTGCTGCCCTGGGCTAGTTGAGTGCCTGCCGCCAACGCAAGACCAGCAAGCACAGCCAGGAACGTCCAGAATTAGTTCACTACCACATGCTGTACTGACTTAAATAGTTTGAAACACATTCTTGTCTGTTTTGTATCTGAAAAAGCAGAAGCTATTTGATGTAATAATGATTTTCTTTCAAAAATGGTTTTTAGGTAATGGTTATCTACCTTTAAGTTTTTTCAAATAAATGCTATGGGGTTTGTTTTTTGTTTTTCTTTCTTTTTTTTTTTTTTTTTTTTTTAAGACAGGGTCTCACTGTGTTGCCCAGGCTGGCGTGCAGTGGCGCAATCTCGGCTCACTACAGCCTCAACATCCTGGGCTCAGGCGATCTTTTCACCTCAGGCCCCTGAGTAGCTGGGACGACAGGTGTGTACCACCATGCCTGACTAGTTTTAGTAGAGACAGGGTTTCATTGTGTTGGCAAAGCTGATCTCCAACTCCTGAGCCCCAGCGATCTGCCTGCATCAGCCTCCTAGAGTGCTGGGACTACAGGTGTATGCCACTGCGCCCAGCCTACATCACGATTTTATTATATCTTGACTGTTGATAATTAAAATTTCCTGGGATATAAATAAGGCAATATGAAGTTGCCCTTTCTCAGTATTTTTCTTTGTACTGCCTGTTATTTGAAAAAGCATTTTCTCCCTCAGGGGAGTTAGGAAAGGTTAGAGAGCTGAGAGAACAGGGTTTCCCTGGGCAGAGGCCGAGTAGGGGAGAGCAGGCAGGGGTCTGTCAGCAGAGTAGTACTGGGGCCATGCATGAGTGGGGCCTTGGGGGCTCTAGGGTCAGCAGGCAGCACACTGGCATGTTCTCCAGGTAGCAGCAGAAACATTAGGGTGTTAGAGGTTTGGGGTCTGCAGGCATATCTGGGGATCAGAACAAGCTAATGGCCAGCATTGGCTGAAGCAAGGCTTTGAGACTCACAGAATTGGGCTGTCAGTCAAGCAGGGATCTAAGAGATGGGGCCAGCCAAGCAGAAGTCAAAGGCTGGTGCCAGCATCAAAATCTGCTCTGATGCTCCTTTGGGAGACTGATTCTTCAAGTCTCAAATGCTGTTCACACCTGTCTCTGGATGCTGTTGGCTACCTGTAAAAGAAAATACATTCAAATGGGCTTAAACTCTGAAGGGACCTTAGCAGCTCGTGTGATTGAGTTGCATGCCAGCTCCATATCTTGGACTAGCATCTGAGCCCTATATCCATATGAAGAGAAACCATTTCATCTTGTGTCTCTTAAGAGCAAGGCAACTTTTCCCAGAACCTCTCGCAACCTTTTTCTCACATCTCTGTCCCTGGCACAGAGACCTACATAGACGATGCCCGATGAATGTGGAATGAATGAATGAAGTGCCTCATGTTTTCCAACATAAATTAACTCACACGATCTCATTTGATTTGTATAGCAATCCTGTGGTTACTCGAAGGGACCATATTCTATCACCATCATGCCCGTTTTTCGGAGTAGGAAGCTGAGGCATGCTGAGTGACTAATAGGACAGAGTCAGCCGACACCTTTTTGATTCTAAGTGAAAGGCTCTTTCTGGCATAAAGTATTGTGACAGGTAGGATTCAGCTGGGAGTGGCAAGAAGGGAGGGAGCAACAGAAATGTCCATTACAAAAAAGACTGAAATGAATGAAGCAGGATGATAACTGCAAGTACTGTCCCATTTCCAGCACCTTTTATTCTAGTCTCATGGTATCTCTCAAGCTGATTGTAACAGATAAAAAACCGATAGTTATCCAAATAACATGGTATATAGGAGTTACCATTTTTTGTTTTTTGTTTTCAGACAGGGTCTCACCATGTTGCCCAGGCTGGGGTGCAGTGGTGCACATGGCTTTCTATAGTTTTGACCTCCTGGACTCAAGTAATCCTCCTGCCTCAGCCTCCTGAATAGCCCTGCCCCCACCCACCACCCTCCCACTCAGCTAATTTTTTAAAAAATTTTTTAAATTTTTTTTTGCAGAGATGGGATCACACTATGTTTCCCAGGCTGGTCTCAAACCCCTGAGCTCAAGTGATCCTCCCACCTTGGCTTCCCAAAGTGCTGGGAGTATAGGTATGAGCTACCCTGCCTGGCCAGTTACATTTTTTGATTTCTTGATATTTTTGTTCAGAAAGTTTAATTTACTTGAAATCAATATGACAATCTACTAGGTAATGAAACACAAAGGAGACTGAAGAGATGATAATCAGTAAAAGGGCTTGAACTCTGATTGGATCTTTGTTTAAAAGGCTGGAATAATGAGAAATTAGGATATGGATTGAATATGAATTTATTGTTAATTTTATTAGGTATAATGGTGGAATTGCCATTACATAGAAGAATATTCTTAGGAGATAAGTGCTAAAGTATTTAAGGATGAAGCATCTGGATGTCTGCAGCTTACTTTTAAATAGTTCAACAATTTGATAAACACATAAAGAGCGGGTGTAACAAATTGTTCACTGTTAGATCTAAGTAGATCACTGGTTTTTCAACTTTTGTGTATTTTTGAAAATTTTCACAAAGTTAGGGGGAGGAACTCTTAGATTTTCCATTTAAATAATCACTTTAGGCCAGGCGTGGTGGCTTACGCCTGTAATCCCAGGCTGAGGTGAGTGGATCACGTGAGTTCAGGAGTTCAAGACCAGCCTGGCCAACACGGTGAAACTCCATTTCTACTAAAAATACAAAAATTAGCCAGACGTGGTGGCGCGCACCTGTAATTGCAACTACTCTGGAGGCTGAGGCACGAGAATTGCTTTAATCCTGGAAGTGGAGGTTGCAGTGGGCTGAGATTTTGCCACTGCACTCCAGCCTGGGTGACAGAGCAAGACCCTGTCTCAAAAAATAAGTAAATAAATCATCACTTCAAGTCGTTCTTTTCTGGAGGCCATATATATGGGTGTTTTTCTTTTTCTTTTTCTTTTTTTTTTATTGATCATTCTTGGGTGTTTCTCGCAGAGGGGGATTTGGCAGAGTCACAGGACAATAGTGGAGGGAAGGTCAGCAGATAAGTGAACAAAGGTCTCTGGTTTTCCTAGGCAGAGGACCCTGCGGCCTTCCGCAGTGTTTGTGTCCCTGGGTACTTGAGATTAGGGAGTGGTGATGACTCTTAACGAGCATGCTGCCTTCAAGCATCTGTTTAACAAAGCACATCTTGCACCACCCTTAATCCATTCAACCCTGAGTGGACACAGCACATGTTTCAGAGAGCACAGGGTTGGGGGTAAGGTCACAGATCAACAGGATCCCAAGGCAGAAGAATTGTTCTTAGTACAGAACAAAATGAAAAGTCTCCCATGTCCTCTTTCTACACAGACACGGCAACCATTCGATTTCTCAATCTTTTCCCCACCTTCCCCCCCCTTTCTATTCCACAAAACTGCCATTGTCATCATGGCCCGTTCTCAATGAGCTGTTGAGTACACCTCCCAGACGGGGTGGCGGCCGGGCAGAGGCGCCCCTCACCTCCCAGACAGGGCGGCTGGCCGGGCGGGGGGCTGACCCCCCCCATATGGGTGTTTTTAAGGCAGGGTTCCTCAAAATACGATCTCTAAACACTCTGAATCAGAATCACAAAATAAAATATTCAGATGGCCGTTGAGCACATAAAAGGAGAATCACCATCATTGCTCATTATGAAATGAAAGTTAAAACTGCCGGGCGCAATGGCTAATGCTTGTAATCCCAGCACTTTGGGAGGCTGAGGCAGGCAGATCACCTGAGGTCGGGAGTTCGAGACTGGCCTGACCAACATGGAGAAACCCCATCTCTACTAAAAATACAAAATTAGCCAGGCGTGGTGGTGCATGCCTGTAATCCCAGGTACTTGGGAGGCTGAGGCAGGAGAATCACTTGAATCTGGGAGGCAGAGGTTGTGGTGAGCCGAGATTGAGCCATTGCACTCCAGCCTGGGCAACAAGAGCGAAACTCCATCTCAAAAAAAAAAAAGTTAAAACTATGAGATCCCATTACACATCCACTAGAATGATCAAAAGTAAAAAGACTGACAGCACCTAAGTATGAATGAAGATGTAGAGCAACCAGAACTCATTTGCTAGTGGTGTTGTAACATGGTACAGCTATTTTGGAAAACAGGCAGCTTCTTACAAATAAGCATATCCTTACCATATGACCCAGCAATCCTCCTACGTACCCAAGGGAAATGAAGACTTATGTCCAATCAAACACTTGTATTTGAACATTCATAGCAGCTGTATTCATAAGAGCGGAAATATCCATCAATTAGAAAGCAGATAAACAGGCCAGGTGTGGTGGCTCACCCCTCTAATCCCAGCACTTTGGGAGGCCGAGGCAGGCAGATCACTTGAGGTCAGCAGTTCGAAACCAGCCTGGCCAACATGGTGAAACCCTGTCTCTACTAAAAATACAAAAATTAGCTAGGCATGGTGGCAGGTGCCTATAATCCCAGCTACTTGGGAGGCTGAGGCAGAAGAATCACTTGAACCGGGGAGGGGGAGGTTGCAGCAGTGAGCCGAGATTGCACCATTGCACTCCAGCCTGGGTGACAGAGTGAGACCCTGTCTCAGAAAAAAAAAAAAAAAAAGGTTAAATTGTGATACATCTCTATAAAGGAAGGGATTACTGACACAAGCAGCAACATGAATACCTTTAAAACATGCTGAGCTAATAAATCAAAAGCTGAGCTAAAGGAATGAGACACAAAAGAGTACACATACTGTACAATCAATTCTCTATGTGAAATCCTAGAACAGGCAAAACTGGTTTCTAGGGACAGAAAGCAGGTTTGCCTGGGGCCGGACCTCAGGGAGGACCAAGGATTAATGGCAGAGAGGGAACTTTCTAGCGTGTTGGAAATCTTCCATATTTTGATTGGCAGTAGTTACATGGGTGCCTACATTTGTCAAAAGGCAGTCTTAAAATAGATACACTTTCTTCATTATGCCTCAGTAAATCTGATTGAAAATATATACACTTTTTTTTTTTTCCTGTTGGCAGTATGGACTCTTTTAGGCAGGGTAGCTCAAAATGTGGCTTCTGGACCACCAACCAGCATCAGAATTACCAGGAAAATTGGGAAAGACCTTGTTTGGGGACCCCCATCCCATGCCTGACCTACTGAAAAACCAAATATCCAGAGCTGCTCTTCTGTGGCCTGCGATCCGCTAGGCCAGCCTGAGTCAGAGCCCGGCCTCAAAAGCTCCACTACATAAGCTGGGGCTGGTGGTAATGTTGAGTGTCAGTTTCAAACAATAGCAGCTGGCAGTGCCTGGTGGGAAGAGACTAGAAGAAGTAGAGGAATTCCATGCAGACCAACCTACTGTGTAGCTCTTCTCTTCAAACTTCTGCTTGTAGAAAGCAAAGGTATGCTCTAAAGTAGAGGTTGAAACTCATGAGAATTTACCTTGGTGAAAGAAAGGGTTAGAAGCTATTTTTAAAAAGCAGTTGCAGGAAGCATTTCTGAAGTCAGAACTTCTCAACCCAGGCTGTACACCAGACTCTTGTGGACCTTTTAAAACATCTAATTTCTATTTTTATCAAAGGAGACATGAATATGGTGTTTTTTAAAAAGGTGGAGATGGTTTTAAGTTTGTAAATGTATGTTTTAAAAAAAAAAAAGTCAGTCCTGACCAGGCACGGTGCCTCACGCTTGTAATTCCAGCACTTTGAGAGGCTAAGGCAGGAGGATTGCTTGAGCCCAGGAGTTCAAGCCCAACACAGGCAACAAAGGGAGATCCTGTCTCTACAAAATATTTAAAATCTAGCCAGGCACAGTGGCCTGTGCCCGTACTCCCAGCTGCTTGGGAGGCTGAGGCGGGAGGATCACTGGCGCCCAGGATGAGACTGCAGTGAGCTGTGATCACACCACTGCACTCCAGCCCAGTCAACAGAGAGGGACTCTGTCTTTGAAAAAAGAAAAAGAAAAAAAAAAGTCTGCCTACAGCCTAGTCTCGCTGTAAACTGATTCCTCTTTGGAGGGAGACATTTACAGAGTTTAAATTATATGCAGGCGAAATACACAATCTTGAGAGTACAGCTTGATGGGTTTTTATATATGTATGGTCATTCCTCGGTATCTATGGGGGATTGATTGCAGGACCCCCCCCCCCCAATATTTTTTTTTGAGACGGAATCTAACTGTTCCTCAGGTCTGAGTGCAGTGGTGTGATCTCGGTTCAGTGCAGCCTCCGCCTCTGCTTCCTGGGTTCAAGCGCCACATCTGAGGGTGCACAAGTCTCTCATACAAAATGGTGTGGCATTTGCACATAACCTATGCATATCATCTCTGTATACTTTAAGTCACCTCTACATTGCTTATAACACCTGATACAATGTAAATGCTACGTAAACAGTTGTTACATTGTTTGTATATCATTTGTATTTTTTTAAATGATTTTCTCCCAAATATTTTAAACCCAAGGTTGGTTGAATTCACCGACGCAGAATCCATGGATAGGGAGGGCCAACACCCAACTCCCACCCAGATCAAGATACGGACCATTTCCAGCACCCTAGAAAGTTCCCTGATGGTCCTTCCAAGCTAATAGTCCCCGCTTCTCAAGATAATCACTATTCTGACTTCGGACACCACTGGTTAGAACCACTTTAGGTGCTTTCTGTGGTTCCTCCTTGTATTTGTTTTCATAGTTCTAAATAATGTTTATACTGCTGTTTCTTGGCTTGCCAACTTGGGACAATGGTAGCTTTCTCGAATAGCAGACCAGACTTTCACTCAGTCTCCATCCTCACCAAGTAAAACAAAAATGTTCCAGATTTCCAGGCCCCGGGATCACTCCTACCACTACCTTGGCTTACTCAGATTGAATCCTGCACCTGGGAGGAGTCTGAGTACCTGTGGTGTGTGGTTTTTTTTTTGTTTGTTTGTTTGTTTGTTTTTTTGGAGATGTAATTTCTTGTTGCACAGGCTGGAGTACAATGGCACAATCTTGGCTCACCACAACCTCCACTTCCCGAGTTCAAGCGATTCTCCTGCCTCAGTCTCCCGAGTAGCTGGCATTACAGGCATGTGCCACCACACCCGGCTAATTTTGTATTTTTTAGTAGAGACGGGGTTTCTCCATGTTGGTCAGGCTGGTCTCGAACTCCCAACCTCAGGTGATCAGCCTGCCTTGGCCTCCCAAAGTGCTGGGATTACAGGCGTGAACCACTGCGCCCGGCCTTTTTTTTTTTTTTTTTTTGAGATGGAGTCTTGCTCTGTCACCCAGGCTGGAGTGCAGTGGCACATTCTCGCCTCACTGCCGAGAATGCAACCTCCACCTCCGGGGTTCAAGTTATTCTTCTGCCTCAGCCTCCTGAATAGCCGGGATTACAGGTGCCTGCAACTACACCAGGCTAATTTTTGTATTTTTAGTAGAGACAGGGTTTCAACCATGTTGGCCAGGCTGGTCTCGAACTCCTGACCTCAAGTGATCCCCCGCCTCGGCCTCCCAAAGTGCTGGGAGCACTTCAGTGTGAGCCACCGCGCCCAGCATCACGCCCAGCATCACGTGCGTTTTTTAACCTCACAGGCGATTCCAGCCAGCACCTGTCCCTGGGGAGCCCTGAGCCTGTGGTACTTGGCCCTGAGGCTGGGAGGAGCTGAAAGGCTCCTGATGTCCCAGACACAGGATGTTTGCTGTGAGGAGCTTGGAAGTTAAAATAGAGTATGTTCTCAGACTGCCAGGTTAATTTGCAGTTGGAATAAGAAGCAAGCCGTGAGAATCACTAAAGTGTTTCTAAGATTTTTATTGCTTGTCAAGTACATCCTTTAGGGCTCCGCGTCTAAATATTTAAGATTCCAGCTTTGCTCTTATCAGAGCTCAAATGTGGCCACAGTTCTCCCACCCTTTGCCTGGTCATAATTCAGAACCAACTTATCACCATGGTTTGTTCTCATTCTCCTTCTCTTACTCCCAACCAGTGACACCCGGGCTTCTGCTTACAGCTGGAGGCACTGGCCACCTACCTTCCTTCCTTGGCTGGGAGCATCAACAGCCAAGCCCCTTTACACGGCAGTCATCTTGATGAGTTGCTGGGGCCAAAGCCTGCCCTCCCTCCCTCTGTAAGCAGTATGGATTCCTTGTGGCCTTCTGAGCCTTCTCCTTGCTACTCAAGAGTTTCCAAATCAAAAGACTTGCAGCCTGTTCCTGTTTTTTAAAAGTATTTATAAAAGCTGAATGTCAATTTTCTACTTAGAGTTATAAATAGAAGCAGATGCTCTGGTTTGTTGATCAGCACGCTGTGTTCTTACAGGGGAAGTCAAAGAATCCGAAGTGTGCTTGGAGCATAGAACTAGCGCAAGAGGGCGCTAGTGAGGCGGTGCGGCGCGGGCGGCCAGGAGCTAGGGTTTGAAAACAGACTTCGGTTTGAGCCCTGAATCTGCCACTTAGAAGCTGTGTGCCCTTGGGAAGCGATAATAATACATTTACCAAAGTCAGACTAGATAACCCCAGCACTGAGGAGTTATCCACATCATCTCTTCGTCCTTCACAACAATAAATCTATAAGCTAGAAGTTACCATCTCCAGACTTACAGATGAGATTGCTGAGGCTTAAAAAAGTCAAAAAGGTACTCAAGGTATCATGATAGGGCCTGGGGGAGTTGAATGTAGTTTAGATTAACCCCAGGACCTACTACTTTATTTTTATTGCGTTTATTCAAAGGCAAAACCTGTAAGAGATGCCTAAAAATGATAATGGCTACCTTTCTTAAAAAAACTTTATTGAGATTTAATTTTCCCACAATAAAATTCACCAATTTCGGCTGGGCGCAGTGGCTCACGCCTGTAATCCCAGCACTTTGGGAGGCCGAGGGGAGTGGATCACTTGAGGTCAGGAGTTCGAGACCAGCCTGGCCAACATGGTGAAGCCCCATCTCTACCAAAAACACAAAAAATTAGCCGGCATGGTGGCAGGCACCTGTAATCCCAGCTATTCGGGAGGGTGAGGCAGGAGAATCGCTTGAACCCTGAAGGTAGAGGTTGCAGTGAGCCAAGATTGTGCCACTGCACTCCAGCCTGGGTGACAGAGCGAGACTCCGTCTCAAAAAAAAATCACCAATTTTAAGCATACAGTAAGTTGACAAATGTATCCCACCACTGCAATCATGATATAGAATAGTTCCATCTCCCCACAAATTCTCTCCTGGCCTCTCCCAATCCTCTCCTCAAACCTCTGGCCCCGGCAACCACTGATCTCTCTAGCATGAGCTTTATCTTCTCTAGAACTTTATATAAATGGAGTTATTGGCATACAGACTTTCATGCCGACTTCCTTCCCTTAACACGATGCTGCTGAGACTCACCCGTGCTGTGTGCATCAGCACATCCCACCTTTTCACATTGAGTAGAATCCATTGTAAGGGTGCCCCGCCGCTTACCCACTTAAAGTCATGTGTTTATTTGCTTTTTGTGTATCTTTTTGGTGAAGTGTCTATTCAGATCTTATATAGGGCCTGTAATTTTTTTTTTTTTTGAGATAGGGTCTTGCTCTGTCACCCAGGCTGGAGTGCAATGGCACAATCTTGGCTCATTGCAACCTCCACCTCCCATGTTCAAGTGATTCTCCTGTCTCAGCCTCCCAAGTAGCTGGGATTACAGGTATGCACCACCATACCCGGCTAATTTGTGTATTTTTTAGTAGAGACAGGGTTTCACCATGTTGGCCAGGCTGGTCTCGAACTCCTGACCTCGAGTGATCTGCCCACCTCAGGCTCCCAAAGTGGTGGGATTACAAGCATGAGCCATTGTGCCTGGCCGGGTCTGTACTCTTAACCCGCACACTCTACCTGCGCATTTTTTTCCTCGAGTCTCATCTATTAAATGGAAATAAAAACGCAAGCATGGAAGAAGACTGCTGCTGTTCCGTCTGCCCTTCCCCCACTGTCTAGGGAACCCCCCCCTTCACACCTCTGCAGTCACACGAATGTTTTAGTCAATGTGGACGTTTCCACACTGGTAACAGTGACAGCTTAGTGGTCCAGAGGCGGGTGCCTGAGCCTGTTTAAAACAATCCCAGTCCTTCCTTGGGACTAGTTTCTAGCTTGGACTGGCTGTTCTCTTGAACTGAGGATGTCACGGAAGTTGACAGCTGTTAGTGGCCATGTGCCGCCATGATAAAGCTGGCCACCGCAGAAGCAAGTGACCCAGGCACAGGAAGAGGGGTCGAGGCAGGACATGAGGAGCCCGGCTCCAGCCAGTCCCAAGCCCAGTTGTATCCCTACTCTTGGCCTCTCTAAGGCCCTCCTGAGTCTTCTAATCATTTCTCTTTCTTGCGTAGGCAGCTTGGAATTGGGTTTTTGTTACTAAAAGCCAAACTAACCCACTAATGTACTGGGTCATTGTGGAAATTCCATGCGCTCTATATGTAAACTGTTCACACACACTACCTGGGGCATGGCAGAGTCACCACAGATGTTGGCTACGACACTGCCAGGTGGCCAGTCCCAGCTAGAATGGCCAGGCACTGGGTCCTGCTGCCCTCACTTCACTCGGTGTCCTTGGATCCTCACAGCCTCACCCGGACTGTGTGTGCAAGGACCTTACGGGTTTGAGGTGAGGCCGGAGCTTGACAGGGGACGAAGAACAACTTAACACCCTGTGAAGTGGGAAATGCCATCTGTGAGAAAGACGCCACTGTGCAGAACTGACAGACCCAGCCTCTAGACTCTTCCTACAGATATTCAAGAAATGAATGATTTGGCCAGGCGCAGTGGCTCATGCCTGTAATCCTAGCCCTTTGGGAGGCCGAGGCAGGTGGATCAGCTGAGGTCAGGAGTTCAAGACCAGCCTGGCCAACATGGCGAAACCCATCTTTACTAAAATACAAAAATTAGCCAGGCATGATGGCGGGTGCCTGTAGTCCCAGCTACTCGGGAGGCTGAGATGGGAGAATCGCTTGAACCCAGGAGACGGTGGTTGCAGTAAGCCAAGATTACACTACTGCACTCCAGCCCGGGCAGCTGAGGGAGACTCCATCTCCAAAAAAAAAAAAAAAAAAAAAAAAAAATTCATCATTAGTTTGTTTGTTTGAGACAGAGTCTCGCTCTGTTGCCCAGGCTGGAATGCAGTGGCATGATCTCAGCTTACTACAACCACTGTCTCCCAGGTTCAAGCAATTCTCATGCCTCAGCTTCCTGAGTAGCTGGAATTACAGGCATGTACCACCACACATGGCTAATTTTTTGTATTTTCAGTACAGATGGGGTTTTGCCACATTGGCCATGCTGGTCTCCAACTCCTGACCTCAGGTGATCCACCTGCCTCAGCCTCCCAAAGTGCTGGGATTACAGGCGTGAGCCACCGCACCCGGCCATCATTAGTCATTTTTCTACGAGTTATTAGGCATAAATTGTGAAACATTCACAGGAGGGATTGTGTGTTTGAGATCATCTCTGGTCCAGTTCTTTGCCTCTCCCTGCATCCATGCCCTTTGCCACCTGAGCCTGCAGCTTCATCTACTTCAGGACTGGCTGGACTCCCCCACCCCTGCCCACTGAGTTTGGCTGTTTCTGTGGCTCCAGCTAGTGGCCTGTTGGGGAAAGAATGGTGTGTCAGTTCTGACCTAGGCCTCAAAAGGCCTGCGTGTTTCTTTTGGCTCTCTTGCCATTGTCATAAGACTATGTCTGCCTATCCCAGTAGCTGGAGGACAATGAAGGACACACGGAACAGGGCTGCTCCAGCCAAGGCCGGGCTAGAGAAGGCCACCCAAGCCAACTTGCAGATGTAGGGGAGCCCAGCTGAGATTGGTGGAGCCGGCCAAACAAACGTGTATTGTTCAGAAATGCAGTTTTATTTATTTTTGAGATGGAGGTGTCTCACTTTGTCACCCAGACTAGAGTGCAGTGGTGTGATTGTAGCTCACTACAGCCTTGAACTCCTGGGCTCAAGTGATCCTCCCACCTGAGTAACTGGGACCACAGACATGTGCCACCATTCCTGGCTATTTTCCTTGGTATATACAGGGTCTTGCTTTGTTGCTCAGGCTGGTCTAGAACTCCTGGGTCCAAGAGATCCTCCTGCCTTAGCCTCCTAAAGTATTGGGATTAGAGGCGTGAGCCACTGCACTGGATCAGAAATGCAATTTTAAATGAGATACCACCATACACCGATCGGTAGGGCTGAAAGTAAAAAGACAACACCAAGTGTTGGTGAGGACTTGTAGCACCTGGACTTTCATGCATTGTTGGTGGAAATAGAACATGATACACCTTCTTTGGGAAACATTTTGGCAATTTTTTTTTTTTTTTGAGATGGAGTTTCGCTCTTGTTGCCCAGGCTGGAGTGCAATGGCGTGATCTCAGCTCACTGCAACCTCCACCTCCCAGGTGCAAGTGATTCTCCTGCCTCAACCTCCTGAGTAGCTGGGATTACAGGCATGTGCCACCACACCCGGCTAATTTTGTATTTTTAGTAGAGACGGTATTTCTCCACATTGGTCAGGCTGGTCTCAAACTCCCAACCTCAGATGATCCCCTCCCCCCCCCCACCCCGCCCCGCCTCGGCCTCCCAAAGTGCTGGGATTACAGGCGTGAGCCACCATGCCCCGCGTGGCAATTTCTTAAAAGGTGAACTATATACTTAGCACCTGACCCAGTGATCTAATCCCCAGGAATCCGGGAGAAATGAAAACACTTCCATACAAGTACTTGTACTGACATGTTCATAACAGCTTAATTCATAACCACCCCAGACTGGAGACAAGACTAATGTCTATCAACTGGTGAATGGATAAACACATTGTAGTACTGTGTGCCCATACAACAGAATGAGCTGCTCATATGTGCAACATGAATTTCCAGAAGCATTATGCTGCATGCAATGCACATGCTGTGTGACTCCGCTTCTACGAACTCTACAACAGGGAAGATGGACGTGGTGGAACACATCAGGACAGTGTCTGTCTCTGGAGTGGATGTGGGGTCATGGGGAAGGGCCTTGAGGGAGCTTTCTGGGGGGCTGTCAAGGGGAAACAGTTCAGGTGGTTGGAGCAGGGAGAGACCAGGGCGTGCAGTTAGAGGCGAGGTTTGAAAGGTGGGTGAGGCCAAGTGGCAAGGGCCTTGTGTGCATGATCTGCTTCGGCTGTTATCCTGAGCAGAGCAGCCGACACTCATGAGGGTTCCAGGCTGGGCCAGAGACTCAGTCTTCCTCTTTTTGCCCAAGCTGCCATCCCTCAAGACACTTAGTAGTTCCCTGCTTCCTCCCCAATTTCTGGCACGTGATGCTCTGGAAACGTAAAGCTTGCAGGGTAACATGAACCTCCTGGACCCCTGCCTCAGCACAGGAGGGGATGCAGATGTTGGTTGGGAATAGCGGACACAAAGGTGATGGGTTGGTTTCCCAGGACTATCGTAACAAAGTATCTCAGACTGGGTGGCTTAAACAACAGAACTTTTTTTCACCAACCTGATGCTTTTGTTTAAAAAAAATAATTAAAAACAATTAAAAAAAACCAAAAACCCAGAAATTTATTCTGTCACAGTTCTGGAAGTCAGAGTCCAAAACCAAGGCATGAGCAGGGCCATGTTCCCTCTGATGGTGCCGAGGAAGGATCTGTTTCTAGGCCTCTCTCCTGGCTACTGGTAGCATCAGGCATCCCTTGGCTGTCTTCTCCCTGTGTCTTTTTTACATGATGTGCTCTCTACGGGCATGTCTGCCTCTGTGTCCAAATTTCTACTTATTTTAAAGACAGAGTCTTGCTCTGTCGCCCAGGCTGGAGTGCAGTGGCACCGTCTCAGCTCACTGCAGCCTCCGTCTCCCAGGTTCGGGCAATTCTTGTGCCTCAGCCTCCTGAGTAGCTGGAATTATAGGTGTGTGCCACCACACCTGGCTATTTTTTTTTTTTTTTTGTATTTTTAGTAGAGATTGGATCTCCCTATGTTGCCCAGGCTGATCTCGAACTCCTGTGAGCCTCCCACCTCAGCCTCCCAAAAGTGTTGGGATTACAGGTGTGTGCCACCACACCTGGCTTTTTTTTTTTTTTTTTTTTTTTTGTATTTTTAGTAGAGACTGGATCTTCCCATGTTACCCAGGCTGATCTTGAACTCCTGTGAGCCTCCCACCTCAACCTCCCAAAAGTGTTGGGATTACAGGTGTGAGCTACCATAGCCGACTTAATTTGTGTGTTTTATAACAACATTAGTCAAATTGGATTAGGGCCCAACCTAATGATCTCATCTATTTTTTAAATAGAGATATGATCTCACTATGTTGTCCAGGCTGGTCTTAGACCCCAGGGCTCAAGTGATCCTTCCCCTTCGGCCTCCCTAGTAGCTGGGACTACAAGCTTGCACCACAGTGCCTGGCACGACCTCATCTTAAAAGACCCCATTTCCAAATAAGTTCACATTAATAAGTATTGGGAATTAGGACTTCAACATTTTGGGGGACACAATTCAATCTATAACAGCAGGCTCTATTTTAATATTATTTATTTATATGACCCTCATCTAGCAGTCTGTCAGCTTCAACTGACAACCATCAGCTGTGTAGATTATATTTCTTTTATAAGTGTATTGAGGCCGGCCATGGTGGCCCATGCCTGTAATCCCAGCACTTTGGGAGGCCGAGGTGGGCAGATCACCTGAGGTCAGGAGTTCAAGACCAGCCAGGTCATCATGGCAAAAACGCTGTCTCTATCAAAAAATACAAAAAATAGTTAGGCATCAATCCCATTACTGGGTATATACACAAAGGATTATAAATCATGCTACTATAAATACACAAGCACACGTATGTTTATTGCAGCACTATTCATAATAGCAGACTTGGAACCAACCCAAATGTCTATCAATAATAGACTGGATAAAGAAAATGTGGCACATATACACCATGGAATACTATGTAGCCATAAAAAAGGATGAGTTCATGTCCTTTGCAGGGACATGGATGAAGCTGGAAACTATCATTCTCAGCAACTGTCACAAGGACAGAAAACCAAACACCGCATATTCTCACTCACAGGTGGGAATTGAACAATGAGAACACATGGACACAGAGAGGGGAACATCACACACTGGGGCCTGTTGGTGGGTGGGGGACTGGGGGAGGGATAGCATTAAGAGAAATACCTAATGTAAAAGTTGATGGGTGCAACAAACCAACATGGCACATATAAACCTATGTAACAAACCTGCACATTGTGCACATGTACCCCAGAACTTAAAGTATAAAAAAAAAAATAGCTGGGCATGGTGGTGCACACCTGTGGTCCCAGCTACTTGGGAGGCTGAGGCAGGAGGATCCCTTGAGCCCAGGGAGGTAGAGATTGGATTGAGTCAAGATTGTGCCATTGCACTGCAGCCCAGGCAACAGAGCAAAAATAAGTGTATTGAATCTCTTGATTCATCTATTGAATAGGGCTCTCTTCTGGCCACCACGTTCTGAACCAAGGCTGGCTATTTAGACAGGCTGCAGCACACAGCAGAAGACTTCCTGTTTAAAAATGTCAGAATAATGCTGCTTCTCTCCAAATCTACCCCAAAGCAGTAAGGAGAACAAGCAGCAGAAATCCACACCTTGGCACTAAGGAAACTAGGAGACCTCTGAAACCCTCAGCCATGAAAGTATGAGGAAGGGATGCCAACTGCCCTGAATGTTAAACAGGTGTAAGGAGAGGGCACGTCCTGGAGGCAGCCAGCTGAGCATAATTCTCCAAAGTCAGTGACACGCCAGGGAGCAAAGCATGACAGGATGCTCAGGTAGGGACTTGCCCAGACCCAGGCAGGGAGCTGGAGTGAACACAGGAGGTGAGGCTGAATGCGGAGTCACACAGACAAGCCTTGTTTGAAGGAAGGAATCTGCAAGTGAGGTTGGACAGAGAGGAGCAACTGTCCACCATGAGCCTGCATCTGATGAGCTCAGCGGACAGGAGGAGTGAAGGTTATCCACTCACATGAATGCTGCTCTCCTAGAGCATACATAGCCCAGGCCCTTCAACTCCTGACATCTGGTGGTCTAGACTTGCCTCATTCAAAGATGACTGATAGGCCAGGCACGGTAGCTCACACCTGTAATCCCAGCACTTTGGGAGGCCAAGGTGGGAGGATGGCTCGAGTCCAGGAGTTCAAGACCAGACTGGGCTACATAGTGAGACCTCATGTCTATAAAAAATACAAAACTTAGCCGGGTGGGTGGCTCATGCCTGTAATCCCAGCACTTTGGGAGGCCATGGTGGGCGGATCACTTGAGCTCCAAAGTTCAAGACCTCCAAAGTTCAACATGGCAAAACTTTGTCTCTACAAAAAATACAAAAATTAGCCAGGCATTGTGGCACACACCTTTAGTCCCAGATACTCAGGAGGCTGAGCCCAGGAGGCAAAAGTCATAGTGAGTCAGTATCATGCCACTATCCTCCAGTCTGGGTGACAGAGCGAGACCCTGCCTCAAAACAAAACAAAAGCTATCACAGAGAGCCAGGCACAGTGGATGCAGCACAATTGAAAAGAAGTAATCCTGAAATCATAAAAAGGAAGAGCAAGAGAAAAAACGATACATTGGGATTGAGAAAAATAGTAAAGAACAAAGTAGAATAGACAAAAGTTTAAAATGAATACACAGAATATGATAGACATGAAGATCCAAGAAGTACTATATACATTTAGTTAATATTCCTGGAGGCAAAAACAAAAATAATGGAACAGGAAAAAAAACTTTTTTTTTTTTTTTTTTGAGATGGAGTCTTGCTGTGTTGCCCAGGCTGGAGTCTAGTGGTGTGATCTTGGCTCACTGCAACCTCTGCCTCCCAGGTTCAAGGGATTCTCCTGCCTCAGCCTCCCAAGTAGCTGGGACTATAGACCATGCCGGGCTAATTTTTGTATTTTTAGTAGAGACAGGGTTTCACCATGTCCGCCAGGCTGGTCTCAAACTCCTGATCTCAAGTGATCCACCCGCCTTGGCCTCCCAAAGTTTTGAGATTATAGGAGTGAGTCACTGGCACCTGGCCAGGGAAGATATTTAAAGAAATAAAATAAGGCAAGAGGGCTTTCTAAAAATAAAATGACTTGATCAACATGCTGATAAGGTATATACCAAGTCCTAGGAAAAAATGAAACAGTATTAGTCAGGGTTCTCTAGAGGGACAGAACTAGATGTTTAGAGGATGTATGTGTAGATGAGAGGGAGTTTGTTTATTTTTTGAGATGGAGTCTTGCCCTGCTGCCCAGGCTGGAGTGCAATGGCACGATCTCAGCTCACTGCAACCTCCACCTCCCGGGTTCAAACGATTCTCCTGCCTCAGCCTCCCAAGTAGCTGGGATTACAGGTGTGTGCCACCACGCCTGGCTAATTTTTGTATTTTTAGTAGAGGCAGGGTTTCACCATGTTGGCCAGGCTGGTCTCAAACTCCTGACCTCGTCCGCCCACCACGGCCTGAGAGGGAGTTTACTGAGAATTGACTCGTACTATCACTAGGTTAAGTCCCATGATAGGCTGTCTGCAAACTGAGGAGCAAGGAAGCCAGTAGTAGCTCAGTCCAAGTCCCAAAACCTCAAAAATAGGGAAGCCGACAGTACAGCCTTCAGTCTGTGGCCAAAGGCCTGAGAGCCCCTGGCAAACCACTGGTATAAGTCCAAGAGTCCAAAAGCTGAAGAACTTGGAGTCTGATGTTCAAGTGCAGGAAGCATCCAGCACGGGAGAAAGATGAAGGCCAGAAGCCTCAGCAAGTCTGCTCTTTCCAACTTCTTCTGCCTTTTATCCTAGCCATGCTGGAGACTGATTAGATGGTACCTACCCATACTGAGGGTGGGTCTGCCTCTTCCAGTCCACTGACTCAAATATTAATCTCCTTTATCAACACCCTTACAGACACACCCAGAACAATACTTTGCGTCCTTCAATCCAATCAAGTTGACACTCAATATTAACTATAGCTGGGATTACAGGTGCCCACCACCACGCCTGGCTAATTTTTGTATTTTTAGTAGAGAAGGGGGTTTCACCACGTTGGCCAGGCTGGTCTCGAACCCCTGAACTCAGGTGATCCACCCACCTGGGTCTCCCAAATTGCTGGTATTACAGGTGTGGGCCACCGTGCCCAGCTGGTAATTCGGTTTAGATGAGGTCATGATGGAATTAGTGACCTTATAAGAGACACTAAAGAGCTTGCTCCTTCTCTCCATGCCACGTGAGGACACAGTGAGAGGGTGGCCATCTGCAAGGCAAGAGAGCAGCCCTCACCAGGAATGGACCATGTGGACCCCCTGATCTCAGACTTCCAGCCTCCAGAACTGGAAGAAAATACATTTCTGTGATTTATGTTTACCTTGCACCCAGTCTATGGTACATTGTTATGGCACCATGAACAGCCAATGCAATATAAAAATAGTCACTATTACGACGACACAAAACTCCCAAACTATAAGATACACACCCTACAGAGCAGACAGATTAAATAGTGAAATATTTTGCACATAAATATGCAGACAGCAGTAAAACCAAACATATTTTCTCCTATCCATAAGTATAAAAACGGGCTAATCTTCCTATGAAGTCTTAGATTGAATAATGAAGCAAAACCAACATAAACTGTGACAAGAGACGAGATTCACCCAAACACAAAGAGATTCAGGATGGTTCATCCCTTCCTCCTCCTTTCCACTAAGGGGAATTAAGCATTTCCTATGGGCTGGCACTATTTCTATTTTTTTTTTTTTTCGAGTTGGAGTCTCTCATTCTTTCACCCAGGCTAGAGTGCAGTGGTGCAATCTCAGCTCACTGCAATCTCTGCCTCCCATGTTGAAGTAATTCTCCTGCCTCAGCCTCCCGAGTAGCTGGAATTACAGGTGCCCACCATTGTGCTGGGCTAATGTTTTGTATTTTCAGTAGAGACGGGGTTTCCCCATGTTGGCCAGGCTGGTCTCGAACCCCTGACCTCAGGTGATCTGCCTGCCTCAACCTCTCAAAGTGCTGGGATTACAGGCGTGAGGCTGGGCTGGCATCATTCTAAGCACCAAGGGTGTATTCATGCATAGACAAATCCTGTCCTCGCGGAGCTTACGCATAATCAAGCACACAGATGATTTCAAAGCAGGTGATTTCAGCCATGGAAGGAGATGAAGAGGGAAGGAGAAGTGACAGGTGGGCTTGAGAAACAGCTAGAGGGGAGTGAGTCCAGGGAAGAAGGGACATGAGGCCTGACAGGTGGCAGGGGACCAGATCTGACGTTCTGGAATCATCGGCTTATTGATGGTATTTAATGCTGTGAGACAGGGTGAAATCACAGGGGGCAGATGGATCGAGGGTTCTTAACCACTTTTGGTTTCACAGACCCCTTTGGTAATCTGGCAAGGCCTATAGAGTCCTTCCTAAATTATATATATGTGTATGTATATATATATATGTATATATATATGTGTGTATATATATATGACGGAGTTTTGCTCTTTAAGTTTTATTTTTTATTTTTTTGAGACGGAGTTTCACTCTTATTGCCCAAACTGCAGTGCAATGGCACAATCTCGGCTCACTGCAGCCTCCGCCTCCTGGGTTCAAGCAATTCTCCTGCCTCAGCCTCCCGAGTAGCTGGGATTGCAGGCACACACCACCACACCCGGCTAATGTTTTGTATTTTTAGTAGAAACGAGGTTTCCATGTTAGCCAGGCTGTTAGCCAGGCTGATCTTAAACTCCTGACCTCAGGTGATCCGCCCGCCTCGGCCTCCCAGTGCTGGGATTACAGGCGTGAGCCACCATGGCCAGTCTAAAATATTTTTAAAGTTGTGATACAGTTGATAGTGTTGCTACAAACTTAGAGGCTCAAAACAATGCAAAATTTGTACCTTTCCACTGGGGAGGCCAGAAGTCTGCAGTCTCACTGAGCCAAAATCAGGGTGCCAGCAGAGCCACATTCCCCCTTGGAGGCTTGAGGGGAGAATCCATTCTTTGCATTTTCCAGGGTTTTTTTTTTTTTTTTTTTTTTTTTAAGAGAGAGTCTCCCTCTGTCGCCCAGGCTGGAGTGCAGTAGCTCAGTCTCGGCTCACTCCAACTTCTACCTCCTGGGTAGAGAATCAAGTGATTCTCGTGCCTCAGCCTCCTGAGTAGCAGGGATTACAGGTGACTGCCACCATCCCCAGCTAATTTTTTGTATTACGGAGTTTTGCCACGTCAGCCAGGCTGGTCTCGAATTCCTGACCTCAAGTGATCCGCCCTCCTCGGCCTCCCAAAATGCTGGGATTACAGGCGTGAGCCACCGCGCCCAGCCTCTTTTTCAGCTTCTGGAATCTTCCTGCAGTCCATAGCTCCTGGTCCCCTCCTCCTTCAAAGCCAGAATGTAGCATCTTTGAGTCCTCCCGCCTCCTCCGACCATCGGCTTCTGACACCCAACCTCCTCCTCCGACATCGGCTTCTGACATCCAACCTCCTCCTCCTTCACCCCTGACCTGCCTGCCTCCCTCTTATAAGGACACTTGTGATTACCTTGGGTACACCTGGGTAACCCAGGCTCATCTCATTTGAAGATCCTTAATTTAATCACAGTAATCCTAGGAAAAAAGGATTTTTTAAAGCAAAAATTAATTAATTTAAAAAGAAAACTGTCTTTGGTCAGTGACAGCCTCTTCGGGTTGGTCCTCAGCTCTTTTGACAGGACCTGCTAGACTCTGAGACTTCCTTGCCTTCCCTGCCAAACACATCAGTGGTGTTTACTCCAGAGCTTAGATGACAGAAAGTCCTTATTCTTTTAATGAAGTCAGCATAACGTTAAAACCCAATAAAATAGCATTTGAAAGAGATAGTTTCAGATCAAATACATTTTAAATAGTCATGTGTCGCTTAACAACAGGGAAATGTCTGAGAAATTTGTTGTTAGGCGATTTTATCATTGTGCAAACATCATTTAATTACACGAACCTATAGGTTAGAGCCTCCTACCGACCTGGGCCATATGGTATGGCCTATTACTCCTAAGCCACAAACCTGTACAGCATGTTACTTGTGCAAGTTGATCATATGACTTGGGTCATTCTTTTTTTTTTTTTTTTGAGACAGAGTCTCGCTCTGTCACCCAGGCTGGATTGCAGTGGTACGATCTCAGCTCACTGCAGCTTTCACCACCTGGGTTTCAGCCATTCTCGTGCCTCAGCCTCCCAAGTAGCTGGGATTACAGGCGCCCACCACCACACACTGCTAATTTTTGTATTTTTAGTAGAGACCGGGGGTTTCACCATGTTGGCCAGGCTGGTCTTGAACTCCTGACCTCAAGTGATCTGCCCACCTCGGCCTCCCAAAGTGCTGGGACTACAGGTGTGAGCCACCGCACCCAGCCTTTTGAATTGGGCCATTCTTGTCACACCCAGTTAAAACAGTTGAGAAGCTAGGGGGAAAAAGCACTTAGGGCACATAACACAGCTCCAAGAATGTAATTCTCTGCAAGCCTGGCTGCCGAAGCTGCCTGCTGCCACCTGAAACCAGTTTTATCTAATGGCTTCTGAAACAACCTGCTGCAGCTCTAAATCTAGTTTTACCTACTGAAGCCACTTACCAATCAGAGTGTGCCAGCTCCCCAACACTCTACGAGTGCTAATGGACTTCGTGGAAAAACAATGCATAACATTTCTCCTTTCTTTTCTTGTCAGACAGACAGGTCTGGCTCTGTCACTCAGGCTGGAGTGCAGGCGTACAATCATGGCTCACTGCAGCCTCAACCTCCTAGGCTCAAAGGATCCTCCATCTTCAGCCTCCCAAGCAGCTGGGACTACAGGCTGGGGGCCACCACGCCCAGCTTATTTTTTATTTTTTTGTAGAGATGGGGTCTCACCATGTTGTCCAGGCTGGTCTCAAACTCCTGGGCTCAAGCGATCCTCCTACCTCTGCCTCCTAAAGTCCTGTGATTACAGGTGTGAGCCACCACACCTGGCCAACATTTCTCCTTTTTATAAAACCTCCTCTTTGTTCTTTGGACATATTGAAGACCAGTCAGTCTGTTTGTATGCCTGAAGCTGCAATTCTGGTATCCCAAATAACATGATAAATTTAGAGATTTGTCTCTATATTTTAATTTTGACTCCAATATACTGCACTGAATACTGTTGGCAACTGTAACACAATGGTAAGTATTTGTGTATCTAACATAGAAAAAGTACAGTAAAAATATGGTGTAAAAGATAAATAGGCTGGGCGCAGTGGCTCACGCCTGTAATCCCAGCTACTCGAGGCTGAGGCAGGAGGATTGCTTGAACCTGGAAGGCGGAGGTTGCAGTGAGCCAAGATTGCGCCACTGCACTCCAGCCTGGGTGACAGAGCAAGACTCCTTCTTAAAAAATAATAATAATAAATAAAATAAAGTTTTTTAAAAGATAAATAGTGCTTGCTTCAGCAGCACATATACTAAAATTGGAACAATACAGAGATTAGCATGGCTGCTGTTTAAAAATTAAATTTAAAAAAATTGGACAGGCACAGTGGCTCATACCTGTAATACCAGCGCTTTGGGAGGCTGAGGCGGGTGGATCATGAGGTCAGGAGTTCAAGACCAGCCTGGTCAAGATGATGAAACCCCGTCTCTACTAAAAATACAAAAATTATCCAGGTGTGGTGGCGAGCACCTGTAATCCCAGCTACTCGGGGGGCTGAGGCAGAGAATTGCTTGAACCTGGGAGGTGGAGGTTGCAGTGAGCCGAGATCGCACCACTGCATTCCAGCCTGGGTGACAGAGGGACACTCCGTCTCAAAAAAAAAAAAATTGTTGGGCGTGGTGGCTCACGCCTGTAATCCCAGCACCTTGGGAGGCAGAGGTGGGTGGATCACCTAAGATCAGGAGTTCAAGACCAGCCTGGCCAACATGGTGAAACCCTGTCTCTACTAAAAATACAAAAATTAGCCCAGCATGGTGGCGGGCACCTATAATCCCAGCTACTCGGAGGCTGAGGCAGGCGAATCACTGGAACCTGGGAGGTGGAGGTTGCAGTGAGCAGAGATTGTGCCACTGCACTCCAGCCTGGGTGACAGAGTGAGGCTCCGCTTCAAAAAATTAAAAATGGTACTCTTGTATGGGGCACTTATAGGACTGGAAGTTGTTCTGGGTGAGTGGGGAGTGACTGTGAAGGTTTAGGACATTACACTATTGGAGACTTTATAAACACTGCACACTTGGGCTACACTAATTTATGAAAAGGCATTTTCTTTCAATAATAAATCTTAGCTTACTGTAACTTCATAAATTTTTTAACTTTTTGACTTTTTTGTAATAACACTTAGCTTAAAACACAAATATTATACACCTGTACAAAAATATTTTCTTCCTCTATATCCTTATTCTTTTTTTTTTTTTTTTTTTTTTTTGAGACGGAGTCTCCCTCTGTCACCCAGGCTGGAGTGCAGTGGCACGATCTTGGCTCACTGCAAGCTCCACCTGCCAGGTTCACGCCATTCTCCTGCCTCAGCCTCCCGAGTAGCTGGGACTACAGGCGCCCACCACCACGCTTGGCTAATTTTTTTTGTATTTTTAGTAGAGACAGGGTTTCATCCTGTTAGCCAGGATGGTCTCGATCTCCTGACCTTGTGATCCGCCCGCCTCGGCCTCCCAAAGTGCTGGGATTACAGGCGTGAGCCACTGTGCCCGGCCTATATCCTTATTCTTTAAGCTTTTTTCTATTAACAATTTTTTTTGTTTGTTTTTGTTTTTGAAACGGAGTCTCACTCTGTCACCCAGGGTGGAGTGCAGTGTTGTAATCTTGCCTCACTGCAACCTCTGCCTCCCGGGTTCAAGCGATTCTCCTGCCTCAGCCTCCCGAGTAGCTGGGATTATAGGCACCCACCACCACGCCTGGCTAATGTTTGTTTTTTTTTTTGTTTTGTTTTGTTTTGAGACGGAGTCTTGCTCTGTCGCCCAGGCTGGAGTGCAGTGGCGCGATCTCGGCTCACTGCAAGCTCTGCCTCCTGGGTTCACGCCATTCTCCTGTCTCAGCCTCCCGAGTAGCTGGGACTACAGGCGCCTGCCACCACGCCCGGCTAATTTTTTGTATTTTCAGTAGAGATGGGGTTTCACCGTGTTAGCCAGGCTGGTCTCGAACTCTTGACCTTGTGATCTGCCCACCGTGGCCTCCCAAAGTGCTGGGATTACAGGGGTGAGCCACTGCGCCTAGCCATATTAACAATTATCTTGATGAATTCAGAAGTCCCACAGGGACTTACAAAGCCATTTTTAAATTGTTTGATATTTCAGACACAATCAGTTTTATTTTTATTATTTATTACTATTATTTTTATTGTTAGTTTTTTAGTTATACCTTCTGGGATGGGAGACAGTTTTAAAAGTTAACAATTGTCTTGGATGTTGCTGTTTTTAACTCAGTAAGTACATCTGTTCTGCCAGTGCTGCCCTGAGCACTGGAACTGGGAGAGCAGGTAGCAAGCTAGCACTGGACACAGCATAAACAGCGACATATTTCTCTTCCCCTTCAAACTGGCTGGCCCTGTAACCAATAAAATGTGGCCCATGTGACACTGGGTGACTTCTGAGGCTAGCCCTCCAGAGATCTAGCTTATGTGGTCCTTTATTTGGGAATGCTCCTTCTCGTAATCCATCTGCCATGCTATGAGGAAGTCCAAGCAGCCATATGGAGAGCCGCAGGTGCAGGAGAACTAAGGCCCCAGCTAGGAGCCTGCACCGCATTGCTGGCTGAGCAAGTCAGGCCAGTTTGGACTTTTCAGCCATTCCAGGGCTCCATCCAATACCATCTAAAGCAGAACTGGCTGGTCAATCCATAGAAGGAAGGGGGAAAAACAGTTGTCTGGGGCAAATAGTTGTTGCTAAGTTTGGGGACAATTTGTTATAAAGCAGGCCGTGCACCGTGGCTCACGCCTGTAACCCCAGCACTTTGGGAGGCCGAGGCAGGCGGCTCACCTGAGGTCAGGAGTTCGAGACCAGCCTGGCCAACATAGTGAAACCCCATCTCTACTAAAAATGCAAAAATTAGCTGGGCATGGTGGTAGATGCCTATAGTCCCAGCTACTCAGGAGGCTGAGGCAGGAGAATCATTTGAACCCAGGAGGCGGAGGTTGCGGTGAGCCGAGACAGTGACACTGTGCTCCAGCCTGGCGACAGAGCGAGACTCGGCCTCAAAAAAAAATTTTTTTTTTTGTTATAAAGCAACAGATAACCGAGGGAGTGGATTATCACAAGTGTGAAACAACTTGGTACCTCCTTTCTCCCTCACTCCACCTGATGGCTTCCCACTCCGCTGCCACTAATACCTTTCTAGATTCCTCTACTGCGTGCTGGGATGGAAAGAATGCGGCCTTTGGAGTCAGATAGCAAGTGGGTTTCATTCTAGACCTTCCACTTTCTAGCTGGGTAACACTGAGTACAACACTTCCCTTCTCTAAAAGGTACTGAGAAGGCTAGATAAGGTTCTGTATACTCATAACCTACAGATGTGTCATTTCTCCAGGCACAGATCCTGGGAACACATGGCAGGGGATGGGGGCGGTAACATACACAGCTTCCTGCCCACATAGGATGTATTTTGATTGGCGCCTGCCCCACGTGAGCCACCCATTTCACATCCAGCCAGGGAATTTCCATGTCCTTTTTTTTTTTTTTTTTTTTGAGACAGAGTCTTGCACTGTCACCCGGGCTGCAGTGCAGTGGCACAATCTCGGCTCACTGCAACCTCCGCCTCCTGGGTTCAAGCAATTCTCCTGCCCCAGCCTCCCGAGTAGCTAGAATTACAGGCACCCACCACCACGCCCAGCTATTTTTTTGTGTTTTTAGTAGAGACAGGGTTTCACCATGTTGGCCAGGCTGGCAGGCTGGTCTCGAACTCCTGACCTTGTGATTCGCCCACCTCGGCCTCCCAAAATGCTGGGATTACAGGCATGAGCCACCGTGCCCGGCCTCCATTTCCCTTTTTGTTATTACTTTCAGGAGTGTGAGAAGGCAGGGATAGCATTAGGAGAAATTTCTAATGTAGATGACAAGTTGATGGGTGCAGCAAACCACCATGGCATGTGTATACCTATGTAACAAACCTGCACGTTCTGCACATGTACCCCAGAACTTAAAGTATAATAATACTAATGAAAAATACAGTGTGAGAAATTTCTCCCATCTAGGACTCTCCATCCCATTCTCCCAGACGGCCCATTACTGGTTCAAACGCACCAATAAGGATTTCTGTTTGGGAGGGATCTGGGTGCATGGTCTGACTTTTGAGGGAAGGCTGGCTTGCAAGGGCCAGTTGAGTGCGTGCTCAGCACCAAGCCAACACGCAGGCCCAGGCTCCTGCTGTTTGGAGGTCTAGCTGGACTCAAGGAACTACACAACTCTGTCAGCCACATCCTCCAGCCTGAAGGTCTTCACTGCACCCCAGCATGGAGACATCTTCAGGTTGGTCGTCTCTGCAGCTGTGGGTAGAAGAGCTGCCTGGAACGTGCCTGCATTTCTCTGATTTCCTTTTTCACTCAGACTCCTCAGCTTCCACCTACCAAGCTGGGGTGCTCTCCTGGCTTCTCCTGCCAGGTGGCCCTGTCCTCTCTGCCTTGTCTCACCCTTGGGCATCAGCGTGCCAGGGGCTGGCCAGCCCACATGCGGGATCTCCACCCAGAACCTTCCTGTCTGCCAACCCTTTGCCAACTCTCAGGGTGGGGAAGGAAAACCTTGCTCTCCCCTCTTTCCAGGGCTGACCGCTCCTTTTCCTTGGTTAATTTTCCAGAGGCTGCCGGTAGGCTGTGTCCGATGTACACCCAGCTGCCTGAAGTAGAATTCACAGCAATGACGTTATCCCTGCCAAGTCCCACTGCCACTGAACAACGGCAGACTCATTTCCATGAGCCGGAATGAGAACCCAGATTGGAATCCGCTGTGGTTGTTAACCCTGTCTTTTTCCTCTAGGGGGAAATTGTCATTTTAATGAAACCAAGGCACAGAAATGCTAAACAACCATCCCAATGTCATCAAACCGATCATCCACAGAAGCTGGAGACTAATATTGGCACTCAGGCCTGAGGCCATAGAAAATCTCCTTTCCCTCGGATGCATCTTCCTGGGTTGAAGTCCAGCTCCTAGGCTCGCTCATGTGGCCCCCTTGAGCAGAGCATGAAGACCTGGATAACTGGGTCCAGGAAGAGGCTGCCCAAGCTCTCAACTGGCCTCCCCTGTAGGGGGTGCTGCATCTGCCTGGCAGGCTGAGGACCAGGCAGAGCCCAGATCACTGGGTCCCCTTGGCACAGACCCAGGGTCTTGGAGTGCTGCAGTTTGCAGCCACCAGCGTGCCTTCCTCCAGGGCCCCACAGTTGATATCCAGATTGTCCTCGCCGTCCTCAGGGAGTCTGGGAAAGGATGGGAGGGGAAAGAGGAGAGGTGTTTAGGGTGCCGGGGCCTTGCTTCCCAGCCAGACCCTCCAGCGTGTGTGCCTGTCACCTCTACCGGCCTGGGCACTGAGTGAGTCACTGCACTGGTCAGCCACGTGGCACTGGATGAATCCCCAAACCTCCCTGGGCAGCTGACCCCGCATCTGTAAAATGGGGGTGACAACCCTGCTTGGGTGAACGTGCTGGGAACCCAAATAAAGAGTGAAGCGACAGGGTCTAATCAGGCACCAGGCCGCGAGCATGGGCGTGGGCTGCTTTCCAAGTGGCATTCCAGGCTAGGGGAGCAGCAAGGAGGTGGAGTCTGGGGAGAAATGGAGGATCCAGAACAGCAGAGGAGGGAGAAAAGCCCGTGGTCACTCACAGCTGGGGCGGGAGTGGGGCCTCGTCGATCCAGTGCCAGCCCTGGGGGCCTCGCCAGGCCCCCACCCAGGAGTGCCTGGAGACTGGGTATCTGCCCAGGAAGTCCTGAGGGAGAAAAGTAAGCTGGTCACTCCCCTGGACACTGGCGTGGCTTGCCTGGGGCGTACGGATTCCCTGGGGCTTCCACAGGATCCCAGCTGGCCAATCCAGAAGGATCTGCTCAAGCCAGCACTTGCAGAACAAAAAAACCTTGAAAGCTGGATTGGATGCCTGCTGGGTGCCAGGTTCTGTGCTCAGGGCTGGGGGCCAAAATGAGGGTGACCCCGTCTCAGCCAAAGGGATGTGAACGCCAAACACCACTAAGTGATGCTCAGTGGGCATTGAGTGGGCAAAGAAACAAGGAAGCTCAGAAAGCGAGGGAGGTGGTCAGGCACGGTGGCTCATGCCTGTAATCCCAGCACATTGGGAGGCCGAGGCTGGCAGATTACCTGAGGCCAGGAGTTCGAGACCGGCCTGTCCAACATAGTGAAACCCCGTTTCTATTAAAAAAAAAAAAATTAGCTGGGCATGGTGGCGGGCGCCTGTAATCCCAGCTACTTGGGAGGCTGAAACAGGAGAATCGCTTGAGCCCAGGAGACAGAGGTTGCAGTAAGCCGAGATTGCGCCACTGCATTCCAGCCTGGGCTGACAAGAGGGAAATTCTATCTCAAAATAATAATAATAATAATAATAATAATAATAATAATAATAATAATAACACACGCAGATGTGCAGGAACAACAAAAACCAAAGTAAGTGTGCTGGAGAGGTACTAGAGGAGACTTTTTTCTTTTAAATATTTGCCCTCAATGTCACACTATTTTTAACAATGAATTAAAGCAAAAAAGACAATGTTTTAAAGTATATATTTAAGATTTTTTTTTTTTTGAGATGGAGCCTTGCTCTGTCACCCAGGCTGGAGTGCAGTGGCACGATCCTGGCTCACTGCAGCCTCCGCCTCTCAGGTTCAACCGATTCTCCCGCCTCAGCCTCCTGAGAGGCTGGAACTACAGGCATGCACCACCACACCCAGGTAATTTTCGTATTTTTAGTAGGGAAGGGTTTTGCCGTGTTGGCCTAGGCTGGTCTTGAGCTCCTGGCCTCAAGTGATCTGTCCATTTTAGCCTCCCAAAGTGTAGAATTAGTGGTGTGAGCCACTGTACCCGGCCAAGATTTTTTTTTTTTTTTTTTGAGACAGAGTCTCGCTCTGTTGCCCAGGCTGGAGTGCAGTGGCGCGATCTCGGCTCACTGCAAGCTCTGTCTCCTGGGTTCACGCCATTCTCCTGCCTCAGCCTCCCGAGTAGCTGGGACTACAGGCACCCGCCACCATGCCTGGCTAATTTTTTGTATTTTTAGTAGAGATGGGGTTTCACCGTGTTAGCCAAGATGGTCTCGATCTCCTGACCTCGTGATCCGCCTGCCTCGGCCTCTCAAAGTGCTGGGATTACAGGCGTGAGCCACCGCGCCCGGCCAAGATTTTTTAACTTGGAAAAAAAAGTTTAAATCTTTTAAGTCCCAGGGTGGGGACGTGGTGGAGGGGGCAGTGATGCCGGCACGGCCCGCATCAGCTTGTTCTTTCTGAAATGTCGTTTGGTGCTATGTGACAAGAGCAGCACCACCACTCCTGCTCAAATGGGTGATTTCACTGAGAAATAAATCCAAGAATATAAAGGGAAAAAAATGAACTTATCTAAAGATAACACGGTGCTATTTGTGAAGAAAAACTGGAAACTCCCCAAACGCTCAGCAATCAAGAAATAACAAGGTAAATTATAGGATGTCAACATGATGGAAAATTATAGTGCTATTAAAAATGACAAGTGTATAGAAAATGTCATTATGCAGGAAAATGTAAATATGAAATCATGCCATGTAAAAAAAAAAAGACTACACTAGCAAGTACATATCACTCACAACAATGTCAAGAAGCACATATTCACACTGAGGCAGGTTAGGAGCAGAGCGGTATAAATGAATTTCGCATATGCTCAGTTCTTCTTCCCTAAGAAAATGGTTTAAGTCAACAAAGACAAGCCCTGGGAATTAGAGTGATGATTGTCCTGTTGCTGCCACCTCCTCCATCCTTCAGAACTGATTTAAAGGTGGCTTTTTTAACGGACACTGGGCTGACCCTCTCCAAGGTGAAATAGGTGCTCCTCCCTCCCCTTGGTTTCCACAACTTTCACAGAATAGAGCTGTCTCTTTTTTATTTTTATTTTTTTAATTTTTATTTTTGAGACGGAGTCTTGCTCAGCCACCTAGGCTGGAGTGCAGTGGCACAATCTCGGCTTACTGCAACCACCGTCTCCCGTGTTCAAGGAATTCTCCTGTCTCAGCCTCCCAAGTAGCTGGGATTACAGGCACCTGCCATGACGCCCAATTTAGTAGAGATGGGGTTTCACCATGTTGGCCAGGCTGGTCTTGAACTCCTGACCTCAGATGATTCACCCACCTCGGCCTCCCAAAGTGCTAGGATTACAGGTATAAGCCACTGCACCCAGCCTCTCTTTTTTATTTTTTAAGAGACAGGATCTCACTACGTTGTCCAGGCTGGCCTTGAACCTCTGGGCTCAAGCGATGCTCCCACCTCAGCCTCCGAAGTAGCTGGGACTGCTGGTGCGTGCCACCACTCATGTGCTGCCTTCTAATGGCTTGCCTCCTTGTCACTTTCCTGTATTAGTTGGTGAACCTGGTGCGGGCCAGGAGCTTGTCTTACTCAGCATCGCACTATGATAACCCAGTACACAGTAGGTCAACTCAGTGAAACTGCCTCCCCGCGCTCACTGCCAAAAATCAGCAGAGCCACAGTGAGACCAGGCCATCAGGCCACTGTGTATCCCAGAAGTGTCACGGAAAACCCATCTTCTGCCCCTCAAGGTTAGCACCAGTCAGTTAACAGCCCAGAGAGAAGTCAGGGGCAACTTCCCAGGCTGAAGGTTGCTAATCTTACCCTTCTTGAATCCTAAAGACCAGAGTGCATAGGAAAATGGAGAGTGGTGAGTGGACGGAACAGAGAATGTACACTGGGCAGCTGTTCCTTGGCTGGTGCTTCGGGGACACACTGGGGCCCAGGGTGGGGCTGGGCAGGGAAACTTGGAGAGGATGGGAGGGCCCCAGGCTGCTCTGAGGTGTGAGTCAGAGGGCTGAGCGGCCCAACACCGTCTTCCTGGGAGCACTCAGCTGCCTGTTTGGGAAGGCACACCAGGGCTCAGTGCCTCTTCCGGGGCTGAGATGGAGCCAGGCTACCCCATATGCAAATTCTGGCTCCATGACTTGTGAGCCACATGACCTTAGACAAGTTACCCAACCTTTCAGAGCCGCTGTGTGGTCGTCTGTAAAACGAAGATGCTTGTGATGAGGCTTGAGATACTAACATATAAAGCCACGGCCACCTAGTACACACTCATCCCATGTCCTCTCGCGTCTGACATGTGATGGGCAAAGCCTGTGACCTGCCTCCTACACACATGAGCCCCTTTGATGCTTACAGCAACCTCAAGAGGACCCTGTCCTTCTGTCAGAGCCCCAAGCTATCTGCCTCTCTCACCCTTCCCCTCTGGGCCTCCTGGTGACGGGAGCTGAAGGCCTCCCCCGAGCCCCAGCCCCGCCTAGACCCACCCACTCCATTCCATTCTTCTTTTCCTTGCGTTTGAGACTCCTGATCTCATTGTTAGCAAAAATGGTGGTGTAGGGAAGGCATTGTTCAGAGTTATAAATAAACTCTGGGAACTACTAAGTAATTTATGGCTAAAAGGACTGCTCTGTGCAAAAGATCCTGAGGCCTCCTTAACTGTGGATTCTCCAACTTTTCCACTAATATGGGGAGAGGGAATGTGATCCTGAGCAGAATGGACTGAAAATCTCATATTTTACGTCTTAAAATTATAGAAAATTGTTTCCTATGCCTTCATACATTTCTTTTTTAAAAATTGTGATAAAAGATTCACGGCCAGGCATGGCTGCTCACAGCTGTGGTCTTAGAACTGTGGGAGGCTGAGGAGGGCAGATCACTCAAGCTCAGGAGTTTGAGACCAGCCTGGGTAACATAGTGAGACCCTGTCTCTACAAAAAATACAAATATTAACCAGGTGTGGTGGCACGCTCCTGTACTCCCAGCTACTCAGGAGGCTGAGGCCGAAGGATGGCTTGACCCCGGGAGGTCGAGGCTGCACTGAGCCATGATTGCACCACTGCACTCCAGCCTGGGTGAGAGAGCAAGAGATCCTGTCTCAAAAAAAAAAAGAAAGAAAGAAAGAAAAAGTTTAATGACATAAAATTTACCATTTTAACCATGATAAGTGTACAGTTCAAGGGCATGAAGTATATCCACATTGTTGTAAAACCATCATCACCATCCATCTCCTGAACTTTTTCACCTCCCCAAACTGAAGCTGTCCTCATTAAACAACTCCCCATCCCCCGCTGCACTGGCAACAGCCATTCTACTCTCTATCTTCATCCATGTCTGTTTTAATATTAAAATGTTTCAAATTACTTTTCTTAATCCTAGGATGTAAATGTATTCAATGGTTTAATCTTTTTGAAATTAGCATCGGGCTCGAGTTCAGTGTGTGCTGTTAAGGTAGCTTCCTCCCTCCTCCACTCTGCAAAGCAAAGTTGTTATTAAACTAATGGTGAGCACTTACAACTTCCTACTTTTCACTAATCCTGAGCAAAACAGGCTTCTGGGAAGATGAGCCACGTCTATCCTGTACCTCTGGGCACCCTGGCCCTGGTGCGTTCCTGGGGTTTGTGCGCGCTGCTTCTGCGTGTGTGTCCTGTCCTCCCCACCCTGCCTCAGCACCTGCAGGAGCTTCCGGTCCTTGTCCAGAACTCAGGAAAATTCCAGAGTTCCACAATCATTATATTCCAGATTTTAACTGCCTAGATCTTGAATCTTAGCGTTGGTCTTTTTGCAGGGAAGGGGTTTACCCAGACTATGATATGTTTTCTGCAGATTTACTTATGTTTCAAATGATTGATGCTGTATGCATTTTTTTGTTAAATTCTTTATCTCAGGTTCTGTTTCCAATTTGGATAGTTAAACCCACCTCCCCCCATTGGCAACAAGGAGTTCTAAGCTCATCTGAGGTGAACCTGTCTGATGTGAGGCCCGTTTTACTGGCTTCCTGTTGGCATTTGCTGTGCTCAATCTGTCTGTCTCAGGACAAAATGCTATGTTCATCAGTCTTAAGCGATGGGATTCCATAAGTAAGTAATGGGATGAACTATGTCCCTGCAACAATATGATCCCCGCCCTGCTTGGCTCCTGGCCCTAACTCTAGGCACTCTAGAGACCACCTTTGGTCCCACCTACATTCCTACAGGCCTTCAATTTGCAGATACAACCAGTCTGAGTCGTTTGGTACAGGAGCCTGGGGTGCTTTCTTTGCACAGCCCATTCCCATCTCAACGCCAACACCTCAGGGCCCAGCCCAGGCGCTGAGCAGAAACTGATCCCTACTGAGCTCCTCTTGCCCTCACAGGCTACTGGTGCCCTGGCATATTCCCCCATTCACAGCATATATTATTTGTGGAACATTTAGAAAATAAATGTTATTCCTGGTTACACAGTAATCTGTGCTCACTGAAAAACATCACCTCCAGATTTTTTTTTTTTGAGACGGAGTTTTACTCTTCTTGCCCAGGCTGGAGTGCAGTGGTGCAATCTCAGCTCACTGCAACCTCCGCCTCCCAGGTTCAAGCGATTCTCCTGCCTCAGCCTCCCAAGTAGCTGGAACTACAGGCACCCGCCACCACACTGGCTAATTTTTTGTATTTTTAGTAGAGACAGGGTTTCACCATGTTGGCGAGGATGGTCTTGATCTCTTGACCTCATGATCCGCCCGCCTCGGCTTCCCAAAGTGCTGGGATTACAGGTGTGAGCCCCCGCGCCTGGCCATATTTGTATATTTTTAGTAGAGGGTGGGTTTCACCATGTTGGCCAGGCCGGTCTCAAACTCCTGACCTCAGATGATCTGCCCGCCTTGGCCCCCCAAAGTGTTGGGATTACAGGCATGAGCCACTGGGCCCTCCAGCAGATTTTTACATGGGAAAAATGGGAAGATACCAGGACTGTTTCCTGAGCCTGCCATGGGGGTTGCGAGGGGACCTGGCCCCGACGTTGTTGGTGGCTCCAATGTCATCGTCCTGGTCTGTTTAGTTTGTTTTCTGTTGCTGTCACAGATTACCACAGAAAGGGTAATTTATAAGGAAAATCAATTACTTCTTACAGTTTTGGAGGCTGGGTCAGGTGCAGCGGCTCATGCCTGTAATCCCAGCCCTTTGGGAGGCCAAGATGGGAAGGTTGCTTGAGGCTAGGAGTTTGAGACCAGCCTGGGCAACAGAGTGAGACCCTGTCTGTACTAAAAGTCAAAAAAATTAGCCAGGCGTGGTTCCAGCTACTCAGGAGGCTGAGATGGGAGGATTGCTTGAGCCTGGGAGGTGGAGGCTGCAGCAAGCCATGATCACAACACTGCACTCCAGCCTGGGGAACAGAGCAAGACCCTGTCTAAAAAAAAAAAAGACAGCTGGGCACAGTGGGTCACACCTGTAATCTCAGCACTTTGGGAGGCCAAGGCAGGCAGATCACTTGATGTCACGAGTTTGAGACCGGCCTGGCTAACATGGTGAAACTCCACCTCTACTAAAAATACAAAAATTAGCTGCATGTGGTGGCAGGAGCCTGTAATTCTAGCTACTTGGGAGGCTGAGGCACCAGAATCGCTTGAACCCGGGAGGCAGAGGTTGCAGTGAACTAAGTGGCGACCTGCCACTGCACTCGAGCCTGGGTGACAGAGCGAGACTCTGTGTCAATTGAAAAAAAGAGGAGGTTGGGCGAGGGGGCTCACGCCTTTAATCCCAGCACTTTGGGAGGCCAAGGAAGGTGGATCAACTGAGGTCAGGAGTTCAAGACCAGCCTGTATTTTGTCTCTACTAAAAAACACAAAAATTATCCAGGCATGGTGATGGGACCTGTAATCCCCGCTACTCAGGAGGTTAAGGCAGGAGAATTGCTTGAACTTGGGAGGTAGGCTGCAGTGAGCTGAGATCGCACCACTGCACTCCAGCCTGGGTGACAGAGCCAGACTCCATCTAAAAAAAAAAGAGAGAGAGAGAAATGTGGGGGACACACCTAAACCATAGCAGCAGTGTTGGGGTGGGGCTTCTGAGCCAGGCCTTTGGTGCAAATATCTTCTCTGACACTCTGATCAAGGGCAAGTTACTGAGCTTTTCTTTGCCACAAGATTCCTTATCGATGAAAGAGAAAAACGAATCGTTATCTTCACATCACAGGGCTGTTTGGACTTTAGGATTGCCAGGCCTCTGAGCCCAAGCTAAGCCATCATATCCCCTGTGACCTGCACGTATACATCCAGATGGCCTGAAGTAACTGAAGAATCACAAAAGAACTGAAAATGCCCTGTTCCTGCCTTAACTGATGACATTACCTTGTGAAATTCCTTCTCCTGGCTCATCCTGGCTCAAAAGCTCCCCCACTGAGCACCTTATGACCCCCGCCCCTGCCCGCCAGCGAACAACACCCTTTGACTGTAATTATCCACTACCCACCCAAATCTTATAAAGCTGCCCCACCCTTATCTCCCTTCGCTGACTCTTTTCGGACTCAGCCCGCCTGCACCCAGGTTAAATAAACAGCCTCATTGCTCACACAAAGCCTGTTTGGTGGTCTCTTCACACGGATGCGTGTGACATTTGGTGCCATGACTCGGATCAGGGATCCTTGGGAGATCAATCCCCTGTCCTCCTGCTCTTTGCACCTACGACCTCTGGTCCTCAGACCAACCAGCCCAAGGAACATCTCACCAATTTTAAATTGGATAAGCGGCCTCTTTTTACGCTTTTCTCCAACCTCTCTCACTATCCCTCAACCTCTTTCTCCTTTGAATCTTGGTGCCATCTTTCAGTCTCTCCCTTCTCTTAATTTCAGTGCCTTTCCTTTTCTGGTAGAGACAGGAGACGCGTTTTATCCGTGAACCCAAAACTCCATCGCTAGTTACGGACTCGGGAAAACAGTCTTCCCTTGGTGTTTAATCACGCAGGGATGCCTGCTTGATTACTCACCCACGTTTCAGAGGTGTCTGATCACACAGGGACGCCTGCCTTGGTCCTTCACCCTTAGCAGCAAGCACTGCTTTTCTTGGGGGCAAGCACCCCTCACCCCTTCTCTCCGTGTCTCTACCCCTTTTCCACTGTCCTGGGGGGCAAGCACCCCCCATCCCTTCTCTCTGTGTGTCTACCCCTTTTCCACTGTCCTGGGGGGCAAGCATCCCCCCACCTTCTCTCCGTGTCTCTACCCTCTCTTTTCTCTGGACTTGCCTCCTTCACTATAGGCAAACTTCCACCCTCCATTCCTCCTTCTTCTCCTTTAGCCTGTGTTCTCAAGAACTCAAAACCTCTTCAACTCACACCTGACCTAAAACCTAAATGCCTTATTTTCTTCTGCAATGCTGCTTGACCCCAATGCAAACTTGACAATGGTTCCAAATAGCCAGAAAACGGCACTTTCGATTTCTCCATCCTACAAGGTCTAGGTAATTCTTGTCATGAAATGGGCAAATGGTCTGAGGTGCCTGACGTCCAGGCATTCTTTTACACATCAGTCCCTCCCTAGTCTCTGTTCCCAATGCAATTAGTCCCAAATCTTGCTTCTTTCCCTCCCACCTGTCCCCTCAGTCCCAACCCCAAGCATTGCTGAGTCTTTCCAATCTTCCTTTTCTACAGACCCATCTGACCTCTCCTTTCCTCCCCAGGTTGCTCCTCACCAGGCCTAGCCAGGTCCCAATTCTTCCTCAGCCTCCGCTCCCCTACCCTATAATCCTTTTATCACCTCCTCTCCTCACACCCGACGCGGCTTACAGTTTCGTTCTGCGACTAGCCCTCCCCGACCTGCCCAGCAATTTCTTCTTAAAAGGTGGCTGGAGCCAAAGGCATGGTCAAGGTTTTTCTTTATCCGACCTCTCCCAAATCAGTTAGCGTTTAGGCTCTTTTTCATCAAATAGAAAAACCCAGCCCAGTTCTTGGCTCGTTTGGCAGCAACCTGAGACGCTTTACAGCCCTAGACCCTGAAAGGTCAGAAAGAAGGCCATCTTATTCTTAATACGCATTTTATTACCCAGTCCGCTCCTGACATTAAATAAAGCTCCAAAAATTAGATTCCAGCCCTCAAACCCCACAACAAGACTTAATTAACCTCGCCTTCAAGGTGTACAATAATAGAGCAGAGGCAGCCAGACAGCAACGCATTTCTGAGTTACAATTACTTGCCTCTGCCATGAGACAAAACCCAGCCGCACCTCCAGCATACAAGAACTTCAAAATGCCTAAGCCGCGCACACCTAAGCCACAGCGGCCAGGCGTTCCTACAGGACTTCCTCCACCAGGATCTTGCTTCAAGTGCCAGAAATCTGGCCACTGGGCCAAGGAATGCCCGCAGCCCAGGATTCCTCCTAAGCCGTGTCCCATGTGTATGGGACCCCACTGGAAATCAGACTGTCCAAGTCACCCAGCAGCCAACCCCAGAGTCCCTGGAACTCCGGCCCAAGGCTCTCTGACTGACTCCTTCCCAGATCTTCTTGACTTAGCGGCTGACGACCGACGCTGCCCAATTGCCTCAGAAGCTTCCTGGACCATCACAGATGCTTTGGGTAACTCTTATAGAGTGAAGGGTAAGTCCATCCCCTTCTTAATCAATACTGAGGCTACCCACTCCACATTACCTTCTTTTCAAGGGCCTGTTTGTTATGCCTCCATAACTGTTGTGGGTGTTGACGGCCAGGCTTCTAGACCTCTTAAAACTCCCCAACTCTGATGCTAGCTTGGACAATATTCTTTTATATACTCCTTCTAGTTATCCCCACCTGCCCAGCTCCCTTGTTAGGTCAAGACATTTTAACTAAATTATCTGCTTCCCTGACTGTTCCTGGGCTACAGCCACATCTCATTGCTGCCTTTTTCCCCAGTTCAAAGCCTCCTTTGCATTCTCCCCTTGTATCTCCCCACCTTAATCCACAAGGGTAGGACACCTCTACTCCCTCCTTGGCGATTGATCATGCACCCCTTACCATCCCATTAAAACCTAATCACCCATACCCCGCTAAACGCCAATATCCCATCACACAGCACGCTTTAGAAGCCTGTTATTACTCGCCTGTTACAGCATGGCCTTTTAAAACCTATAAACTCTCCTTACAATTCCCCCATTTTACCTGTCCTAAAACCAGACAAGTATTACAGGTTAGTTCAGGATCTGCGCCTTATCAACCAAATTGTTTTGCCTATCCACCCCGTGGTGCCAAACCCATATACTCTCCTATCCTCAATACCTCCCTCCACAACCCATTATTCTATTCTAGATAAACCTAGCTGACCCCATAAATCCTAAATCCTTTCCCCACTCCCCTTTCCATTCCTTAAAAAACAGCTCTAAAAGCTGCTCCCACACTAGCTCTCCCTAACTCATCCCAACCTTTTTCATTATACACAGCCAAAGTGCAGGACTCTGTGGTCGGAATTCTTACACAAGAGCCAGGACCGCGCCCTGTAGTCTTTCTGTCCAAACAATTTGACCTTACTCTTTTAGCCTAGCCTTCATGTCTGTGTGTGGCAGCTGCCGCTGCTTTAATATTTTCAGAGGCCCTCAAAATCACAAACTATGCTCAACTCACTCTCTACAGTTCTCATAACTTCCAAAATCTATTTTCTTCCTCACACCTGACACATATACTTTCTGCCCTCTGGCTCCTTCAGCTATACTCGCTCTTTGTTGAGTCTCCCACAATTACCATTGTTACTGGCCCGGACTTCAATCCGGCCTCCCACATTATTCCTGATACCACACCTGACATTCACTCCAATTCCCCATATTTCCTTCTTTCCTGTTCCTCACCCTGAACACACTTGGTTTATTGATAGCAGTTCCACCAGGCCTAACTGCCACTCACCAGCAAAGGCAGGCTATGCTATAGTATCTTCCACACCTATCAGTGAGGCTACCACTCTGCCCCCGTCCACTACCTCTCAACTAGCCAAACTCATTGCCTTCACTCGAGCCCTTGCTCTTGCAAAAGGACTACGCATCGATATTTATATTGACTTTAAATATGCCTTCCATATCCTGCACCACCATGCTGTTATATGGGCAGAAAGAAATTTCCTCACTATGCAAGGGTCCTCCATCATTAATGCCTCTTTAATAAAAACTCTTCTCAAAGCCGCTTTACTTCCAAAGGAGGCTAGAGTCACCGGGCGCGGTGGCTCACGCCTGTAATTCCAGCACTTTGGGAGGCCGAGGTGGGTGGATCACAAGGTCAGGAGATCGAGACCATCCTGGCTAACACGGTGAAACCCCGTCTCTACTAAAAATACAAAAAATTAGCCAGGCATGGTGGCGGGTGCCTGTAGTCCCAGCTACTCCAGAGGCTGAGGCAGGAGAATGGCGTGAACCTGGGAGGCGGAGCTTGCGGTGAGCCGAGATGGCACCACTGCACTCCAGCCTGGGCGAGAGTGTGAGACTCTGTCTCAAAAAAAAAAAAAAAGAAAGAAAGAAAGGAAGGAAGCTAGAGTCATTCACTGCAAGCAGCCATCAAAAGGCATCAGACCTCTCATTGCTCAGGGCAATGCATATGCTGATAAGGTAGCTAAAAAAGCACCTAGCATTCCAACTTCTATCCCTCATGGCAGTTTTTCTCCTTCTCATCTGGCCACTCCCACCTACTCCCCCACTCAAACTTGCACCTATCAATCTCTTCCCACACAAGGCAAATGGTTCTTGGACCAAGGAAAATATCTCCTTCCAGCCTCACAGGCCCATTCTATTCTGTCATCATTTCATAGCCTCTTCCATGTAGGTTACAAGCCGCTGGTCTGCCTCTTAGAACCTCTCATTTCCTTTCCATCGTAAAAATCTATCCTCAAAAAAATCTCAGTGTTCCATCTGCTATCTACTACTCCTCAGGGATTATTCAGGCCCCCTCCCTTCCCTACACATCAAGCTCGGGGATTTGCCCCCTGCCCAGGACTGGCAAATTGACTTTACTCACATGCCCCGGGTCAGAAAACTAAAATACCTCTTGGTCTGGGTAAACACTTTCACTGGGTGGGTAGAAGCCTTTCCCACAGGGTCTGAGAAGGCCACCGCGGTCATTTCTTCTCTTCTGTCAGACATAATTCCTCGGTTTGGCCTTCCCACCTCTATACAGTCTGATAATGGACCGGCCTTTATTAGTCAAATCACCCAAGCAGTTTCTCAGGCTCTTGTTATTTAGTGGCTCCTGGTTTTACCTCAAATCCCCACCCTTAAGTCTCTCTTTAAGTGGATAGAAGATCTTCAGTGACAAAGTACACTCCAATACTTTCACCCTGATGAAGTCCTATTCTTTACTTTTATACTCACTCTTACTCTTGTTCCCGTTCTTATGCCACGCTCTACCTCTCCCCAGCTATCTCCACCACACTATCAATCTCAGTCACTCTCTCCTAGCCGTTTCTAATCCTTCTTTAACAATTGCTAGCTTTGCATTTCTCTTTCCTCCAAAATCGCCGAGGCCTCGACTTACTCACTGCTAAAAATAAAATAAAAAAAATAAAAAAAGGGGGGGGTACTCTGTATATTTTTAAATGAACAGTGCTGTTTTTACCTAAATCAATCTGGCCTGGTATATGACAACATAAAAAAAAAAAAAAAGCTCAAAGATAGAGCCTAAAAACTTGCCAACCAAGCAAGTAATTAGGCTGAACCCCCTTAGGCACTCTCTAATTGGATGTCCTGGGCCCTCCCAATTCTTAGTCCTTTAATCTCTGTTTTTCTCCTTCTCTTATTTGGACCTTGTGTCTTCTGTTTAGTCTCTCAACTCATACAAAACTGCATCCAGGCCATCACCAAACATTCTATGGGACAAATACTCCTTTTAACAACCCCACAATATCGCCCCTTACCACAAAATCTTCCTTCAGCTTAATCTCTCCCACTCTAGGTTCCCATGTCGCCCCTAATCCCGCTCGAAGCAGCCCTGAGAAACATCGCCCATTATCTCTCCATATCACCCCCCAAAATTTTCGCCGCCCCAACACTTTACCACTATTTCATTTTATTTTTCTTACTAATATAAGAAGACAAGAATGTCAGGCCTCTGAGCCCAAGCTAAGCCATCATATCCCCTGTGACCTGCACATATATATACATCCAGGTGGCCTGAAGTGAAGAACCACAAAAGAAGTGAAAATGGCCTATTCCTTGTGGGGAAAAGAAAGACAGATCAGATTGTTACTGTGTCTGTGTAGAAAGAAGTAGACATAGGAGACTCCATTTTGTTCTGTACTAAAAAAAATTCTTCTGCCTTGGTATGCTGTTAATCTATGACCTTACCCCCAACGCCGTGCTCTCTGAAACATGTGCTGTGTCCACTCAGGGTTAAATGGATTAAGGGCGGTGCAAGATGTGCTTTGTTAAACAGATGCTTGAAGGCAGCATGCTCGTTAAGAGTCATCACCACTCCCTAATCTCAAGTACCCAGGGACACAAACACTGCGGAAGGCCGCAGGTTCCTCTGCCTAGGAAAGCCAGGTATTGTCCAAGGTTTCTCCCCATGGGATAGTCTGAAATATGGCCTCATGGGAAGGGAAAGACCTGACCGTCCCCCAGCCCGACACCCAGTAAAGGGTCTGTGCTGAGGAGCATTAGTATAAGAGGAAGGAATGCCTCTTTGCAGTTGAGACAAGAGGAAGGCATCTGTCTCCTGCTCGTCACTGGGCAATGGAATGTCTCGGTATAAAACCTGATTGTATGTTCCATCTACTGAGATAGGGGAAAACCGCCTTAGGGCTGGAGGTGGGACATGCGGGCAGCAACACTGCTCTTTAAGGTATTGAGATGTTTATGTGTGTGCATATCTAAAGCACAGCACTTAATCCTTTACCTTGTCTATGAGGTAGAGACCTTTGTTCACGTGTTTATCTGCTGACCTTCTCTCCACTATTATCCTATGACCCTGCCACATCCCCCTCTCCGAGAAACACCCAAGAATGATCAATAAATACTAAGGGAACTCAGAGGCTGGCGGGATCCTCTATATGCTGAACGCTGGTCCCCTGGGCCCCCTTATTTCTTTCTCTATACTTTGTCTCTGTGTCTTTTTCTTTTCCAAGTCTCTCGTTCCACCTAACAAGAAAGACCCACAGGTGTGGAGGGGCAACCCACCCCTTCAATTCCTGCCTTAACTGATGACATTACTTTGGGAAATTCCTTTTCCTGGCTCATAAGCTCCCCAACTGAGCACCTTGTGACCCTTGCCCCTGCCTGCCAGAGAACAACCCTCTTTGACTGTAATTTTCCACTACCCACCCAAATCCTATAAAATGGCCCCACCCTTATCTCCCTTCGCTGACTCTTTTTTCAGACTCAGCCCGCCTGCACCCAGGTGAAATAAACAGCCTTGTTGCTCACACAAAGCCTGTTTGGTGGTCTCTTCACACGGACGTGAGTGAAAAGGATAGTGTTCTCTTTTGAACTTATAAAACAATTTGACACAAATCAAAATGTCACATGTGTCAGTCTTTAAGTGTTGGGATTCCGTAAGTGTGACGGGATGAATTCTGTCACCCTAAAGTTCATATGTGGGTGCCCTAACCCCCAGTACCTCAAAATGTGACCGTACTTGGAGTCACGCTTTTAAAGAGTGATTAAACATTAAATGCACATAACGCTGTTCGGGTGGCCCCTAATCCAATGTGACTGGGGTTGTTACAAGAGGAGTAAATTTAGACATGCCGAGAGACACTAGAGATGGGAGGGCACAGGATTGCCATGTGAGGACACAGGGAGAAGGGCCACTACCTGAAAGCCAAGGAGAGGCCTCTGGAAACCCAGAACCTGCTGACATCTTGATCTCAGACTTCCAGCCTTCAGGACTGTGAGAAAGTCAGCTTGTTGAAGCTAACCAGTCTGCAGTATTTTGCTATAGCAGCCCCAGTAAACTAATACCATAAGATTTGTTTATTTACTTATTTTTTTGAGATAGGGTCTCGCTGTCACCCAGGCTGGAGTGCGGTGGTGCGATCTTTGCTCACTGCAGCCTCTGCCTCCCAGGTTCAAGCGAGTCTCCTGCCTCAGCCTCCCGAATAGCTGGGACTACAGGCGTGTGCCACCACGCTCAACTAAGTTTTGTATTTTTAGTAGAGACGGGGTTTCACCATGTTGCCCAGGCTGGTCTTGAACTCCTGACCTCAAGTGATCTGCCTGCCTCGGCCTCCCAAAGTGCTGTGATTATAGGTGTGAGCCACCACGCCCAGCCTACTTATTTATTTTTTGAGACAGAGTTTCGCTCCGTCACCCAGTAGCGCGATCTCGGCTCACTGCAACCTCCGCCTCCTGGGTTCAAGTGTTCTTCTGCCTCAGACTCTTAAGTAGCTGGGATCACAGGCATGCGTCACCATGTCCCGCTAATTTTGTATTTTTGGTAGAGATGGGGTTTCACCATGTTGCCCAGAATGGTTTCAAACTCCTGACTTCAGATGATCCACCCACCTCGGCCTCCCAAAGTGCTGGGATTACAGGCGTGAGCCACTACGCCCGGCTAATACAGTAAGATTTGAAAACAGGTTTCACTTCTTTAATAAATGGAAGACTACAGGACTAGGAGGAAGATCTGAGGGCTCCTGCTGGACCCTGAGGCCCGGCCATGCGTTCCGCACCCCTGCATGCCCAGTCTCCAGCACACGGTCAGGACACTGTGGGGCGTAAGGAGTAGAGATTCCTTATAGCACAAGTGTGCCTAAGAGCATAAGGATATTCCCTACATAAGAGGTGGACAACCAAAGGAAAGAGCTCCTACATATCAACAAGAAAAAGACCGAGTAATGCTAAGAGAAAAGAAACAGGGCATGGGTAAGCAATTCTTTTTTTTTTTTTTGGACGGAGTCTCGCTCTGTTGCCAGGCTTGAATGCAGTGGTGTGATCTTGGCTCACTGCAACCTCCACCTCCCAGATTTAAGCGATTCTCCTGCCCCAGCCTCCCAAGTAGCCGGGACTACATGTGTGTGCCACCATGCCCAGCTAATTTTTTTGTATTTTTAATAAAGACGGGATTTCACCATGTTGGCCAGGATGGTCTCGATCTCCTGACCTCGTGATCTGCCCGCCTCAGCCTCCCGAATTGCTGGGATTACAGGCATGAGCCACTGCGCCCGGCTATGGATAAGCAATTCTAAGACTATTTCCAGACAGCCAAACCAGTATGAGCCATGGTCTGGCCTTATGTGGAAATACAACAAATGCAAAGCCAGTCTTCTTTTTCCTCTGTCAAACTGACAAAGATTTAAACAAAAGTTAGAAAAACAGAAAAAGCCAGGTGCAGTGGCTCATGCCTACAATCCCAGGACTTTGGGAGCCTGAGGTGGGAGGATCGCTTGAGGCCAGGATTTTGAGATCAGCCTGGGCAACATAGTAAGATTTCATCTCTACAAAAAATAAAAAATTAGCTGGGTGTGGTGGCACATGCCTGTGGTCCCAGCTACTTGGGAGGTTGAGGCAAGAGGATTGCTTGAGTCAGGAGAGTTCGAGGCTGCAGCGAGCTATGATGGCACCACTGCACTCCAGCCTGGGCAACAGAGACCTGTCTCTAAAAAAAACAAAAACAAAAATAAAATAAAACCAGATTAGGAAACAGCACATTCCTTTTTTTTTTTTTTAATTTGAGACAGAGTCTCACTCTATCGCCCAGGCTGGAGTGCAATGGCACGATCTTGGCTCACTGGAACCCCTGTCTCCCAGGTTAAAGCGATTCTCCTGCCTCAGTCTCCTGAGTAGCTGGGATTACAGGTCCCCGTCACCACACCTGGATAATTTTTGTTTTTTTTTTTTAGTAGAGATAGGGTTTCACCATATTGGCCATGATGGTCCTGAGCTCCTGACCTCAGGTGATCCACCTGCTTCAGCCTCCCAAAGTGCTGGGATTACAGGTGTGAGCCACCGGGCCCGGACTTCCATTTTTGTTTTAAAGACAAAGTTACATATCATAGAAAAAAGCCTGGAAGTAGGTATTCCAAAATATTTTGTTAGTGCTTATCTTTAGGTACGAGATAATGAGTAAAATTTATTTTCTTTCTAAATGTTTATGTTTTCCAAACTTTTTGCAGTGAATGTATTACTTAATAATGAGAAAAATATACAGCAATAAGAGATACTGACATGTGTGTTCAAGAATTCACTTCTCGGCTGGGAGTGGTGGTTCACGCCTGTAATCCTAGCACTTTGGGAGCCCAAGGTGGGCAGATCACCTGAGGTCAAGAGTTTAAGACCAGCCTGGCCAACATGGTGAAACTCTGTCTCTACTAAAATACAAAAATTAGCCAGGCATGATGGCAGGTGCCTGTAACCCCAGCTACTCGGAAGGCTGAGATGGGAGGATCACTTGAACCTGGGAGATGGTGGTTGCAGTGAGCCGAGATCGTGCCACCGCACTCCAGCCTGGACAGCTGAGCGAGACTCGGTCTCAAAAAAAAAAAAGAATTCACTTCCTGTCCTGCTCTCGCAAGGGTCCCTAGGGGTTCTCAGGAGGGCTCCTCTTGGCTCCTCCAGGGCAAGAGACGTCAGGCACTGCAGGCAGCTGGCAGGACAGGCCCAGTGGCCAGTTCTTCAGGGCTCTGTCCCTCCACTGTCACTCATTGTCTGTCCCCAGGCGAGGTGGCACGAACAGAGGTGAGTCTCAGAGGAGGTGTGTGTCTCAGAGAGGTGTGGATATGACAGCCAAAGTGGGTGGGATAAAGGGCTGGGAAGCACAATACAGAAGGTGGGGATACCAGGCCACAGACTGTTTCGGAGCTGTCACCTGACGTGTGGCAGTTCCTGACCCCTAATCCCAGGACAGAGCCTGGACACCTAATCCTTCTGCAATGCATGGCAGGCACTTCCAGGAACAATCCCAGAAGAAACAAAAGCTAGAAACTCCCTCCCCTCCCTATTGTGTGGGGCAGAATAACTTTGATTCCAGGTAGGGACAGTCCAACAAAACGTCATGCATGCAAAAATCTTCAGTGAAATATTAACAAGTCAAGTCCAGAAATATTTGGGGAAAAAAATCATGACTAAGCAGACTTGACCACATGAAGCCAGGAATAAAACAAACAAACAAACCGCCACAAGAGATTAAAAGGAGAAACAAAAAAGATACTATCATCCCACTGGATGCATAGAAAGCCTTCAATGATTTAAACTCATTCATATTTAAAACTCTTAAATAAAAATAGAATTTTTTAAAAAATAGAAAGAAAAAAGGACAAAAAAAAATGGGAAGAGAAGCTGAGTGCGGTGGCTCATGTCTGTAATCCCAGCACTTTGGGAGGTCAGGGCAGGAAGATCACTTGAGCCCAGGAGTTTAAGACCAGCCTGGGAAACATAGTAAGACCCCGTGTCCATTAAAAAAAAAAAAAGAATGGGAAGAGACAACATCAGATGAGAAACATCAACATTTTGGAAGCTGGACAACTGTAACAGCCTCATAGAGCTGAGAAAGCTCAGTGGTTTTCAAGGAAAGGACAGATAGACAGCTGGGAGAAAGCCAAGAAATACCCCAATTTGAATTGAGAAGCCCCCAAAGCTTAAGTATTAGAGACAACAGGTCCTTCTGAAGGCCAATGTACGGGAAAAAGGACCGGTTGAAAGTCTGTAAAAGAAACAGTTAGGACCCTCCACCCCCAGCCCAAAGATCCACTCATCTTCCCCATGCAGCGAGGTAACTAACTGGCAGAGCTATTCGGAAAGACGAACCACAGAGGCTTTTAGAATCCAGGATACAGGGTTCAGTTAAGGGTGAAGGTGTTTATACTAAAAAGGGAAGGGGATGCGGTGGCTCGCGCCTGTAATCCCAGTACTTTGGGAGGCCGAGGTGGGTGGGTCGCTTGAGGCCAGGAGTTTGAGACCAGCCTGGCCAACATGGCAAAACACCGTCTCTACAAACATACAAAAATTAGCTGTGTGTGGTGGTTCGACCCTATAATCCCAGCTACTCAGGAGGCCGAGGCAGGAGAATCACTTGAACCTGTGAGGCAGAGGTTGCAGTGAGCTGAGATTGCTCCAGTGCATTCCAGCCTGGGTGACAGACCAAGACTCTGTCTAAAATAAAATAAAATAAAGATAAAAATAAATAAATAAAAAGGGAAGGATATTTAAGTGCTACACACTTAGAGGTGAAACCACCCCCTCCTATCCGCGCAATGATGACAGCTCAGCATCACTAAGAAAATGACTGAGTCCCTGCCTGATTCCCATATGGTAAAGCCTGCCTCTAAAAAAGCTCAGCCTCACCCTCACCCTCCCACCCGACATAGAACACTTAATCTGTAATTTAGTACTTTACTCTCAATGACAGCAGCTGAGGATCACAACATTTGAGGAAATTTTCTAACATGCAAAAGACAAACAATAAACAGAATAAAAAGTACACACAAAAAATCAGAGCTAATGCAGGGAGCAGAGGAAAATTTCAAAAACACCAGCATCCACAATGAGATAAGAAAAGATGGCATCAGCCAGGTACAGTGGCTCACACCTGTAATCCTAGCACTTTGGGAGGCAGAGGTGGGCAGATCACCCGAGGTCAGGAGTTCAAGACCGAAAAGATGGCATCCATGAAACAAGAACAGGACACTGTAAAAAAGGAACATTTGAAAGGTCAAAACAGTTCTAAAAATTAGAAACAAGGCAGCAAAAATGTAAATGAAGAAGAAAAAGGCCCACAGGGCATATTATTAAATTTCGGAACACTGAGAACAAAGAAGACACTGAAATTTTCCAGAGAAGAAATAAAAATGAATGACATACAAAGAACTGGGAATCAGAGTGGCTCAGACTTTTTTTTTTTTTTTTTTTTGGAGACCTAGTCTCACTCTGTCACCCAGGCTGGAGTGCAAGTGGCACAATCTTGGCTCTGCCACCTCCACCTCCTGGGTTCAAGCAATTCTAGTACCTCAGCCTCCCGAGTAGCTGGGACTACAGTTGTGTGCCACCATGCCTAGCTAAATTTTTGTGTGTGTGTATTTTTAGTAGAGATAGGGTATCACCATGTTGCGTAGGCTGATCTCGAACTCCTGACCTCAAGTGATCCATCTGCCTTGGCCTCCCAATGTGCTGGGATTACAGGCATGAGCCACTGTGCCCCACCTTGGCTCAGACTTCTTAATGGCAAGACTAAGAGCTGACAGTCACGGAGAATTCTGGGGAAAAGCGATTTTCTACCTAGAATTCTATACCCAGATGTGATATTATGATATCTATGTCTCTATCTCCATATCTCTATCTAAAATAATGTTTTTGGCTGGGCATGGTGGCTAACACTTGTAATCCCAGAACTTTGGGAGGCTGAGGCAGGTGGATCATTTGAGGTCAGGAGTTTGAGACCAGCCTGGCCAACATGGTGAAACCCCATCTTTACTAAAAATACAAAAAAATTAGCTGGGCATGTTGGCACACGCCTGTAATTCCAACTACTTGGGAGGCTGAGGCAGGAGAATTGCTTGAATCCAGGAGGTGGAGGTTGCAGTGAGCTGAGATCGCCCCACTGCACTCCAGCCTGGGCGACAGAGTGAAACTTTGTCTCAAAAAAATAAATAAATAAAACAAAATAAAATAAAATAAATGTCTTGTCCACAGTTCCTGGCTTATAACTCCCATAGCCCTTGACACAGGATTTGTTATAATGCTGTGGTGCTCCAGGCCTCAGATGCAGGCCCAGACCTAGGAAATAGAATCTCTCTCTCTGACCTTCTGCCCAAGGCAGGACTCTAATCTGCTGTGGGTCATAAGACCCTATTCTAGGGAGGGTCCTGGCCCATCTCTGAAGGAAGGAATGCTGCAGAGACAGGCCAAGAAGAATTGGAGCAGACAGGCCTCGCTGGGTTTCCTGCCTAGTCTATTAGTATGAGATCAAATCCTTTCTGCCCAATCAAATCTTGACACAGTTGTCCCTGCTTTAGTCATGCCTGTCCAACGAAGTCTCCACAAAAGGCCCAACAGGACAGGGTTTGGGGGCTTCCGGATAGGCTGAACACATAGAGGCTAACAGGAAGGTGAGTGAGAACTTGTCCCAGGCTGGGCGCGGTGGCTCACGCCTGTAATCTCAGCACTTTAGGAGGCCGAGGCAGGCGGATCACGAGGTCAGGAGATCGAGACCATCCTGGCTAACATGGTGAAACCCCGTCTCTACTAAAAATACAAAAAATTAGCCAGGCGTGGTGGCGGGCGCCTGTAGTCCCAGCTACTTGGGAGGCTGAGGCAGGAGAATGGCGTGAAACTGGGAGGTGGAGGTTGCAGTGAGACGAGATTGCACCTCTGCACTCCAGCCTGGGTGACAGCGCAAGACTCTATCTCAAAAAAAAAAAAAAGAACTCGTCCCCGTGCTGGGGGGGTGGCGGCACACCCCACCCAGCTCTATAAGGACAGAATCTCCTGTGCTTGGGACTCTTCCAGATCTCACCCTGTGCATCTCCTTTGGCTGTGTGTTTGTATCATTTAAAATACCCTTTGTAACAAACCAGTAAATGTGTTTCCCTAAGTTTTGTGAGCTGCTCTAGCAAATTAATCAAACCCAAAGAGGGAACGTGGGAGTCCAAACTTGAAGCCAGCCACTCAGAAGTTCCAGAGGCCTGGACTTGCGACGGGCGTCTGAAGCTGGGCAGCCTTAGGGACTGAACCCTCAAACTGTGGGATCTGAAGCTATCTCCGGGAAAACAGCATCAGAATTGAATTAAATTACAGGACACCCAGCTGGTGCCCACTGCTTCGTGGGTAAGAGAAAAAAAAAAAACACATTTGGTCACAGACGCTTTCTGGGTTGATTGTTGTTGTGTAAGAGCAGAGGAAAGACAGTTTGAGTGTTTTTCCTACACACCAGCCAAGTGATTGTTAGCTTGGAGGTTAGAATAAAAGTTCTTTAAGCACGAAAGGTCTCAAGAAATTGAGGCCAGGCACGGTGGCTCATGTCTGTAATCCCAGCACTTAGGGAGGCTGAGGCAGGCGGATCGCCTGAGTCCAGGAGTTTGAGACAAGCCTGGGCAAGGTGGCAAAACTCTGACTCCACTGAGGAGACTGAGGTGAAACCAACGAAAAGACATGCGACCTAGGAAACAGGGAATCCCACGGAGGAGGGAGGCAAAAGGCATACTGAGGATGCAGGTAAATAGAAATTCCAGAACAGCTGTGCAGCAGGCCTGGTGAGCAACAGGTCCAGACTGGAACAGAGAAGAGAGGATTCCAGAAGGCTCTCTGGCCCGGTGTCACTATCTTTTTTTTTTTTCCTTGAGACAGAGTCTCACTCTGTTACCCAGGCTGGAGAGCAGTGGCGCGATCTTGGCTCACTGCATCCTGTCTTCTGGGTTCAAGCGATTCCCATGCCTCAGCCTCCCAAGTAGTGGGGACTACAGGTGCATGCCACCATGCCTGGCTAATTTTTGTATTTTTAGTAGAGACGGGGTTTCACCAGGTTGGCCAGGCTGGTCTTGAACTCCCGACTGCAGGTGATCCTCCTGCCTCCTCAGGCTCCCAAAGTGCTGGGATTACAGGTGTGATCCACTGCACCCGGCCTCACTATCTTTTCTTGAATGTTTTTGGAAAGGCACATGCTGCCTTGCTCACCTTGACCTTCAGGTCACACCCTCCTGTCATTTACTCTCGTAGCACTGTGCACCGTCCCTTCACAGCACAGATCAGTGTGGTCATTAAACATCTATTTCTGTGATTTCCTGATTGACGTCTGCCTCACTCACTGCTGTCTTAGCTTTGTCAAGGTGGGGGCTGTGCTATTCTGGCTCATTATTGAATCCCCCTTGCCAAACACGGAGTAAGTGCTTAATACACACTCATTAAAGCACTGACGGAAGGAGTGCTGCGTTTTCATACATACCAGAACAGCGAATATAAATTCCTGGCACCTGCCCCCAGGTAAAATTAAGCCAAGGATTGCTGGGAATGTAAAATTGCACAGCCCCTATGGAAAACAGTATGGCAATTCCTCAAAAAATTAAAAATAGGATTACCATATGATCCAGCAATTCTCACTTCTGGGTATATACTCTAAGAACTGAAAACAGGGTCTCGAAGAGATATTTGTCCACCCAAATTCATAGCTGCATTATTCACAACAACCCAAACATGGAAGCAACCCAAGGGTCTGTCCACTGACCGGTGAACAAATAAGCAAAATGTGGTGCATACACACAATGGAGTATTATTCAGCCTTAAAAAGGAAGGGAATTCTCATACAGGCTACGACACGGGTGAGCCTTGAGGACATGATACTAAGTGAAATAAGCCAGTCACAACAAGACAAATACTGTGCGATTCCACTTGTATGAGGTTCTTAGAATAGTTCAAACCAAAGAGAGAGAGAGAAAAGGCAGCTTGGTGGCTGCCAGGGATTGGGGGCGGGGGAAATGGGGAATCAGTGTTTAGAGGGGTTAGAGTTTCAGTTGTACAAGACGAAAAGAGTTCAGGAGATGGATGGTGGTGATAGGTGCTCAACATTATGAATGTATTTAATATCACTCAGCTGTACACTTAAAATGGCTAGGATGGTAAATTTTATGTTATGTGTATTTTAACACAATTTTTTTTTTTTTGAGACGGAGTCCCGCTCTTTAGCCCAGGCCGGATTGCAGTGGCACAATCTCGGCTCACTGCAAGCTCCGCCTCCCAGGTTCATGCCATTCTCCTGCCTCAGCCTCTGGAGTAGCTGGGACTACAGGCGCCCGCCACCGCGCCCGGCTAATGTTTTGTATTTTTAGTAGAGACGGGGTTTCACCGTGTTAGCCAAGATGGTCTCGATCTCCTGACCTTGTGATCCACCCGCCTCGGCCTCCCAAAGTGCTGGGATTACAGGCGTGAGCCACTGTGCCCGGCCCACAATTTTTTTAAATGGGGAAAAAAAAAAGCCAGGCACAGTGGCTCACACCTGTAATCCCAGCACTTTGAGAGGCCGAAGTGGGAGGATCGCTTGAGTCCAGGAGTTTAAGACCAGCCTGGGCAACATAGCAAGACTTGTGTCTCTACAAAAAATAAATTAGCCAGTTGTGGTGGCACATGACTGTAGTCCTTGCTATTCAGGAGGCTGAGGTGGGAGGATTGCTTGAGCCTGGGAGTTCAAGGCTGCAGTAAGCCATGACTGCACTACTGTACTCAGCCTGGGCAACAGAGTGAGGACCTGTTTCAAAAAAAAAAAAAAAAAGGACAACACTGGACGCAGTGGCTCACACCTGTAATCCCAGCACTTTGGGAGGCCGAGGCGGGCGGATTACCTGAGGTGGGGATTTTGAGACCAGCCTGACCAACATGGAGAAACCCCATCTCTACTAAAAATACAAAAATTAGCCAGGTGTGCTGGCACATGCCTGTAATCCCAGCTACTTGGGAGGCTGAGGCAAGAGAATCCCTTCAACCCGGGAGGTGAAGGTTGCAGTGAGCCGAGATTATGCCACTGCACTCCAGCCTGGGCAACAGAGTGAGACACAACACATAAATAAATAAAAAAGGAAAACAAAATTATGCCAAGGACTGGATCCTATCTATTGGTCCCTTTTTGTAGATGCTCTCAAACCCACTGACTGGATTACTATTCAGCAAACATCCACTCCTCTCCCTCTCCCATGGGGATGGAATATTCTACACAGACCCAACCTGCAGCCTCAAACCAAGCCCTGGCAATCTGCATTATAAAGCTGAGCTGTCCAGCCAAGCCCAGCCTATCAAAAGATGACCCAGAGACCAACGATTAAAAACATAAGTGCTTGGCTGTGCGCAGTGGCTCATGGCCTGTAATTCCAGCACTTTGGGAGGCTAAGGAAGGAGGATCACTTGAGGCCAGAAGTTTGAACCAGCCTGGCCAACATCGTGAGACCCTGTCCCTTAAAAAAAAATTATTTTTATTTTTATTTATTTATTTATTTTGAGACGGAGCCTTGCTCTGTTGCCCAGGCTGGAGTGCAGTGGAGTGATCTCGGCTCACTGCAACCTCTGCCTCCCAGGTTCAAGCAATTCTCCTGCCTCAGCCTCCTAAATAGCTGGGATTACAGGCGCCCGCCACCATGTCCGGCTAATTTTTGTATTTTTGGTAGAGACAGGGTTTCACTGTGTTGGTCAGACTGGTCTAGAACTCCTGACCTTGTGATCCGCCTGCCTTGGCCTCCCAGAGTGCTGGGATTACAGGTGTGAGCCACTGTGCCTGGCCAAAAAAAAATTTTTTTTAAAGCTGGGCATGGTGGCACATGCCTGTAGCTACCCAAAAGGCTGAGGCAGGAGGATTGCCTGAGCACAGGAGTTAGAGGCTGCACGAAGTTATGGTCATGCTACTCCTCTACACCTTGGTGATTTCTATAATGAAGAGCTGGACTCAATCATTAAGCTTCTTTCCAGTGCTAGGATTCTGTGGTCTAGAAAGATCTGTACCCCCTTAGATTGGACACCCCCTTCTCACCTGGGTGTGGCTTAGCAGGGGGAGGGTAGCGTGGTAGGCTGAGCAGAAAGCCTGGCTGGCTTCCCAGGCCTGCGCTTCTGCAGAGAAGTAGTAACAGTGCTCCTCGGACAACACCCAGCCTGGGGGGCACTGCTGGCATCTGGCTCCTGCAAGCACAGAGACTGCTGGTGAGCTGCAGGGTAAGCTGCATTAAATAAACAAAGCCTGGCTGCTGCCTCAAATGAAGGGGCATGGAACTGGCAAACCTCAAGGTGGGCAGGGCCCCAGGGAGCTTTTATAGTCTGTGCAGTGCACAAAGTCCCCGGGGTGGCAGCTGGCATCTGATTGCTTATCAGGGCACAAGCTGTATCCAGTGGGAGGAAGGCACCCATTTTCCTTAACTTTGCTCATCAAGCACCATGTCTTCGTGTTGCATCTCCCAGTGTCTCTTTCTAATTCTAAGGTGTTTTAAGGGCTGGAAACACAGCCCCAGTAGTGGAGCGGCAGGGAGAGGGGATGGGGACTGCAGGGACACCATACCTGCTCTTGAGGCCAGGACCACAATGACAACCCCAGAGACTGCCAGGAGCACAGCCATGAACGCCAGGGCCCAGTACAGGGACTTCACGTACATGGGTAGCCCTGGGACGGGGGCAAACAGGATAATCAGATTAGTGGAGACCATCCCAACCAACCCAACTCAGAACCACAGACACAGCACACCAGCATCTCACCCACCTCACCCCAGCACCCACCCCCTCAGCCTGGGATGCCAACATAAACCACAACGTTTAAGTTCCAACTTTATATTCTGGAGAAAGAAGCCAGATATTCTTTTTTTTTTTTTTTTTTTTTTTGGAGACAGAGTCTTGCTTTGTCGCCCAGGTTGGAGTGCAGTGGTGCGATCTCGGCTCACTGCAACCTCTGCCTCCCGGGTTCAAGCAATTCTCCTGCCTCAACCTCCTGAGTAGCTGGGGTTACAGGTGCGTGCCACCATGCCCGGCTAATTTTTTGTATTTTTAGTAGAGACGGGGTTTCACCATGTTGGCCAGGTTGGTCTTGAACTCCTGACCTTGTGATCTGCCCACCTCGGCCTCCCAAAGTGCTGGGATTACAGGTGTGAGCCAACGCGTCTGGCCCTTTTTTTTTTTTTTTTTTGAGACTGAGTCTTTCTATCGCCCAGGCTGGAGTGCAGTGGCATGATCTCAGCTCACTGCAACCTCCACCTCCTGGGTTCAAGCAATTCTCATGCCTTAGCCTCCCAAGTAGCTGGGATTACAGGTGACTGCCACCATGCCTGGCTAATTTTCATATCTTTAGTAGAGATGGGGTTTGACGATGTTGGTCAGGCTGGTCTTGAACTCCTGACCCTAAGTGATCCGCCCGCCTTGGCCTCCCAAAGTGCTGGGATTACAGGCGTGAGCCACCGTGCCCAGCTTCAGGAGCCTTATATGTGGAAGAGGAAGACAGGTGGTGAGCATCAGAAGTGGCAGCAGGAGGACTCTACCAACAACGCTGGATTTTAATATAGAGAAGGGCTTGACCTAAGAAAAGCCCAGAAGCTAGCAAAGGCAAGAAAAGGGAGTCTCCCCTAGACCCCCAGAAAGGAATGCAGCCCCACTGAAAACTCGATTTTAGACCAGTGAGCCGGCATTATAGACTTCTGACTTAACGGAACTGTAAGATAATACATTTGTGTCACTTAAAGACACTAAGTTTGTGGTAATTTGTTACAACAGCAATAGAAAACTAATATTCCATCACACAGAAAATGTGCTCACATCAAACTCTGCAAAAGTTCCTGAGTGATCCAAGCCCCTGAACCCTAGCCCTGTCTAAGAACCTCTCAACTAGAGGCCCTGGGAATTTGGTGCCTGTCAGTGGGCTTGGCCTGCTTCTCAATCAGCCAAGCTTTTGCCAGTTTGCCTGCTGGGCGGGGCTCTGACCCCTCCTGGCCGTTGCTCCTTCCAGTCTCTCTACCTAGCAGGGATCCCTAGCACCCCCTACTCCTACTCACCTTTCAAGATGTGGCTTTCTGGCTGGCCCGGTGGTTCACACCTGTAATCCCAGCACTTTGGGAGGCTGAGGCGGCTGGATCACCTGAGGTCAGGAGTTCCAGACCAGCCTGGCCAACATGATGAAACCCCCTGTCTACCAAAAATACAAAAACTAGCCAGGCATGGTGGCCGGCGCCTGTAATCCCAGCTACTCGGGAGGAGGCTGAGGCAGGAGAATCGCTTGAATCCAGGAGGCGAAGGTTGCAGTGAGCCGAGATTGTGCCATTGCACTCCAGCCTGGGTGACAAGCGCAAAACTTATTTCTTAAAAAAAAAAGAAAGAAAAAAGAAAAAAAGAAAAAAATTGGCTATCTCTTGCCCCAAATTCACCAACTACTCCCTCCAGTCTCCTTATCCAGGACAGTCTGTATCTTTTGTGGGCTCTTTCTTCTGTGTCAAGCTCCCCCTCCCCCACACCACAAAATAACCAGCCGCACATACTACTGGCACATCTACCCTGTGGTCCCACTCACTATCTACTGAATGGATGAGTGTTTGGGGCTAAATGTTCCTCAGTGTGGTGGAAAGAAAGCAGCAGCCTGGACCTTCCAGAAAGTCCTTGGCAGTGCAGGGATGGGGGGATCTGGGCTGCCACCCCTGCCACCTGATCCTGAATGACTTCCCCTCATCTGGAGTTCCTTCCACTGCTACTTCTCAAAGGTGCTGCGCATGCTAAGAGGGAATTTGAAAGTTCGGGAGTGCGGGTAGGGGAGGATGAGAAGGGGAGTGGCTTTACTCTTTTTTTTTTGAGACGGAGTTTCTCTCTTGTTGCCCAGGCTGGAGTACAATGGCATGATCTCGGCCCACTGCAACCTCCGCTTCTCGGGTTCAAGCGACTCTCCTGTCTCAGCCTCCTGAGTAGCTGGGATTACAGGTGAATGCCACCATGCCAGGCTAATTTTTGTATTTTTAGTAGAGACGGGGTTTCATCATATTGGTCAGGCTGGTCTCGAACTCCTGACCTCAGGTGATCCGCCCGCCTCGGCTTCCCAAAGTGCTGGGATTACAGGCGTGAGACACGGCAACAATGTGAATTACAGTTACGTAGACAGGAATGTTATTGATTGTAAGCCCGAGAGGCCAGATCGGGTTGGGGATCGGGATGGCCAACTGGGTCCCTTAGTCGGTCAGCTGCCCAGCGGTCCAGGGCTGGGCGGGTGTGGGGGTTTCGGCTACGTCCACCCGACCTGGCGGCGTCGGCTGCCGGCGCAGGTGAGCACTCACCCGTAAGCGTTACGGCCCGGGGCAGCTTCTCGTCGCCGTCCAACCCCGCGCGGGGCAACAGCGCCGCATCCTCCTTCTCCAGCCCCAGCTCCTTGCAGCGGCAGCACGTGGGGGAGCCCGGGGAGCCGGCGCTTCCTTCCGCGGGGCTGGCCCGGCCCTCTGCGTCGCAGCCGCTCTCCGTCCGGGCTGCAGCCAGCGGCGAGCGGCGGCCCCACGTGCCGCCCTGGGATGGTGCGCGCAGCAGGAGCTGGTGCGCCGGGTCCGCGTGGCGGGAGAAGGCAGGGGACTCGGGCACCGGCACCTTGAGGAAGCGCGTGGAGGGCCTGGGCGATGGCGTGCTGCTGCCACCGGCCGCGCCCACGGGCTTCACGCGCACATCTACCTGCAGCTCCATGGGCGCCCAGGCGCTGGGCGCAGGCTCAGCCCCGGGCGCCTCGCCATTCCGGGGCAGCTTGACCAAGGCAGGGCCCGGTGACGGCGGCTCGGGGCAGACCCCGTAGCCCAGGCTGAGCGGCGGCACGCGCGGGGACCCGGGGCGAGGCGAAGGCGGCTTTTTCTTGCTCGAGGGCTCCAGGCCTGCGCCCGCCGCCTTCTCCACGGCCCCGGCCGGACTTGGGCTGCTTTCGGGACCTTCAGGTTGTCGCACCTTCGCGGGCACCTGCGGCTGCTCCAGCGTGGGGACCAGGCTTCCCACGGGCTCCATTGGGAGCTCTGCCCCGGCTTGGCCTCCGGGCGCAGCCTCCCAAGACTCCTCCATCCCGCGCGCCCCGCCACCCGGAGACGCTGAGGAGCGCACCTGGGCCCAGTGCAGAGGAGCTTCGCTCTCCTCCGTCCGGATTGGTCCAGCCGCGTCGCCGAAGTTGTCAGGCCACGCCCCTCCCCGAAGGACCCCGCTGTGATTGGCTGTGGCTGAGGTTCTGCTGCCCCGACCCCCTTCGGGACACAGCCCCGGCCTCCACCAGGCACTGGGAGGGAGCTGAGAACGGCAGCGGGGCCAGGCGAGGGTTGCAGGGTGGGCGGGAGCTCTCGGGAGAAAAGCAGAACACCAGCGGAGGCTTGTGGCAGGGAACCCGGAGCCCCGCCTGACCCTTCCCTCTTCTTTGTCTCTGACCTCACCCATTTTCCCCTCCAGCCCTATGCCGGGGTGTTGGTTTTGAGAGTTACAGTTTGGGCGGGGAAGGATTGGCCAAGCCTGTCTGGATCCTGGGACCTCAGAGAAATCAGAATCCAAAGGAATTGGGGCGACCTGTGGAAAAGTAGCCCAGTTGGTTGTCCTGACAATCCAGCAGGGTTTCGAAAGGACTCTCCATCATACTTGGGAGGACTCCCCCACTGAGTAACGCTAAGAGAAAAGAAACAGGGCGTGGATAAGCAATTCTTCTTTTTTTTTTTTTTTTTGAGACGGAGTCTTGCTCTGTCGCCAGGCTGGAGTGCAGTGGCCCGATCTCGGCTCACTGCAATCTCCGCCTCCCAGGTTCAAGCGATTCTCCTGCCTCAGCCTCGTGAGTAGCTGGGACTACAGGCACCCACCCCACCACGCCCGGCTAATTTTTGTATTTTTAGTAGAGACGGGGTTTCACCATGTTGGCCAGGATGGTCTCGATCTCCTGACCTCGTGATCTGCCCGCCTCGGCCTCCCAAAGTGCTGGGGTTACAGGCGTGAGCCACCGCGCCCCGCCTGGCCTCTGGTATTTTTAAGTGCCCCCAGGGTAGGGTTGGCAGATAAAATGCAGGCCACTCAGTTTAATTTGAATTTCAGTTAAACAAGGGATAGTTTTTAGCATAGTAGTCCTCCCTTATCCACTGGGATAGTTCCAAGACCTCCCAGTGAATGCCTGAAACTTTGGATAGCACCAAACCCTATATATACTGTTTTTTTCTATACAAGCGGTCTTCAAAAGGTTCATGGAAAATTCATACTATGAAAAAAACTATGCATGGATTTGAAAATTTTTTGGCACCAAAATAAATTTGTACTAACTTGTTATCACATGTCTCGACAAGATCTAGTTTGAGGCACTAAGAAGGATAAGACATCAGTTTGAAAAGAGCTCCTGTCAGAGCAACAAGGATTCTGCTAAATTTGAAGCAAGAATAATCATCACATTTATGGTGACATCATTGATATTTTTATGAAAAGCTCATGGGGACAATGCCCCCAAGAAACCAGCAGTTTGCAAATGGAAAACTCGTTTTAAGAAGGGATGAGGCCAGGCGTGGTGGCTCAGCCTGTAATCCCAGCACTTTGGGAGGCCGAGGCAGGTGGATCACTTGAGGTAAGGAGTTCGAGACCAGCCTGGCCAACATGCTGAAATCCTGTCTCTACTAAAAAAGCAAAAATTAAGCTGGGCGCGGCAGCTCACGCCTGTAATCCCAGCACTTTGGGAGGCCGAGGTGGGCGGATTGACTGAGCTCAAGAGTTCAAGACCAGCCTGGGCAACACAGTGAAACCCCGTCTCTACTAAAATACAAAAAATTAGCTGGCATGGTGGCATGCGCCTGTAGTCTCAGCTACTCGGGTGCCTGAAAATACAAAAAATTAGCCGGGCGTGGTAGTGGGTGCCTGTAATCCTAGCTACTCGGGAGGCTGAGGCAGGAGAATTGCTTGAACTCGGGAGGCAGAGTTTGCAGTGAGCCGAGATTGTGCCACTGTACTCCAGCCTGGGTGACAGAAGGAGACTCCATCTCAAAAAAAAAAAAAAAGAGAAGGGATGAGACAATGTTGAGGATAAAGCCCTCAGTGGCAGACCATCCACATCAATTTTTGAGTAAAATAATTAATCTTATTTGTGCCCTCATGAAGAGGACCAACGATTAACAGCACAAACAACAGCCAACACCAAAGACGTCTCAATTGGTTCAGCTTACACTTTTCTGACTGAAAAATTAAAGTTGAGCAAAGTTTCCACTCTATGGAAAACCATTGCGTCCAGATCAGCTGCAGCCAAGAGCAGAACTTTCAATGGAAATTTAAAACGAGTAGGATCAAGATCCTGAAGCATTTCTCTGAAGAGTTGTAACAGAAGATGGAACGTGGCTTTACCAGTAGGATCCTGAAGACAAAGCACAAAGCAATGGCTCCCAAGAGGTGGAAGTGGCCCAGTCACAGCAAAAGTGGACAGGTCAAGAGCAGAAGTCACAGCAACAGTTTTTTGGGATGCTCAAGGCATTTTGCTTGTTGGCTTTCTAGAGGGCAAAAGAGCAATAACATCTGCTTACTATGAGAGTGTTTTGAGAAAGCCAAAACTTTAGCAGAAAATCACCTGGGAAAGCTTCACCAAAGGGTCCTTCTCCACCACTACGAGGCTTCTGCTCATTCCTCATCAGTCAAGGGCATCACTCAACATGTTCAAGTTTTAAATGCCTCTTTGGGCCCAGTACCCTCCTCCTGCTAACACCCTCTCTATTCTTCCTTGTCGTGGCCAAACTTTTTTTTTTTTTTTGAAAGAGAGTCTTGTTCTGTCACCTAGGCTGGAGTGCAGTGGCGTGATCTCGGCTCACTACAACCATGGCCTCCTGGGTTCAAGCAATTCTCGTGCCTCAGCCTCCCAAGTAGCTGGGATTATAGGTGTGCACCATCACAACCGCTTAATTTTTGTATTTTTAGTAGAGACAGGGTCTTGAACTCCTGACCTCAGGTGATCTGCCCGCTTCAACCTCCCAAAGTGCTGGGATTACAGGCGTGAGCCACCACACCGGGCCATGACCAACCTTTTTTAACAAGGTAATTGCCCCCATCTGTCTGCCAAAATTTTCCTTGGCAAGGGTACAAGTCACCAAACCCAGCAAATGCTTTTTTTCCATTTTTGGAAAAAAAAGATATATATATATATATATGTTATATTTTATATATATTATAAGGATGGAGGAGTCTCGCTATGTTGCCCAGGCTAGTCTTGAACTCCTGGCCTTAAGCCATCTTCTCGCCTCGGCCTCCCAAAGTGCTGGGCTTACAGGTGTGAGTTACTGTGCCCGGCCTGCAGATGCTCTTCAGTGCTCGTTTTATCTCTCAGGTTTTGACATTATGATCATTTCTTCCTCCTCTCAAAAACCCACTCATCTGTGGCCTGTGGGCTTCCTGACACCACCTCTACCAGCTCTCCTTCTGCCTTCCTGGCTGTTCCTTTGAAAATTGCTGCAGAGCTTCTCACCCACCATACGTCAGTGACCTTCAAGCCCAGATCTTTCTCCTGAGCTTAGGTTCTTCTTTGCAGGAATTTGACACTAGATATGAGAGACCCAGAGCCGAGTGTTGTCAGAGCTCCTAGTAGGGCAGCTCCCTAGAGAGAAAGCCCAGAAACTCCTGCTCTGGGCCCCAGAGTTTGTCCGATCTCAGCCCTTCCTAAAGCTTGTTTGTTCAATTCTGTGGATTTCACGAGACCCTGAGTATCCTTCTCATACCTCCTCCACTTTTTGCCTTATCATTTAAGACTCTGGGTCAGGCATGGTGACTCACACCTGTAATCCCAGCACGTTGGGAGGCCAAGGCAGGAGGATCACTTGAGCCCAGGAGTTTGAATCTGGGCAGCATAGGGAGACTTTGTCTTTACTAAAAAAGCAAAAAGTTAGCTGGGTGCAGTGGCATGCACCTGTGGTCTCAGCTACTAGAGAGGCTGAGGCGGGAGGATTGTTTGAGCCTGGGAGTTTGAGGCTGCAGTGAGCTGTGATTGTGCCACTGCACTCCAGCCTGGGCAACAGAGTGAGATCCTGTCTCACAAAAAGAAAGGAAGGAGAGAAAGAGAGTAAAGGGGAGAGGAGGGAAGGAAAGGGGAAGACAAAGGGGAAGGGGAAGGGAAGGGTGAGGTGAAGGGGAAGGGGGAGGGGAGGGTAAGGGTAAGGGTAAGGTGAAGGTGAAGGTGAAGGTGAAGGTGAAGGGGAGGGGGAAGGGAAGGGGGAGGGAAGGGAAGGTAGATAAAAGGAAGGAAGGAAGGAGGAACTGATTGCAAGTGGCCGAAAACCCAAGTCTCACTGGGCTCCACGTCTGTCTTGGGGTGAGGGCCAGGCTTCGATGGAGTCTCTCTATACCTCCTGTGACACAGCACAGCAGCCTGGCACCAGAAGGCCATTTACAACTTCTAAATTGAGACATCCTAAGATAGGTGAATTACCCAAATGTTTCAAGGGGGTTCAGATGTTGGCTGGCAAAAAAGAACAAATATCTACCGTGATCCTTCCTTTCATCCTTTTCTCCCTTTCCCTCACTTTAAAATCCTGTTTTCTGCTTGCAACAGCAATGTATGTCTGCAATACAAAATATAGATATTACAGAAGTGCATACTGTAGAAAAGAAAGGTCCCCTGTTTTCTATGCTCCAGAGATTTCTGTTATTAACATTTTGGTATGCAGTCTTCAAGATTTTTAAACAAATGTATACACTAACCTGTACTGTTATTATATATATAAATATCTTTATTTCCAAAACTTCACTCATATTAAATGTTTTCCTATATGTAATTTATTTAAGAAGTCTCCTGATGGACGTTTGAGTTGTTTCCATTTGGGTGACATAATTACTGTAATGCTGAACATGATATAGATATAATTCAGTGAGCATACTTGTATATATTGTTTTTAAAAATCACATCTCTGAAATATCTTCAGAATAGAATCATTAAAATGAAATTGCTGAGCCAAAGGGTGGTCAGAATTTTGAATGTGATGGGTACTGCTAAATTACCCACAAGAGGCTCAACAAACAAAGGATGCGAGGGCTGTTCCCGTGGCCGCCCCATCGCTCCGTATCATCAATCTTCTTAGTCCTTACCAATCTGATGGGCAAAAATATTGAATTCCAGCTTGCATTTCTTTAACTATGAATGAAGCTGAACATCTTTTCATTTGTTAGTTGTGCTACTGAGAAGTGTCTTGGACACTGTCAGGGCCTGGATGAAATACCACTAACATTTCCTCTAATGCCAGTTCCAAATCACTGGCTGGTTCCAGGAGGTGGCCCTGCAGGAATCCTCATCATTTTTCCTGCCCCACACCATGAGGTTCACTGGTCAAGGGTGGCTGATGGTATCTGGTCTGTCCGAACAGACTGAGTTCTACAAGCATAAATTAAATTGCAGCTTAATTCCCCAGAGAGGAGGCAAACATTCCCACTCCTGGTTCTTGGCTGATGTCATCCCCGTGGCATCTTGGGCCCCTCTAGGGGCCCTGGAGACACAGATGAGGAAGGAGAGGGGTTTCCGCACAGCCAGCTCCCTGGCACAGCCCATCCCCAGCTCACATTCCACCTGCTCAGAGGCTCAGAGGGTACCCAAGCCAGTGTGACATCCCCTCACACCGCCTAAGCCCCCACCTTGGTCTCTCACCTGTCAGCTGTCTTCCTAGCATTCTCCACAGTCTGTGGTCAGCACGTGCACATGGTTGTTCACCCTTTAATGCTTGTCTCTGGCCCCCTAGAAATCCTCACTGCATCCCCAGATCAGTATCTGACACGCCATCCCTGGTTCTTGACTGACATCTCCGCCAGGAGCTTAGTGAATATTTATTAAATAAATTATGCTGAATGGGGCATTGTGCAGAGTGCTTCACACACCTGGTCTCTCTTCCCCCCCTCAATCTTTGGTTGACACATTTTTAAACATTAAGAAAAATGGAAAGAATAAATGGTGATCACGTGAACGCCCTCCACCTTGATTCAACAGTTAGCATTTCACACATCGTTCTTGTCCTTCTCTCCACCTCTGTGCAAACATTCTCTCTGTTGTTATGGAACCATCTGAGTGTGAGCTGCCGACCTCGTGAAGCCTCACCCTTCAATATTTCAGCGTGCATCTGCGAAGAATACACGTGTTTTCCATAAGTACAACGCCATTCTCACACCAAAGAAATGAACAATAACGCCGAGCCAGGTGATATTTTGGAGACCAAATTTAAATTTTTCTAATTTTTTTTCCAACCAGGTTCCCATCAGGGTTCAAGCATGACATTTGGCTGTTGGGTCCATTTACTCTTCATAATAACTAAAATCCCTACTTCACAGGTGAGGAAACTGAGATTCAGAGAGGTTGAGGAGCTAGTGTAGGGGTGCACGGCTCCTAAGTGGGAAAGCCAGCATGTCATTGGGCAGCTCCGGCTCCCAAACACATCTTTTCTCCCCTTTTGCTGCTTTATGCTCCCCTAGTCCTCCTGGTTCCCCGAATGTTTCATCCCCAGTCTCCCGCTGATTGAGTCCATGCAGGTCATGGGCTGGGGCAGAGGTATAGATGTTGCTCCCGTTACTAACAGACTAGGCCTCACTTTCCAGTTCCTTCAGCCACACCGCACCCCTGACCCCCATCCCCTGTAACTTTCTGAGACATCAGCCATCCAATGGGAGTGACGAGGCAGCCTCATTTTAGTGGAGGATCCACCTGCAGCTGGGCGAGGCAGAGGAGAGAGAGCTAGGCAGCTCTAGGGGAGGAACAAAAGGTAGCTTTAGGTCAAGAGTGTGGGTAAGGCAGGGACTGAGAAAACATTCCACCTGAATACACACAAGCTTATCCCGGGAGAATTGGAGAAGAGCCATGGCCAGCAGGAAAACAGCTCCCTGAGACATCTGTGTGTTGAAACAAAGGCCCTCCCTTGAGGTGGAGGTTGCAGTGAGCTGAGATCACGCCATTGCACTCCAGCCTGGGCAACAAGAGGGAAACTCCATCTCAAAAAAAAAAAAAAAAAAAGGAACATGAGGTCAGGAGTTTGAGACCAGCCTGACCAACATGGTGAAACCCCATCTCTACTAAAAATACAAAAATTAGCCAGGCTTGGTGGCACGCACCTGTAATCTCAGCTACTTGGGAGGCTGGGGCAGGAGAATCACTTGAACCCAGGAGGCGGAGGTTGCAGTGAGCTGAGATTATGCCATTGCACTTGAGCCTGGGCAACAAGAGCGAAACTCCGTCTCAAAAACAAACAAACAAAAAAACAAAACACACACACAAAAAAACTGGATCATGAGATCAGGAGTTTGAGACCAGCCTGACCAACATGGTGAAACTCCGTCTCTACTAAAAATACAAAAATTGGCTGGGCGTGGTGGCAGGCGCCTATAATCTCAGCCACTCAGGAAGCTGAGGCAGGAGAATCGCTTGAACCCGGGAGGTGGAGTTTGCAGTGAGCTGAGATTGTGGCACTGCACTCCAGCCTGGGTGACAGAGTGAGACTCCGTCTCAAAAGAAAAAACAAAACAAAACAAAACCCTCCCTTTTAGAAGCTCCATCCCCAGAATCCTTTCCTGTCCAATGCAGCACTTGTGGGATTGTAATGGTGTGGATAGACAGCTGTGGCTCAGGGATATGGGGGGCAGACCTAGCTCTCCTCTGCATTAGTGTCCCCAGCGTTAGCTGACTTTGTCGAGTCTGGGGTTCAATACTTGGAAAGACCTAGATGGGAGCAGGTAGAAGGACCAGGAGACCTGGGGGAGCAATGGAGTAGGGCTGGGCTTGGATATGTGAGACCAGGAAAAGCACTTCCTTGCATCACAGGTGTGTAACAGACTTTTCCTGCCAGGCTGTGTGGGACTCCTGTCACCAGAGACTGAGGGTAGCAAAGGGAGGAGGTACAAGTGCCCAGGAGCACCTTGGTGAAGAGGTCCCAGATTTAAGGATAATAGTATCTTCTTCCCCTCTGAACTAAATCAGCCCATTATGAATGAGATTTGCTAGTCCAAGAGTCTTGAGGCCTAAGTATCCCCCAAATCAAACAGGCCTTGCAAAAATCTAATCAAAGGCCTAGAATACACCACCAGAAAGTCATGACTAAATGTAGAAAATTGTAGTCTAATCAAATATATTAACAGCTATTATGTGTTCATGTGTGTTTTAAGACAAAGGTGGTAATTATTTCTATAATCAGGAAAAAAAGCCATGAAGAAATCATTTTCAGGGAAAAGTGGGGAGGAGTGGAGAAAAGAGTAGAATATAAGGTCTCCCAAATACAAGAATTTGGCAAGTTTCTCTAGCACTGCCCAAGATAGAGAGACACCAGATATTCTGATTCCCTGAGATGCAAGGGACTCATGCCTGCCCCATGCCACCCACTGCCAGGCTCCTAACACTGAAACCCTAAACCAATATGGGAGGGAGAGCTGGCCTGGGAAGTATCAGGGGTCCTTCACCACTAATGTGCAGGTGGCTGGGAGTCTCTCCTCAGTTTCTGTCTTAGTCCATTTTCTGTTGCTATAGCAGAATACCTGCCAGGTATTCTGAGACTGAGTAATTCACAAAGAAAAGAAAAGGCCAGGTGCAATGGTTCATGCCTATAATCCCAGCAATTTGGGAGGCCAAGGCAGACAGATCACTTGAGGTCAGGAGTTCAGGACCAGCCTGGCCAATATGGTGAAACCCCATCTCTACCAAAGATACAAAAATTAGCTGGTGTCGTGGCACATGTCTTGTAATCCCAGCTACTCAGGGGGCTGATGCAGGAGAATCACTTGAACCCAGGAGGCAGAGGTTGCAGTGAGCCAAGATCACACCACTGCACTCAAGCCTGGGCAACAGAACGAGACTTGGTCTCAAAAAAATAAAAAATGAAAAAAAGGAAAAGAAAAGAAAGTGATTTCTTATAGTTCTAAAGACTGGGAAGTCCAAGGGCATGGCAGCAGCTTCTGGTAAGGGCTTTCATGTTGCATCATAACATGGCAGCAAAGGGGAAGGGCAAGTGAGTGCAATAATTTACCCATTTATGCTGTCAAGAGAGGCATTGATTTCACTTAATGATCTAGTCACCTCTTACTAACCTCACCTCCCAACAGTGCCACATTGGGGACCAAATTTCCAACACATGAATTCTGGTGAATACACTCAACACACAGGAGCTTCCCTGTCTAACCCCTGAGCATAGGGCCAGTCTGCCCAGGCCCTGGACTCCATTTCCTGCCAGACTTTCCTTAGGTCAGTCTCACCTGAAGCTTGGCCCAGTTGTCTGTCCCAACATGGTTCCTAGCCATTCCCTTCCCTTTTTCCCTCTCATTTAAAGCTGAATCCATTAGCCTGTTGTGAAAACCTGCCATTGAAAACCGTCTACTCCACCTTGCCTCTTAGACCGGATCCTGCCTGCTTGGTCTAGAGTTTACTATTCTCCCGCAGTCTTAGTGCTACTGCCTCACCATAGGTTCCCCTCATCTATTGTGATTTCTCCAGTTCCTGTTCTGCCTAATCATGGCTCTTTCTTCCCTTCAGAAAACTCCCTGCAGGTAGAAGGAGAGGCCGTGCTGCAGTATCTCCCCCACCTTATATGAATGATCTTGTATTTGGATATACATGTGATTTGGTGACCATCTGCTTTGGCTTTTTTGTTTGTTTTGTTTTGTTTTGTTGTTTTTGAAATGGAGTCTCGCTCTGTCACACAGGCTGGAGTGCAGTGGCGTGATCTCATCTCACTGCAACCTCCACCTCCTGGGTTCAAGCGAGTCTCCTGCCTCAGCCTCCCAAGTAGCTGGGACTACAGGCACATGACACCACGCCTGGCTAATTTTTGTATTATTGGTAGAGGCGGGGTTTCACCATGTTGGCCAGGCTGGTCTTGAACTCCTGACCTCAAGTGATCTGCCCACCTTGGCCTCTCAAAGTGCTGAGATTACAGGTGTGAGCCACGGCGCCTGGCCTTGTTTGTTTTTTTTTTTTTGAGACAGAGTCTCACTGTATCACCCAGGCTGGAGTGCAGTGGCATGATCTCAGCTCACTGCAACCTCTGCCTCCCAGGTTCAAGTGATTCTCCCACCTCAGCCTCCCGAGTAGCTGGGGTTACGGGTGTGTGCTACCACTCCCAACTAATTTTTGTAATTTTAGTAGAGAGGGGTTTCACCATGTTGGCCAGGCTGGTCTTGAACTCCTGACCTCAGGTGATCCACCTGCCTCGGCCTCTCAAAGTGTTGGGATTATAGGCGTGAGCCACTGTGCCCAGCCCATGTGCTTAGTTTTTTAAGCAAGAGATTTTTAAGGAAGTTTTAAAATTTATTTTTAAATTTTTGTCTAAGAGACAGGGTCTTGCTCTGTCACTTTGGCTAGAGTGCAGTGGTGTGATCATAGCTCAGTGGTGCAATCAAAATAAATGCAGCCTTCATCTCCTGGGCTGAAGAAATCCTTTTGCCTCAGCCTCCTGAGTAGCTGGGACTGCAGGGACATAGCACAGTGCCTGGCTAGTTTTTTTAAAAAAATTTAAGAGACAGGGTCTTGGTCATGTTGCCCAGGCTGGTCTCAAATTCCTGGCCTCCAAACGAACCTCCCACCTTGACCTCCCAAAATGCTGGGATTACAGGTATTGTCCAACCTGCCCAGCCAGGGGAGAGTTTTTAAAGGGAGATCTCCTAGCTCAACCATCGTGTCTGCAGTGTGCTATCCCTGATGTCCCTGATCTCACTTTCTTTTTGAGATGGAGTTTTGCTCTCGTCGCCCAAGCTGGAGTGCAGTGGCATGATCTCAGCTCACTGCAACCTCCACCTCCTGGGTTCAAGCGATTCTTCTGCCTCACCCACCTGAGTAGCTGGGAGTACAGGTGTGTGCCACCATGCCCGGCTAATTTTTGTATTTTTAGTAGAGATGAGATTTCATCATGTTGGCCAGACTGGTCTTGAACTCCTGACCTCAAGTGATCTGTCTGCCTCAGCCTCCCAAGGGCTGGGATAACAGGCGTGAGCCACCACACCTGGCTCCTGATCTCACTTTCTTTAAAGTCCAACCCCACCGAACCTCAGGAAACAGCTGTGGAGATGAACTATTTGTTGGTTGAATCCTATCAACTTCCTCTCCTATTTCTGCATTACTGTTGTCCCTTTGGTGGACAGGGCTCCTAAAAGTCAGTGATGAGTAGTAATGTGCTTCTCAACTCTCAGGTATGAGAAATGTCACCTTCCTTATTTCCCCAAGTTACACTGTATCCAGTTCCAGCCCTCATTTGTAAAAATACATGAGAACTTCACTATGTGTGCATTCTGTGACCCCCTCCTCCCAAGAGAGTAAACAAGGACCCCAGGGCTTATTAATGTCCTGAAAAAGGATGCTCACTCTTGGGCTGTGGGTCAGAATTTTGCTGCTTCTTCTTCCTGATGTAGATGTAGTCTCCGGGCACTGGTCTTTCACTGTTTAGGATGTAGATCCCCTTGCCCTTTATGTGGCATTGACAGCCATTGCACCTGCCCACACTCTCAGGGCCACCCCCTACAGGCATCCTTCACTCACACCCTCCCCAGTCTGGGGGCCTGCCACCTCCCCAGACCCTCTGGGAACACCTGTCCCATCAGCCTCCTCCATCCTTGGGCTATTCTTAGCTCTCAGCCCATGGAAGCTTCCTTGATTCCAAACGTCCTGTATTATTATTATTTTATGAGTCTAGGCTTTTAAAAACAAAACACTCAACTCTCCCCTGGGGCTAGGCACACTTCCATTTTCAGGATAAAAAGTCCAACTGCCCTCTTCAGAGGAGGAAGCAGAAAATCTCTCTTTTTTTGGGGGGGGGGTAATGACTCAATAGGAAAGTGAAAGAGCTAATTTTAAACCAGACTCTCTCTACCCATCAGCGGGGTGTTTTTGTCACTGCTGTCAGGAGCAGGGATGATGAGTTGCTCCACTCCAGGGATCTCATTCACATCTGCACTGGGTGAATGGCACCCGCTGGGGCTAAGCAGCCCACAGCCTGCTCTGCTGAATGCGCAGCCCTGGTGAACAGCCCCTCTCCTAGAGCCTGTGCCTGGGCCCCAATGGGTTGCTAGACTGCAGAGGAAGATGTGGGGGTCTCCTCACAAGACCCTGACTACCCACTTTGGCCCGACTGTGTGGAGCTCGATGAGGACAAAGAGACTGAATTCATTTAAAACCCACCAGATTCTGGTTCCACCTGGATCTAAGAGATTGGTCCTCCCAGGGAAGTCAGGCCACTGCAGGAAAGCTGGATGTCAGGGTAGATAGCAGGGCTGGAGGCAGCGAGCAGCCTGGGCTGCTCAGGATTAAAGGGGAGACGCAAAGCCTCAGCAGCGCCACAGCCCTCTGGGGGGTCAGTTTTGCCTGATGGTCTCTCGGGCCCTGGAGTTGGCTCTATCAGGACTGAACTGGCCTGGCCACCTCTGCCTGTCCTCAGTCTGAGGTCCACTGCCCAGCCAGGCCCTGGTGCGTGTCAGTCCTGTCTTGCTTCTGTGACCTGCCTTCACCTGTTCTCTCCATCTCCTCTGCCCACCTCAGGACAGGAGAGTATGCTTCCTGAGAGCTGTCGGATATTGGGAGGATTCTGAACACTCAAGGACTTGCCTGTGTGAAACAGAGGAGGGGTCTCACATGACCACCGTGCCTCTCCAGGGACACTCACACACCCCAAAAGGGAGCAGCCCTAGAATCCAGGGATTCCCCACACCCTGCTCCCAAATCACAGTCACTCCATCCTGCAGGCCCCAAAACCAGCACACTTCAAGGCCAGATCCTCCTTTGGACCTTAATCCAAACCACGTGTCCCTTTTCTCTAGGGGCTCAGGGTTACACTCCACCTCCCGCCACACATCCAGCCCTCAGTGCCCCTATTAACCCAAAACTGGCAATGGCAGGGGGAACAACCCAGCCAGGACTTGCTATCCATGGGCATTTTGTGCCAAGCTCTTCTGTACCTGTTGGGACCACCCTCAAGGGTGCAAATCAACTGTGGCCCGGAAAAAGCCTGAAATTCCCTCATTCCCCTGAAAGTGGGAGTTGTGAGGACAGACCCTCCTTGGCCCAGGTTAATAACTCTGGCAATAACCATGGCCTTTAAGGGAGATTGGGGGCACACAACGACACTACAACACATCAACACTAACATCCATGCATATGGCTTGGCTGGGGAGGAGGGTTTCATGACAGCACCACGCGGGGTTGAATCAGACATGTGCTTTTCAAGCAGCGAGAATATCCGGTCAGATATCTGCACAGTCCTTTGTGGTACAAGCATAACATGATCACCAGCCTGTCAAATACGAGGAGTCAGGTGGCTGGAGGAAGATGGTCACAGCCCATAAAGAGGCTTTTCTCCCGAGTAAAAGCCGCATTCGTCAGTTAGAGAAGAATAAATGTCCGATGAGGAGCCTCTGGCTTCAGGGGAAATCTACTTCAGAAAATAGTTGAGGCCGGGCATGGTGGTTCATGCCTGTAATCCCAGCACTTTGGGAGGCCGAGGCAGGTGGACCATTTGAGATTAGGAGTTCGAGACCAGCCTGACCAACATGGTGAAACCTCGTATCTACTAAAAATACGAAAAAATTAGCTGGACGTGGTGCACGCCTGCAGTCCCAGCTACTCAGGAGGCTGAGGCAGGAGAATTGCTTGAACCTGGGAGGTGGACGTTGCAGTGAGCCGACATTGCGCCACTGCACTCCAGCCTGGGTGACAGAGCGAGACTCCATCTCAAAAAAAAAAAAAAAAAGAAAATAGTTTAAATGCTTTGCTAAAATTTTTAATTTCATTTTCTAAAAGTTGGTATCTGGTTGTCCTTTTCTTAATGCAAAGTGAGAACGTTCCCTACCACAGACCCAGTGAATATGATCCAGATTATGTTGCCATGAACATGTGGTCCAAAATGCCTGCTCAGGTTTTCAGGATGCAGAGTTTCGCTTTGCTGAATTCTAAGCAGATATAAATATGTTAAGGGTGAAGAGTAGAGGAGGATCAGGGTCAGATGAATGGGAGAATGAGAAAGAAAGTTGGACCAGTTTGGGTCCTAATCATAAACATCTTGAAGCCGGACGCAGTGGCTCTTGTCTGTAATCCCAGCACTTTGGGAGGCTGAGGTGGGCGGATCACTTGAGCTCAGGAGTTCGAGAACAGCCTGGGCAACATGATAGAACCCCACCTCTATTAAAAATACAAAAATTAGCCAGGCGTGGTGGCAGGCACCTGTAATCCCAGCTACTCAGGAGGCTGAGGGAGAAGAATCGCTTGAACCCAGGAGGCGGAGGTTAAAGTGAGCTGAGATTGTGCCACTGCACTCCAGCCTGGGCAACAGAGCGAGACCCCATCTCAAAAAACAAACAAACAAACAAACAAACAAAAAAACATCATGAGGGCGTCAGACAAGTGGAAATTGTCAGCCATCACTTAGCTCTGGCTGAAGTGAACAAAACCCTTCCGTAGATGTGACCGTCTTTTTTTTTTTTTTTTTGAGACAGAGTCTCACTCTGTTGCCCAGGCTGGAGTGCAGTGGCTCGATCTCTGCTAACTACAATCCCCGCCTCCCAGGTTCAAATGGTTCTCATGCCTCAGCCTCCTGAGCAGCTGCGATTACAGGTGTGTGCTACTACACCAGGCTAATTTTTTTTTTTTTTTTTTTTTTTTAGAGACGGGTTTTGCGAAGTTGCCCAGGCTAGTCGCGAGCTCCTGAGCTCAAGTGATGCGCCCACCTCAGCCTCCCAAAGTACTGGGATTACAGGCATGAGTCACTGCCTCCGATATATAGAAGTGATCTTCTAAGGGACAAATCTAACATCTCTAACGATCTTGGGACCAAGTCCATGGATCCACTGAGGTCCACCCTCCTCCCTAAGGGAATAGACACTCCTACTACTGAGTACCCATCAGAGACACCAGGCCCCCGAGGACAAAATCATTTGCCATTTTGTGATCACGGGGGCTCAGACTGCACTTTATAAATCCACATATATAACTCTGATGGGAATTTCAAGGCCCAGCTTGGGAGATCGACCATTGTCAAGTTTAAAGCTTTGCTTTCATTGCTAACAATTCTAGTTTCGTGATGAACCTTTTACACTTCAGGAAAAATCGGTTTATTATTTCACTTGTGGGTAATGGGAGTTTCTAGGGAAGTAGTTCCAAATTGGTTTGTATATAGATTCCTTGGAAACTCCAGTAAAAGTTGGGAACCCTCTCCCTAGTAAATACCTATACATTTCAGTTTCAGGGGGTCACAACCTGAAGCCCACTCATGAACAACAACATAAGGAGCCCTGGTTCCAGGCGGGAGCTCCACCAGCTGGCTTATTGATTCCACTGCATTTTTGCCCAGGACGCTTTCACAGGCCATGGGAGGGCTGTTTTCCACCTGATTCTTCAGAGCCCCAAACTGAGATGATGGGTGACTTTTATCCAGATTTAATACCAGAGTTAAATACCCTGACTCAGCCAGCATGACAGCTAGTCTGATCATTGCACTTGAGAATGGCACACTGTGATATTCAGGCAGAAAACTTTCACATGTCTGCAGGCAAAACACATCAACTAAAACAGGCATTGAAGCTATTGTCAGTTTTGAGAGATCTTCACAATGATGATGGAGAAAATGTATTTCAAAAGTTGAAGGGGTGACCTCGGCAAAGACTGTGACGACTCAGGTGCGCTGACCAGGCCCACCTGGCCTTCTGCAGACCCTCAGTTTCTCTGGCCACTAAGCTAACTCAGGGTCTGTTTTGGCCACCAAAACCTCCTTCCCCTTGGAAGTCTCTCCCCTGCCTGGATGCTTGCGGGTTTGCTGGGTGCAGAAGGTGCTTGCTTCTTGTGGCTGTGCCTGTGGGAAGGGTGGTGGGGGGCAAGGTAGTTCTGACTAGCTCGGAGGAGACTGTTCTGGGACCTAGGAGTTCTGCTCTCCCTGTCTTCAGGGTCTATAATGGAGGTGCCCTCAGGGAGGGCAGGGGGCAGGCCTCGTAGTCACTGGTGGAGCCCCCTCTGATATCCTTGTCTCCCTGAACAGTTTTCTTTTGTTTTTGTTTTTGAGACGGAATCTGGCTCTGTTGCCCAGGCTGGAGTGCAGTGGCGCGATCTCGGTTCACGGCAACCTCCACCTTCTGGGTTCAAACGATTCTCCTGCTTCAGCCTCCCAAGTAGTTGGTATTACAGGCGTGCACCATTAAACCGGGCTAATTTTTGTATTTTTAATAGAGACGAAGATTTGCCATGTTTGTCAGGCTGGTCTCGAACTCCTGGCCTTAAGTGATCTGCCCGCCTCGGCTTCCCAAAGTGCTGGGATTACAGGCGTGAGCCACCGCACCCGGCCCCATCTCTGAACACTTTTCCCACCTGCCAACAAAAGATGGGGTTTCCTAAGCCCGCAGGACTTCCAGACAAGTCTTCTGCTCTGGAGCCGCTGGGGGCTCAGTCAACATGATCCAGTGTTTGCATCAGACCAGCCTTCCTCTGGGGAGTCGGCCCCAGGACTCGTGTTGCGGAAGAGCCAAGGGCACCCAATGATGCTCCCCACCAGGGCCCGGATGAGGTGCACTGTGGGGCCGCGGAGCTCTCCTGCGCAGACCAAAAGCCCAGAGCCGCAGCGGTGGAAGGCTTCGCGTCCGAACGTAGCAGTGCTTCCTTGTTGTCACTAGAGGGCGACCGCGCGTAACAGGAAAGCAAAGCGAAGGGGGACCTCGCTCGCACCCAGGCTTGCAGAGGCAGCGTGGGGACGCGGACTTTTTCCAAGGCGGGGGCCTTGAGGCCAGAAAGGCAACGCAAGGCTGGAGAGAGCAGGAGACTCAGGAGGTGTGACTCCTAAGAGCAATTCCGGGCCGGGCGCAGTGGCTCACGCCTGTAATCCCAGCACTTTGGGAGGCCGAGGTGGGCGGATCACAAGGTCAGGAGATCGAGACCATCCTGGCTAACATAGTGAAACCCCGTCTCTACTAAAAATACAAAAAATTAGCCGGGCGTGGTGGCGGGCGCCTGTAGTCCCAGCTACTCGGGAGGCTGAGGCAGGAGAACGGCATGAACCTGGTAGGCGGAGCTTGCAGTGAGCCGAGATCGTGCCACTGCACTCCAGCCTGGGCGAAAAAGCGAGACTACGTCTCAAAAAAAAAAGCTATTCCGGCGGGGGGCGTTGGCTCACGCCTGTAATCCCAGCACTTTGGGATGCCCAGGTGGGCCTCGGCAGCGCGCGAGCGGCGATCCAAGGGCAGAACCAGAGTGGCTCTGTGTGCTCACAGCTTGTAAATTAAATAATAACTGAAATTACATAACACAACAACAACAACAACAACAATGTATGTTTGGGAGCTTGATGTGAATTCGCTCTGCCCTGCGAATGTGCCGGGCACAGGTTCCTGGGCGTCTGCTCAGGGTTCAAGGGTCGAGGCTCTCAGAGGCCATTGGTGTCACCTGTGGGTTAATAAACTGGGAAAGAATGAAGAATGGGATGGGGCTTCAGAAAGGCTGTAACCTGTTGTTTCCAAAGCCAAACCAGGGAAAATAAAGATTTAAAGGTGTCGTGTCCTTTGCAGCAACCTGGATGCAGCTGGAGGCCATTATCCTAAGTGAATTAATACAGGAACCGAAAACAAACCAAATATGCATTATTTCACTTTTTTTTGAGATGGAGTTTTGCTCTTGTTGCCCAGGCTGGAGTGCAATGGCGCCATCTTGGGTCACGGCAACCTCGGCCTCCCAGGTTCAAGTGATTCTCCTGCCTCAGCCTCCCAAGTAGCTGGGATTACAGGCACGCACCACCACGCCCGGCTAATTTTGTATTTTTAATAGAGACGGGGTTTCTCCATGTTGGTCAGGCTGGTCTCGAACTCCCGACCTCAGGTGATCCACCTGCCTCGGCCTCCCAAAGTGCTGGGATTACAGGCGTGAGCCACCGCACCTGGCCGGTTGCATCTTCTCACTTATAAGTGGGAGCTAGACATTGGGTAATTATGGACATAAAGATGGGAACAATAGACACTGGGGACTTCTAGATGGGGGAGGGAGAAGGGCAAGGGTTGAAAAACTATAGGGTACTGTGCTCAGCACTTGGGGGAAGGAACCATTTGTACTCCAAAGCTCGGCATCACATGATATGTCCAGCTTACACACCTGCACCTGTACCCCTTGAATCTAAAATAAAAGTTGGAAAAAAGATTTAAAGGTTGCATTTTTGCCCTAATCAAAATGAAAATACAGGGCCAGGCGCGGTGGCTCATGCCTGTAATCCCAGCCTTTGGAAGGCCGAGGCAGGTGGATCGCTTGAGGCCAGGAGTTCGAAACCAGCCTGGTCAACATGGTGAAATCCCATCTCTACTAAAAATACAAAAATTATTTGAACCTAGTGGCCCGCGCTTGTAATCCCAGCTACTCAAGAGGCTGAGGCAGGAGAATCACTTGAACCCAGGAGGCAGAGGTTGCAGTGAGCTGAGATCATACCGCTGCACTCCAGCCTGGGCGACAGAGTGAGACCTTGTCTCCAAAAAATAAATAAATAAATAAATAAAAGAACCAAAATGAAAATACAGTTTTAAAACTACAGGAAACAATGATTATTCATACAACTTTGGATACCTATTTAATTGGATCATAGAATGTGAGGAAAAGAAAAAAAGAACCCTGCTTTTATCCCCTAAAATGTGAATCAAGGTCTGGGCATATTTGAAAAGCAATCTGGAGATAGCTTTCTCTAGTCTTTACCTTACCTTCATTCGCAATCCATGTTCATGTGCATCATATAATGTCAGCCCTGAAATATCTCCATGAGGTCGATGGTGCCTCACTCTGTCCCATGGGGGCTGAATTCAGGTCTCAGGTCTGGACGAGGGAAAACGCCTAATAATAATTACCAAAAGTCGCCTTCTGCACGGTCACACCGAGCCAGCGCCTGGGCCTGGAACCGGGCCGCAGCCCCTCAGCCTTGCCCACCGCCTCCCGACCATGGACCCCCGCAAAGTGAACGAGCTTCGGGCCTTTGTGAAAACGTGTAAGCAGGATCCGAGCGTTCCGCACGCCGAGAAAATGCATTTCCTAAGGGAGAGGGTGGAGAGCATGGCGGGTAAAGTACCACCTGCTACTCAGAAAGCTAAATCAGAAGAAAATACCAAGGAAGAAAAACCTGATAGTAAGAAGGTGAAGGAAGACTTAAAGGCAGACTAACCATCAAGCGAGGAAAGTGATCTAGAAATTGATAATGAAGGTGTGGTTGAACCAGGCACTGATGCCCCTCAAGAAATGGGAGATGAGAATGCAGAGATAACAGAGGAGATGATGGATCAGGCAAATGAGAAAGTGGCTGCTATTGAAGCCCTAAATGATGGTGAACTGCAGACAGCCATTGACTTGTTCCCAGATGCCATCAAGCTGAATCCTCACTTGGCCATTTTGTATGCCAAGACGGCTGGTGTCTTCGTCAAATTATAGAAGCCAAATGCTGCCATCCGAGACTGTGCCAGGCACGGTGGCTCACGCCTGTAATCCCAGCACTGGGAGGGCGAGGCAGGTGGATCACGAGGTCAGGAGTTCAAGACCAGCCCGGCCAAGATGGTGAAACCCCGTCTCTACTAATAATACAAAAATTAGCTGGGTGTGGTGGCAGGCGCCTGTAATCCCAGCTACTCGGGAGGCTGAGGCAGAGAATTGCTTGAACCCGGGAGGTGGAGTTTGCAGTGAGCTAAGATCGTGCCACTGCACTCCAGCCTGGGTGACAGAGCGAGACTCCATCTCAAAAAAAAAAAAGAAAAGAAAAGAAAAGAAAAGAAATAATTCCTGATTCAGCTCAGCCTTACAAGTGTCGAGAGAAAGCACACAGACTTTCCCTTCAATTGGATTATGATGAAGATGCTAGTGCAATGCTGAAAGAAGTTCAACCTGGGGCACAGAAAATTGCAGAACATCGGAGAAAGTATGAGCGAAAACGTGAAGAACAAGAGATCAAAGAAAGAATAGAAAGAGTTAAGAAGGCTCAAGAAGAGCATGAGAGAGCCCAGAGGGAGGAAGAAGCCAGAAGACAGTCAGGAGCTCAGTACTGCTCTTTTCCAAGTGGCTTTCCTGCGGGAGTGCCTGGTAATTGTCCCAGAAGAATGTCTGGAATGGGAGGGGGCATGGCTGGAATGGCCAGAATCCCCGGACTCAATGAAATTCTTAGTGATCCAGAGATTCTTGCAGCCATGCAGGATCCAGAAATTATGTTAGCCTTCCAGGATGTGGCTCAGGACCCAGCAAACATGTCAAAATACCAGCGCAACACAAAGACTATGCATCTTATCAGTAGATTGTCAGCCAAATTTGGAGGTCAAGCGTAATGCCCTTCTGATAAAGAGAGCCCTTACTCCAGGCACGGTGGCTGATGCCTGTAATCCCAGCACTTTGGGAGGCTGAGGCGGGTGGATCACAAGGTCAGGAGTTCGAGACCAGCCTGACCAACATGGTGAAACCCAGTCTCTACTAAAAATACAAAAATTAACCGGGCATGGTGGCACATGCCTGTAATCCCAGCTACTCGGGAGTCTGAGGCAGGATAATCACTTGAACTCAGGAAGCGGAGGTTGCAGTGAGCCGAGATCACATCATTGCACTAGACAGAACTAGACTCCGTTTCAAAAAAAAAAATTATTTCAATAAAACTAATTGAGAACACCAGTATTTCAGGAGGACCTGGATAGGGACTGGAAGTACTTGGCAGGGCCGCAGCAATCTTGCTGTGTTTTATATAACATGCATCTGGCTGGCCACAGTGGCTCACACCTGTAATCCTAGCACTTTGGGAGGCCAAGGCAGGCAATCACCTGAGGTTGGGAGTTCGAGACCAGACTGACCAACATGGAGAAACCCCGTCTCTACTAAAAATACAAAATTAGCCAGGTGTGGTGGCACATGTCTATAATCCCAGCTACTTGGGAGGCTGAGGCAGGAGAATCATTTGAACCCGGGAGGCGGAGGTTGTGGTGAGCCGAGATCGCGCCATTGCACTCCAGCCTGGGCAACAAGAGTGAAACTCTGTCTCAAAAAAAAGGAAAACATGCATCCTTCAGCAGTTGCCCTTAAATCTTACACTGTGGTGAAGGGATGATTTTTTTGTAATGCTGCGGTAGAGTTGGATTATTTAGTTCTGTTCTTGTCCAGTATATCTAATAAATGTTTCATATTATTTCCACATAAAAAAATAGTTACCAAAAGTCCAATACGGTTGTGGGCAGGACACACAGCTGCTGCTTGGTCTCCCAGAGAGCTATTTCTCAAGACCTTCCTAAACCAAACGTTCAAATATGGAAGTGATTCCGGAAACATTTTTGGTTGTCACAACTGGAAGCCAGGAGTTGCTACTGGCAGCTGGTGGGTAGACACCAGGGATGCCGCCAAACATCCTACTATGCACAGGACAGCCCCCTAAAATGAGGAAGTTTCTAGTCCAAAATATGGAGAGTGTGGAAGTCGAGGAAACTTGAAATATGAGAATATTTATTTGGCTCCTTTAAAAATCGCAGTCCAGGCCAGGCATGGTGGCTGGAACCTGTAATCCCAACACTTTGGGAGGCCAAGGTGTGCGGATCACCTGAGGTGAGGAGTTCGAGACCAGCCTGGCCAACATGGTGAAACCCGGTCACTACTAAAAATACAAAACTTAGCCGGGCATGGTGGCAGGCGCCTGTAATCCCAGCTACTCAGGAGGCTGAGGCCGGAGAATCACTTGAACCTGGGAGGTAGAGGATGCAGTGAGCCAAGATTGCACCACTGCACTCCAGCCTGGGCCACAGACTGCGACTCCGTCTCAAAAAAAAAAAATAAAATAAAAATAAAAATTGCAGTCTAGAGTTGTTCCTTTGCCTGTTCTCCTACTGCACAGTAGGTAACCTTTCCATTTCCATTTCCAACAAACTTCCCAATTGTTTGACCATTTTTCAAGCCATTGTGCCAGTTCCTATCAGTTTCGGAGCAGCACGGAGAGTTCAGTAATGTGGGTGCAATAGTGAAACGGCGGTGAGATGTGGACGCTGACTAGCTGGGAGGCCCACCTGCTAGCTCTGGGAGTGTCCTTCTACACCATTCCATACCATGGGCCTTTGGTCACTCCCAAAATGAGAACACTCACTCACTAATACTCACCTGGTGTCTTACTGTGTCATATTGTATTAACGTTAGTTAAGAAGAAGTTTAGACAGCAAACATTTGCTGGCAAGTTTCAGAAGAAGAGAAATTGAACCCTGCCTTCTCCTCTAAAGGCAAAGGCCAGCCGCTGGTTGCGTGAGGACAGGTGGTGGCATCTGCACGACACCTGGGGGCGCTGTTCTTTCTACAGAGCAGCACCTACTACGATTCTGAGGGCTTCTCCATCAGCTGTGTGCTCACAGTGTGTGGTGTGTTCACTTCATGACTACTACTCCTGAGGCCGCCATCAAAACCCTTCCCGAGGCCGGGCACAGGGTCTCACACCTGTAATCCCAGCACTTTGGGAGGCTGAGGCAGGCAGATCACTTGAGGTCAGGAGTTTGAGACCAGCCTGGCCAACATGGTGAAACCCTGTCTCTACTAAAAATACAAAAATTAGCCAGGCATGGTGGCGCACCCCTGTAATCCCACCTACTCGGGAGGCTGAGGCAGGAGAATTGTTTGAACCCGGGAGGCAGAGGCTGCAGTGAGCCGAGATGGTACCACTGCATTCCAGCCTGGGTGACAGAGCAAGACTCTGTCTTGAAAACAAAAACAACAAGAACAAAACCCCCCAAAAAACGCCTTCCTGAGGTCTAGCAGTGGGATCAGGGACATGCTGAGCCGGGACCCTTCTCTGCAGATTTCCTGTCCTAGCAGGAAGGCAGTGACTGGAACATTTCTGAGCAGGCCAGCCAACGGCATCCCCTCCAGCACACTTCACAGTTCACCATGAATAATTAATCATGTGTATCATTTTCTGCCCCTCTGGTCTGCAGAGTGTTCACTCATAGGGTATTCTTTACCTCAAAATCAAATTCTACCATTTCAGACAGCTTCTGACCCAGTAATTCCACTTCTGGAAATTTCTTCCACAGAAACACTTCCACAAGGGCACAGAAGTGTATGTGCTAGGATGTTCATTGCAGCATTGTAGTAAAAATTTAGTTTGGGAGGCTGAGGCAAGAGGATCTCCTGAGGCAGGAGTTTGAGACCAACCTCGGCAATATAGTGAGACCCCATCACTACAAAAAAAACAAAAATGAGCTGGGCATGGTGGCACTTGCCTATAGCCCCAGCTACTCGGGAGGCTGAGGCAGGAGGGTTGCTTGAGCCTGGGAGGTCAAGGCTGCAGTGAGCTGTGATCACACCACTGCACTCCAGACTGCTGGGGTGACAGAGGGTTACCCTTTCTCAAAAAAATAAATAAATAAATAAATAAACGAAACAATTTAAATGTCCATCAATAGAAGAATAGGACGGGCACAGTGGCTCATACCTGTAATCCCAGCACTTTGGGAGGCTGAAGCAGGAGGATTGCTTGAGCCCAGGAGTTTGAGACCAGCCTGGGCAACATAGTGGGACACCATCTCTACAAAAAATAATTTTTAAAAATCAGCAATGGGGCTAATGGTGATGTGCACCTATAGTACCAGCTACTCAGAAAGCTAAGGCGGGAAGATGGCTTAAGGCCAGGAGGTCAAGGCTACAGTGAGCCATGATTGCTCCACTGCACTCCAATCTGAGTGACAGAGTGAGATCCTGTCTCAGAAAACAAATAAACAACAACAACAACAAAATAGAATAATGAAATAATTGTGGTAACGCCATACTCTAGAATTCTATTTTTTGTTTATTTATTTATTTTTATTATACTTTAAGTTCTAGGGTACATGTGCACAATGTGCAGGTTTGTTACATGTGTATACATGTGCCATGTTAGTGTGCTGCACCCATTAACTCGTCATTTACATTAGGTATATCTCCTAATGCTATCCCTCCCCCCTCCCCCACTATTTATTTATTTTTCATAATAAAATAGACACAGGAGTCTCACTATGTTGCCCAGAATGGTCTCGAACTCCTGGGCTCAAGCGATCCTCCCACCTTGGCCTCCCAAAGTGCTGGGATTACAGGTGTGAGCCACTGTTCCTGGCCTGCTCTGGAATTCTAGGTTAAGAATGTGATGGAGCTATATGAAATGACACAAGAAGCAAGTTTGCAGAGTGTATGAAGTCATCCCATTTGTGTGAAAAAAAGTTCATAAGGATTTATTTTGCATACATTTAAAAAGTACTTAGACGCATGTAAATAGTATGCCAAATTCTAAAGAAAAATTATTTTAAACATTTATATGTTGTTTACATGAAAACAGCCTACGTGTTAGTTTTACAATAAGAAAATCCATGCTTATTTTTGTTGTTTTATAATAGAAACAAAAAGTCTGATCAGATTTGGTTTTTTTTTCCTTAGCTAGTGTGAGTTGAGTTTTCTGTGACTCGCGGGTCCTGTTACCCTCCAGGGAAAAGGCTAATGCATGAGGCAGTGATTTTTGGCAGGATGGTTCCTAAGGCATCATTCTCCTCCAAAAGTCAGTGTTTTAGCCAGGCCCAGCTTTTTCTTGACTGTAGGTTTTGTTTCCATCAGGAAATGCTAAATATATTCCCCACTGATTCGCAGAGCTCGTTCCTAGTCTACCTTTGTGATGAGTGAGGCATGGGGTCTCTCTCTCAGGAACTTCTAATGAGAACAAGAGCCTACCAGGCGACTGAGCTGAGAGCCTGAGCTGAGTACATCATTCATCTCTGCGTTCCTGGTACCCAGCACAGTGCTTCATGCATAGCTGACGCTAATTGTTGAATGAATTTGTGGAAGGAAGAAGGAACCTTTGAGTCCTGTCAGCTTGATTCTCATGTGTCTGGGGAAGTGGGGTGTCTGGGGAAGTGGGGTGTCAGTGAAGATGGCTTACAGTTCCTGGCTGGTGAGTCCAGGTTTGCCTCCAGTGGTCCCTGTTTTGTAAGGTTATGCTCAGAGGGTCCTGCCACCCGAGAAGCACCTTATGACATCAGCACACAGGAGCAGACGCCATGCCTGGGCCTGAGCTCAGAAACAATACCCAGGAATTGATCTGACATTTCTTAGCAATTTCCAGAATGTTTCTGCTACATGATAGCTAGACATAGGCCTGGTGCAGTGGCTCATGCCTGTAATCTCAACACTTTGGGTGGCTGAGATGGGCAGATGGCTTGATCCCAGGAGTTTGAGACCAGCCTAGGCAACATAGTGAGACGCTGTCTCTATTTCATTTTTTGAAGAAAATGGGCGGGGAATGGTGGCTCGTGCCTGTAATCCCAGCACTTTGGGAGGCGGAGGTGGGCGGATCACAAGGTCAAGAGATGAAGACCATCCTGGCCAACATGGTGAAACCCTGTCTCTACTAAAAATACAAAAATTAGCTGGGTGTGGCGGCGCGTGCCTGTAGTCCCAGCTACTCGGGAGGCTGAGGCAGGAGAATCGCCTGAACCTGGGAGGTGGAGGTTGCAGTGAGCCGAGATCGCACCACTGCACTCCAGCCTGGTGACACAGCGAGATTCTGTCTCAAAAAAATCAAAACAAAACAAAACAAAAAAGAAAATAATTTTATTTTAAAAACCCAATAGCTAGACATAAACATTAACCACCTCACATATAAACATTAATCACCTCGCGTAAGCAATGGTGAGTGGTGTTAATAGCCAAAGCAAAATAAGCACTTCCGGGGCAGCTTTGGGGCCCGGGTACCAAGGAAGGGCCTGGGTGGGCTTGCAGCTGCTCTGAGCTCCTCCAAAGACCCGTTGGACCCCAAATCCAGGCCTGCGCAGAGACTAGCCCTCCCTATCCCCAGTCTTGAGCTCTTACAGCTGAGCCTCAAGTTACCCTTTTCAGCTGAAAGTATCCCCAGCCTCTGCCTCCAACCAAAAAAATGTGATGGAGGCCTCTGCTTTGCCCCAGCTCCTGCTCTAGGCCCCTGGGCCTTGCTATCAAAATCTCTTCCAGTTCACAGACTCCACACACCTATACCTACACACACCTACCTAGTGGTCTTCTCCATTCTCTGTAGGGGTAAAAATTCTAATATAGATGTTCTGAATGGGACTAAACAGTTGGGCCTGGTTAGTTGATATTCACTGAAAATGCACATGTACGCAGTTAAACATCAGAAAGATAGAAAACAGAAAAAAGAGTCTTCATTCCACCCTTCATTCCAGACCTACTACTGCCAGGTCTGCACTATAGAGATAAACACCATTAACTGTTTCTTGCGTATTCTTCCAAAAATCTATACAAACACATACACTCATCCACACCCACATGTCTTCTGTACCTTGCTTTCTTCTAACTTAATGTATCTTGGAGATTGTTCCAAATCAGGATATACACATCAGCATTATTCTTTTTAAAAAGATGCATACTATTCCAGTGTATATGTAGCTTTTTCTTCCCCAGGAAGCTTTCCCCTTTCCTCTTATAATAGCAGCCTGATTTTTGGGGGGGAATCATGTCTTCCCCATTTTCAGTTCTTTGATTTAGGTGGAGGTGACCTAGGGTTGGGCAGATGACCCAGGCCTTACCACCATGACTGGTTCAGAGATGGACACAGAACCCATGCTGGGGCAGTGCCAATCATGACCAGGACTTTCTTTGAAGTATTAAAGGAAGAGAAGCTCTTTTTTCTGCTGGCTTCACACATGAGGAGATACTGGCCTGGAGTGCTGGAAGCCAATTTCTCATGGTGTGGAGTCCGAGAATAAAGCTCGCATGGTGAAGAACAAAGCCAACATATGGAGAGAGACGGTGCTCGTCTTATTTCTTTTTAATTTTTTAATTTTTAATTTTTATTTATTTTATTTTATTTTTGACAGAGTTTTGCTCTTGTTGCCCAGGCTGGAGTGCAATGGCGCAATCTCCGCTCACTCCAACCTCTACCTCCTGAGTTCAAGCAATTCTCCTGCCTCAGCTTCCCGAGTAGCTGGAATTACAGGCGCCCGCCGACACACCTGGCTAATTTTTGTATTTTTAGTAGCAACGGGGTTTCACCATGTTGACCAGACTGGTCTTGAACTCCTGACCTCATGATCCACCCCCCTCAGCCTCCCAAAGTGCTGGGATTACAGGTGTGAGCCACCGTGCCCGGCCTGGTGCTTGTCCTGACGACACAGCCAATGTGCCTGGTTCAGGCAGTACTCGGATCCCTTCCTCTCACGCTGGACTTTCAGTTACATAAGACAATGAATTCCTTTTTTTTTTGCCAGAACCAACGTGGGTTAGGCTTTCTGTTGCTTACCCTGGGAAGAGTCCTGATATAGAAACTGGCATAAAGAATGGAGGATTATTGACTAGGTACAGTGACTCATGCTTGTAATCCCAGCACTTTGGGAGGCTGAGGCGGGTGGATCACTTGAGGCCAGGAGTTTGAGACCAGCCTAGCCAACATGGCAAAACCCACTCTCTGCTAAAAATACAAAAATTAACCAGGCGCGGTGGCATGCGCCTGTGATCCCAGCTACTTGGGTGGCTGAGGCAGGATAATTTGCTTGAACCTGGGAGGTGGAGGCTGCAGTGAGCTGAGATTGCGCCACTGCACTCCAGCCTGGGTGACAGAGCAAGACTCTGTCCCCCAAAAAATAAGAAAAAAATAAAATAATGGAGGATTGCAGTGACCCTAAAGTATAGAATTGGACGAGTCAAGGTAAGATGAAGACCCTTCTATCCTTGGCTAGCACATTGATGATTCTTGTTATGTAACAATGCAGCAACAAATTAAATTGTTGCCCCTCAAACCAGGTGTTTACCAATGCAGGAGAGCTAGGAGGCTGAAGAGATGAAGTTGATGAGCTTCTTCTGCCACTTTGGGTAAGATCTTACATGAAAGAAACAAACCTCAAGGACATTCTGACCCGTGCTACAACCGTGTTGAATCTTGGCATTATCCTAAGTGAAATCAGCCAGCCACAAAAAGACAAATACTGTTTGATTCCACTTATGCAAGGTCCCTAGAGTAGTCAAATTCATACAGACAGAAAAGAGAAGGGTGGTTGCCAAGGGAGCCGGGGAAGGGGAGATGGGGAATTGTTGTTTAACAGGGACAGAGTTTCAGTTTTACAAGATGAAAGGAGTTTAGGAGATGGTGACGGTTGCACAACAATATGAAAATACTGAAGGAATGCCACTAAAATGTACGTTTGAAAATGATTCAGATGGTAAATTTTATGTTCTGTGTATTTTATCACAATTTAGAAAAAAACCCGACAACACACACAGAAGGGAGAAAATGCAGCTTTGTTAAGAAAGGCCCTTTCTGTCTAGCAATGCTGCCCTAGAACAGTGGAATTATCTGCAGTGCACTAAATCTACTGTGAGCAAAGCCTGGGAGGCAGAAAACACAGCAAGAGAGAAGGGTGGAATTTAGGAGAATAAGGATGATAACATTTTGGTGTCTCCTATAAATGTTTTACAGCCAGGAGCTGTGGCTCACACCTGTAATCCCAGCACTTTGGGAGGCCGAGGCAGGTGGATCATGAGGTCAGGAGATCGAGACCATCCTGGCTAACACGGTGAAACCCTGTCTCTACTAAAAATACAAAAAATTAGCCAGGCATGGTGGCATGCACCTGTAGTCCCAGCTACTCAGGAGGCTGAGGCAGGAGAATCGCTTGAGCCCAGGGGGCAGAGGTTGCAGTGAGCCAAGATCACACCACTGCACTCCAGCCTGCGCAACAGAGTGAGACTCTGCCTCAAAAATAAAAAAAAATACGTATATGACCTCATCTATTTCTTATAACAACCCACAAAGTTGGTACTGTTCTACAGATGAGGAAAATAAAGTCATGGGAAGTTAAATGAATCCATCCTGATGAAGTAGGTAACAGAGCCAGGCTGTGCCCTAGTCAGTCTGGGTCAGGCCTGAGCTTCTAACCTTTACACCACGTGGGTTCTGCAACATCTGGGCCCTTCTTCTTCTTCAACATCTGGGCTCTTCTTCTTCTTCCTTTTCCTCTTCTTCTTCTTCTTTTTTTTTTTTTTTTGAGATGGAGTCTCACTCTGTTGTCCAGGCTGGAGTGCAGTGGTGAGATCTTGGCTCACTATGAACTCCACCTCCTGGGTTCAAACAATTCTCGTCCCTCAGCCTCCAGAGTAGCTGGGACTACAGGTGCACCACCACCGCACCTGGCTAATTTTTGTATTTTTAGTAGAGAAGGCGTTTTGCCATGTCGGCCAGGTTGGTCTCGAACTCCTGACCTCAAGTAATCCACCCACCTTGGCCTCCCAAAGTGCTGGGATTACAGGCGTGATCCACTGCGCCCAGCCCTTTCTGCTTCTTCTAAACACCTCCTTACCAGTACCTCAAGGCAGAGACCAAGATGGGGATACTTAGCGATTGATCAGAGCACTGAGGCCTGATTCAAGACATGGAAGTTTCCACGGCAGATCCTGGAATCAAACACTGCCCCTTGGCAAGATCTCTGGCTTTGTGCATTGACTGGAAGCAAATAGCCAGCGTAGCCCTGAAATCCCAAGGGAATTGTGCCGGCAGAGGAACTGGCATTTGGCTCACAAAGGCTGGGGTTTGCCAACCTCACAGAATAATCTCCAAGCCCTGTGGCACCAACGAGGAGCAGGCTGTGCCTCTGGCTCTGCAGACAAGACATGTCACCTTGCCCATCCTCAGGAGATCTTTCCCTCATTCCCACACCCTTTAAATCCTCCAGACTCTTCCTTCTCTAGAAAAATCATTGGAGCAGCTGAGGGAAACATTTGACCATGAGAAATTATCTGCTGATTCAAACCACTTGATGTGCGTGGACCAAGAACTCACCCAGCCAAGGCTCAAGTCCTGGGCTATAATATCACTGACGACATTTCCCACAGTTGGCTCTGGGATCTGAACAGCTCTTGGCCCAAGTCTTCTGACGATCCCCACTCTTCCTGCTTTGAGCGATCTATTTGTGTCCCCTACTTGGGGTTGCACATAGAGGCTGTGTATCAGGGTTGGGCTGAGGGTGGAAAGGCTTCTGTGTCTTCGCCTGGCCTGGGAGGAGGATGATAGCAAGGAGTTGAGGAAGAGTTACATCACTGGGAACCCGTGGCAAAGGCAGGACTCAGGTGTGGTCCTTAACTGCCAGGGAGACTTGTTCTAGCAAGAAGAGCCAGGGTCCAGAGGGAAGCAGAGGTAGGCTTTACAGAGGCACGGGCTTGGGCCAGTGGAGAGGCATTTCTTCAACAGACAGCAGCGCCCACCGCTACTCCACAGAAAGGACAGTGTCCACCTGAATCCCAGGAAGAAGGGCCTTGAAGCCTCCGTGGCTCTGAGCAGAGTAGTAGGTCATATAGTGATACTCACATTGTCTTGGCAACGGGAATTTGATTGCTTTTTAAATTGTTTTATTGTAAACTGACAAATTATATATATATATATATATATATCTATATATATCTTTTTTTTTTTTTTTTTTTTTTTGAGACCGAGTCTCACTTTGTCACCCAGGCTGGAGTGCAGTGGTACAATCGCCTCAGCCTCCTGAGTAGCTGGGACTACAGGCACCTGCTACCACACCTGGCTAATTTTTGTATTTTTGGTAGAGACGGGATTTCACCATATTGGCCAGGCTGGAATGTTTTTAATTAAAAAAATTTTTTTTTAGCAATAAGGTCTTGCTCTTTGCCAAGGCTGGATTGCAGTGGCATAGTCATAGCTCACTGCAGCCTCAACTCCTGGGCTCAAGCAATCCTCCCACCTCAGCCTCCCGAGCAGCTGGGACCACAGGCAATGCCACCACACCTGCGTAATTTTTTTTTTTTTTTTGAGACGGAGTTTCGCTCTTGTTGCCCAGGATGGAGTACAATGGCGCAATCTCAGCTCACCGCAACTTCCGCCTCCCAGGTTCAAGCAATTCTCCTGTCTCAGCCTCCCGAGTACCTGGGATTACAGGCCTGCACCACCACGCCCAGCTAATTTTGTATTTTTAGTAGAGACGGGGTTTCTCCATGTTGAGGCTGGTCTTGAACTCCTGACCTCAGGTGATCCGCCCGTCTCGGCCTCCCAAAGTGCTGGGATTACAGGCATGAGCCACCGCACCCAGCCTCCACCTGGGTAATTTTCAAATATTTTTTTAAAGATGGGGTCTTGCTATGTTGCCCAGGCTGGTCTGGAACTCCTGGTCTCAAGTGATCCTCCTGCCTTGGCCTACCAATGTGCTGGGATAACAGACGTGAGCCACTAGGCCTGGCCTATAATTGTATATATTTATGGATACAAAGTGATATTATATGTATACAATGTAGAATAATTAACTCAAACTAATTAACACATCCGTCACCTCAAATACTTATTTTTTTGTGGTAACATTTGAAATATACAATACTGTACTGTACATTATTATTAACTATAGTCACTATGCAGTGCACTAGATCTCAAAAAACTTATTTCTCCTAAGGGAAACTTTGTGCCCTTTGACCAGCAACTCTCTATGTCCCCCACTCCCCGTGGATTGGATTGTTAACAGCCAAGAATAGACTGAGGAAGGAGAACGTGTCAAAATACGATCATGTAATAAAACATCCTCCACTTCCAGTACTTAGTATTTCTGCTCTTTGTCTTGGTTTCACAATTTGTTTTACTTGATTAACTTATTAAAATGTAGTGGTTATTTATTTATTTATTTTGAGACAGAGTCTTGCTCTGTCACCTGGGTTGGAGTGCAGTGGTGCAATCTCGGCTCACTGCAACCTCCACCTCCTGGGTTCAATATATTTGTTATTATAATTCACCTCTTCCTAGCCCTTTCTCCCAAGAACTAAGTCCTCCCTGGCGTCCCACAGTAACGTGAAGACAAGGGCAGCCTGGTTGCAGATCTTAGGTGGCTTCATTAATTTCTGCCATGTGGCAGACTGGGGGGAAGGCCATGTGATTTCTCAAGCCCAGTCCAAAGGAATAGACTGAGAAACCTATAACCCACCTATGGCTAAGTTCTCATTCATATGCAAATACCTTTCCCAGCATCCTCCCCATTCTGCGCCTCCTCATCATCCCAACGGCCCACCCACTATGCTCACCTAGCAAGCGGTGAGAACATTTCCTTCCGCATGGGAGGAACAGGCCAGCCAATAAGGCCTTTGCCTGATTCGGAGTCATTTGTCTTCAGGAGTCCCATCCAGTGACCATTTTCCTTCGGGCTCATGGCATCTTGTGCTTTATGGGGTCGCTGAGTCGCTGACACCCTGCCATTGAATGTGTTGCTTAAATCAGGGATTGTGAACTGACAGCTCAGGAGTTCATCCATCCTGCAGATGTGTTTTGTTTTGTTTGGGCTCAAAACGACGTTTTGTATTAAAAATCTGAATTATTTGCCGGCATTAAAAATTGCAAAGCTTCATCTAACAACTCAGATTCCCAGCTCCTTTGGGAAAACGGAAAGTTCTGGTAATAGTGGGGCAGTGTTTTTAATGACCTGCTGACATGAGCAGAGGTTGGGGGACTTACTCCCTCCTATAAAATGTCTAGGGAGATTTCAGCTTGCAGCGCTGTCCCCTCCCTGGTCCAGTAAACACCAACATTCCAGAAATGCTCAAGGACTCATTGGGAAAAGACAAAGGATTCAGGTCTAAGCATCACACTCTGGCAGGTGGCAGGATAATTCATTGATATAAAAGTGTTTGGAGACCAAGGCAGGCGGGGAGGCTGAGGTGGATGGATGACTTGAGGCCAGGAGTACGAGACCAGCCTGGCCAACACGGTGAAACCGTGTCTCTACTAAAAATACAAAAACTAGCTGGGCATGGTGGTGCATGCCTATAGTCCCAGCTACTTGAGAGGCTGAGTCAGGAGAATCACTTTAACCTGGGAAATGGAGGCTGCAGTGAGCCAAGATCATGCCACTGCACTCCAGCCTGGGCAACAGAGCAAGACTCTGTCTCAAAAAAAAAAAAAGTTTTTTGTCTCTCTACGTATTTCCTAACTGTAAGCAATTTGGCAGGCTTTGTACCTCCTTTCCTACAGGATTTCAGTGGGGCAGACAGCAAAGCAGCCTGAGAATGAGGCTGGTCTGTACTGAAAACCTAAGGCCACTAGGAGATTATAGGGTGTCCTGGAAAAAGAGAGGAAAAGGGAGAGAGCCTTGGAGAGGTGGTGAAGTGAGGGGGCTCACCCTGCCTGAGAAGGGCAGAAAGGTCTGAGGCCCCTCAAGTGCCACAAGGCCATCCACCGCTTAATGATAGCCTCCTGAAAGGGACCACATGGCAGAGTGGCCAGGAGAGGCAGGCCTGTGCCCCCAGAACCCCAGCACCAGCAAAGACCCCATATCTTGTGAAAGCCAGGAAGCAGGACCTGCTGGGCTTCAAGGGACACGCTGATTTGATGTCAGCTATGGCCACGGTAGACCTTCCCTCCTAAGCCCTGGGGATTCTGACACAGCCTTGGAAGAATGAGGAGCCCTCTGCCAGGTGCGGTGGCTCACGCCTGTAATCCCAGCACTTTGTGGAAGGCTGAGGTGGGCGGATCGCTTGAGGTCAGGAGTTCAAGACCAGCCTGGTCAATATGGCAAATCCCTGTTTCTACTAAACATACAAAAATTAGCTGGGCCTGGCAGCAGGCATCTATAATCCCAGCTTCTTGGGAGGCTGATGCAGGAGAATCACTTGAACCCGGCAGGTGGAGGTCACAGTGAGCCGAAATTGCACCACTGCACTCCAGCCTGGGTGACAGAGTGAGACTCCATCAAAACAAACAAACAAACAAACAAAAGCAATGAGGAGTCCTCAAAACTGGCTGAGAAGAAAAGGAATAAAGGACTGACCCATGCTATGACATGTGACCCTTGAAAACATTATGCTCAGTGACAGAAGCCAGTTTCAGGAGACCATGGATTGTACAATTCCATTTATATGAGATGTTCAATATAGGCAAATTCATAGAGACAGAAAGTAGATTAGTGGTTACTTATAAGTAGTAAATGAAAAATAGTAATACAGAAAAAGGAAAGAAAGTAGACTAGTGGTTGCCAGAGGCCGGGGGTGAGGGGAAATGGAGAGTGGCTGATTGGCGGGCACAGGATTTCCTTATGGGGTGTGAGCATGTTCTGGAATTAGACAGTGGTGAGGGTTGTGAATATACTAAAGGTGAGAATTGTGGGCTTTAAAATGGTTAAAATAGTGAATTTTATGTTATTTAGATTTTAGTTCAATAAAAATTTTTAAAAACTTTGATGGAATTTCCTTTTTTTTTGACACAGAGTCTCATCCACTCTGTTGCCCAGGCTGGAGTGCAGTGGCAAGATCTCTGCTCACTGCAACCTCTGCCTCCCGGGTTCAAGCAATTCTCCTGCCTCAGTCTCCCAAGTAGCTGGGACTACAGGCGCGTGCCACCACACCCAGCTAATTTTTGTATTTTCAGTAGAGATGGGGTTTCACCATGTTGGCCAGGCTGGTATCAAACTTCTGGACTCAAGTGATCCACCTGCCTCAGCCTCCCAAAGTGCTGGGATTACAGGCATGAGCCACTGCGCCCAGCCAGATGGAATTTTCTACCCCCATAATGGCATGGTGACCTGAAGTTACAATTCAGTTGACTTAAAAGAAGGAAAGTACATGTCATTATTTTTTCAACCTCTGAATCTGTGGGCCAGGAGTCACACCTATTCCATAACTCTAAGAAAAGGAGACGGAGTCAGTATCCTGAGACACAGGGGAAGGCAGGACAGAGACATTCAGAGATGGGGACATGCACTTTGTTAGAAAGTAGTAAATAAATAAAAAAAAAAACCCTGCCCTGAAGACCAAGGGAAGACTGGTGCTGGCCAGGCTGCATTTGAAATCTTCCCAGACCTCTACTTAAGCTCACTCTAAATCTGATCAAGTTTCCTGTTGGACCTCCTTGACAGCATGTGACATGGAGGTTCACATGCAGGGGTTCCCTGGGGAATTTTAGGTGTCCGTTATAAGAGTCTAGGAATCTGAAGGGGTTTGAAAGCGGAGGGTTTACTACTTGCTACACCCTCGTGGGACAAAACTGGGTTCTGAAAGGTAAGCAGTATGTCCCCTGCTTGCTCCTGGGAGTACAGCTGGTGCAGCCTTCGTCGCCTGAGCTCAAGGAAGGGCCGTCTTAGAAACTCTACAGTCGCTCAGGGATAGAGGGCAGGTTTTTTTGTTTGTTTGTTTTTGTTTTTGTTTTGTTTTGTTTTGTTTTGATGGAATCTGGCTCTATCTCCCAGGCTGGAGTGCAGTGACATGATCTCCGCTCACTGCAAACTCTGCCTCCCGGGTTCATGCCATTCTCCTGCCTCAGCCTCCCGAGTAGCTGGGACTACAGGCACCCACCACCATGCCCGGCTAATTTTTTGTATTTTTAGTAGAGACGGGGTTTCGCAACGTTGGGCAGGCTGGTCTTGAACGCCTGATCCCAAGTGATCCACCTGCCTCAACCTCCCAAAGTGTTGGGATTACAGGCGTGAGCCACCGCGCCCGGCCTAGGGCGGGGGGTCTTGATGGGTTTTATCCATTTTCATGAGCACCTCCTTCTTGAGGAAGTGGACCCTTTCACAGCCGTAAGGGTCATTGTCTTTTGGGTTCCCCCCAAAACATACCCTGACACAAGGATTTAAGTGCAAGTAATTTATTTCGGAAGTGATCCCAGGAAGCATCAGGAGAGGAGCAGGGAAGCTGACAAGGGCGTGCGGGGACTCTGGGAGGCTTAGATCCTACCTCTGATAGGTCCTGAAGTATTGTGATTGACTGTCGGAAGCCTTCTAAGGTCAGCGCCACTGCCGATGCGTTGGTATTACACCTTTGTTACTCCTTTTATCTTAACCGTTTATTTCAAGAGTTTCTTTGCTGATCTGCTCCCAGACTGGTTTGTACCTGGTACCAAAGTTAATTTTCTTTTTTTTATTTTTTATTTTTTATTTTATTATTTTTTTTTTTATTGATCATTCTTGGGTGTTTCTCGCAGAGGGGGATTTGGCAGGGTCACAGGACAATAGTGGAGGGAAGGTCAGCAGATAAACAAGTGAATAAAGTTCTCTGGTTTTCCTAGGCAGAGGACCCTGCGGCCTTCCGCAGTGTTTGTGTCCCTGGGTACTTGAGATTAGGGAGTGGTGATGACTCTTAACGAGCATGCTGCCTTCAAGCATCTGTTTAACAAAGCACATCTTGCACCGCCCTTAATCCATTTAACCCTGAGTGGACACAGCACATGTTTCAGAGAGCACAGGGTTGGGGGTAAGGTCATAGATCAACAGGATCCCAAGGCAGAAGAATTTTTCTTAGTACAGAACAAAATGAAAAGTCTCCCATGTCTACCTCTTTCTACACAGACACGGCAACCATCTGGCTCTATCTCCCAGGCTGGAGTGCAGTGACATGATCTCCGCTCACTGCAAACTCTGCCTCCCGGGTTCATGCCATTCTCCTGCCTCAGCCTCCCGAGTAGCTGGGACTACAGGCACCCACCACCATGCCCGGCAACCACGATTTCTCAATCTTTTCCCCACCTTTCCCACCTTTCTATTCCACAAAACTGCCATTGTCATCATGGCCCGTTCTCAATGAGCTGTTGGGTACACCTCCCAGACGGGGTGGTGGCCGGGCAGAGGGGCTCCTCACTTCCCAGTAGGGGCGGCCGGGTAGAGGCGCCCCTCACCTCCCGGACGGGGCGGCGGCCGGGCGGGGGGCTGATCCCCCCACCTCCCTCCGGGACGGGGCGGCTGGCCGGGCGGGGGGCTGACCCCCCCATCTCCCTCCCGGACGGGGTGGCTGCCGGGCGGAGACGCTCCTCACTTCTCAGACAGGGCGGTTGCCAGGCAGAGGGTCTCCTCACTTCTCAGACGGGGCGGCCGGGGAGAGACGCTCCTCACATCCCGGACGGGGCGACAGGGCAGAGGCGCTCCCCACATCTCAGACGATGGGCGGCCGGGCAGAGGCGCTCCTCACATCCCAGACGGGGCGGCGGGGCAGAGACGCTCCTCACTTCCTAGATGGGATGGCGGCCGGGAAGAGGCACTCCTCACTTTCCAGACTGGGCAGCCAGGCAGAGAGGCTCCTCACATCCCAGACGATGGGCGGCCAGGCAGAGACGCTCCTCACTTCCCAGACTGGGCAGCCAGGCAGAGAGGCTCCTCACATCCCAGATGATGGGCGGCCAGTCAGAGACGCTCCTCACTTCCCAGACGGGGTGGCAGCCGGGCAGAGGCTGCAATCTCGGCACTTTGGGAGGCCAAGGCAGGCGGCTGGGAGGTGGATGTTGTAGCGAGCCGAGATCACGCCACTGCACTCCAGCCTGGGCACCATTGAGCACTGAGTGAAGGAGACTCCGTCTGCAATCCCGGCACCTCGGGAGGCCGAGGCTGGCGGATCACTCGCGGTTAGGAGCTGGAGACCAGCCCGGCCAACACAGCGAAACCCTGTCTCCACCCAAAAAATACGAAAACCAGTCAGGCGTGGCGGCGCGCCCCTGCAATCGCAGGCACTCGGCAGGCTGAGGCAGGAGAATCAGGCAGGGAGGTTGCAGTGAGCCGAGATGGCAGCAGCACAGTCCAGCTTCGGCTCGGCATCAGAGGGAGACCGTGGAAAGAGGGGAGAGGGAGAGGGAGGGGGAGGGGGAGGGGGAGGGAGAGGGAGAGCCCAAAGTTAATTTTCCTAAAGCATGGTGTGATCATGACCTTTCTCTGCTCAAACACCTTTGATGCTTCCTTGTGCCTACATGAAGTCTGAAGCTTTGGGCCTGGTGTTCCAATGGGGCACTGCCCTAGGAATGGGGGATAGAGCAGTGCCTCTGCCCTCACCCCACAGCTGGCCATCTGGTTGGGGATCAAACAATGACAGTAGGATGTGGCAAGTGCTATGGGAAGAGAGGTGGAGAGTGTTCCAAAGGCCCAAAGGACAGGTGCCACAGTCTGGGATCACAGGAGGCTTAGGAGGCAGGGATTGCTGGTCATGCACATATTCCATTCCCCCCTTCTTCCTAACAGAATCTCTGCATTATTGAGCGTGGCAATGGCTTTAGCTAATTGCCACTATACTCCACAAACTTACTTGAGAAAGAAGTGTCCAGTGGAAGGTAAGTGGAAATCACTGGGGGTTCCAGAAAAACTCTTTAAAGGAGTCTGATTCAACAAGAGGCATGCCCTTTTCCCCTTGGTTCTTCCTCTTTCTGTAATCTGGTGTGCAGGTGTGATGGCTGGAACCACAGTGGCTATAGTGTGACCATGAGGGAATCCTGAAGATGTAGGCTATATACTAAGGATGATGGGAGCAGAATGAGAGGAAGAGCTAGGGTCCCTGATGATCTTGGAGCTCTCAATCCAGCCCTGGGCTGATCACCTCTAGACTTCTTTCAGGTAAAAAAAACACAAAAAACCAAAAAACAAAAAACAAAAACCTTCTTTCTAGTTAAACTCTTACTGGGGTTTTCTGTTGTAGTCTTGTTGAACCTACTCTGAATGAATGCAGTATCCTAGAGACTGTGCAATCAGAAGCATTAGCAGAAATTTGGTAGGCAAACTAGGGTGCATGGGGGCTACAAGGAGGGGTTAGAAGGACCAAGGAGGAGATGTGTTCCAGGCAGAAGGAAGACAGTGTTCAAAGGCCCAGAGGAAAGAGTCAGAATAGTTAGGTGTGTCTAGGGCTGGCAGAGAAGGGGTGGGAGGAGAGGATGCCTTAGGTAGGAGCAGGACTTTGACCATGAGGGACCTTGAGGCCTTGTAAAAAGATGGCCTTAATCCACAGGTAAAGGGACCCCTGAAGGAGTGGTGAGTTTGCACTTTAGGTAGATGCTGCGGGTGTGGAGGGGGAGGGGCTGGATAGGAGGGAGCAAGAGTGGAGGATGGGAGACCCCTTAGAAGGCTGCTGCTGTGGTCGGGCAAGAGAAGGCATTGGCTTGTACTTGGCCAGTGGCTAGAGGGATGGAGTGCAATGCGCAGACTAAGAGTTTAAAAGGGGCCGGGCGGCCGGGCGCGGTGGCTCACGCCTGTAATCCCAGCACTTTGGGAGGCCGAGGCGGGCGGATCACGAGGTCAGGAGATCGAGACCATCCCGGCTAAAACGGTGAAACCCCGTCTCTACTAAAAATACAAAAAAATTAGCCGGGCGTAGTGGCGGGCGCCTGTAGTCCCAGCTACTTGGGAGGCTGAGGCAGGAGAATGGCGTGAACCCGGGAGGCGGAGCTTGCAGTGAGCCGAGATCCCGCCACTGCACTCCAGCCTGGGCGACAGAGCGAGACTCCGTCTCAAAAAAAAAAAAAAAAAAAAAAAGGGGCCGGGCACGGCAGCTCACGCCTGCAATCCTAGAACTTTGGGAGACCCAGGTGGGAGGATCGCTTGAGCCTGGGAGGCCGAGGCTGTAGTGACACTGCACTCCAGCCTGGGCTACAGAACGAGACCCTGTCTCAAAAAATAAAAATAAAAATATTTTAAAAGGGAGAATTCACAAGAGTCAGTGGCCTATTGGATTTGGGGGAGGGAGCAGGAGGAGCTGGGGATGAGGAACTGAAGATGGAGACAGGAACCAGAGGTTGGGGCTGAGAATGGTGGAGGGGGAAGAGGATCAGGGCTGGAGGCGTGGGGCTTCAGGCGACGCGAGGTCAGCTGAGGCAAGGGGCCAGTGAAGGCTCCGGAGGGAGCCCTGGCCTGGGAGTCAGACACCCGCCAAGCACGCACCTGCCTGGCGCCGCCTTCGGAAATGTCCTTGACCTCAAAATTCCACTTCTCAGCCTCACCTGGGGGCATTGTCAGCTAATAATATGTGAAAGTCCCTGGCGCTTAGTAGGTGCTCAATAAATGTTAATTGAATCTGCAACGTCACTTCGCTTGCTCCTTTAGACTCTACTGTCTCTGTGCTCATCGTTCGGACGTTTCTCTCCTTTATCAAGAGTTTGGGGGTCAAGTCACAGCCCCTACCACCCTCTGCTGTGGCTCCAGGGCAGCCGGGAAGAAAGGCGCTCATCTTCCCTGAGCCTCCCTGCACTGTCCCCGCGAACTTTATTCCCATTTTCACAGATGGTGAGCAGGCGGCTGGGGAGATGGAGCTGAGTTAGAACCAGGTCTCCCGGCTCCAAGACTGCGCTCCCAGCTCGACAGCATCCAGCCTCCAGCCCAGGTGGCGGGGTCGGGGAGCCGGCTGTCCCCGCTCCTCCGCGCCTCCTCCCTCTCCGCCCCTGCCCCGCCCCGCCCGGGTCCACGGCTCCCGGCTCCCGCGCGCCGCCTCGCGCTCCTCCCCAGCCCGGCTGTGCGTGGAGGCTGCGGCTCGGCGGGGCAGGCGCTGAGCGCACCGCGGCGGCACCCGGCGCAGAGGCTCCAGCGCGGGGAGCCGGGCTCAGCCCCGGCCTGCCAGCGCCGCGGTCCTAGCCCACCCGAGGCCGGCCTGGGGGGCCCGCAGGGCGCGCGGAGCGCCGAGTGCGCGTCGGGCTGGGCCCCGCACCCCGGTGCAGGAGCGCGGGCGCGGCGCGGCGGAGCGCCCCGCATGGAGCCGGCCCGGGAGCCCCCCTCGCGGGCCCGGCCGCCGCCGCCCCTCGCCGCGCGCCCCGCGCCCGCCCCCGCCGCCCCCAGGCCGCGTTCGCCCGCAGAGGCTGAGGCCCGCGGCCCCGAGGGGCTGCTGCGGCGATCCGGGTCGGGCTACGAGGGCAGCACCAGCTGGAAGGCGGCCTTGGAGGGTAAGCGCGGAGCGGCCTCCCTCTCCTGGCCCAGGGACCCCTGCCCAGGCCCGACCCGCGACCCGGAGGCGGTCAGAGTCACCTTGGCCGCTGTCCCGGAGGGGAGCGCTGGGAGCGCGGCGCCGGGACGCGGCGGAGTCATTCATTTCAGGGCGGCCAGACGCCGGTTCGTGGGGTGGGGTGGGAGGGAACCGGGGGCCACCGCGAGTCACAGCCTCGACCCCGCCTCTGCTGCGACTCCCTCTCTGACCTTGGAGCGGGCTTCACGCTCTGAGCCTTCGTCTCCTCACGCATGAAGGGGACAAACACTGCCTGACACCCACCAGACAGGCGTGTTGAGAGGGTGGCGGAATCTGTGGTCGTGAACACGCTTCGAGTAAAGTAAGAAAGCTGGAGACCCCAGAGGTGGTGCCCGCCCCTGTGAGAGCCGCGGGGACCCCGTGGTGGTGGGGCATGTGGGGAGGGCAGGGCAGGGCAGGGGTGGAGAATCCAGGAGAGGCTCTTCCTTGCAAGGTCAGGGGTCACACCTACTCCTCCATCAGACTGCCTCAGGGAGGGACCCCTGGCCTGCCTCCGGGGCAGTAACCCAAGTAGAGAATTGATTTCAAGTTCATGAGCTCTTTAAGGAAACTTGTATTAGCTACCGCCGGCGGCGTGTGGTGTGGGAGATGCAGGAGTTGGTGAGAGGGTGGCTGGCCCTTTGGGTGCTTCTCAGGGTGCTCCTGGCACCCTGAATCCAAGGACAAGGAGGACCTGGGCAGCATTAACTAGGGAAGCCTGGAGCCTGGATCACCCATCCTTAGGGAGGCAGTGTCAGAAAAGGAGGGCTTCCCAGGAGTAGGTGACCTCTTAGCAGGCGTGGAGACAGAGGGGAAGGTGTTCCAGACCCAGAGCATGACGTATCCCAGGCCAGGTGGTCAGAGCTACTCTGTGCCACGTGGGAACTGAGCCCTGGAGTACTGAGATGGGGCAGGGTGGAGAGAGACGGGCCTGAAGGACCCAGACGGTGAAGGGCCAGCCAGGCCTTGCCCAGGAGCTTGGACTTTGTTCTGAAGGGGCTACTGAGGGGTGGAGATGGTGGGCTTGCCCTTGGAAGACTGGTGGTGGCCCAGAGGGGTGGGACCCAGGCTCGAGGTCAGGGAGGGGGTGGGGCAGTGGACCAGGAGGGACATAACCAGCAGCTGGGCCAAGGCAGGTCATGGGGCTGCTGAGGATGGCGAGGTGGGGATGGTAATGCCAGCCTTCTGCACAAAGGCTATGGGCCAGGGGACGTGCACTGTCCGAGGAAGGGCTGTGCAGACTCTGAAGCTGGACCACCAGACAGTGGCAGGGACAGAGGAGGCGAAGATGTTGCGTCACCAAGGAGAAGAGCTGTAGCAGAGCTGTGGGTTGTGAAGAGTTGTGTGGAATGGATGGAGGTGGTCAGACACCCCCCCGTGACGCTGTCTCCGGCTTTACTGTTGGAGTGGCCCTGTGTTCCCACGCTTCACTCCTGCCAAAGCTATTTCTTGAAGTTGTTCCCTCCTCTTGCCTGTATTTCTTCATTCATTTATTCGTCAGCATTTCTGAAGGGTCTGCCCTAACCTTAACCCCAGCCCCCATGGTAGGGCTGCTTCTGGGCTGCTGTGGCCCTTTAATGCCTCCTGCTTGCTGTTCCTGTCCACCTCCTGCCCTGACTTCCACCCCCTTGTGCTTCCTCCTCCCCACTGTGGCTGGGCTGCCCACCTGCCAGTCAGGCTGCAGAACAGACCACACACCAAGCTGGAAGGTCACCCAGAGGCTGCCTGGGGCCCTGAGTCAAGCCCACTCCCATGCTTAGCATCTTCCTGTGGTCCAGCCTTGCCTCACCATGGCCCCCTGCCTTGCCTTGCTCTCTGACTCATGCCACCTGCAGTCCCCTCCCCTTCCTTCCCCTGGTCTCCCCAGGAGCAGTCCCACTCCTGATGGCCTGTGGTCCTTGGGTACTCAGCATCTTGGGCCTACTGACTTTTCCCACAGGAGTTTTAGAATCTGGAGTCTGAGTCTGGCCAGGGGCCTCCCTTCTGCCAGTTCTCTGAAGGTCTTCTTGGGTGCCCCCAAGCTCCTCTCTTCTGAGAGGAGCCTGGGAAAGGAGCCTGAGAGGAGACAGAGGGAAAGGTGTCCCAGACCCAGAGCACGATGTGTTCTGGGCCAGGTGGCCAGAGCTAGTTTGTCCCATGTAGGAACTGAGCCCTGGAGTACTGGGGTGGGGCAGGGTAGAGAGAGACGGGTCTGGCGGACCCAGACGGAAGGAGAGGTCCTCTTCTGGAGGACCCAGAAGAAAGGAGCTCATGGAGCAGGGCTGCTCCTCTCCAGGGTGCTGCTGCATTGGCCCAGTGCTGGCTTTTGTATTTGTCTCCATCATGCATTCATTCTTTCTGCAACATCCGGGTACCATTCTGGGCCCTGGGCACATTTATGTTCTCTCAGAGGTTCCAGGACAGGGACTGAGGCAGTGTGGGGAGGTGCAGGAAGCAGAGCATCTGGTAAAGCTGGGGCAGAGCCTTCCATTGCCACAGGCTGGCGGGCTTTCCAACTTCCTGGACCATTTGCTTCCTTATCTGCCAAGTCAGGTCATGATTTCTACCTCTCAGGTAGACAGAGGCCCTGGAGTGTGGGCTGTGTGTATGGTGACTCCTCTTCCCAGCTGCCTGGACTTGGCCTCCTGCAGCCCCTGCTGGGGGAGCCCAGGCCTAACTGCAACACTTGGACTTCTGGTCAGCCTCCCTTGATTCTGCTTCCCACCCCAAACCTGAGTCCAGAGTTCACGTAATGAAACACTGTCAATGGGAGGAGGGATCTGTCCTTTGGGGACCCAGGGTTATGCTGCCCCTGCTTAGCCAAGCACTTGTCTTGAGAGAAATGGGACATTTTCTGACTTGACTGAGCTGAACCCTCCAAGAAGTCTCTGCTCCTTTATCACCATGTGCCCAATGCACATCAAGCACCTGCTACGTGCTGGAGCCTTGCTGGGGCTTTCATAGTCATCATCTCAGTCCTCACCTCTCCCCTTGCAGGGGGGCTGGTGAGTGTTCTGTTTCATAGATGAGGGAGCCGAGACTGAGAGCCTGAGTGTCTTGCCCAAGGACATCCTTGGTTGCTATCACATGAAAGCCCTGTTGTGAAGGCTCTGACCCCTTCCTGCATGGCCAAGGACGTCAGCCTTGGTGAAGCTAGCTGGGGATCATCAAATTCCCACACACACGCTCTCCTCCCCCTGCTCCCCAGACAACCCTGCCACCTCCAGCACTGACGTTTCCCTCCTTATGGGTTAAATGAGTCAGAGAGCTTCTTAAAGCAGAAAGCTGGGATTAGAGCCCAGGTCTTTAAGACTTTTCTGAGATGAATAACTAGCTTTATAAACAGGAAGCCAAACAGAAGTTGCCTTAATCAAGTCTTTTCTCTCGCTGTAGATATGAACCTTTCCTTCCAGCCTGGGGTATAAGGCTAGAAAAGGTGACCCGGAGAGCCCGCCTGGGTTCTGGGAACAAGAGAAGTGATTCGAGATGGGCATATTTCTGGCATTGAGAGTGGCAGTGGGGCAGAGTGGCCTGGGGGTATGGGAGAGGGGACAGAGTGAGCCTGCGTGCCTCAGCCTATAGATTTTTTAGTGCTCACCGATTCTGAATTTTTAATGTTGAAAGTTTCTTGATTAGGCATAAACCCACAACTTCCTGATCAAAACCACACACATGCTTTTAGCCTCTTAAAAATTTAAAAATTACCAAACTTCACATTTGGTAGTTTTTAACAGTCAAGATTATGCTTGCCAGGCTGTGTCCCCGATGACTTAGAGACAGCAGCATGGGCCTTTTTTGGGATATGAGTGTGAGGATGATGGGAGCTTTGTCTGGGCCTGGGAGTCAGGTTTTTTCAGTTGTTCCTTCTAAAATTAGGTGAAATCACACACATTTAGAAACCTAAATAAACTACACCCTTATACGCCATCTAATATGGGCCATGGCATAGTAGGGAACAAGTAATGAGTTAGACATTTGTTAGAAGTTGAATTGTGTCCCTACCAAAAAAGAGATATTGGAGTCTTAACCTCTGGTACCTCTGAATGTGACTGCATATGGAAATACAGTCTGGCAGATTATTTGTAGTTAAGATGAGGTCAGACTGGAGTAGAGTGGGCCCTAATCCCATATGAACTGGCATCCTTATAAGAAGATGGTCACATGAAGACAAAGGCACTGTATTAGTCCGTTCTCACACTGCTAATAAAGACATACCCAAGACTGGGTAATTTATAAAGGAAAGAGGTTTAATGGACTTACAGTTCCACATGGCTGGGGAGGCTTCACAATCATGAAGGAAGGTGAAGGAGGAGCAAAGACACGTCTTACATGGTGGCAGGCAAGAGAGTGTGTGCAGAGGAACTGCCCTTTATAAAACCATCAGATCTTGTGAGACTTACTCACTATCACAAGAACAGCATGATTTGGGAAAAACCTGCCCCCATGATTCAATTACCTCCCACCCAGTCCCTCCCATGACACATGGGAATTATGGGAACTATAATTCAAGATGAGATCTGGGTGGGGACATAGTTGAACGACATAAGACACACAAAGAGAATACCATGTGATGATAAAGGCAGAGATTGGACTGATGTGGTTGCAAGCCAAGGAGTGCCAAAGTCCGTCAGCAACCACTGGACACTAGGAAGAGGCAAGGAAGGAGCCCCTGCAGAGGTCAGAGGAAGCATGGTCCAGTGCAGCACCTAGAGAAATTATCCCTGAGACATAATGAAGAGGCACCTTGGGTCTGGCAGTGCTGCAGATACATGTACCGATCCCTCTTCCCTGTGTGGTCTTTCCTACAAACTCAGTTGAATTTAAAGTTGACCAAGGATGTTGTCATTTGGTGTAACTAAATTTCTCCCATAGTTTTTGAGTTCCAGTGGGTGCTCTGTAACATGCAGGGCAATGACCCAGCCCTCTTTCAGGCAATCTGAAGGTGAGTAAAGCACAGTCCTTACCCCAAAGCACAGTCCTTACCCCAAAGGAGCCTAGGGCTGATGGTCATCATCACACTGATGGCCTGCATAATCACCGCGAGTTGATTGAATAGAGTTTACCATGCCAGGCACTGTGCTAAGCACTGTACACTGAATTCCTATAACTCTCTAAGAGACAGGTAGATATTATCATTACCTCATTTTCAAGATGAGGAAAATGAACTACAATAGAGGCTAAGAAACTTTACCATCCATACACATCTAGAAAATGGCAGAGCTAAGATTTGAACCCAGGCAAAGTGATGTCAGATGTTATGCCCTTATCTTCAGTGCACAAAGGATTACAGCATCAATGATAGAGAAGAGGCTAATAGAAGGGAGAAGAAGGATGCACTCAGCATGCTCACCATAGGCAGCCATCGTGTAGCTCCAGGAAACTGTGATGAAGCTGCCACCAAGGACAGCAGAGCATGAACAGAGAGAGCCCAGTCCTCCAGTGCAGGCTGAAACCTCTGCTCTTACCATGTCTGAAGCTACCCACCCAGGACTCCTGGTAACTTGCCAACATAGACCTTGCCAATAGGAAAGACTGGAAATGTTTGTTGGACTTGCAGGTCAAGATGGCGAACTGAACACATGCATTTTTTCTTTTTTCCTTCAGAAGCCCACTAATACAACAGTAAAGGGGCCAGGAGCAGTGGCTCATGCCTATAATCCCAGCACTTTGGGAGGCCGAGGTGGGTGGATCACCTGAGGTCAGGAGTTTGAGACCAATCTGGCCAACGTGGAGAAACCCCAACTCTACTAAAAATGCAATAGGTTAGCCAGGCGTGGTGATGTGCGCCTATAGTCCCAGCTACTTGGGAGGCTGAGGCAGGAGAATCACTTGAGCCTGGGAGGTGGATGTTGCAGTGAGCAAAAAAAAAAAAAACAAAATTAGCCAGGCATGGTGGCACGTGCCTCTAATCCCAGCTACTCAGGAGGCTGAGGCAGGAGAATTGCTTGAACCTGGGAGGCGGAGGTTGCAGTGAGCCAGGATTGCACCACTGTACTCCAGCTTGTGTGACAGAGCGAGACTCTGTGTCAAAAAAAAAACCAAACCAAACCAAACCAAACAGCAAGGGGATTTTTAAAAGGCCATAAGGACAAGAACAAGAGAGAAAATAGCAACAAAATAGAGAGCTAAGGAACAAGTGGATAAACGGTAACTGACTTCACCCCATCTGAGAAAGTCCAGAGAGCAGAGGAGTTACCTGAGCCTCATGGGAGGACCTCTAAGGCTCAGGGGTTGGTGGCAGTGCTTGAAGATGGGGCTGAGAACAGGAGGACTGGTTGAAAATTTCTTTAAGGAGGATTTAGATTCCCATTCTGTACAGATTCTCTCCAGCTCTGGCAGGAACCTGAGGTGAAATCTCTCAAGAAAGAGGGCTTCAGCTGGGCATGGTGGCTCACGCCTATAATCCCAGCACTTTGAGAGGCCGAGGCTGGCGGATCACCTGAGGTCAGGAGTTTGAGACCAGCCCGACCAACATGGTGAAACCTCATGTCTACTAAAATTACAAAAATTAGCCGGGTGTGGTGGCGGGTGCCTATAATCCCAGCTACTCAGGAGGCTGAGGTGGGAGAATTGCTTGAACCCAGGAAGCAGAGGTTGCAGTGAGCTGAGATCGCACCACTGTACTCCAGCCTGGGTGACAGAGTGAGACTCTTGTCTCAAAAAAAAAAAAAAAAAAAAAAATAGGGCCTCTAGACATCACCACACTGAGAGCAAGCAACTAAGCCAACATTTACATACTGAATGCTGAGGACAGCATCCCAGCCTCTTCCCTCAGCTAGCCCTGTATTCTCCTGGGGAGAAAACAGAAAAGCCTCCTCCATGGACTCTCATCCATCCAAGAGGAAAAACATAATGAAATTAGCATTCAGAGAATCCCAAGAATCAGCCCAGCCAGATCACTCTACTGTGTCCCCCACAGTTAATAAGCCCCTATCTATGGGCTTGGAGGCTCCAGTGAACTCATTAGTCTTCCTGCCTTAATCATGAACAGATAACTGTGGTCCCCAGACCCCTGAGGAAAGTCTCTAACATGGAAGCTCAAGACCAAAACAGAGGTTATACAGGGAGAAATAATCTTTCTGCTCATTTCCCCCACCCCTCCAAAAAACCTGTCAGTCATATCTTCAGAGAGAAGAGTTAAGAGAAAGTATTGCATCATTAAAACAAGAATAGGATTCTTTAAGAGGGGGTATTCATAGAGCAGCAGCAACAAAACCAAACAAACCTTGGAAATTAAAAATATAGTCACAGAAATTAAGAACTCAGTAGAAGGGTAGGATGATAAAATTGAGAAAATGTTCCACGAAATAGAGCAAAAAGGCAAAGATATAGCAAACAAGAGGGGAAAATAAGATGAGAAATTTGGAGGACCAATCTAAGAGATCCAACATTTGAAGACTATGACTTCCAGAAAGAAAACAAAACATGGAAGAGAAGAAAACATCAATAATATAATTAAAGAAAATTTCCTGGCTGGGCATGGTGGCTCATGCCTGTAATCCCAGCACTTTGGGAGGCTGAGGCGGGTGGATCACCTGAGGTCAGGAGTTCAAGACCATCCTGGCCAACATGGTGAAACCCCATCTCTACTAAAAATACAAAAAATTAGCCAGGTGTGATGGCAGGCACCTGTAATCTCAGCTACTTGGGAGGCTGAGGCAGGAAAATTGCTTGAACCCAGGAGGTGGAGGTTGCAGTGAGCTGAGATCATGCCATGGCACTCCACCCTGGGCAACAGAGCAAGACTCTGTCTCAAAAAAAAAAAGAAAAAGAAAAAGAAAAAAAATTTCCTGGAACTGAAAAACATCACTTTCCACATTGAAAGGGCCTACTAGAGTAGATGAAATAGACCAAACCAAGGCATGGCATGCAATGATGAAATTTTAGAACATTGTGCAATGAAGACCCTAAAAGCATCTAGAAAGAAAATAATTAAGCAGTTGAAAAGGATCATGGGTGAGAATGGACCTAGACTTTTCAAAAGCAACACTGGAGCTAGAAGACAATTAAGTAATACCTTCAAAATTCTGAAGGAGAATTATTCTTGATCTATAATACTCAGTCCTCTGAGTTCACAATTCCATGGGCAACATTCACCAGTTCACCATGGAACACAATGAGAAGCGTTGATCCTTGGATTTGTGCAGTGCAGTGGTTTTGCTCTACCCTTCCTCAGGCAGCCATTGGATGATGTGCTTCACCAAGATGAGGGAGTAAACCAAGGGAGGGGAAGACATGGGAGAAAAGGAACAGAGGAGCCAACATAGGAGAGAGGCAGAGAAATCCTCAGGCTGCCGGTGTGGGGAGACCCTGGATGGCAGCTGGGCTTAGAAGGCAACTAGTCAGATTCAAGCAGGTCAGAAAGTTCCAAGGGACATTTCTTCAAGATGGGTGTTATGGCCTGCACGTTGGTTTCCTCCCCAAATTTATAGGTTGAATCACTAACCTCCAATGTGATGATATTGAGGTGGGTAATTGAGCGGTAATTAGATTTAGATGAGGTCATGAGGGTAGAGCTCCTGTGATGGAATTAGGACCCTTATAAGAAAAGGAACAGACACCAGAACTTCCTCTCTCCGCTATGTGAGGACTCAGTAAGAAAGCGGCTGTCAGCAAGCCAGGAAGTGGGCCCCTACCAGAACCTGACCATGCTGGCACCCTGATCCAGCCTCTAGAACTATTAGGAGAAATAAATGTCTGTTGTTTAAGCCACCCAGTCTATGACAGTTTGTTATAGCAGACTGAACTAAGACCAAAGTGAAAGAGAAATTCCGATATTGTCTCATCATGAAAGAGGCGTTTTGGTGTTGAAATAATGATACCCATACAGAAACTGAGCAAAGGGAAAAGAAGACCAGGATTAACAGGGAAACAAGAAGTTCTATGGAAATGATCATAGCACACGGCATGGCTTTGCTGAGAGTACTGTTTATGCTGAGCTAAGTATATAACACCAAAGTATCAAGCTAATACAAACTATGATATTGAGAAGGCAGGGACTGAGTGGTCAGGGTAGAATGGTAATGCAGAGAATTAAGTCTGCATCATTATAATGGAAAATGAATAAATTATATCTAAAACAGAAAAAAATCTAGAAGTATTTACATACACATGGCACTTAGAAATTTGGAGCTAATACCAAAAGAGTCAGCTAAAAGAGTTGACAGTGGTTGGCTTTGGGGAAGGAGCAATGTTATTACTACTATTATTAGTTTTTGGAGACAGAGTCTCGCTTTGTCGCTCAGACTGGAGTGCACTGATGCGATCTTGGCTCACTGCAACCTCCGCCTCCTGAGTTCAATCGATACTTCTGCCTCAGCCTATCGAGTAGCTGGGATTACAGGCACACACCACCACACCCGGTTAATTTCTGTAATTTCTGTAGAGACAAGGTTTCACCAGGTTGGCCAGGCTGGTCTCGAACTCCTGACTTCAAGTGATCTGCCTGCCTCAGCCTCCCAAAGTGTTGGGATTACAGGTGTGAGCCACTGCGCTCTGCACTATTATTTTTTAAATGAAGCCTTTTAGAATTTCTTGATTCCTTAAATCTGTGCTTTTCAGACTATCTTTGGTGAAGGAAACAGGTTTCTTTTTAAAATCCTTTGTAAAATACAATACAAATGAATAACTAGCAGCAGGCACTTGGATGTCGGGTAATTGCTACAGATTCTTCCTCTCAATTTTGGCACTTATATCATGATGGACAAGTAACAGTTTACAGACAAACATTGAGCTGCAGAGGCACTGTTTTCATCTATGATTTATGTATAACATTGACTAAAAAAACACTTTCAAAGTGGGGGCACAACAATGTAACTGTACTTAACTGTGCACTCAATGGTTAAGATGGTAAAAAAAAATCCAAACAAAATTGTAAAGGGAATTCACACCTGCTAGGAGGGCTGTAATCAAAACAATGCAAACCAACAAGTATTGGTGAGAGGATGTGGAGAAACTGGAACCCTTGTCTGTTGCTGGTGAGAATGTAAAATTATGCAACCAATGATGGAGTTAGTCTTTCCTCAGAAAGAACTACCGGTAGCAGCGGTGGTGTCGGCAGCGGCTGTAGCAAAGAGTTTGGCGCGATGTCTCACACCATTTTGCTGATACAGACTACCAAGAGGCCAGAAGGCAGAACTTATGCTGACTACGAATCTGTGAATGAATGCATGGAAGGCGTTTGTAAAATGTATGAAGACATGTGAAAAGAATGAATCCCAACAGTCCCTCTATCAAATATGACATCAGTCAGTTGTTTGATTTCATCAATGATCTGGCAGACCTCAGCTGCCTGGTTTACCGAGCTGATACCCAGACATACCAGCCTTATAAAAAAAGACTGGATTAAAGAGAAGATCTACATGCTTCTTCATCGGCAGGCTCAACAGGCTGATAAATAATTGTATTGGAAGCATTAGGGGGGTTGGGGGTGGGCTTGGAACACAGGTGAGTACGGTGTGCTGTAGCGGAAGTTTTGTATCATAGTAATCCTGTTTCCACTTTGTTATACTCTAGCCAAGATTGGCTGTATTAGATGAAATGTGAAGTTCTTTTTCCATTTGGAAACCCCCGTTGCCCCCTCTTTTTTTCTTTTCTTCCTTTTTTTTTACTTAAACATTTTTATGATGATTTAGATGGAAGTTGTTCTTCCTCAATTAATGTTGGTTCCAGTCCTTCCACTGTTTATATCTGCTTTATAACGTTCACTGTAGTAACCCTTCTTCAAGATGGGGTGGGGGATGGAAACGCAGTTTAGCCATGTCCTCAAGATAAAATTTTGGTAAAAATAAATAAGTGTTCTTTAGTAAAAAAAAAAAAAACAAAAGAACAACAACAAAAAAACCTACCATGTGATCCAGCAACTCCACTCCTAAGCATATACCCAAAAGAATTGAAAGCAAGGACTTGAACAGATACTCATACACCATGTTCATAGCTGCGTTATTCACAATAGCCAAAAGGTGGAAACAGCCCAAATGTCTACCAACAGATGAATGGATAAACACAACGTGGTCTTGCTATACGATGGAACATTATTCAGCCTTAAGATGGAATGAAGTTCTGACATGTGTGACAACATGGATGAGCCTTGTAAACAATCTGTGAAAGGAACCAGACACAAAAGGAAAAAGATGTTTCCTCTTATATGAGATTCCTAGAGTGGTCCAATTCATAGAGACAGAAAGTAGAAGGGTGGTTGCCCGGGGCTGGGGAGAGGAGGGGATGGGAGTTGTTTAAGGGAACAGAACTTCTGTCTGGGATGATGAAAAAGTTTGCAAACAGACAGTGATGATGGTTGCACAACATTGTGAGTGTACTTAATGCCACTAACCGTACACTAAAAAATGGTTAAAATTGCAAATTTTATGTTATATATTTTCATCACAATTTTTAAAATCCTTAAAATACCCTATGTTTAACGTCTAAAAGGGTTATCTCGTTAAATATAAAATGAGAATATTAAATGATAACAAAATAAAATAAATACATGAAAATAACAAAGAGAGAACCCAGAGGATCAGGAAGAGGATGGATGGTGTAGAGGTGGGTGAATTTTAGGAAGTATCTGTGGAGGAGGTGGAGGAGGAGATTTCGGGAGCAAAGATTCAGTAGCAGGGCTGTGAGGGCTGAACGGGTTATTTTGAGGAACCCATGCGGCTGAAACCTGCGACCGCATAGAGAAGCAGCAGGAGATTCAAGATGGAAAGCTCTGACCATCACTGAAGATTTCATGAGCAGTGGGTAGCCCCCCGGCAGGGAGGGTTTCAAGCCAGGGAGTCACAGAATCAGAGCTGCGCTCTACAGCAGTGGATCGCAAACTCCAGCCTGCATCAGAATCACCTGGAGGGCTTTAAACACAGCTTGTTGGCCAGGTATGGTAGCTCATGCCTGTAATCCCAGCACTTTGGGAGGCCAAGGCGGGTGGATCATTTGAGGTCAGGAGTTCGAGACCAGCCTGGCCAACATGGTGAAACCCCATCTCAAAACAACAACAACAACAAAACACAGCTTGCTGGGCTCTACCTCCCCCTGTTTCTCATTAGCAGGGTATGGGGCTGGCAGTGGGACTGGCGGTGGGATGGGCGGTGGGATGTTGAACCCCTCTCTCTTCTCCTAGACACCACCACACGCCTCCTGCTGGGTGCCATCGCGGTCCTTCTGTTCGCCATCTTGGTGGTGATGAGCATCTTGGGTGAGCATGCGTGTCAGAGCATTTATGCATTCAGTTTGCACATTCCTTGTTAAAAGCACGTCTAATTAGTTAAAGAAAGATTCTAGACATTCCAAGAATCCTGTGGGGGACTAAATAAGTAGAAAATACATAGTGTCAGTTGTTGAGAGTTCAGCTTAAAATAATATATTCACACACAGACTATACATGTCCCCTTCATCAAGCCATGCAAGTAGAGTAGAGATGTTACTTAGGTATTATTTTGTAAGTGTTGTGAGAACTCAGAACAAACTTGGGGTAGGTTAGGAAGACAGTGCTTCTTGGAGGAGATGGTTTGGGAATAAGGGCCTTTAAGGATCATATTCGGCCGGGCGCAGTGGCTCACGCCTGTAATCCCAGCACTTTGGGAGGCTGAGGTGGGTGGATCACCTGAGGTCAGGAGTTTGAGACCAGCCTGGCCAACATGGTGAAACCCGGTCTCTACTAAAAGTGCAAAAATTAGCCAGGTGTGGTGGTGGGTGCCAGTAATCCCAGCTAGTTGGGAGGCTGAGGCAGGAGAATCGCTGGAACCTGGGAGGCAGAGGTTGCAGTGAGTTGAGATCGCACACCACCGCACTCCACCCTGGGCGACAGAGAAAGACTCCATCTCAAAAAAAAAAAAAAAAAAAAAAAAGATCACATTCAGTCAGCATTTATTGAGTGCTGCTGTGTGTTAAGCTCTGGGCTAAGTGCTAAGGTTAAAAAAAAAAAGACGAATATGACACTGTCTCCTCTGTCCAGGGGTAAGTGCAATAATAGAGGTATTACTGCCCAGTGGCTTCCCAGAAGGAAAAAACATGTGCACTGAACCCTGGAGAATGAATAGGAGTTATCCAGAGATTAGGAGGTAGAGAGTGCTAGGGAGGAAAAACTTTTCCTGTGCCCTCTTAAGTTCAGTGTCTGGGGGCCTGTAAATTGAACTATCAAAGACAAATTAGCAGGAGAAAAGGTAACCAATGTTTATTAATATTTATGTTCATGGGAGTTCACAGATAATAAGTGAAACTCAAAGAAGAATTTAGACTCAGGGGCTTATATACCTTTTTAACAAATGAAAGAGGGTTTGGGTTTCAAGGGCTGGTGAATTGAGGGAAGTGACTAGGAAACATATAGAGGAACAATGGGAGATAAAGGCTATTTTGGTAAGGTTTGCTTGTGCAAACTAATCCTGGTGTTGATTCCTTGGCATGTTTGATGATGAGTCACTCTTCCCTCCCTGGTTTAGGGTGGGCAGTGGGGGTATGAGAGGGGATGGGGTGAGGGATGGGGAGTAGGGCAGCACCCTCCCCAAAGGGAAATTTATGCCCTACTTTTAGGGAGATGAGAGGGCAGAGAACCCTTCCTGTTGATTCTGAATTGCCTTCGGCTTAAAATGATCCATATGTCAAAGTGGCATATTTTAGGGTGGCATATTCTGGACCCCATCAAGGAAATAGAACATGCTAAGTGGAAGAGGCCTGAGAAACATAGAGTGTGTGTGGAACTGAAAGGGTTGGATAAATGAAAAAGGTAGAAACTGCAACTAAGAACATGTGAGGCTATATGAACAGGGAATCTGATTACTTTTAAGAGATTCAAATACAAGTGTATTGTAGGTTCTGAAGGGTTTGCAAAAATGATTTTAGTGCCTCTGTCTTTAATCTTTGAGAAATGCCATAAGACCAGAGGTGGAATCCACAAAATGGCGGAAAAGTCCACCAATATTATCAGTTCTTACCAAACCCTCCCCTATAGGGCTTGTATGACAAGGAGAGGGGTTCTGAGTGTTTAGAAATGGATATGGCAGCCGGGTGCAGTGGCTCAAGCCTGTAATCCCAGCACTTCGGGAGGCCAAGGTGGGTGGATCACTTGAGGTCAGGAGTTCAAGACCAGCCTGGCCAACATGGTGAAACCCTGTCTCTACTAAAAATACAAAAATTAGCTGGGCATGGTGGTGTGTACCTGTAGTCCCAGCTACTCGGGAGGCTGAGGAAGAAGAACCACTTGAACCTGGGAAGCAGAGGTTGCAATGAGCTGAGATTGTGCCACGCACTCCAGCCTGAGTGACAGAAGAGACTCTGTCTCAAAAAAAAAAAAACAAAAAACAAAAAACAAAAAAAGGTCCGGGCGTGGTGGCTCACGCCTGTAATCCCAGCACTTTGGGAGGTCCAGGTGGGTGGATCACAAGGTCAGGAGTTCGAGACCAGCCTGGCCAATATGGTGAAACCCTGTCTCTACTAAAAATACAAAAAAATTAGCTGGGCATGGTGGCACATGCCTGTAATCCCAGCTACTCAGGAGGCTGAGGCGGGAGAATTGCTTGAATCCGGGAGGCAGAGGTTGCAGTGAGCCGAGATCGCGCCACTGCACTCCAGGCTGGGTGACAGAGCGAGACTCCATCTCAAAAAAACAAAACAAAACAAAACAAACAAACAAACAAACAAAAAAGGCAACCACTGGGCCTAGCTTAAATTCAGCTGGAGTAACTCCTACAAATTAAATCAGTTTCCTTTTCCCCTCTTACTAGGTTGGGAGGCCAGAGAATGTGTAGACATAGCTAGTATGATTTTAATAAAGCACAACAGTCTCTTAGGAGATCCTTATGGAAAAGCAGTTGAAATGTAGCCACACCATGGTCAGTACTCCCAGGTGGACTTGCATCTCATTGAACAGATATATATGCCAGGGGGTGTCGATGAATGAATTGGTGTCTGTGTGGCTGGAGATCCCCAGGGGCTTGAGTACCAGAGGCCTGTTCTTGGCTCTGTCCTGGTCTACATTTTAATCAATCACTTGTATGAAAACAAACAAAAAGTATGCTTATGGAATTTGCAGCTGACAAAATCCAAAAACACAATCCCATATGACAGATGGGTGAAAGAAATCAAGATTAAAATGTATCTTGAATAACTCAAATGATGAGCCAAAGTGAATGACATAAATGTGGAAGAAATAAATATAAGGTTCTGCATTTGGATTTAAGAAGTTATTTTCACATGTTCTGACACTGGGGGAGACCTGGCTTAGAATCAGATCATATGAAAACAATCTAAGATTGTGGATTAATTCCTTTTGGCAAGGAGGCCCTTTGAGAAGCTCCGGGCTTCCTTCCCAGAAAAGTCCATGTATGCACATACCCGCCGATCTGTTCGTGGAAGCAGTCTGCAGACTGGAGATCCCATGACGACTGGAAGACAGCATGGTGGTCACTGTTGCTGCTGGTAGAGCCACATCTGATGTGTCCCGGTCTGTCCTGGTGGCAGCGATTCAGTGGTAACATGGGGACATTGCAGCGAGCAGGCAGGATGGAGAGCAACCCTTGTCAGGAATCATGGGAGAGATGGCATCTGTTTCAACCTGGATGAGGGAGGCTGGTGTGCTTCTTTGAGTAGGGGGTAGAAGACAGAGCGGGTGTCTCTGGGTCACTCCAGAGGCCTTAGACCAGCAGGTCTAGGTCACAGGGGGACAGGTTGGGACTCAACATTTAAGAACTTTCCATGCACACTGACAGCAAGGGGGTTAAAAAAATAAAAATGAAAAGAACTTCCCAGCAGTTCAGTGGTGGAATGGCAGCCTTGGTAGCTAACATGGGCATGGTTAATGACAGCGGGCAGTCTGTCCTGCTGTTGGTACCTGGCCTAGCTGGAAGGAGAGGACACATAGCCGCCAGACCTCTTCCCAGTCTGAGTTTCTGGCGTTCCATGCCTCTGGGAGTTTGGAGACAGAGGAGATCCTAACCCAGGGGCTGCCCTGCTGTCACTTCCCGTCGTGATGATGCCCCTGCCAGGCTTCCCACAGTCCCCTTTCTCATTCATTTAGTGGCCACCCTTTTACCTCCAGGCACCAGGAGAGGACAGCCACATCTGCAGTGTCCCTGCAGGACGCCAAAGCTGAGGCAGGGGAGGGAGCCACAGAAAGCAGAGTGGGACTCGGGCTGGGGGGGCGGGCAGGGCCGAGCTGGTCTCTTCCCTGCAGCTTCCAAGGGCTGCATCAAGTGCGAAGCGCCCTGCCCGGAGGACTGGCTGCTCTACGGAAGGAAGTGCTACTTCTTTTCCGAGGAACCCAGAGACTGGAACACAGGCAGGCAGTACTGCCACACCCACGAGGCGGTGCTGGCTGTGATTCAGAGCCAGAAGGAGCTGGTGAGTGTGCCAAGGTGAAGGGGGTTGGGGGAAGGGACCCTCAGGGCCCCCAACCTTGACTCTAGGGGACAGCCACACAGTAAAGGATGCAGTGTTCCCTGTGACACGTCTCCAAAGCCGCCCACCTGCTGCATAACCACTTGGGGTGCAGGCAGACCTCACAGTCTGAGCAGGTCAATGAGTGGCTCCAGTTTCCACTTCCATTGTCAAGGCCACCTATTTCAATCCAAGGCCCACTGGTTGAGGTCACTTAGTATTATAAACCAGAAGAATTACACATTATAAAGCTGGTGATGTGGTATCCACCTCTAGTACCAGCTACTCAGGAGGCTGAGGCAGGAGGATCACTTGAGCCCAGGAGTTGGGGGCTAGTCTGGGCAACATAGTGAGACCCTAGCTCTACAAAAAGTAAAAAGAAAATTAGCTGGGCATGGTGGAGTGTGCCTGTAGTCCCAGCTACTTAGGGGGCTGAGGCAGGAGGATCACAGGAGTTCGAGGCCAGCCTGGGTAACATAGCAAGACTTTGTCTCTCTTTTTTTTTGAGACAGTCTCACTCTGTCGCCCTGGCTGGAGTACAATGGTGCAATCTCGGCTCACTGCAGCCTCTGCCTCCTGGGTTCAAATGATTCTCGTACCTCATCCTCCTGAGTCGCTGGGACTGCAGCTGTGCACCACCATGCCTGGCTACTTTTTGTATTTTTAGTAGAGACAGGGTTTCACCATGTTGGCCAGGCTGGTCTCGAACTCCTGGCTTCAAGTGATCCACCCGCCTAGGCCTCCCAAAGTGCTGGTATTACAGGTGTGAGCTACCGTGCCCAGCCACAAGACTTGTCTCTTAAGGAAAAAAAAAAAGAATTACAAATTATAAATGCATTGTGAAATGTGAAAACACATTGTCATTTTCTAAAGATCCAAATCAGGACACGGTCTCTCATTTAACATCCAAAACAGTCTTAGCAACAGAAACGTGAAAGAAACACAATTAATGGAGTCTATTGGCCATTTTGGATTTTGAGGTTAACAGTGGTATTAACCAAAATAGAAGATAATCTAAAAATCACTTCTGTTTGCCTTTGATACACAGTATGATATCCCCAGTCTGCAGGGAAAGTCCCAGAAATTTGCAGGTAGGACAACCAACCTGAGCATTGAGATTTGTCCCAGATCATCCAACCAGTGGGCAATCCCCAAGCTTCCTGCAAATCAGGAATGCTGTCCTGCTGAGCCAGGAGGACAAGCCCTGTACAGCCTTCCTGGCCAGTGGCATGCACACACAGCCAGGGTCCCTTTCAAGCTGTCGGAGGCAACTGCTGTGAGGTCAGCCAGCAGCTTGGAGCCGAATTCTGGCAGCGTGACTGCAGAGGATCCTGTAACCTAGCTCCTTACTTGCGGGATTCAGCGAGACAACAGTCACTCTCCTGGCGTCTGTACATCCCGAGAGCCAGTATCTTCCAAGCTGAGGTTTGTCTTGGGATGTGACAGCAGTCAGGAGACCGCATCTGACCCTGAGGTGTCCCTTTTTCCTCGGTGCAGGAATTTATGTTCAAGTTCACGCGGAGGGAGCCCTGGATTGGACTACGCAGAGTTGGGGACGAATTCCACTGGGTCAACGGGGACCCGTTTGATCCGGACACGTGAGCTGAGGCTTCATCTTCTGGCTACCGAGCTTAGACTGAGAAAGGCCTGACTCACCCCCTGGACACAACTCCCGAAGAGAGAAGCCCTTGTTTTGTGCTAGCTAGAGATACTAGTCTCGGGGTCCAGCAGTGTGCGCCAGAGACCCAGCCATGAAAATGTCTGTACTTCTCCCTCTCTCATAAAAGTCCAGCCTGGCTTGGTGGCTCTGCCCTGCAAAGCCATCAGAGCTTCGCGGTGTCCGGCCCAGGGTCTCTCCACCCTTGAGTCCCTGATCTGTGCAGCCTGGCGCTTGTCGGCTCCACTCAGTGTGGCGCAACCACATCCCATTCAGCCAGAACGGGACAGAGAATGGGAGGGAGGGCCCTGGATGGCCTCACCCCATTGGCCAGAACTTAGTCACATGGCCGCACCTGGCCGCAAGGGAGGATGGGAGATGCGCCTCTGTCCCGGGCAGCCTCGTGCCACCTAAGCACTGTAGCTGTGGAAGAAAGGGGATCTGAAGGCAGGCACCTGGGAGTGTTCTAGGTCACATTTTACTGGCGAACGCATCTCTTGATGGACGGAGCGCTGCTGAGGTGGTGGCGTGTGCCGTGGCGGTTTTGTAAGACTCAAGTGGAGTGGATGTGAGTGTGTGATGCCAGGTCTGGTGTGTGGTGTGGGGGTGATGGTCATGGGCGGAGTGGGTGGCAGATGTGTGGCTGTGGCAGTACAGTGGTGACTGTGTGGGGCGTGGGGAAAGGAGTGGTCTAGGCCGAGAGAAATGCAGGGAAGTGTGCAGAGGGAAGTGGGACCCGCAGAACAGACCCTGTGGCTGGAGGAATAGGCTCTGAGGTGCCAGCCGGAGGGCATGGGGTGGGGTGGGGAACACAGCTCCTAACCCGATGATGATGATGATGCGTGAACGTCCCCAAGGCAGGGGCTAAAGCAGAAGGGCATCTGAGACCCTGGGATCCTCCTGGTTGCCAGAGGTGGCCATCAGCTGCCCTCCCACCTGAGGATGGCTTAGGCAGTCACGCCCATGGCAGCCCTGGAGGCAGGGGCATTCATGATGCTTCCCCTCCTCCTCCTTTTCCTTATCTCAAGCACTCTTCATTTTTGCCCTTACTCTGGCCTCAGTGCCCCTTCCTTATCTCACCCCCTTTCCTGTCCCCCTCTCAGGTCTGCTCTCTCAGAGTGGCTGAGGAGGTCTTGCGCTTTGCACCCCTCTCCCTGCTTTTCTGGAAGCTTCTTGCTCTCAGAGCCCTGCAGGCTGGGGTCCGTGGCGTGCTGACCACCTGACAACCAAGGGGCCGTTGGCCACATTTCTCAGACACTGCAGAGGTCCTTTCCCTTGCACTCCTTCTTGGGGTCCTTCCAATGCCCTCTGTTGTGAGGGTCTACCTCCAGCCTTGGCAGGGATCGGAGGTCCGGGTGAACAACTAAGGCTAAGAAGAAACCTCTGAGGCTGGAAAGGGGTGATTTGAGGTAGGGGGGAATCCTCCCACCACACCCATCTGTGTGTGATGTCAATGAGTTCCTGTGCAACCCAGCCTCAGTTAGCCCATATTGGGGTCATTGCAGCCTACCCCTAACCTGTGAGGGGTAGCTGACTTCAGCCAGCTCTGCAGAGCTCCTCCTGTGTGCTCAACTCTGCGCACTGCAGGGAGCCAAGATGAGAGCGCACAGAGCTCACTGCTCAGGAGATGGCTGCTTTGGGGACCTGTGTGGACAGACAGGTAGAGGCCCCAGGGGGCTATGGGAGTGCCCCACAGAGCAGGCAGGGGACTGTGGGGAAGTAGAGTGGGCAGAGAGTGGCCCTGAACTGGGTGCCATGGAGCCTGGGACATGTGAGCCGACCCTGCAAGGACATTGAGAATGGGGAAGTGCATGTGTGTCCAGGAAATGTCTCAGCAGCGTGCCAGGGTGGCTGGAGCTACGGTGCACAGAGTAGGGAGACAATGGGATGCCAAGCTAGAACAGTCTGTTGGCCCAAATGTCCTAGAAGGCAGCTCCAGTGATGAAGTGAGGGAGGGATAGGTCACAGGGCCTCCATGGCCTCCCCTGCCACTGGGTTTTGGGCTGAATGTTCCAGATCATAAACGCCTGGTCTTCTCTCCTGGCCACAGGTTCACCATCGCAGGTCCAGGGGAGTGTGTCTTCGTGGAGCCCACCAGGCTGGTGTCGACGGAGTGTCTGATGACCCGGCCCTGGGTGTGCAGCAAGATGGCCTATACTTGAGGTGGGTGGGGCCAGAGGTGGCCCCGCCCCTAGGCCTGTGGGAGGTGTCTGGTGTCTGCTCAAGACCTGCTTCCAGCGGAGCCGCCTGCCCTCTGCAAGGCGAAGCGGTGGGTGCGTGGCCTCCGCCCCAGGCCCCTCTCCCAGGCCCTGGCGCTCTGAGTCCCTGGTTCCTGGCCTCCTTTGTCTGCAGGCAGGTCGTGTGGCTCAGCAGTTAAATCCCATATGCTAGGTAGTGTAGGCATCTGCCCACCTACACACACACACATGCATAGGTACACGCACGCACAGACGCTGTCCCTTCTGAAGCTCAGTGTCCATCCTGAGCCACCCCACAGATCTCTCTCCGGCCCCCTAGAAGCCCTCTCCTCACTGCAGCCCTGGTGCTCTGGGGAAGGAGGGGCATTGACAGGTGGTTTGACTGTTCACCCAGCAGCCCCGCTTCCCCACTGGTTTCTCTCCTGGCTGCCGGCGGAGGTAGGCTGGGAAAGCTTCCCCCTCACCTAGGCCGGGCCAGCCCCGCCCCGGGCCCCAGAGGTCCCCTGCATCCCCCTTCTTTGCCTTGCCTGGGTTCTCAGGCAGGGCCCCTGCTGTGTCCGTGGTGCTGTTGTATTGGTCACTAACGGAATAAAGAGTTAATATCTCATGTCCAGAGAAGTCTGCCGCCATTTGTTCCAGAGTCAGAGCTCGGGGAGGGGCAGAGAGGGGCACATCTCTGGGTGCCAGTCTGTGGGGGCTACCACAAAATGCACCTGCTCTAGTGCAGCAGATAGCGGTGTGTGAGGATGAAAAAAAAGCACCTTCTGGCCTCAGGACATCGTTTCATGTTGCTAAGCCTTTAAGGTATTCTTACGTGGCTGTTCCAGCTCCTTCATTGCTAGTCACCTCAAGATGACAAACGTTTATTCACACCTACCGCAAGCCAGACACCACACCAGGCATGGGGGATCTCTGGCCTTAATCCCCCAAGAAGCACGCAAGGAGCAGAGGAAACAGTTCAGAAAGTGCTAGAACATTCTGGAACATAGTCAAGGGATGGTTTATTCTGCATCGGGGCAGGATGGAATGAAGTGAACATGAAAATTAGGTGGTGTTCACATTGGGCTGGAAAAGAGTTTGTGAAAGTCTTATGGCCTCTTCCTATCCCCCTTGAGCTGCCTGGGGAGGAAGCAGTCGGGGCATGGGGTTGGCAGGCAATGCCCTCGGGTCTGTGGGGGCTCCATGCTCTCCTCCACACACACTTGAGGCTCCAGCTGTGGAGCCCAGGCCTCTCCAGCCTCCTGATAACCCCGGGCAGATGAGATGTGGGTGGCCTGCCTGGGAGCCCAGTGTGTGCATTTGGGTCCTGGCCCATTTTCAGAAAATAGCTCAGAGAAACCGGGTCCTGCTGTGCTCTGCACAGTCCTAGTACTGGTTTTACAGTCTTCAGACAAAACCACCAACTTGGGTTTGTTACATTTTCCGCGTGCTTTCCAGATATTTCATAAAATACAGGTGGTTTATGGTTTTATATTTTGCTGTCACTGGGAAGCCAGTGGGGCACCTGAGTATACAATAAAGTAGTTAAGGGAATTCAGCTGGTGATGGTGGGCCTGTAGGGGTGGCTGTGAGGGGCTGAGGGGCGAGGAAGTGGTCAGCTGCTGCCACTTCTCCGGTGGGAGTCCCACACTCCCACCTGTTCTCAGTTACATATAAGCCCGTGTTTCTCACCAGTATCCACCCCTCAAAGACAGTGAGGTTCAAAAGCCTCAGTACTTTTTGCTTTACATATGGCAGCTCCCTTAATTCTTGCAGAGATGCCCGAGGCAGGGCACACTTCCAAAGGTGAGTAAACTACCTTGCCAGAGTCCTGAGAACCACGTGGCCGAGGGCTTCAGAGCCCTGCTTTCCTCCTGCCCTGGGAGTTCAGGGAAGCAATGTGAGAGGACACAGAATGGGTAACCTGTGCCGTTCGGGTTTTATTTTATTTATTATTTATTTATTTATTTTTCTGAGAAAGACTCTCACTCTGTCGCCCAGGCTGGAGTGCAGTGGCGCAATCTTGGCTCACTGCAACCTCTGCCTCCTGGGTTCAAGTGATTCTCCTGCCTCAGCCTCCCGAGTAGCTGGGACTACAGGTGAGTGCCACCATGCCTGGCTAATTTTTGTATTTTTAGTAGAGACAGGGTTTCACCATGTTGGCCAGGCTGGTCTTGAACTCCTGACCTCAGGTGATCTGCCTGCCTCGGCCTCCCAAGGTGCTGGGATTACAGATGTGAGCCACTGCGTCTGACCTGGGTTTTATTTTTTATTAAATGATCCAAAGCCTCCTGCCTGAAGCTTTTAAAGCCTAGTGGCAAATAAGCTCTTTTAACTTTAGGTTTGTCCTGGGACCATGCAACAATTCTAAATCAGTTTGGCAGAGCATGTGCCCTGATCCAGGGTCATCCATGTTCAGGCCGGGTGCAGTGGCTCATGCCTGTAATCCCAGCACTTTGGGAGGCCAAGGCAGGTGGATCATGAGGTCAGGAGTTTGAGACCAGCCTGACCAACATGGTGAAACCCCGTCTCTACTAAAAATACAAAAATTAGCTGGGCATGGTGGCGGGCGCCTGTAATCCCAGCTACTCAAGAGGCTGAGGCAGAGAATTGCTTGAACCTGGGACACGGAGGTTGCAGTGAGCCGAGATCGCACCACTGCACTCCAGCCTGGGCGACAGAGGGAGACTCTGTCTTAAAAAAAAAAAAGAAAGATTTTTTCAAACTCTTTTCTACCAATGAAGGAAGTACAAGATAAAAACAAAACCCTGTACACCTAACTTCAGAAATGTCAGAAATCCTTCCAAGGGTTACAGACCAGCCAGGCCACCCCTGTCCCCTTTGTGGGCTGAACAACAGGCTCAGTTTGCGTGGCCTTGGCACCCCGTGCTGTGTTCTCAGCAGCTAGAGGCAGCAGCACTGAGGGCAGACATGCTACTTGTTTCTGATCCCCAGAGCTCATGTCTCCTTCAGCAAGGAGGGTCTGTAGGACCGCATCTCCCCAAGTCTCGCTCCTTATCCCCTGGGGCAGATTTTTCCTTTTTGGGGTGACTGGCCTTGGAGCTCAGAGCTGGGGAAGGTGCTCCCTAGGCAAATTTGAGCCCTAATCCCAGTAGGCAGGGGGCTAGTAGAAGCCGGAGCACACACACAGCCACGCACAGAGGTACTTTGTGATGGAGGATACCCAGGAGAGACTTTTTTTTTTATTTAATTTTATTTATTATTTATTATTATTATTATTATCTGAGACGGAGTCTCGCTGTCACCCAGGCTGGAGTGCAGTGGCGTGATCTCGGCTCACTGCAACCTCCGCCTCCCAGGTTCCAGCAATTCTCCTGCCTCAGCCTCCCAAGTAACTGAGATTACAGGCGTACACCACCACGCCCAGCTAATTTTTTGTATTTTTAGTAGAGACAGGGTTTCACCATGTTGGTTAGGCTAGTCTCGAACTCTTGACCTCTTAATCTGCCCGCCTTGTCCTCCCAAAGTGCTGGGATAACAGGCATGAGCCACCGCGCCTGGCCTATTATTTATTTTTTTTGAAAGGGAGTCTTGCTTTGTTGCCCAGGCTGGAGTGCAGTGGTGCGATCTCAGCTCACTGCAACCTCTGCCTCTCGAGTTCAAGTGATTCTCCTTCCTCAGCCTCCTGAGTAGCTGGGATTACAGGCACGTGCCACCATGCCTGGGTAATTTTTGTGTTTTTAGTAGAGATGGGGTTTTGCCATGTTGGCCAGGCTGGTCTCAAACTCCTGACTTCAGGTGATCTGCCTGCCTTGGCCTCCCAAAGTGCTAGGATTACAGGCATAAGCCACTGCTCCCGGCCCTAGGAAAGACTTTTTAAGAAGCTTTACTGGGTGGTAGCATTTGGTGCTGTCCTAGAGGATTAACTAGTATTGTATGCATCTTCCTCATAGCCCTGCCAGGTCAGCATGATCAGCCCAGCTCAGCAGCTATGGGACTTGCCCCATAGTATACAGTTGGGAGGTGGCAAAGCCAGGATTTGTTGGGTGGTGGCAAAGCCAGGATTTGAACCCAGACCCATCCCCACAGGGACCTCGGAAAGCTGCATGTATGGCAGGTGAGCTGCATGTGTCAGGTGAGCTGCATGTGTGGCAGGTGAGCTGCCTGCTGTGCTGGCCAGCCCTGAGGATGGAGCGGCACTGGTGGGTGTGCCAGTGGCTGAGAAGGGGCCACCCTGGGAAAGGACATCTGCATGCCCACGGGCAATTCTTTTTCTGGATGACTTTATCTTCATCACACGATATTCAGTGAATTACCCATGGAAGAGTGGGTGATGTGAAGAATGACTTCTGTCCTTCTCTTCCTTTAAGGCCCAGCTCCAGCCTCCCTGGGATGCCTCCCTGGCAGCAACAGCACTCGTGACCACTCCCTTTGCCCAAAGTCTCTGCCTCTTAAGACTGAGCCTCTTACATGGCCCTGTGTCTGTGTGGCCTTGTCATCTTGTGACTCTTCTCTTTGTGTCATCTGACCATTCCTGTCATCTGACCATTCCTGTCATCTGATTATAAGCCTCTCCATAGTGGCCCCTAGATGGCAGGGACTGTGTGTTTTTGGTCTCTTTTTAGTACACATAGCAGATGCTCAGAAATTGCTGTATATGATAATAAGATTGCCTGTAGTGTCATCTGTGAACTATTTGCTATGGTGGGAGGTAGTGATGGCTGGCTATTGTCCAGAGCCTTGTCTTTTTGGTTTTGGTGGCATGATTTCAGAGGCACAGCCAATGTGAGCTCCTTGCTTATGTTAAATGAGCTCATTCACATTCCCTAAGTGTGCACATGCTGGATGGGTTGAGGGTGGGGTGGCCCAAAAGTCCAGGGGTGCTGAGGGAAAGCTGCCTCTATCTCCCGAGTGTCCTTCACATCACACACTAAGCCCAGTGATGAGGAGACAGCTGGAAGAGGAAGCCAGGCCCGGGAATGTTGTCATCAGTGACCGGGGTTGGTTTTGAAGGGTCCTGCGATCACTGGGAAAATCCTGTCCATATGATATCACTGTATTGTTCTGTGAGAGGTGACCTGGTTTTCAGAAATGCCCACTCTCTGCTGAGTGCTTGCACCAGAAGCAGGTGGAGGGGTATCTGCCTGTTTCCTCTTGGTCTGTGGCCAGCTCCAAACTGTAAGTATGGGATTCAAATTGGGAGCAACAAGAAAGCCCCTTGCCACACCCATCAGAGATTCCCCGCTGTCTGCCACGGCAGCCTGGAGTGGACGCACTATATACAGCTCCCAAGGCCTGCCTGAATCTGGGTCTGGTTCTACCAACAAGCAGTTGTGTAGCTCAGGCCGCCACATGAAACCTCTCTGACCTCAAGCTTTACATCTGTCTATAAGGCTGGAATAATAATTGCCCTGCTGACTTCACAGGGCTTTGAGAATTGTAAATGTTAATATTTCAGGGGCTAGAAATGATCTACCCCATCTCACTATCCATGAGGCCCAGAGCAGTTAAGTAACACATCCTAGGTCATGTCACTCAGGCCGTGTGGCTCTCCTGTTCTGCTTTATATTCATTATTGCACGTGTCATGCTTTGTTCAATTGTTTACTAGTCCATCATTCATGCAGAGGTGTGAGCTCCTAGAGAGCAGGGACCCAGTCTCACACTCCTTTGTAGCCCTAGCACCTGGTACATACAGAAGGTGCTCCATAAATGTGTGTTGAATTAAACTGATCTTGCCTCCGGGTTCAAATCCTCTTTTCTTTACACCATGCTGTCTGTGATCCTAGAAACCCACATTTCCAATTCAGCTGCCCACAAAGTAGGAAACTTGCAGATGGTTTTGAGAAAAAGATAAATGAGATGACCAGCCACTTAGGATATCTATTAGGGTTCTGTGGTTTAGAGGACAGACTCCTTTTCAGCAGATAAATATACAACGAAGACAAAATTGGAACAACAATACCTGGAATAAGAGTAATAATAAATTGGAATAACAATAACAACATTAATTAAGAGCTTCTTATGGACTAGGTATTGTGCAAAGCATTGTGCTAGCTTCTGTAACAATACCCAAATTTCAGAGGCTGGCCCTTCACATCTGTGGGTTCTGCATCCGCGGGTTCAACCAACCATGGATTGAAACTATTTGAAAAACAAACAATAAAAGAACATAATATAGCAATTATTTGCAGTGGCTCATGCCTGTAATCCTAGCACTTTGGGAGGCCAAGACAGGTGGATCACCTGAGGTCAGGAGTTCGAGACGAGCCTGGGCAACATGGTGAGACCCTGTCTCTACTAAAAATATGAAAATTACCTGGGCATGGTAGCACACGCCTGTAACCCCAGCTCCTTGGGAGGCTGAGGCAGGAGAGTTGCTTGAACCCGGGAGGTGGAGGCTGCAGTGAGCCAAGATCGCGCCACTGCACGCCACAGAGTGAGACTCTGTCTCAAAAAAAAAAAAAACAAAAAAACCCACAATTATTTGCATAGTATTTACATTGTATTAGGTATTATAAGTAATCCAGAGATTATTTAAAGTGTACGAGAGGATATGCGTAGGTCATATGTCATTTTATATAAGAGAATTGAGGATCTGCAAATTTTGGTATCTATGGGGGGTCCTGGAGCCAATCCCTCATGGATGCAGAGGGATAACTGTATTTCTTGCTCACACCACAGACTACTGTGGGTCAGTGATAGAAACCATTTGGCTCCAATCAGGAGCCATTCACACAGCATGTGCACTGAGGGATGTGATAGGTATGACTGCCCTGCACTAATATTTGTCACTTTTCTTTGTCTCCAAGCAGATGGAAGGACTGTATTTCCTGACCTCTTGAAGTTAGGTGTCCATGTGACTTGCTTTTACCAAGGAAAAGTGACACATTGTCATTTTTAGGTGGAAGCATTTAAGAACCAATGTCTGCTTCATATTTTCCCTCCCCATTGTAGTGATTGATTTGGAGGTTCCATAAGACTGAAGCATCCTGGGATGCTAAGCCAATATGTAGGGGACAGGTTTCCTGGAGAGTTGCTTGGACTGGTTTTTTGTTTGTTTTGAGGTGGAATCTCGCTTTGTCGCCCAGGCTGGAGTGCAGTTGCGCGAGCTCAGCTCACTGCAACCTCTGCCTCCCGGTTCAAGTGATTCTCTTGCCTCAGCTTCTTCCTGAGTAGGTGGGATTACTGGCAGCTGCCACCACGCCCGGCTAATTTTTGTATTTTTAGTAGAGATGGGGTGTCACCATGTTGGTCAGGCTGGTCTTGAACTCTTGGCCTCAAGTGATACGCCCACCTTGGCCTCTCAGAGTGCTGGGATTATAGGCGTGAGCCACCGTTCCTGGCTGGCTTGGACTGTTTAAGTGAGAAATAAGGGCTCTGAGATTTTGAGTTTGTTGCTATGGCATATCTTAACCTGTATTAGACAAGGGCCAGATCTGGAGGTGACACACAAAACTTCTGCCTACATTTATTGGCCAGGGTGGTCATGGAAGGCTGAGAAATAGAGTCTAGCTGTATGCTGTGTGGAGTTAAATTCTTGATTTTGTGAGTTTATGTCTTTCATCAATTTTGAAAAATTCTCCACTTTTATCTCTTTAAACATTTTTTTCTGCTGTACTCTTCTGTTTCTTCTCTCCTTCCAAGATTCCAATTAGGGCTGTTATATATGTGTATGTATGTATATGTCTGTGTGTATATATAAATTTTTTTTTTCCTTCTTTTTTTTTTAGAGACAGGATCTCACTCTGTCACCCAGGCTAGAGTACAGTGGTGTGATCATAGCTCACTGCAACCTTGACCTCCCAGGCTCAAGTGATCCTCCTGCCTCAGCCTCCCAAGTGTCTGGGACTATAGGCGTGTACCACCATGGCCTGCTAATTTTTAAGGTATTGTAGAGACACACTCTCCCTGTGTTGTCCAGGCTGGTCTTGAACTCCTGGGCTCAAGCAATTTTTCTGCCTCGGCCTCTCAAAATTCTGGGTGTGAGCCACCATGCCTAGCCAGTTTGAATATTTTCTACTGACAAGTCTTTGAGTTAAGTGTTACTTTCTTCTGCTGTGTCCAGTTTGCTGTTAGATTTTGTTCAATAGATTTTTCATTTTAGATAATGTACTTTTCAATTCTTCAATTTCTTCTTGGTTCTTTTATAGTTTCCATTTCTCTGCTGAAATTATCTATCCTTTCACTAACCAAATATATTTTTAATTTTTCTTTAACATATTCATTATAGTTATTTTATTTTATTCTTTTATTTTTTGTGCCCCCACAGGGATATAATAGTTATTTTAGAGTCTTTACCTGCTAATATCTGTGGGTCTGTTTCTACTGATTATTTCTTCTGCGGCTTATATTGATTATTTATTTTCCTGCTTCTTCCTGTGTCTTATAATACTTATTTTTTGAGCTATAGTTACATATATGGAAATGCATAGATCTTATGTACATTTTAATGAGTTTTGACAATTGCATACACTCATAAAGCCCACATTCTTATCAATTTTCAGAACATTTCCATCATTCCAAAAAGCTTGCTCATGTTTGTTCCTTCCAGATCAGTCCCCACTCCTTAAGGTAACCACTGTTACAATTTCTTTCACTATAGATTAGTTTTGACTGGACTTGTACAATAGGTGCTCTTGAGTGTTTCGCTTTGTTCAGTCAGTATAATATTTTTGACATTCATGCATATTGTTGCATATATTAGTAGCGCATTTTATTTTTTTAGTTGTAGTCCACTGTACAGATATATTATTTCTTTAATCTTTTCTCCTTTGATGTCACTTGGGTTGTTTCCAATTTTTAGCTATCACGAATGCTATGGCTTGGCTCTATGTCCCCACCCAAATTTCATCTTGTAGCTCCCATAATTCCCACGTGTTGCGGGAGGGACCCAGTGGGAGATGACTGAATCATGGGCGTGAGTCTTTCCCATGCTGTTCTCATGATGGTGAATGGGTCTCACAAGATCTGATGGTTTTAAAAATGGGAGTGTCTCTGCACAAGCTCTCTCTTTGCCTGCTGCCATCAATGCAAGACGTGACTTGCTCCTCCTTGCCTTCTGCCATGATTGTGAGGCCTCCCCAGCCACGTGGAACTGTGAGTCCAATAAACCTCTTTCTTTTGTAAATTGCCCAGTCTCAGGTATGTGTATTTATCAGCAGTGTGAAAACGGACTAATTCAGTCAATTGGTACTGGTAGAGTGGGGTGTTGCTGAAAAGATACCCAAAAATGTGGAAGTGACTTTGGAACTGGGTACCAGGCAGAGGTTGGAACAGTTTGGAGGCTCAGAAGAAGACAGGAAAATGTGGGAAAGTTTGGAACTTCCTAGAGACTTGTTGAGTGGCTTTGACCAAAATGCTGATAGTGATATGGACAATAAAATCCAGGCTGAGGTGGTCTCAGATGGAGATGAGGAACTCGTTGGGAACTGGAGCAAAGGTGACTCTTGTTATGTTTTAGCAAACAAACTGGTGGCATTTTGCCCCTGCCCTAGAGATTTGTGGAACTTTGAATTTGAGAGAGATGATTTAGGGTATCTGGCAGAAGAAATTCCTAAGGAGCAAAGCATTCAAGAGGTTACTTGGATGCTATTAAAGGCATTCCGTTTTATAAGGGAAGCAGAGCATAAAAGTTCAGAAAATTTGCAGCCTGACAATGTGATAGAAAAGAAAAACCCATTTTCTGAGGAGAAATTCAAGCCAGCTGCAGAAATTTGCATAAGTAAGGAGGAGCCGAATGTTAATCCTCAAGACAATGGGGAAAATGTCTCCAGGGCATGTCAGAGGTCTTCATGGCAGCCCCTCCCATCACAGGCCCAAAGGCCTAGGAGAAAATGGTTTCATGGGCCCAGGGTCCCTGTGCTGTGTGCAGCCTAGGGACTTGGTGCCCTGTGTCCCGCCTGCTCCAGCTGTGGCTGAGAGGGGCATTGTAGAGCTTGGGTCATGGCTTCAGAGGATGCAACCCCCAAGCCTTGGCAGCTTCCACATGGTGTTATCCTGGGAGTGCACAGATGTCAAGAATTGGGGTTTGGGAACCTTCTCCTAGATTTTAGAAGATATATGGAAACGCCTGGATGCCCAGGCAGAAGTTTGCTGCTGTGGGGGCAGGTGGCGCTCATGGAGAACTTCTGCTAGGGCAGTGCGGAAGAGAAATGTGGGGTCAGAACCTCCACACAGGGTCTCTACTGGGGCACCACCTAGTGGAGCTTTGAGAAGAGGGCCACTGTCCTCCAGACCCCAGAATGGTAGATCCACCCACAGCTTGCACCTTTCGCCTGGAAAAGCCACAGACAATCAATGCCAGCCCGTGAAAGCAGCCGGGAGGGAGGCCATACCCTGCAAAGCCACAGAGGCAGAGCTGCCCAAGACCATGGGAACCCACCTCTTGCATCAGCATGACCTGGAGTCAAAGGAGATAATTTTGGAGCTTTAAGATTTGACTGCCCAGCTGGATTTTGGACTTGGCTGGGGCCTGTAGCCCCTTTGTTTTGGCCAATTTCTCCCATTTTGAATGGCTGTATTTAACCAATGCCGATACCTCCATTGTATCAAGGAAGTAACTAGCTTGCTTTTGATTTTACAGGCTCATAGATGAAAGGGATTTGCCTTGTCTTGGATGAGACTTTGGACTGTGGACTTTTGAATTAATGCTGAAATGAGTTGAGACTTTGGGAAGACAGTTGGGAAGCATGATTGGTTTTGAAATGTGAAGATATGAGATTTGGGAGGGCCAGGAGTGGAATGATATGATTTGGCTCTGTGTCCCCACCCAAGTCTCACCTTTTAGCTCCCATAATTCCCACGTGTTGTGACAGGGACCTGGTGGGAGATGATTGAATCATGGGGGTGTGTCTTTCTGGTGCTGTTCTCGTGATGGTAAATAGGTCTCATGAGATCTGATGGTTTTAAAAACAGGAGTTTCTCTGCACAAGCTCTCTCTTTGCCTGCCGCTATCCATGTAAGATGTGACTTGTTCCTCCTTGCCTTCTGTCATGATTGTGAGGCCTCCCCAGCCATGTGGAACTGTGAATCCCATAAACCTCTTTCTTTTGTAAGAAAAGAAAGAGTATCACATGCCCAATCTCAGGTATGTGTTTATCAGCAGCATGAAAATGGGCTAATAAAGTGTAAAAGGAAAAAGCTATTATGAACATTCTTTTAGAAGTGTATTTATGTATGTATGTGTTCATTTCTCTTGAATAAATGCCTAGAAGTAGAATTGCTGGGTCATAGGGTGTTCATAGGAACTTTATATATAGGAAGTTGTCAGATCAATTTCCAAAGTGGCTATTCCATTTTACACTCCCATCAGCAAAGAATCAGTTTCATTTGCTCTAAATACTGTTGTCAGCTCCACGGGGTGTGTAGAGGTGTTTCATTATGATTTTAATTTACATTTTTCTGACGAATAGCATTGTTGAATACTTTTCTATTTGCTTATTGGCCATTTGTCTATCTTCCATTGTGAAGGGAATGTTCAGAAATTTCACTCATTTTTAAAAATTAGGTTGTTTGTCTTTTTATTCTTGATTCGTAGGAGCTGTGAGCTTATGCAATATTCTGGATACATTTCTTTCCAAGGTATATGTCTATGAACATTTTCTCCCAGTCCACTACTTATCTATTCATTTTTTAAATGATGATGTTTGATGAACAGAAGATTTTAATTTTGATACAGTCAATTTTGTTAGTTTTTTCTTTTGCACACCTTGCTTTTTTATGTCCTAAGAAATCTTTACCTATCTAAGATTGTGGAGACTTTTCTGCTATATGTTCTAGAAGCTCAATAGTTTTAACTTCTGCACTTAGATTTATGATCTATCTTGAATTGGTCTTTGTATATGTTGTGAGGTATGGATCAAGGTTCCTTTTTTTCCCATATAGACAGCCAGTTTTTCCATATAGACAGCCATTTGTTAAAGAAACTTTCTATTTCCCATTGAATTGCTTTGGTGCTTTAGTTGAAATGAATTGACCCTATAAGTGTGGATTTACTTTCTTTTCTTTTCTTTTTTTTTTTTTTTTTGAGACAGGGTCTGGCTCTTCCCCCACGCTAGAGTGCAATGGCATGATCTTGACTCACCACAACTTGCACCTCCCAGGTTCAAGTGATTCTTGTGCCTCAGCCTCCCAGGTAGCTGGGCTTACAGGCATGTGCCACCATGCCCAGCTAATTTTTTGTGTTTTGGGTAGATGTAGGGTCTCACTTTGTTGCCCAGGCTTGTCTTGAACTCCTGAGCTCAAGCAATCTGCCTTCCTCAGCCTGGATTTACTTTCATACTCTGTTTTGTTTCATTAATTTATTTGTTTATCTTTACAACAATATTGTAATTCATTCTTTTTCAAAATTGTTTTGACTCTTCTTTGGGTTCTTTAATTTTTCATATACATTTTTGTAATCAGTTTGTCAATTCTACAAAAAAAATTCTGCTAGGATTTTGATTGAGATTGCATTGCTATAAATCAGTTGAGAGAGGAAATTTTAACAATGAGCATTTCAATCAATGAGCAAGGTGGCTCTCTGGATTCATTTACAATTTAAAAAATTTTCTCTCAGCAATGTGTTACAAGTTTTAAGGATAAGCTTTTACATATTTTGTTAAATTTATCCTTAAATATTTTTTATTTTTGATGCTATTATAGATGGTATTGTTTTTAAAATTTCATATTCCAATTATTTGTTGCTAGGATAAAGAAATGCAATTGATTTTTGTACACAGGCCATTTATCCTGTAACTTTGCCTGAATGACTTGTTAGCTCTAGTAGATTTTTATGTAGATTGCTTAGGATTTTGTATGCAATCATGTTTTCTCTGAGTAAAGACAGTTTTACGTCTCCCTTTTCAATATTTTTATTATATGGTGTTTCATATTATACAATCTTGTATTTTGTTGTATTTTTTTTTAACTTCTATAAATAATGTTGAGTAGAAGTAATGAGGCTGGGTGTGGTGGCTCACGCCTGTAATCCCAGCACTTTGGGGGGGCCAAGGCAGGCAGATCATGAGGTCAGGAGATCAAGACCATCCTGGCCAATATGGTGAAACCCTGTCTCCACTAAGAATACAAAAAATTTAGCTGGGTGTGGTGGCACGTGCCTGTAATCCCAGCTACTCGGGAGGCTGAGGCAGGAGAATCATTTGAACCTAGGAGGCAGAGATTGCAGTGAGCCAAGATCGCGCCACTGCACTCCAGCCTGGCGACAGAGCGAGACTCTGTCTCAAAAAAACAAACAAACAAAAACAAAACAAAAAACAAACAAAAAAAGAAACAGAATATATATGAAGACAGAAAAGTGTATGTCAAGTGATCCTTTTCAAGGTTACCTGTAATCTAGCATTGCTTTAGAAGTGGCAGCAAATGAGGAGTGACCCTGTAGAAGAGACCATAGACCTAGAGATCTCTGTACATGGAAAACAAGCATTTACAAAATGGAATCGATGGTCTCACAATACTGGATGAAATTTCTAGTTTCTAGCTATCAGTTTCTTCCGTATAGAATGAGGGTTGGGGTTGATGCTGAACAGTAGATTTTTTTCATCCTCAAGTAGTGCAAGATGGTGTATGGGAAGCCATGAAGGAAATAAATTTCCTAAGAGGAAGTTTGTGTGGTCCAAGTTGGATATAAAATGTGTGAGGCAGGTGAAAGAAAGAGTCCCAGATTCCTTTTGTTTCTTGAGACAGTCTCGCTTTGTTGCCCAAGGGTGGAGTGCAATGGTGTGATCTGGGCTCACTGCAACATCTGCCTCCTGAGTTCAAGTAGCTGAGATTACAGGTGTGAGTTACTGCGTGCGGCACAGATTCCTTCTTTAAAGCCAAATGCTGGCAAAAAGGAAGGACTGAAAATGAAAGTTAAGAGACATGAGGACATCCAACCCTAATAGTGTTACATCTACACTTTGCTCTTAATGTATGCTCTGCTTTTATACTTAATGTTTGCTTAAAGTTAGCTATTCTAGTAAAGGGTTGGAAAACACATATAAGCTGGACTGTCATAAAAAACTTTACACTTGTTTGGAACAGGCTAGGGCATAGCTGCTGACACCCAGCCATGTGCCCTAAAAGCAAGGAGGGGTTTGTGATGCAGGAGCACGCCCTCTAGAGCCAATGCCGCAACAGGGACCACCACAACCTGGCTGCTAAGTGAGGGCGCCATTTACTTGTTTGCTTGGTCTTTCTCTAGGGGCCGCCTTGGCTATTAAGCAGCTTATCATTTTTATTACCCCAATATTAAATATGCTTAAGGGAAATATCGACAACAGTAAGTTTATCTTTTCACTTTAGACTTAAGCAACTTTATGGTGCACGAGTGTGAGCTCCTTGGATACAGCTACACTGCCTTCCCCTTTGACCCACTCGTATCTTTTTTTTTTTTTTGAGATGGAGTCTGGCTCTGTTGTCCAGGCTGGAGTGCAGTGGCATGATCTCGGCTCACTGCAACATCCACCTCTTGGGTTCAAGCCATTCTCCTGCCTCAGCCTCCCGAGTAGCTGGGAGTAGCCACCACACCTGGCTAATTTTTGTCTTTTCAGTAGAGACGAGGTTTCACCATACTGGCCAGGCTGGTCTTGAATTCCTGACCTCAGGTGATCCCTCCGCCGCCGCGCCAGCCTGGCCCACTCGTATCTCACTGGTGTGCAGAATCTACTTCCCTTTCCATTTCCACACAATGTGATTCCTCTCAATGCATTTGTCATAAAAATGACAAAATGCATGATGGAAGAATTCTGAAGCTTTATCCGAATGTGTTGCATGGATTTTATGTAGTTTACATTTTACCTGAGTTGAATTTAATCCGAGTTGAAGTGTGGGCCACATTCAGGGTTTTGTTTTTATTACTGGAATTCTGGGAGATGCTGAATTTGGAGAGTGGAAAGGTGGGTTGGGGGTTGGATGAAGGTGGGCTGAGGGGTTTGTTCATTCACCCGAAGGTTCATTGACCACCCACTCTGTGCCTGGCATCATAATAAGATGCCCTGGAAACAGATGAAAGACAGATCTTTACTTGCAAGAATGTTAGGGTTTTGTAGGGAAGGAAAATAAGGGAAGCAATGTTGACAGTGTGGCCTAATGAGAACAATGCACAAGGCGCTGGGAACCGAGACCTGCGCTGACTGCCTCAGTCAGGAGCGTTAGGGCAAGCTCCCTAGAGAGGGCACTCAGGCTGGTTCTTGAAGGACATTTAGGAGACACGGCTGAAGATCTGAAAGAGGGAGGGGAGACTTGACGGAGAAAGAGCCCTCGGGAGAGAGGAAAGGACGGGGGAAGCACAGGGCCTTCCTCTCCTATATAGGGCTGACGGGATCCGAGGCGGCAAGGCAGATGCCACTGCGACTGGAGGAGGGGGATGAGGGCACTCTGTCCAGCAGCCTTAACCTCTTTGGGTTGCCTGGGGAGTAGAGGTCTCATGAGAGTGGGGCTCAGGGCCTGGAGAGATCGGTGTTTCCCATTAGCCACAGAAGTTGCTGCTGGAACAGAAGACCTGGCGAAGCTGGAGGTTATTCGTTTTCAGGGCTTGGTGGTCTTCCCCAGCAGCCCTCGGAGCAGAGGTGGACAGCAGAATCACTGAGCCATTGCGAGGGGGTGTGGCAGAGGCAAAAGGCTGTGAGCTGAGGGTGTAGGGGAAAAGGTGGGTGGAGGGAAGGGCTGTGGAGTTTAGTCTGGCCAACCCAGAGGCACAGAAGACCGAGGGCTTGGAACCCAGAGCTCCCCAGACTTGAAAATCCTGGAAATGGAAGCCAGGATGAGTGCTGGGTGGAGAAACAGGACACCTTGTGCATTGCTGGTGGGAATGTGAAACGGTACAGCTGCTGTGGGGAACAGAATGATGGGACCCCAAAGGGTTAATCTTAAAATTGCTGTAGGATCCGGCAGTTCCCTTGTGGGTACACTCCCGGAAGAACTGAAAGCAGGGATTTGAACAGATCTTTTGCACACCAATGTTCACAGCAGCATTTGCACAACAGCCAAAAGGTGGAAGCAACTCAAATGTCCATCAACAGATAAATGGATCAGCCAAATGTGATCTCTCCATACAATGGAATATTATTCAGCCATGAAAAGGAATGGAATTCTGATGTATGCCATAACATGAATGAACCCTAAAGACATTATGCTAAGTGAGATAGACCAGACACAAAAGGACAAATATATGATTCTACTTACATGAAATATCTAGGATAGGCAGATTCATGGAGACAGAGTAGAAGGGTGGTTGCTAGGCACCGGGTGGAGGGAGAAATGGGGAGTTGTTAATGGGGACAGAACTTGTGTTTGGGATGATGAAAAAATTCTGGAAATGGTGGTGACACCTATACAATAATGTGAACGTATTTAACGTTGCTAGTAGTCCACTTAAAATGGTAATTTTATATTATGTATATTTTACCATAATTTAAGACAAAAAGAGTGTCAGAAGGCTGGGAAACCCCAGTCCCAGCAGGATGTGGCGTTTCTTAGGCTTGCTGAGGTGGAGCTGCTGCAGGCACAGCGCCTGGACGGGGCTGTGGCGCACGTAGCTCAAGTGCGCAGTGGCAAGGGCCCTGGCAATGGGCCAGCAAGCCACGAGGCTCCGGGTGCTGATGGTGTCTGGTGAGACGGCAGGGCCTGGGTGCGGAGGATCCGGGATGCATATTGGAAAGCTTCCAGGACAGCAGGTGACAGCCACACCTTAGGTGTCAGGGACAGAGATTGGGAGCAGATGGGGCTGAAATGGCTTGGAAGAGGCAGCAGGAAGCTGGGAGACTCTTAGCCCCACTCAACTGCATGGGAATTGGTAGTAATGTGATCTCAAGGCCCCCCACCTCTCTCTGCAAATGTTCAATGCAGTGGTGGCTTCTACACATTTCCAGAGCCATTAAATAATCTCGGCCCGGCGCAGTGGCTCATGCCTGTAATCCCAGCACTTTGGGAGGCCGAGGCAGGTGGATCATCTGAGGTCAGGAGTTCGAGACCAGCCTGACCAAAAAATGGAGAAACCCCATCTCTACTAAAAATACAAAATTAGCCGGGCGTGGTGGTGCATGCCTGTAATCCCAGCTACTCGGGAGGCTGAGGCAAGAGAATCACTTGAACCTGGGAGGCGGAGTTTGCAGTGAGCCAGGATCGTGCCATTGCCCTCCAGCCTGGGCAACAAGAGCAAAACTCCATCTAAATAAACAAACAAACCCCAAATATGTTACTTGTAACAATAACCTCTTCGCTTTTATGACAGGTCTGGTTCCAGGATAAATAAGCATGCCAGGCAGGTGTACAGTGATTTCAAACAGTTTAATGTAATTCCAAGACAAAGTGTGATTACATTTCTACACATATACAATATGCATATGTGAGTTTACAAATTTTAATTAATAAGTCATTTCACCTCGGAGACCGAAAAAATGATCAAAAAGAAACTATGAGTAACAAGCTATAACATAGTTCACCACAATGGGACCCCCCCCCCTTTTTCTCACCCTACAGTTAGTAATATTACAATTAAAATAACTATATTCTTCTATATTTTTTCTGTTAAAATCATCTCATAAATTTACAATGCTATTATTAGTTTCCAAGACTAATATAAATTCACTCCATTTTTCTACAACGAAAATGATTAATTTAGAAGCACACGACGTCATGATGAAAAACACAAGCATTTTAGTAGCAAGGACTTGATCAGTTAAGAATTAGTTTTCTTGTAAAACATTCTAAAGCCAAGTAAAATATCCATTCTTATAACATACCTATAATATGAGACTAAGGAATAGGTTACATATAGGTCTACAACACATTGGTTTGTCTTTAAAAAAACAAAAGTAGACATTTATAAATAAAAAAGAGGGACAATTCACATAGGAAAAAGAGGTACACGAGAAAATACTGTTGCACGCAATAATTTTCACACAGATTAACATGGATTAACACTTTTTATTACAGAAACCGTACGGTGAAGGAACACAACAGACCAGGGCTTTCATAGGGTTATTGAGATTGAGCTGAGATGACCTGGGAGAGAAAGATCTAGGTGAGATGACCCTGGGGAGGGAGCCACGTTCCTTGGACCTGGTGACTTAGTGTCGCCGGGTCTCCTCTTCCCTGTTCTCATTTTGGGGAGTGAGTCTTTCTATCCAGTGTCCTGAATTCATGAGCAGTTGAAAGGTAAACATTTCTGCAGATCCATTCTCTTTCTATCCTAATGGATACCATTTTTGGAAACGTGACAGAGTATCAGAGGCTGCAGCTCAGTACACGTGGTCAAAGCAAAACGGGATGGAAACTTCCAGTCACTCTGATTTGTTGCCCCCGTCACCCACTGATGCGCTTGAAGCTGGGACCCAGTGAGACAGCAGCAGCACCCTACAGGGCCTGCTGGCTCTGCCGTGGTGAGGTGGATGACAAGGGCCCGGCGCCACGCCTCAGCCCCATGTGTGCGGAGTGGCCTGGGACACAGCCCATGCACGTCCAAGACACCAGTCTTGACTCCGACCTCTAAAGAGCTCCTTCTCCTCATCTGTAAAGCTATACTTCTCCTATCCAATTTGGTTTGATATATATACACAAACATATATATCAACATCTATCTCTATACAGTGATTCTACTAAATTAGAAATTCTGCTGCCCCAAAGTATGACTTTCTTGTCTATTTCATTTGGTTAAAAAAATGCACACACAGAGGATGAAGAGATGATTTGGGGGCTAGAGATGACTGTGCCCTGGAAAGTCCATGGAAGAAGCTTGAAGTGAGCAGGAACACAAAAGGGAGGAGAGCAGAAACGGGGGACCGACTGACTCAGGGCAGCGCTGACGGGAACATCTGCTTGGGGTGGGGCGGGGCGGGGGTGTGCTCTCTGTTCCATTTGTTAGTTACAGGAAGCTACCAAGGATGCACATGGTCAAGTCACTTTCTACTTCCCAAGTTCCTCCTTATAACCTGAGCCAAACAATTTCAACAATGACAATCCATTGCCCCTTCAGCCCAGCAGGCGACTCTGACAGGGAGGTGTGACCACCAGTCTCAAGGCTGAGTGGGGCCTTCTTGCTGGCTCTCGCGCTTTCTGGGAGTCCTGGGTGCCTTGGCCCAGGGCAGTGGTGACAGCAGGGTGGAGGCAGAGGTGGCCCCGGGGACAGTGACCCTATATAAGGAAGGGGGCGGTGCCAGGAGAGATTCGTTTGGAGATTGGTTACAAGGAAGCGAGGGAGAGCAGAGGCAGAGCCCTTTTTCAGATACAACATACTTACTTTTCAAATGAACAAAAGGCAATTTCTATGTTTTAAAAATATAAGCCCCAAAAACAATGACACAAAATTCATTTGGTTAATTCATGTAAAGGAAAAAACAGCAACACCACCACACAAACAGGAAAGTGGGAGTATGATTAGGAGGGGTGAGATGAAAACTATTTTACAGTAACATTTCCACCAAAAGACTGTCCTAAGAACACGCTGTCAATACAGTTCACAGGGAAAAAGCAAATGTGGTATTTTTTTGTATTTTTTAAAAGCTCCCTGGTCCCAGGTGTTTTGCAGTTTTCAAGGTCTTATCTGCTAAAGGAATGCCCTTTAGGTCACAGCAGGTCCTCTGCAGTTTGGTGGTGGCACAAGAGAAAACATAAAAGAAACCAAGACTCAGGGAAACTGCCATTCCCCCAGTCTGTTTCTGCATGACAGTGGGGCCCATTCCTGTCTCGAAGCATCTTCTTGTTCCAAATATGATGTCTGTTTAGAGTGGGTCTCAATGGACCAGGCTGAGCTGCCCCTCTGTCTCTGCCTCCTCCTGCTCAGCCCTGACCATCTCTGAGAGGATGCTAAGGTCCCCCTCCCACCGAACTAGACTTTGAGTCTAAGCTGGACAATGAGTAAAACGTAAACATAGCCTTTTACATTGATTTTGCTTTTAAGGGGAAAACGAATAAATGACAGCAGATATATGGAAAACCCAGCCAGCGACCATGGGAATAGGGGTATATGGTCCTCCCCTACAAAACGCTGATCAAAATATCACCCCCGGCCCAGAAGTAGCAGCTGTGCCTTCATGGTCACCTGAATCCCAGTCTCTTCTACTGCCTGGTGCCTGGAAATCAGTGGATCTATTAATAAGTTAAATATTCAAATCAAGACAAAAATCAATGAACCAGGTTATCTGTTCTCAATGACTCTTCCAAGATGTCAGAGAGAAGGCCTTGAAGACAAGTGTTTAGACGACACGCATGAGACCTTCGCATCTGGCCCGGGCTGCGGACTCACACCTTTTCCCTCCATCTGGATTGCCTTTCATGTTCTCTTGAGTTCACGTGGAAAGTAATAATCCAGAGGGAAGTGCGCATGCTGGACTACAGAAGAGTCTGGGACAACACACTTGCCTTGGGGGAGACACAACCTCCAACTAAGAGGCATTCACTGGGGTTTGCGGATGTCAGTTATAAACAGAACTTTTCTTTAAAAAGTACCAGTCTAAATGTAAACTATAAAACACTTTAACTATAAAACGTAGCCAGAAATATGCTTAAGTATCCACAGTCAATTGTTTAGTTTACTCATTTAAAATGTGACTGTTTTGATAGCTTAGAAGGCTAACAGCATTTTACAGTAGCTAAAAACATATATACTTAACATGTGCATTTGAACATCGCATTTGAGTACAACACACAAAGAATAATCTCTTCCTTGGTTTAATTTTTGTTGTAAAGATGAGCTATTTTCAGAATTCACTTAAGCAACGATGACCGGGGGTATGAAGTAATCATTATTTTCAGCCCACAGAGAATTCATAGTCTTTAAATTCCAAGATCAAGCTGGCTACATGATTTCAAAAAAGGCTAAAACCAGGATGAATGCCCACATTTGAGGTAATTATTGCCATTAGGTCACAGTTTGTGTAAGATAATGTATCTAAAACCTTCTAAAAAAAAAAAAAATCTTTAGGTGTTCTGCCAGAATTCCAGAATACCTATTGAAACCAACCAGGATCTCAAACTCCGATTAGTTAGGTTTGCTTCCAATGGAGTTAAAGTTCTAAAAGATTCTAGAACTTGTGTAAACTACCTAAGAATTTAGGCAAACAAGCCTGGAGCCAGTCAACAAAGAAGGTTTTAAATGAAAAAAGGAACAAGAAACCCACTCAAAACAACTGAACAAATATTTCATAATAAATGATAATAGTTATTTTAAAAAATTAAAAATCTAGTCCTAAGCATTTCTACATTCTCACCATCTTTCAATCAAAATAAAAATGCATCTGTATTTCTGTTAATCTCATACCAGGGCAAGAGACACGCCTTCCTTTTATCATGAAAGCTGGCTGGTTTTCCTGTTTATACAATTGTTGCTATTTCTTTGAGAAGAGTATCTCAAAAGAAAACATTCTTTTGTTCCTCTAAGTCTTGTCTTTCTTCCACCTCTACTTCTTTTTTTTTTTCTTTTTTTTTTCTTTTTTTTAACAGAAAGAAAAAAGTTCCTGGACACCAGACCCACATATGGTATTTACAAATTTGGTGTGAACCCTGCCTCTGGTTCTGCCCAGAGCTGAAGAGTGAATCTATTACAGAGATCAGAGCTGTCAGGATAATTATCAAGTGCAGTAAAAAATAGCATTTTGAAAAAAATATATACCTTTAGTATTGCCTTTCTAGAATTAACTATAAGCAAGAAAAACTTATTTTTTAAAGAAGAAAAGAATACTTTTTCACTCTTACTTATAAGAGCTGGTTGTAGCAGCACTACTAAAGCTAGTTGGTATGCTGGAAAGAAATCTAAAAGGAATTCTATGAATCAAAAGAAACTCTCCAGAGATTTTCTCTAAAAATCAAACGAATTCTGCCCCTTTTGCCTAAATCCAACTCAGGAGCCCCCTCTTTGCACAGTCCTTTAGCTGAGTCCCACGGTGCATGGGATGGCACAGGGTGATGCTGTGTAAAGGCCTTTCTTTGCTCAGACATGCAGGAGACAGCTGTGGCTAATGGCTGCAAGCTCAGTTCTGGAGCTGGGCAGACTCAGGTTCAAGCCCTCCTCGCCCCTCAAGAGTTGTGTGGCTCTGGGCAGTTTCCTTGGCTGTAGGGGGACTAATATTGCCGATCTCACAGGGCTACGGAGAAGATGAAACAGGACAACCCATGAGCAATTCCCAGCACAGTGTGTGGCATGCAGGAAGCGGGAGTATCACTAAATGGTTCATAGAAATATGAGGCCACGCATTGCTATTAATTAAAAAAAGTTAAAAGATTAAAAATCACATCTCAGGAAGGGCCTGATGAACAAAAAAGGGAACCTTGGGGATTCTGGCCCATCACTGCTTTATCCTTCCTTCAACACCTGCCACTTCTCAGAGCATCCGGTCAGCTCCCTTATCTATAAATGGGGGCTGTTATCCCCCTCCCTGTGGGATGGCTGTTGGGGCCCCTTGAGACAACGCTCATAAAGGCCTTAGCCCGGGAGTCATGAAAGCATTCAACAAATGTTGGCTATTATTTACTTGAGAGATATTGCAAATTTTAACAAATAAGGGACAGTCAGTGTCATGTTCAACACAGGGATCTGAGATGAGGGGCTCCCAGAGGCTTGGGCAAGTCCAGCGGGGGGCATCGGGAAGACCCTCTCTGGTGCTGGTGTTCTGGGACGGGAGCCCTGCAGGGGGCACTTCTCTGCAAACTCTCACTGGGTTTGAGGGAAGAACGGCCTGGAGTTCTTTTTTGAACTTTTCAGAAGCTGCAACAAGAGAAACCTCTACTATGCTGGGTCCCTCTAGTGAGCCACGGTGCCAAAAGCCTCCAATAGGTTTTTTTTGCATTTAAATCCTGTTTCACCGCCTTCCATTCTCTAGTGGCCTGAGATTTTACTGAGTCTGGTCTGTGGAGATGAGAAGTGAGAGTTCTAAGGCATCAAAGTGGAAAAGTACTGCTATTCCGAGCCCAGCCCCCGCGTGCTCTACGCCCTTGATGCAACTGAACTCCTGGCAGCCCTGCTTTGCTCTCTCCCATGGTGGCCTGGGATTAGTCAAGCCCACGTATTGGTATGGCACCTTGTCTCCCGATAGCAGCAGCATCGAAGGGGTCACCTCCACTCCTCTTAAAAGAATAGCACAGTTTTGAAATAAATGCATTTTTTTTTTTTAAAAAAAAGGACAGAGAGGAAAGAGAAAGACAAATAGAATTGCATCACTAATGATGTCATTATTGCCTGGAAAGGAACGAAGGGAAGGCCATTTTGTCCATTTCTGGAGGCGTCTTTGAGAAGGGTTCTTTGGCTAAAGAAAGGAACAGTTTCACCTTCCTTTCCAATTTGGTAAGGACATCTCTGGCCTGCTCAAGTTTGAAGCTTCCCCATCAGAAGTCTGTAAAACACACCAGAAGGAAAAGACACAGACAGGGAATGAAGCCTGCAAAGTCCCTGGGGCTGGAATGTCTTGTGGCCAAGTCACTCCTGCTGGCGCTGTGGAGTCCCAGGCTGGCCTGCAGAAGGAACCCTTACCTCTCCTCAATTCTCTCTGCTAGTTGAGAGCACCGAGCCATTTCCTTCTTTCCATTTTCTGTCCTAGGGTCTACTTGACAGGCCAACAAGAGTGGTGGTCCCACACCCCACCCTGCCCTCAGCATCAGACAAAGAGAACCTGGGACAAAAGCTGGGGCGAGCTGGGTCCCCACGTCGCTCTCTCAACCATGAGCCATCAGTAATACTTCCCGAAGCCTCCTCATCTCCTCCCTCCAGTTTCCAAGAAAGTTTGTTCCACTCACTCACACATGCTCACACGGCCTAAATCTTCCACCCCAAGCTTGTTCCAATATGAGTGTTTGCCATTCCCAAGGTCCAACCAAGGGAAATCGTTCTGTCAGCAGTTGGGCTAATCTCCCCTTCCCTTCCTGATGTCCATCCGTCTCACACGTTGGTGTCTGGGCGGGCTGAGTCTTCTAGGTTGAAGAGGACAAAGGTCAGCTGGCTCCCCCAGCCCGTGAACACCTCAGCCACCAGGAAGACTAGAAAGGCTAACAGTCCAGGAGATGAATGCCGCTTTGCTCCAACCCTTCTTTTTCCTCTGAATTCCACTGACCGCACGCTCCACTTCACAGTATTAACTGGCATCAAGCCTCGACTCTCCCACCCCTTGATCTGCTCACCCACTTCCCTTGGAAACATCCAAAACATCATGAAGAGGCCCTAAGCACAGAGACATGGGGGCCCACGTCCAGACGGGCCAGTCAGAACCCAGTGAGCAGAAGCAAATTGCCCTGCGGTTCACCAGGCTCCAGTTAAACACTCCTCCGTGACCTGACATTTCAAATCTTCCCCTCTTCCTCTGAACAATGTCTCTTCAAATGGGAAGGAGGGAGCCCACAAAAGACTAGAGGATGCTCTAGATGATTCGTGGGCTAAGTAAGGACTAGGTTGGCATCCCTCTGCTTGAGAGCTTGGTCCTAGTGACAGCAGCCTATTTGCTAAGGTGACTCAATGGCAGATTCGGCCAGGTATGCAATTGGGCATCCAGGGAGCTGGCCTCTCCTGCAGGGAGCTTCTCTTGGGGCTTCTGATGTGGCAGCTCCATGCATGGGGGTAGAGGAGGCCATTGGGTGAGGACTAGGAGAATGTGCACTAATGTTTGCTGAGCGTCTGTGGGGCTGGCATCGCCCAATACTTCCCTTCCCTTCCCTTCGGTGAAGCTGGCTATTTCACCCCTTTCTTCAACTGGGGCCTAGCACTTTGTGGGTCTGGGGACAGCGTGTGAGCACCCAGCGCACACAGCACAGTGCACTGAAGATGTGGCCGGAGCCCAGTGGGGATGCTTTCAGAGGGGGTGCAGCCTGTGATGCCTGAGCAGCCGCCCAGCTTTGTTCAGGGTTTCTCTGGCCTCCTGCTGTCCCTCCACCCACTTCCAGCTGGCTAGAATTGGGTGCTGGGGGCATGCATCACAGGGGGAGGGGGCAGGCTGAGGAACTGGGTGGTGTGGTGAAATTTCCTGGGGAAGGTACCACCTGCCAGTCACTCTTACGCCACCTCACTGTGCCCAGCAGCTTCTGGGAGGGGGCAAATGTCCCTGCATTGAAGAACCTAAGCCACGCCCCAGGTGCGCCGATGGCAAAAGGATGGATTGTGGGGAAGCGGATGGGGTCACCTCTGGGAGGGAATTTTCTTGCTTAAATACCAGAGGCAAGCCAAAGATTTAGTTAACAGATTTCAGAAGCACAGGAGAGCTCTGAGGATGTGGGAGAGAAGCTGGCTAAGGGCTGGACAGTCAGTGACTCGACATTCCCCGAGCCCATGAGATGCCACCTGACGTCGCATCCCAGGCCTCTGGGATCTAGAAAATGACAACCTTGATGGTGACCATGTTGTCAGAAGCCCAATCAAGGCTTTGATTCTTCTTTAAACTTTTGTTCTGTGGTGGATCTTTCTTGACGTCTCTTGTTGGGATAGAGATGACAGAAACAATTTTCCTACTTCCTAAGTCTTTCCTTTTTTTTTTTGCCTGACAAAACTGGACATCTGGATGTCCCTCCAGTCTACTTATATACTCACAGAGAGAATAAGTTTAAATATTAAAGAGAAAACACAAAGATACTTGGAATAAATGTGCATTTAAAACCCTGACTAAAATATCAACATAATGATCATAATTACAATGGTAATAAAAATAATTAGTACAATAATATTATCTTTATGAGCAGCATGGAAATTTCATTCCTGATCTGGAAGAATAAAAGGAAAGAAAATGTCAGGTGAAAGAGTAAGTAGCCTCCAACTTAAGCAGACAGAATAATTTTCTTTAAAATGAAAAGAACATTTTAAGCTGTCTTTCCCCCTAAAAGATCAGATCTAGAAAGGGCTGGAAATGAACTGTGCCCAGGAATCTGGGGGTGCTCTCCAGTAAGGCGAACTGAGGCTCATTTGCAGCCAAGACTTGGAACTCGGGATGAGACCTAATGGGCTATTGCTGCCATCTGGCTGCCAAAAAGTCCCTAATAGATGGATTTTCCAGGCTGACCCAGCTGTGGGGCGGGGGGGGGTCCTCTGGCTTCTGTGTCCTCTGAAGCGTTTGCTGCCCTCACCCTCTCTGAACTGACCATTGTCCTGCTGTCTCAGAGGGCTGCGCTTCCCCACCTCCAGATAAAGACAGTATTGATAATGGCCCGAGGGAAGGGAATCTCCTTGCTGCAGGCCTCTTGCCGGCACAGCCTCCAGCAGGCACTTGGCAAGACTGCCCGGCTGTGCCCAGCATGGAGCAGTCATGGTGTCCTTCCTTCTCGCTGAGGCCTGGACTAAGCTGTTTCCAGTTTGGGGACCTGTTTCTTTATAAGTAAGAATTTATGGTTGGGGTGGGGAAGTTTCCAGAGTTATTTCACAGCTAAGAGCTAAGTAACGACTTCGTTACTGAGTTAGGTTGGATATCACTACAAACACACCTTTCACAGTAGATCCTTGAGGGAGACTGCACAGTGAGGAAGTAAAGGGAGGGAGGATGAGGATGGGGCCGCTGACTCGGGAAAGATCTCTTTGCACCTTGGAAACCTGCCTGTGGGGTCAGCTAAAGACTCAACATCAGAAGCAAACAATTAGAACCACCCTTTTCGGCCCCATCCTTGGCCAGATTCTCCTGCCATTCACATTCACATATTTCAGAGTTATTTACTATGAAGAGAGGGAACTCCCCACTTCTCCACACCTCCATCCCCAGAAGTGTCCAAAGCCTGAGAAAACTTCCAGAATGTATCAAAGGTGCAAAGAGGGCAAAGGGCAGATTTCTTTGGAAATTCAACTGTGTGAGTTTTTCCAAAGTGCAGCGTCAGACCCCCGGCCACCCTCATAAGTGTCCCTCCAACCTTCTGCCCACTAGAACCCTCAGAAACCAAAACCAAAATCATGTCTTGAGCAGACCTGGGTAATGTGAGGAGAGAATTCAACAGCAAACAGAGGTTGGTGGTTGTCTACAGAGGGAGGGATCTGGCAAGATCGTTAGAGCAAAACAGCCCAGGGAGCCGGAGGAGAGAGTGGAGCCCCGGGCGAGGCTGAGAGCTCCAGGCTCTCGTGGAGGCGGGAGGGACTGGGGGATGCCGCCTGGGGCGGGAGACGGCTGCCTGGCGAGGCCAACAGTCCGGAAACCTCTGGCCTCACAAATGGCGGAACTGGGGACAGAGTGGGGCAGGGGTGAAGGGTGGGGAGTCTCTCTGGGCCTCCGCCCACAAATTACAACTCAACTACTGCCACAACTCAACTCCCGCCGTCCCCATCTCCAGACGCACCCGCCGGGCATCTGTCTCCCATATTTCTTTCGAGATCCACGGACTCTCTCCTAGCTCCTGCTGGCTTCCCTGGCATCCTTCCGCTAGCAAACAGCCCAGGAAAGACAACGGGCATTAACATTTTAAAAAGAAAAAGAAAAAGAAAAAAAAAAGGCCAGCGTAAACTGTTACAACAGCACAACAGAAGAGCTGAGATTGTGTCTGACTAGCCTCAGTTTCTTGGAGTACCAGTGGAAGTAAACCCTCACGCCGCGTCTGTCGCTCGGTAAGGCACTAGGAGGGAAGGATGCAGTGTCAAGACTGCGCCAGCTAGGGTGGCGGCGCCGAGGGCCACGCGGGGAGGGCGGCGCGTGCACACCCACACGTGCTCGCTCACCCGCACACCTGCACCGCCACATTGGTTACATGCCTATGTTATATCGCTTTTTTTTGTGCAATTACATTGAGGAATATTCTATTGGTATCATTGGAGTTGAACACAAGGTAGGAGACAAGGGTGCTGAGTGCTACATTCTACTAGGGTGTCTGTGACGACCGCTAGCCCTACGCTACGCGACTAGGGGTGGATTCAAAGAGAAAATACATTTTCAGAAAAGAAAAAAACCTAAAGTTTGCAACACACATTATTAATGACATTTGAGAAACAACGTTGCTTAGGGATTTATCCAGAGTGCTCAGAAAAAGAAAACTCGCCCCGCGCCCCCGGGGGCCTTCCAGCAGCCTGGCCGTCCCCCGTCTTTCCTGACTAGGGAGCCCGGACTGGGCTTCGCCAATCCCACACCAGCTCCAAACATCAGCCTCCTCAGGCTGCAGCCCGACATTCTGGAGGGCTGTTGACCCTTTCGAGTTCTGGAAAAATCCCTAAATCTTATGTTCAATTAATTAAAAATCTATTTGATTTCCATATCAGGTGTCCCTGACAGCAGTCTTCCGTATCACTTGCTGCCATATGAAAATAATCTTTGAAAAGTTCATAAAGTTCTTCAAAAACTGGGGCCCCCCGTTTCTGGAATCTTCCTGTTGCTCTCTTCTCCTTTCCAGTTTGGCGTAGAATGGGTTCTTGAGCTGGGTTTTTTGTTATTGACTTTTTTTTTTTCCTTTTTCTTTTTTAAAATAAAAACCATAGATTTCCCACCCTCTTTAATCCCTTCCTTTTAAAAATGTTCTCTTCTCTGCTCTACGTCCTCCCACTTCCCGGTTCAAGTTTCACTGGTGTCCCGACCCGTCCCCCTGCCCTCTGCCCCCCCCCCCCCCCCCGCCCCTGCCCCGTTTGCATTGTTTGTGTGCGGCATCTTCAGTATAAAAGGCCAGCGCCCACGGTCCCAGGAGCGCCTCCCTCCTTCTCTCCCTCCTCCCTCGGGCCATTCTCTCCCTCCCTCCCTCCCTCCCTCCCCTCCAGTGTTTATATGTAAGGGTACTGGTTGACCTTGGCGGGGCTCAGTGGGTATCCAGTGTAGACGGTGGAGGCTGGCGAGGCGCTGATGTAGGTCTGGTGGGCAAATTGGGCTGGATACTGACTCGGGTGGATGGTGGGCGAGGGCAGGACCCGGGGGCCCATGCTCACGGGGACCTGGTGGACGATGCTGGCTGGGTAGGCAGTGTGCTGCACGGTGTGGCGCGCAGAGCCTTGCGAGGCCACCAGGTGGGCCACGGTGCCGGTGGAGCCCAGGGCCGCCGGCGCAGTGTAGGTGTAGAGGTGGGGCTGGGTGGGGAGGTGGGCAGCGGCAGCGGCTGCAGCCAGATGCGGGTGCACAGTGCCGTGGCTGGGGCTGTTGTGCGGGAAGGAGTACGGAGCCTGGGCCATGGTGGGAGTGATGTAGGCCTGCTGCCTTCGGTGGCTCCCAGTGCGGTCCGTGGTGATGTGCTGCTGAGCCTGGGGAGGAGAGGCACCAAGAGAGACGTCAGGGGCCGACACATGGGGAGGAAGGAATGGGAGGAGGGGCAGGAGGGCAGGGAGGAGGAAGAGAAGGGAAAGACTCCAGAAGTAATAGAAGGGGCTTCCCTCTGTGTGTTGAGAAAGTAAAAATTTACTTGGGACCTGGCGCAGTGGCTCACGCCTGTAATCTCAGCACTTTGGGAGGCAGAGGTGGGCGGATCACCTGAGGTCTAGAGTTCGAGACCAGCCTGGCCAATATGGTGAAACCCCGTCTCTACTAAAATACAAAAAAATTAGCCGGGCATGGTGGCACGTGCCTTGTCTGTAGTCCCAGCTATTCGGTGGGCTGAGGCACAAGAATCACTTGAACCTGGGAGGTAGAGGTTGCAGTGAGCTGAGATCACGCGAGTGCACTCCAGCCTGGGTGACAGAGTGAAACTCTGTCTCAAAAAAAAAAAAAAAATTTACTTGGACTGAGAAAATCCCGACTTGGCCTGCCACTCACTGGGCTGGGATGATACACGGATAAAGCCAGCTGCAAAGTTATAGGAGAACATATTTCTCCCAAGGACGTACAGAAGCTGTGAAGTATCAGGATGCCCCAGGCTGGAGTGCAGTGGCATGAACCTAGCTCACTGTAGCCTTGAACTCCTGGCCTAGAATGATCCCCCCGCCTTGGGCTCCCGAGAAGCTGGGACTACAGGCGTGAGCCACCGCACCCGGCCAGGACACTCTCTTTGAGCAGCAGTTGCTTTCTTACTCACTGTAAAATCTTGTTCTCAAAATTATTGGCTCTCACAACATCTCTACAAAAAATTTTGAAAATTAGCTGGGTGTGGTGGCTCATGCCTGTAGTCTCAGCTACTCGGGAGGCTAAGGTGGAGGATTACTTGAGTCCAGGAGGCAGAGGCTGCAGTGAGAGCCATGACAGTGCCACTGCACTTGAGCCTGGGTGACAGAACAAGACCCTGTCTTAAAAAAAAAAAGTTGGCTCTCAGAAGCGTTGCTGTTTGAAGTTCTGTCAGTCCAAATAAAATAGCCCTCTTCTACCTGGTGAACCTAAGTCACGTGACAGAGACACGGGCTCCACTGATGACCTGGGGCAGCACTTCAGATGAGGGGCTCTGAACACAAACACCCCATTTATCTCACTTTGTTTCTAGAGAAACAGGGCCCTGAGTCCACCACGTGAGTCAGGCCTGATGCCGAGCCCTTGACACAGACAGCCCTGCACCCACAGAAACTCAGGTCACTCACATTTCACCTCAACCCACCCCCCTTCCTCCAGGTCCTGGGACAAATCTTACCCTTGACTTGGGGGCTGTGGTGTGCGGGCCCTCCCTGCAATGAGTCGGATGCAGGTCTGTCCCTGATGTCCCAGGCCGACAGGGCCGGGACACAGTGCTCTACCCTTTGCTGGGTTGAAACAGCAGTATGTGGGCCATCCTATTTTTAAGCTCTGGCACCATGTCACTAAGGGCTTTGTAACATTAGACAAGTCGCTTTGCTTTGGGCCAGCACTCTGTGCACTGGTGATATCAACTTCCCCAAGGGTGACCTGTGGTAGAAAAAGCCACCAGAGGTCACCAAGGGCATGTGCTGCCACCCGTGGCCAGGACTGCAGCCCTGTGAGGTGGGTGAGGGGCCGCCACAGCAATCCTCTCTGAAGCGGAAGGATGAGGGGATGGGGGCCCTGCCTGGCCTGGGGCGCCAGCTGTGGGGCTTACCTGGCTGAGATTGAGTGGCTGCTGCTGCTGGAAGTGGGGGCCCGGCCGCTGCTGCCGGTAGGTGATGGCTCCAGATGAGCTCCCTGAAGAGTGACCGCTGGTGGAGGTCACGTTGCTGGAGGACTTGGACTTGTAGGAGGACGAGTGGTGACTGGTGTTGACTGTGGCGGGAGGAGAAAGAGGTCAGATCAGTGGCAGGGTCCCAGCTGCCCAGAAGATGCTACCCCACCAGAGAACAGTGGTCTTCCAGGAAGAAACATGTGCCTGAGGCCGGGCAGTAACAAATCAGCCTCATCTCCCCCGGACCCACTAGGACTTTGCCTTGACTCTGGATGCAGTGGGGCTCTGGCTCACTCCCTCGGCTGGGAGGGTGGTCGGGGCTGCATGAGGGAATGAAGCAAGGGAAAGCGGAAAAGAATCAGGAGAGGCAAGGTGGGCTGGTGGCCTAAGGCCAGGCCCAGTGCCGTTCCTCTGGGAGGTGTTACTTTCAGCATCTGGAAAATGGGTAGGAGAGATCTGCTATAATTTGAATGTGTTCCCCAAAGTTCTTGTGTTAGAAACTTAGTCCCCAGTGCAAGTGTTTAGGGTGGGGCCAGTAAGGGATGTTAGGTCCTGAGGGCAGAGCCCTCATGAGTGTATGAGTTCATCAGTGCATTAATATTATCTCGGGAGTGGGTTAGCTATTGAGAGATTGGCTTTTTTGATGAAAACAAGTCTGGCCCCCTCACCCTCATGCTCTTTTGTCCTTCTGCCTCCTGTGCTAGGAAGATGCAGCACAAAGGTCCTTGCCAGATGCTGGCATCCTGTTCTTGGACTTCCAGTCTTCAGAATCGTGAGCCAAATAAACTTCTATTGATTATAAATTACCCAGTCTCAGGTACTCTGTTACAGCAACACAAAATAGACTAAGACAGGATCCCTGCTTGGTCCCCACCATGGGTGACTATGAGTATCAGAGGAGACAGTGTCTGTGGTGGGACCTAATAAACTACTAGAAGCTAAAATAACCCTCAGAGTCACCTGGTCCAGTTACCTGCCTCTAGGCAGGATGAGACTAAATCATCCGGGGAATGGCCCTGTGAGCCAAACATGGCCAAGCACAAAACTGCCTCCATGTTATTGCCAAGGGGGCTGAAGAGTGGAAAAAACACTGCAACCCTCCAGAGGTGACCTCATGGTCAGCAGGTGGCTCCATCAACAGTTCTCAAATGTAATTCCTGCATCTTGTTCAGTGCAGACTCTGGCCAGCAGCTCTGGGGGGCCCGAGCACCTGCATTTCTGACAAGCTCCCAGGGGGTGCCAGTGCTGCTGCTTGGGGGACCACGCTCTGAGTAGCCAGGGGCTCTGAGAGAGGTGGGTTAAACCCTGAGCTGGATGGCTTCCATGTTACCCAGCCAGAGAGCCAGGGGAGCCAGGAGCCTCTTCAGAGCCCAGTGGTTTTAACTCATCCAAGTATTTTCTGAGCTCCTGCCCTGTGCTAAGGACGGTGACTGTGTACCACCAGGGACGGGGGTGGCAGGGAGAAGGCTGAGAGCGTGAATAAGGAGGAGGCATCACAGATCACGCAGATGAGGTGGCGAGGCCAGAGGATAAACCAGATGAAGACGCTGACAGTCAGGGACAGCCCAAGTCCAAGAAGGCTGATGGAACAGGACAGGGCAGGACAGGGCATGAGTGTCCAGCCCAGCAGGGGCAAGAGCCCCAGAGGGCGGGAGCTCTGCTGCCGAGTGGGGGCCATCTCCCCACCCCAGCTTGGGGAGTTCTGCAGACAGGACCATCACCCCTTGATAAAAGCAGAAGAGATGCTTTACTAGCCCCCCATGTCCCTGTGCCTCAGCTCTCCTCCAGGAGAGGGCTGCCTAACACACAGTGCAGTATTAATACACACCTAAATGAAATTTCCAATCAAATGCACCCAGATGCACCAGTCATAGCCATTCATTAAATGCAAGCACTTTTGTAATGGCAAAAGCAACAAACAGACCCAGACTAGTGAGAAGATACTGGGCTTCCTTTTTTTTTTTTTTTTTTTTTTTTTGAGATGGAGTTTCACTCTTGTTGCCCAGGCTGGAGTGCAATGGTGCGATCTCGGCTCACTGCAACCTCTGCCTCTCAGGTTCAAGTGATTCTCCTGCCTCAGCCTCCCAAGTAGCTGGGATTACAGGCACCCGGCACCACGCCTGGCTAACTTTTTTGTATTTTTAGTAGAGACAGGGTTTCACCATGTTGGCCAGGCTGGTCTCAAACTCCTGACCTCAGGTGATCCACCTGCCCTTGGCCTCCCAAAGTGCTGGGATTACAGGCGTGAGCCACCGCGCTGGGCCAACACTGGGCTTCTTTAGGAGCAAACTGCATAATGGCCTAGGAAAGTGTGGGAGGCAGAAAATTCCAGATACCTTTCTCTAACTTCAATGACAACGGAAGCAGAAAAAGAGGGGTTTAGTAAGTGAAGGCTACGACAAAGCAGCCTGAAGACTGTGTGGTTTGTGTTGTATAGTTAGAAACCATAGTTACAACAAGCATTGCTTCTGTTCCTTAAACGCTAAAGAACAGTAGAGTTAATGGAGAAGAAAACATCTTCCAGGTGGAAAGACAGGCAGATGGTCCCCCACCAAGAAGGGCAGGGCAGACCAGGGAATGAACAAGAGCCTGGCGCTGGGGCTGGGGGCTGTCCTGCCTCCTTGGGCAACCAGTCCTGCTGGGGTGAGATGTGCACAGAAACAATACTGATTTTTTTTTTTGAGATGGAGTCTTGCTCTGTCTCCCAGGCTGGAGCGCAGTGGTGTGATCTTGGCTCACTGCAACCTCTGCCTCCCAGGTTTAAGTGATTCTCGTGCCTCAACCTCCCAAGTAGCTGGGATTACAGGCATGCACCACCACGCCCAGCTAATTTTTTTTTTGAGACAGAGTCTCGCTCTGTCGCCCAGGCTGGAGTACGGTGGCGTGATCTCAGCTCACTGCAGCCTCCGCCTCCCGGGTTCAAGTGATTCTCCTGCCTCAGCCTCCCGAGTAGCTGGGACTACAGGCGCCCACTGCCACACCCAGCTAATTTTTGTATTTTTAGTAGAGACGGGGTTTCACCATATTGGCCAGGCTGGTCTCGAATTCCTGACCTTGTGATCCACCTGCCTTGGCCTCCCAAACTGCTGGGATTATAGGCATGAGCCACCGCGCCCAGCTGCTAATTTTTGTATTTTTGGTAGAGACAGAGTTTGACCATGTTAGCCAGGCTGGTCGTGAACTCCTGACCTCAAGTGATTTGCCTGCCTCAGCCTCCCAAAGTGTTGGGATTACAGGCGTGAGCCACTGTGCCCAGCCATGGTACTGATTCTTAGTCTAAGAACCAGACTGAGGAAGACTTTGCCCAGGAAAAAGGGAGCGCATTTTAAGAGAGAAAGGTAATGAGTAACCTCCTTTCCGCCATCCTTTGTTGATTTGAGCACTTCATGTGTTGTATCTTGTACTCAGTTATTTTTCTTCATTAAGTTTCTGGAATGTGCTTGAAATATTTTTATCACCTTGACTTTCTATGGAGGACAGCTAAATTCCTTTTTTTATTTTGAGGTGGAGTCTTGCTCTGTCGCTCAGGTTGGAGTGCAGTGGTGCAATCTCGACTCACTGCAACCTCTGCCTCCCAGGTTCAAGTGATCCTCCAGCCTCAGCCTTCCGAGTAGCTGGGATTACAGGTGTGTGCCACCAAACCTGGCTATTTTTTGTATTTTTTAGTAGAGATGGGGTTTTGCCATGTTGGCCAGGCTGGTCTCGAACTCCTGATCTCAGGTGATCTGCCCCACCCTTGGCCTCCCAAAGTGCTGGGATTATAGGCGTGAGCCACCGTGCCGGACAGCTATATTTCTGTGATTTATATTTTTTGGAAACCTTGCTGGACTTTAGGATTACTGCCTGGTGACACTGAAAAGCGTAAGGAAGCCCTAGGAGAGGAAAGATGAAATAACTGAGTATGGGAAAGAGCTTTGGCCAGGGAATCCAGTCATTCGCCAAAATGCGGTGCTATTGTTCCACAGAGCCCCAACTCTAAAGCAGTCCACATTTGAGGAAGGTGCCCAAAGTAGGGGTGTTCAAAGGACGAATCAGGTAAAATGTTTCATATGAAGGGAGAGGCAGCAAGAACATATTGCAAGATGTCCAAAGACAGATCTACACCTCACGTTCAGAAGCAAGAATTCGGAGCATTCATTTTGGGGCCTGAGCATCTTAGGTGAACTGGAAGGCTCATACTGTCTCAATGAAGTATCCTATGGGTGGTTAGTGTAAAAGGAGAGAATCTGGTCATTCTTGGGGCAGAGGTGCTAAATATTAATGAGCCATGCATGGAAACGACCAGGCCCTTGATTGAATTCGGTTGGATCAATTCTATTACAAATCCCAGGGCGATGAAATCAAAGTCAAAGAGGAGACGCCTGAGGCTGGAGCCAGCAAGAAAGAATGCTGATTAATTGTTGATGAAGAGAGAAATGTGCCTCTAGAGGTCTCAGCCTCTCAAGAAGGTCAAAGGAAAACCGGAAACCTGGGGACAGAAGTTTCTGGTGCTCACTACAGGTGGAAGGGGGCCTTCCTGACCCCAAAACTCAGAGCCCCCTGCCCTAAGTGAAGGGTGAGCTGCCGCAGTGGGGATGGGGGCAGTGGGTGCTATTCAGAGGCCGCAAATCCAACCGTGCATTTGCGCCTGGGGCCCCTCCCACCCCATCCACTGAATCGGAATCCCTCGAGTAGGTACGGGAGATCCGGAATCAGTATTCTTAGCAAGCTTCCCAGGACACCAGAGCCTCCTGGCCCTGGCTGAACAGACCTGCATTTGGGAATCAGGGCCTTGCGACCCAACACTGTGCCCAAGCCAAACCCATTAGACTCAAAGGTCCCCCAAAACCTGAGGGATGGAGGGATTTTTGTGGACTCAATGTAGAAAAGAAAAATAGAAAGCTGCAAACATTGGCTCTGCAGAGCCTGCTTCTTGCCTTCTGCAGCCACAATGTGGCTGTGTTGGGGGAAGCCTCCTTCTTGCTCTGCGGCGGGTCACAGACTGTGCTGGGCCCCGCTGTGCATGTCACCTACTTCTTCTATTCCAACTTCCTGGGCATTTTGTGGTAATGATATTTGAGGGAGAAACACTGAGCTCGAGGGATCAGTGAAGGGGTTAGGGAATGTTAGATGAAATGGGCGTAATGCAGCCCTGATGCTACCATCATCATGGGGACAGGAGATGGGGGTTGAGTCAGAGCTTGCCAAGCTCTCAGAGGACGAGAGCCCCGAGTAAGGGAGGACGTCCTGAAGGGGACCAAGAGATTAAAGTATAACAGTAACTCCTCCTGTGGCGATGGACAAAGCGACAATGGGCTAATGCTGGTCAACCTCCTAATGTATACTTTGGAACAGTGAGGAAACATTCTAGAGTTTTCCAGTCATGCCTTGTCCAGCTACTCTCCGTGATCTCCTGTCCTGAGAACAGCCACAGTGGCCCTGTCTACACTAGGTGAGTTGGCAGGGGTGCTTACAGCACAGATAAGCTCCAGGGCCAGACCTCTGGGAGGCCCAGCCACATGGCTCTGGGAAGGCTGGTCAACCCCTCTGTGCCTCCATTTTTAACCTGGGAAACTGGGAAGATCATGGCAGCTCCATGTAGGGCTGTGATGAGGATTAAATGAGTTAACAAGTGTAGAATGCTTAGTATCTGGCATCTAAGGGCTTAAGTATTGAGTATCTGGCATTTACGTACTTAGTGTTAGCTATTGTTGGTGTCATTATTGAACTCTGTCTCCTGGTTAAAGCTGAGGCTCAAAAAAAGGTGTCTTGGCCGGGCATGGTGGCTTATGCCTGTAATCCCAGCACTTTGGGAGGCTGAGGCGGGTGGATTGCCTGAACTCAGGAGTTCGAGACCAGCCTGGCTAACGCGGTGAAACCCCATCTCTACCGAAATACAAAAAGTTAGCCGGGCGTGGTGGTGCATGCCGGTAGTCCCAGCTATTTGGGAGGCTGAGACAGCAGAATTGCTTGAACCCGGGAAGTAGAGGTTGCAGTAAGCCGAGATCGCGCCACTGCACTCCAGCCTGGGTGACACAGCGAGACTCCTCTCCGGAAAAAAAAGCAACGACAAGTGTCTCTCCAAGCTGGGACAATCAATTCTGGTCTCCTGGAAATGGGACACCAGGAGCCTGGGAGCTGCTGTCGGTGAGTCGGGTGAAGGCAGCTTCAGAGAGCAGGCATCTGGCCCCCAGGGCTCAGGTCCCCGGGGTTCTGGCTCCTGCCCTGCCTGGGACTTAGTTGTTGAACTTTCCCTTAGCCCTGCATCCTTCCAATAAGTTGTTTGTCTTAAGCCAGTGTAGAGTTCATTCTGTTGCTTCCAAAAGAAACTTCACTAACCCCAACCTGAGAAGGACTGAAAGACTGAGAGCCACAGGAGGGGGTGAGTATGGCGGGGAAACAGCAGTGCATATCCTGGCCTAAGAGGGCTGGGGGAGCGCTGAACTCTCCCATGCTCTGGGTGCTGTAGCTGGGGGAGCTGTTAACTGGCTGTACCTTGGCCTGTATGCATCACTGGGCTCCAGGGAGCTGAGGAAGGCTGCTTTCCCGACTTTTCCAAGCCTAGGTGGGTTCTACAGCTAAAGGTGTGTATCGGTATTGAACGCCACTGGCTGGGGAAGGGCAGGCACCAGACGAGGAATGCCCCTGCTCGTGAGGGCACAGGCAGCACTCCCGCATATGGTATGAGTTCAGTCTGCAGCTTCGAGGTTTGCACAAACATATATTTAAGGAACTTAAATAATGATACAAGACAAATTCTATCCTTTGCAAATATTTAAACTTAAAAATGTGTGCTGCATATACCCTTAAACAATATTTAAAGGATAGCTGAGCTGAAAAGTATGCAGCTCTCTTTAAGGAATCCTGGCTCCCGGGAATGACTTCGGGTGCCTCCCAGGGCCCTTTGGTTACTGCTAGAGAATGTTGCTTCCTGGCAGGGTTTCCACCAAAACATTTGCCCGGGTGGAAAAAGATGGTTTTTGGAGAGAGATGTCCTTGTAGCCTTGTGGAAGGGACAGCTTCATTTTCTTTTCCTCACAGAGATGCCTAATTTTGGGAGGGCTCCAGCCTGCTTCTCTGGCCCCAGGTCACCAGACCCTAGCAGCAAGTACAGCCTGGCCCCTGTCAACCAGAATGCTCGCCCTGGCATGTGGCACTGCTGTGGCTCTATTTTTCCTGAAGGTAAGGTCTCCTTCTTCCGAGAGAGCACAGCGCGAGCTGCGTGCTGCTTGTGTGTCTTTCTCGCTGTAGGCACCACGACCCCCTGCCCCCAGGCCCACAGGAGCGCTGGCTCTGATGTCAAAGCTGCTTGGAGGCTGCATCGTCATGACGGTACTGTTGGGGACAGACCAGGACTTGCAAAAGGAGACGTTTTAGCAGGGTGCTGAGAAGCTGCATTTCACAAGCATTTCTTCAGAGGAAAGGTAGCTGGGGTAACTCCAAAGTCAGGGAAAAAGAGCTTCGCCGCAAATGTCGGAAAGGGTGATGCTGCCTTGGGTTAGGAAGTAGGTGGCGGGGAGCGCAAGCCTGTGGCTGTCACCATCTCCCCTTTAGGCAGAGCCTCTCAGCAAAAGGGGCCCCATCCCAGGCAATGCCATGAGCTCTTGGGAGAGCGTGCCAGGGCTCTGACCCTCACCGTGCAGGCTGGCCTGAGGCACTGGGCTGGAAAAGCCCTAATGACCCCATCCTGCCTCTACGCTTCATCCTCAGTGGCAGCCCCTGAATGGGGCCTGCGCCCACTGGGTCTCACATGTGGTCACCACCCAGGAAGAGTCCCCAGTTTCCTGTAGCGACCTCAGGTGACAGACATGAGGTCCTCCTGAGAAGTAACAGCTTCTCACATCTAGACAAAAGCTTCCTGGCGTTCCCTTTCCTTCCCTTTTCAGTTATGCCGCCACGCAGGTGCAGGCTGGCTTGGGTGTGGTTTGTGGCGGAATAGCGGGACGCGCAGACTTCTTCTGGTTTAGTCCCCACATTCTTCCACTGTGAGCATGAGCAAGGGAAACGCTAAATAGATGCTACAAAATCTACAGTGAGCCACTGAGTTTATTCAGAAGGTTACGTTCTCAGCCTTTATTCCAGGGCCCAATTTTCAAGACAAGCCTTCGCGGGACAGGAGGAGTCCTCTGAAGATAGCAGTGCATGAGCAGAGAAACACACATGGCTTGGTCTCGCCGCCCAGCAGCTGATTCCGAGGAGGGGCTGAGAGGGGCCAATTTCACCCTTCCCTAGCAAGACTCGGAGGAGGTTCTTCCTACACAAGAAGCCCATCTGACCACCAGGGCTTCCTGGCAGAGAGTGGTGCTAGATGTCAGCCAGGAACTCCCCAGACCAGGTATTCTTCCAGGCTCAGGCATAAAGAACCAGGAGGCTTTTATTTTCTATTAATCAACCTAGTTGGAAGCAGAGCCATTGTAAAGGCAGAGAGGTATTGATTACAGGATTAAAGAAGGAAAACGCTGCTTATACAATGTGCTGTTCAGCAGAAGCCTCCCCTGGATACTTGAATAAAATCCTCGGTAAGGGTCGCCTGCAGTCACTGGGCACTTTCTATTGTACTAGCTCCCATACAGCAACATTTCTAGCAGCAGAAAAGCAGGAAAACCACTCTCCAGGGAGAGGTTCCTGCCCTGTCCTGGCCCCAAATTACCTGGCACCAGGCTATCACACTCCACCAATACTTCGCTGGCCTGGGTTTTCAGGGGTGGCACGATGATGGTTCGGGGGTTCCCCGTGCAGTGATTCTCCAGGCTCCCCTTGGTGTCAAAGGCATTGGCATTGTTGTGCCCAGCACGCTGCTGCACGGAGTAGGGGCTGGTGTTGCTGGAGGAGTCGGAGTAGGGGGAGTCGTGGACTGTGACACAGCTGATGACGTTTTTTCTTTGCTTGGAGACAGTGCTGAAAATGCAAAGGGAGAAGTCAGAGGTGGGAGAAGGCCGTGAGGTGAGACACCCAACTAGCACTTCATGCCCTGGGGCAGGGGAGGGAGGCAGAGGGGAGAGGGCAGGAACAGGGCTTTTGCCCTCCCTAACCCCCATAGGGAGACTGGGCATGCAAAAGTCCCCTGTGTAGCCGGCAGCAGGGGGACATGTGAAGACATGGAGAAGGGGCTGGTGCTGGACCCACAGGGGCTTCTGGAAACTAGGGAGTGAGATGCTTCCGGGCTGGCCTGGGCTCTTCCTGTGCAGCAGAGCTCAGCAGAGCTGCAGGGGAGGCACCTGCAGCCCAGAGCTGGGTACAACCCCCGTGGGCCTGCCAGAATGGGACATCTGAGCAAGGAGAGAACCAGCAAGAACCCAGCAACCTGGGGACCTGGGTTAGGAGTAAACCTCGCTGGGAGAAGAATGTCATAAGCTTAGGTTTGGTGCCTGCGGCCTGGCAAAGCTTATGCAGGAGGGAGCAGAATGTCCAATGGGATGCAGCGTGAGGCTCTGAGGGGGCTGCATGCACACAGCACAGTGCAGACATGCTGCAGAGAACGCAGAGCTAGAGTTGACACCCTCTGCCTCTCCTTACTTTGAGTGTGCTCTGTGGGCTGTGTGCAGGCCACTACGACCTCTGCAGTCCCCTTTTCAGGAGCCAGGCTCACCTGCAGCTTTTCCACTGCCTGGGCCAAGGGATCGGGGGAGATGGTATTGCACCGGGGCCTGGTGGGAAGGCCCCTGCCAGGTTGATGCTGTGTGAAAGCCACTCTGAAGCCCTGGCCTTCATCTTATATGTGGAACTTCATACAATAGGGAGGCACTGGCTTTGGATAGCTCTTGGCCGGCATGTTTGTTCAGAGATATTTAAGTTAGTGTGGTTACTTTGGGAACTACTTCTGTTTGTCTTCAAACTCAGTGAGAGGCTGCTGGCATGATGGATGTGAAATTTATTGTTTATTGTGTGCTTATTTAAGACTTTAAAATGAATGTGCATCTATTTTTATATATTGATCATTTATTTTTAAGAAATAAAAATTGCCTAGGCAACTGGTCAGTTTCCAGCTAATTGGATGAGAGAAGCAGCTGGTATTTACGGAGCCTCATAGAGTCACAGCCACCTCCCGGGTATCTTGTTTGAGGCCACACAGCCAGGCCAGGCTCTTCCCATGATGGATCTCCACCACCCTAGAGGCAGCAGGGAAGTGGGCAAATTCCAGAGCCCACAGCAGCCAGGCAGGAGGGACAGAAGCAGAGCCTGTCTGCTGAGCTACAGAAGGCTGGGGGATCTGGGGGGTGCAGTCCCCAGGAGGCGCTGGCCCTGCTCCCCAACGCCCAGCGCTCCTGACATCTAGGCTGGATAATTCTTCCAGTGGCTGGACACTGTCCTCTCTGGTTCAGGGTGCCTAACCGTGTTCGTGGGTGAGAACACGAACCTTGGAGTCAGCTGTCTAACTTCGGCATGTGCTGGTGACAGGGCGGTGGGCAGCTATTTAACCTCTCAGTGATTCAGTGGCCTCATCAGTAAAAGGTAGGTAATAATTGTACCTATATCATAGGCTTGTTTTGAGAACTAAGTGAGAAAATACAAGTGCTTTCAATGATACACAACACATGGTAAGTATTCCATAATAGCTGCTATTCTTCTTCTTCTTACAAGTTGTGTTACCTTAGTTAACATGTGAAAACAGGTTTGCAAAAAACTTATTTAGGCAAAGAGAATTCTATCAGGGTAAGGACTTGCTGGAAAAGTTTCCTTTTTTCTAGTTTATGAATAAACCAGAAGATTGAAATCAAAGAAAATTAAAACTCATGATATCTCGGAGATCTACGCGGGGTACTACAGGGAATACCTATACAAAGAAATATGTGTCTCTGCCCTCGAGGAGATTAAAATCTCAGTGGAGGACTGTATAACAACATGACAAGTTAAATAGTAAAAGCTTTAAAATAACCAGTTAGAGAGAATAATGGATGTCACAAAGCCTCCGTGATTAACTGTCAGATGAATCGTACAGATGATAATTGTTAAGAACTCAGAAGAAGGTGAGGAATGAATTGGTTGCATATATTTATGGCTCTTCATGTTAACTTAAAGTAGATAAATTTTAATTAATAAAGACCCACACCTCCCAGTTATGACAGTTTAAATGTGAAATGTCCATATGCTTGTTCCTCAAAAAGCTAAACACAGAGTTACCCTATAGCAATTCCATTCCTAAGTACATTCTCAAAGGATTGGAAACAGGTACTCAGATACATGTAAGCCAATGTTCACTGCAGCACTATTCAAAATACCAAGAGGTAGAAACGACCCGAGTGTCCATCAGCTGGTGAATGAATAGAAAATATGGTGTATCCATACAGTGGAATACTATTCAGTCATGAAAATGAATGAATGCTGGGAGGGGTGGCTCATGCCTGTAATCTCGGTGCTTTGGGAGGCTGAGGTGGGAGGATTGCTTGAGGCTGGGGGTTCAAGACCAGCCTGGGCAACACAGTAAGAGCCAATCTCTACAAACAATTAAAAAAATAAGCAAAGTATGGTGGTGCATGCCTGTAGTCCCAGCTGTTTGGGAGGCTGAGGTGGGAGCCCAGGAGTTTGAGGCTGCAGTGAGCTATGATCACACCACTGCACTCCAGCCTGGGTGTCAGAGTGAAACCCTGTCTCCAAAAAAAAAAAGTTCTGATACATGCTACAATATGGATGAACCTCGAAAATATTAAATGAAATAAACCAGACACAAAAGGACAAATAGTTTGTTTGAGTCTACATATATGAAATATCTAGAACAGGCAAATTCATACAGACAGAAAATACATTAGAGGTTACCAGAGGTTGGGGGCTAGGGGAGAGGAGAGTGGGAAGTTACTGATTAATGGTATAGTTTTTGGTTGGGGTAGTGGAAAAGTTCTGAAAATAGATAACGGTGATGGCTATACAGCATTATGAATATAATTAATGTCACTGAATTTACACTTAAAAATGGTTGAAATGGCAAATTTTATATTTTACCACAATTAAAAATTAACAGACTAAAACCACTGAATTGTACACATTCAACGGGTGAACTATACAGTACAGTACATGAATTCTATCTCCATCAAAAACAAAGTCCAGGCTGGGTGAGGTGGCTCATACCTGTAATCCCAGCACTTTGGGAGGCCGAGGTGGGTGGATCACCTGAGGTCACAAGTTTGAGATCAGCCTGACCAACATGGTGAAAATCCGTCTCTACTAAAAATACCAAAAATTAGCCGGGAGTGGTGGTGGGGCCTGCAATCCCAGCTACTCAGAGCCTGAGGCAGTAGAATCGCTTGAACCCAGGAGGTGGAGTTTGCAGTGAGCCAAGATTGCACCATTGTACTCCAGCCTGGGCGACAGAGCAAGACTGTGTCTCAAAAAAAAAAAAAAAAAAAAAAAAAGCAAAAGAGATTCAGAGTCTTGGGCACTTCGCCGCTGTACATCAGGGCTCAGTAGAGACACCCAGAGGGTGGGAGGGCACTGAGATCCAGTACAAGAATTACAAAGTGGAAGCTAGGTGCGGTAGCTCACCCCTGTAATCCCAGCGCTTGAGGCCAGAAGTTTGAGAGCAGCCTGGGCAACACAGTGAGATCCCACCTCTACAAAAATAAAAACATTAGCTAGGCATGGTGGTGTGCACCTATAGTCCTAGCTGCTCGGGAGACTGAGGCAGGAAGATGGCTTGAGCCCAGGAGTTTGAGGCTGCAGTGAGCTGTGGTCGTGTCACTGCACTCCAGTGTGGGTGACAAAGAGACCTACACTCTAAAGAAAATAAATAAATAAATAAAAATAGTTAGGTACGGTGGCTGACACCTGTAATTAGCACTTGGGGAGGTCAAGGCAGGCAGATCATTTGAGGCTAGGAGTTTAAGACCAGCCTGGCCAACATGATGAAACCTTGTCTCTACTAAAAATAAGAAATCTGCTGGGTGCAGTGGCTCACACCTGTAATCCCAGAACTTTGGGAGGCCGAGGTGGGCGGATCACTTGAGGTCAGGAGTTCGACACCAGCCTGGCCAACATTGCAAAACCCCGTCTCTACTAAAAATACAAAAATTAGCCAGGCGTGGTGGTGTGCACCTGTAATCCCAGCTACTAGGGAGGCTGAGGCAGGAGAATCACTTGAACCCGGGAGGTGGAGGTTACAGTGAGCAGAGATCACACCACCACACTCTAGCCTGGGTGACAGAGTGAGACTCTGCCCCCACACCGCGCTGGCCCCCTGCTGAAAAAAAAAAACAAAAAAACAAAAAACAATCCTGGGTGTGGTGGCACATGACTGTAATCCTAGCTTCTTGGGAGGCTGAGGTGGGAGAATTGCTTGAACCCAGGAGGTGAGGTTGTAGTGAGCTGAGATCACACCACTACAATCCAGTCGGGGTGACACAGCCAGACTGTCTTAAAAAAAAAAAAAAAAGATTGCTGTCTACCAATAACAACAAAAAAGAATATCTCGAAATATTTTATAAATATAAATTAAGCAAAAAAAGGAAGTGGGACTCTAGGAGGTCTCTGAGCTAGGAGGTAGGGAGGAGGGATCTGAAAGCAGGGAGATGCTGGAGGCTGAGGACGAGGAGGGAGCAGGAGGGAAGGAGAGCTGCCTTAAGAAGACAAGGGCAGAGAAACCTGCAGCTGTCTTCTGGGATGAATGCGGGGGAGTAAAGGGAAACAACTGGTCTGCTGCAGTCTCTTGTGTAATAAGGGAACTCCTCCCACCTCACACTGTTTCGAAGTACTCTGAGGGCCAGGGGAAGAGCTGGGAGCCATGACTGGGAGCAGCTGCTGGCTCCCGAGGGGAGGTGAGGAGATGGCGCTGCCCTGCCCTTCACTCTCAGCTTCGGGCACAGCTACTCCTGAATGATGAACATGCCTCTGGTCATCTCATGAAACGCAGACATGTTCTGTTGCAGGTGCCCATTCTGTGGGTGGAGGACCCCAGGTGAGGATGGAGGCTGACTCCCAAATGTGTCCTGGGAGCTGGCACTGCAGTCCTAGCTCTGCTGTTCCTTTACTGGTGTGGCTCTGGACAGTGGCCTGGATAACCTGTAACATCCATCCAGCTCCAATCTGCTCTGAAATTCATTGAGAGAGATTACTCATGGCATTAAAGGAGCCATTATGAGGATCTCTGAAAGATTCCTAGAGACATTCTAAAATAGGAATGGTCTAGCCCTAATCTGGAGAGGAAAGAGATCCTTTTAGCAGATGTACCTTACCTATAGACCCAGATCTGGCCAGTTCTTGCTGATCATATCTTCCTTAGGATCTGAGTAGTTTAGAAAATGAGCATTTAAAAAAAAAAAAAACAACAAAAAGACAAAAACACACACTAATTTTGGCAAAACTGTAATCTGCCCTCGAGTAAAATTCAAATTGGGCATATTTGGAGCTCTTCACTCAAATGTGGAAATTGTGGAGAAGCTTCAGCTTAATATGAATAAGAATTTTCTAACAACTAGAACTATCTCAAGACACAACAGCCACTTCATGAGTCACTGAGCTTCTTGTCACTGAAGAATGGCTTTCTGGCATGAGTCTTGTGAGAGCTGACAGCTTGGCGTGGGTGACCTGTGAGAACTGAGGGCCATCTCCTTGATGGAAACCCAACAGGTAGTGAGCCTCCCACTGAAGAGACTGAAGAATCTGCATGTCAGTGTCTAATTATCTACAAGGAGTGTGGGATAAAACCTTTATAAACTCTTCCCAGGTCCCATCCCTTTGTTGTAGCTGGGGAGCCCCTGGCTTAATGAGCAAATATGTACGGCACAGCTTGATGCTGATTTGCCTACCTTTTTGGATTTACAAGTGACACATTTATTTGCAGAAGGTGAATTCATTTGCTAGCTGTTTTTCATCTCTTCCATTGTTAGAAAGCTCTGCGCTCTACCTGAACACACTATGCAGATTAGAGAACTAATGGGAAGCTGTTAAATGAGTCACTTTAGAAATGAGCACACATTTCAGATGACTACGGCAGATTCTTTAGGCTCGTATCTATCGATACTACTGGGATTCATTCCATGATTGCGTCTAGTTATTATTGACAGCTTATCAATCCCATTATGAGTTGGTTAATGCAAGTGAGAGAGATAGCGATAGGGGCAGAGTGAGAAATATTTGCTGAAATGGCCTTGGAAGAACATCACTTCTGAATAAAGAACAAAGCTGTCAGAGTTCACAATTGCATTATGTTGTCATGGCAATAGATAATTTTCATCATTTCAAAATGATGAAAATAAATAAGGAGCTAAAAAGTAAAGAAATCCCTAAAGGAGAAAGCACTGGCAGAAGATCAGATATAACCTGTGACCCCTTCCCTGTAGGGTCTTATCTGGAATGTGTCTCTGATTTCTATTTGCTAATCTGAGTCAATTTCATCCTTCAAGACCAGGGTCAAAACTCATCTCCTCCAATAACTTCTTTTACCCTTCTGATTTCATAGTCAATGCTATGTGTTCTATTACTATGATGCTGATTATTAAGTACAGGTAACATTTATTGGATGCATACTAACTACAGCTTAAAGTGCTTTATATGTTTATCTCCTTTAATCATCATGGCAAGATGATGTGGTAAAGAATATGACTACTTTTGGCTGGGCACAGTGGCTCACGCTGGTAATTCCAGTGTGCCTCCAGACCAGTATGCTCCTTCCTGATAGCTGCTGACTTAGAGTCATTAGAGAGAAAAAAAAAATCTTCATTTTAATATGGCACATACATTCCATTCAAATTATTATTATTATTTTTAGAGACAGGGTCTCACTCTGTCATCCAGACTGCAGTATCGTGTTATGAGCATAGCTCATTGCAGCCTCGAACTCCTGGGCGGAAGCAATCCTCCCATCTCAGCTTCCCAAGTAGCTGGGACTACAGGCACGTACCACTGTGCCTGGGGAATTTAAAAAAATTTTTTGTAGAGACAGGGTCTTGCTATATTGCCCAGGTTGGTCTCAAACTCTTGGCCTCAAGTGATCCTGGCACCTTGGCCTCCCCAAGTGCTGGGATTCCAGGTGTGAGCCACCATGCCTGGCTCCTCCTTTCAAATTGTATTATCTGCATATTTATGTCTATGTCTATGTCTACACGTGTGTGTATATAAATACACATATATCACCCTTAAGATCATTTTTACATGACTACTTTCTAGAGAAATCAGAAACAGGGTCGCAGAAGTAGCCATGAGTAGTCACCTCGTCCTTGTCCCATCAGATGCAGCGGAAGGAAGTGTTTGCTCTCCTTCCATCTTCTTCTGAAGTCCAGTCTCTCTCTTCCCAACTGGCCTGGGAGTTTTGACTCATCTTTCCTCATCACCTTCAGTCTATCCACTGAGCACCGCTCTGCCCTATGGTATCCAACCCTCTGCCACCCCTCTTCCTCCTTCTTCCCTGTGGAAAGCAAGGAGCAAACCAGGAAGCTGTGGCATATCAGTGACAGCTTTGTAATGTGACAGCAGCTGGGGACAGTAGGGTGAAGTGTCTCTTCTTCAAAATACACCCCTGAGCCACTCTACTCAGCCCACTGGAGTGTCTTAAATGGAGCCCTGTAAAGAGGGTGTGGCGAAGTCAGCTGGACAAAAGATCCTACCATCACCTCTTGAGATGAGTCACATGACTGAAATATTTTTCAACTGGGGATGTATTGTACTCAAAATGGAGAGACACCAAAGTTCCTTCAAATGGCACTGTGTGTCTGGGTTCCTTTGTTCCTTCACTCAAGCCTGATTCCCACGTCTCCATGAGCATGGCAGGAGGCTGGCTGTAGCAGCTTCTCAACCAATGGCAGGATGGAGCAAGCTACATGGTTATAGGTAGCAATGGAGGCTAATCCCACTTTGGGCTTTTTGCCCATGCAATAATAAATGAGTGTGTGTGGTTTTTGCTCCCTCTGTTAAGTGGATGTTAATTTTTCAGGCCAAAGTAATTTGAGCTGCAGTTTATCAGTTTTCTAACCTTGCTTTATCTATAATGATTTCTCTAGACTTTCAACTTAGTATAAACAAGGAAAACATTTCGGGTCAAATTTTTTTTATATATAAACATGTTAAGAGTGAGCTAAGTAACTGTTTTTATATCTAAAATACTGAATGATATTTATGAATCAATTTTCTTAAAGTTTTCATTTTTGGTAACGTCGGCTGAAACAGTGGCTGCTTACACAGGCACAGTGAAGTGCAGCCTGCAGGAGACACTTGATGACCTAAGCAGAACAACCCACCTACCAGAAATATCCAGGTAACTGAATGAGTGAATGCGTGAATGAATAATGGAGCTGGACAAAATCATTTCTATATGATCAGTTGATGTGAACCACTTTGGTTTACACACTTAAAAAATTACTCTCGGCCAGGCATGGAGGCTCACACCTGTAATCCCAGCACTTTGGGAGGCCAAGGCAGGAGAACTGCTTGAGCCTGGGAGTTCAAGACCAGCCTGGGCAACATAGTGAGACACTGTCTCTAGTTCTTACAAAAATAAAAAAAGAAATTACCCTCATGACTAAAGGTTGTATGCTACAGCCTTTACAAGACCATTTCAACACAAGGTAAAGATAGCAGGGGGGTCTGGATCAGGAGACGTGGATCAAGAGAGTCCAGGAGAGAAAAGATGGCTTGTTCAGTATGTGTAGACAATTAAATGCTTTTCTAATCGAAATTGTCTATAAATATTTAAAAGAAGACCAGTTCTACTACTTAATCCTGGGGGACCCAGAACAATATCTGTTTGTCTTATCTTTTGGCCAATTCTCTAGCCATGACCAGAGTCCCCTAGTCCAACAGTAATTCACTGAAAAGGAGTTCCCTGGCTCTTCCCTGCCCTTCTTACTTTAAAAAGAGCTGACTCCGCCCTTCTCAGTGCCATGGCTCCAGCACTCTGACAAACGCCCAGCACCAAGAGGGGGCTCAGTGGACAATACTCTAGACTCCCTATGGCCCTGGCATGGTGACCTGCACACAGTGGCATAGTGGTAGTCACAGGAGGGAGCAGGATAGAATCTGTATTCATTGAATGAATGACTGAAATCAGTTATTTTTGCCAGTTATTAAGTTTGACATTTCTTCAAGAGCATGGCACCTGAGTCCCAATTCTGCTATTTAGAACCTGTATCAATTTGGGTGAGTCACCTACCTTTCCTGAGCCTCAGTTTCTTCATCTATCAAATGGGAATAGAAATATCAGCCTTGCATGCCCCATCAAATGATGGAGGAGCTAGTGCGGGTGGAACACCCAGTGCATGTTTGCTATGATTCTCCTGTCTTTAGCTCAGTGTCTCCCAGCATCTGCCTCCAACATGCCCTGGAGTTCTTACGAGTGGAGCTGCTGGCCAGCCATCTGCTGTGCAACCAACAGTGCCACATACGTGGGGTCAGGAATAATGATTTTGCATTGGCTTTCTTTTAAAAATTCTAGGCTATATCATCTAGTCCTAGAGGTTTAGTGACACCCTCAATCAGGTCTAAAAGCCCCTTTGGTGGTGGAGGCACTGCCATCCCTCTGAAGGTCATCGGCTGCCTGACTCTGGCTGCCAAGCTGAGGCTGAGCCATGTTAGGGGAATTAACCAGCATTTTAGGCAAAGTTACAGGACTGGCACTGGGGTAAGTAGCAAATAGAAAACGAGGCTGGGAACACAGAAGGTGGGAATCAACATGCCCACAGCATGGAGAAATCAGGCTCGAGAACAAGGATGATCAATGTGTAGGAGGGAAGGTCTCCATCGCTCCAGCTGGGACACAGAAGGGCTGGGGAAGCTCTTCAGCTGGAGAGGGACCAGGTGACCCCTCCATGTGGCTGCACTTGGGGGTGCATCCTTGTTTTCCCAGGACTGATGCTTCCCCTTGAGCCCCTCAGTATCTCCTGACAAAGCTGACCACCCCCATGTAAGGGGAGATCCCTCCCCAACCCCCTTTCCATCCTGAAGCCCCTTTTGGATAAGCTCCTGCACAGGGGTCTTGATCCTGTTCGCTTGCCTTGGAGGCTCTGCCCCATCAATCACCTCACTTGAATTTGCAACCGCACCTCCTCTACTGTGTGGACCTGTCCAGACCTTTGGCCTTCAAAGCCCCCCTCCCCTGCTATTCCCTTAAGCTATTTTCCCTTTGAGTTCCCATGGTACTTTGCTCATTTTTATGGGACTGACACTGTGTTTTGTGTTATAATGATTTGTATGTGTTTCGTCTTGTTTATTACCCTGCAAACCTCATGAGGACACAAACTGTCTACCTTATTTATGTAACACCTGCAGTTCCCAGCATAATATCTTACACTAGTGGGGCCAATAAATACTGACTGTGTTAAATTTTATGATAATTCTGACTTCTAAGAACAAGTAATCATATTTCCCCACATTTTTTTTTTCTGATCCCAAAATGTAGTCACAATAATGTGATCACAGTTACACAGTGGTTTCTCTATAAATAAAACAGCTACTGGTTTCTGTTTTATCCTACTCAGACTCAAATACACTTTCCTACCTTCTTGAGTGCAAAGACATTTTCTAAGGCACTTGCCATTAGATCTCTCTAGAAAACATTATTCTGGGAGCTCCCAGTCACAACTGTGGACAGCTGAAGCCTTTTGGATGACTCCCTAGCCTCAGTCTGCAGCTTCCCTATTCAGCCTCATGTGTCCGGCACATTTTCACGACCCTGGCAGGCTGGCAGTCCCCGCCACTCTTCACTGCAGGATGCTGTGGGACTCAGTAGCCACTGCTACTGTCTGTCTGTGGCTGCCCCTCACCTGTGCACCTGGCTCTCTCTCCCAGGTTTCTTTGAGTTGTTCCCATGAAGGTCCTCATCTGCTGCCCAGCCTCTCGGTTCTATCATTTCTTTCTGGGGGCCTTAGGGGCTGCCGCAGAGGCACGGACATGCTCTGGCTTTGCGTTCCACTCTCAGCCCTGTCAGCTCTCTGACTGGTGGAGAGACGGCTCTCTCATCCTCCTTCTCAGACACGCTATTCAATTCTCTCCTGGGCACAGATGTTGAGAGTCTGTGTCAACTCAGATCTCATACGTTAGGAATGAGATTCCAATCTAGCTGATTGTCAGATTTTAAATTGCTTTTGCTTTTTTCCATTTGTGGCAAAGGGCCGGGCAAGGCTGCTGGACCCTTCTGATGACCAAGGCTACCCACGTGTGGGTGGCTGCTCAAGGCCAGGCTTCAGTCTGGGGCTGGGCAGGGCCGTCCCCTTTGTGAAGAGACTGCTGAGCCCACGTGAGGACTGAACCGACAGTATTCCTGGGTGGTGGTGTGGGGGCACTGCGGAGAATGGACCATTCACTCAACTTGAGGCTGTCATCAAAAAGGGACCTGAGGCCATTTCTGGACTAGGCAGATGGGGAGTAAAAGGCAGTCCTGGGCTGCCAAAGTATTCAGTGCTATGCCTGGACCTTTGACCTGGGTCCCCTCTGACACCTGGCACAATGCTACGGCCACAAGTGCTCCACTACATTCTTCTCTGAAATACAATGACAATTAGGCTGTACCTAATTGGTGGGAAGAGGACACTTGAATGAGACATGTACTAACCCCACCCAGAAACAAACTAAAACCACTGGACTTCATTATAAAGAGGGAAGGGAACGTCCTATGCAGGAATAGTTATAATGAGAATGTTTTCATCAGTCTATCTATACATTTTGTAATGATTTCAAATGTGAGAATTTATTATCTAATCAAAGGATTTGTGATTACTAATTAGTTACATTGCATCCAATCAGGAATTAATAATTCGAGCCTAATTGTGAATTAGGCTTCATATCCAGCTGCAGGATGCGTGCTGACTGGCAGCGCTGGGCCTGGGAGGGGCAGGCCTCCCTTCCCTGGCTCTCGGTTCCAGTGCAAAGGAGCCAGCAGGGTGGGGCCATGAGATTTTGGGCTCTACAAGGCCACACTCTAGGGATGCAGAAGGCCAGGAGGCCAACTGTTCTAGAGGGGTTGCTCAGAACCTGAGCTGAGTGGCCCAAACAAAAACCACATTTTGCTGAAGTCTGGCTGGGCAGTACAGAAAAAGAGGCTCTGGCGCCAGGGTTAGTAGTTTTGTAAATATAATAAAGATTTCTTCCCTCTCCCCAGGAAGCACACAAAGACTAAAATGAATTATTATTACTTTGGGATAAACAGTAATGCTCTCTGGGTGAAGAGCCAACTGGCAGTTTTGAAAGATTAGGTTAATCAGACACAGGGAAATTTCTGATTAATTGGACAATTACTTCGTATTCTGAGTGAGCCAAGGCAATGTTAGAGAAATATCCTGACCAACTGGGAATAAATTCACTAGCTTGAGGCAGAGACTTTTAAACTTACAGAGGATGAAATACACTGGCATTGTGTGCCCGATTTTTATGGTCTCAAGTTCCCCAAATGTATAGGGCCTATAATTATCTTTTAAGACCAACATGATTCGACATTATTTTGGTTTTAAACAATTATGGAAAACCTGTTTGACATTCCCTTGAAATAACTTTAGGACCACAGTAGATGGCAAAACCAAACTGTAAGGGTCAGAAGAGAGGGATCCTTATGTTTGATGATGGAAGATGGTCAGATCTGCACACAATGCAAACCCTCCCGGCTCCTTCCTGGAAGGCTAAGGTGGCACTGCCTCACCTGGTGGGGGCGTGTTTCTGTTCCTCCTCCTCGTCCGTGTCACTGCTGATGGTGATGACGCTGACCGTGGGGCTGGGAGTGTCGGGAATGACAATTGTCTGCCGCTGCCGTTCCCGGGTGGTGCTGGAGGCCACGTCGCCCCACCCACAGGTGACCGAGGTGCTGCAGGCCGGGCTACTGTGCACCATGGCACAGCGGGGAGGTGTGTTCTCCTTGACACGCTTGGATCGCTGTGGGGAGCTGATGGCCTGAGAGGAGGACACCTCACAGGTGGAGACATTTCTGTAATGAGAAAACCACACTCTCACACAGAGGAAGGTCAGGCCCCACAACTCCTTCGAAGGAGCCCAATTGCCTAGAAACACCTGCTTTGCCAAATCTCTGTAAAACACGTCAGTGGCTGCCCAATGAGCCTCCATCTGTGACTGGGAAAGGGATCATTCAGTGAGCGGCTACACAGGCCTTCTCTGGGCTCTGGTTTGGATCTACATGCCTGCTCCCAGCAGGACAAAGGGAGCAGCCAGGGCTTTCGGAGCAGGGAGGGGGCTCTTGTGCCCCAGGCTCTACAGGTCTTGTAGGAGCAGATGTCATGCCAGGATTCCAGCTGTGTTTGCCCCAACACACCCCCTCGCCTTCAGGGTCAAGGCCCTACTTCTGAGCTCTGTCTTGTGTCATCCCTTCAAAGGTACTTAAGTCTTGTTTTGGGGGTGGTGGAAGAATTGGTGTTTGCCACATCAAGCTTTGGTTTCCTTGCTAATGGTTATTCTACTGAAACATTCATTCCTTAAGAGTTTCAGGATCTAAAGGACCTAACCTTGGTGACCAGTGGTTCAGTTTTCCTTCTTTCCTCCTCTGGAAAAAGAACATGACCATCAAAGTATTTGTGTGCATATAATTGCTAAAAACCTTAAAAATGATTTTTCTGGATTTTGCCTCGTGGAGCCTCATGGGAGGCGCATTAGTCTAAATTGTAATAGAAAATTTGGAAAAGTGCAAGAGTTTTGAAAAAGCACTCTTAAAAAGAGAACTTTTAATCTTAATTTTGATCAACTTGAAATTCCTTACTAAATTAACCAGTGTGATTTTTGGTAACTTTAGGGGAAAAATACTTTCTCCCCTCCCTATTAGATCCTCACTGACTCTGGCACAGGGTGAACATCTTTTACCTGAAATGCTTGGTCCAGAAGTGTTTCGGATTTTTGTTTTCAGATTTTGGAATATTTGCATATACATAATGAGATATATTGGGGATGAAACCCAAGTCTAAACACAAAATTCTTTTGTTTCATATACACCTTATACACATAGCCTGAGGTCATTTTATACATTATTTTATAATAATTTTCTGGATGAAACAAAGTTTTGACTGAGACCACATGTCAGGTGTGGAATTTTCCACTTACGGCATCATGTCAATCCTCAAAAAGTTCCGAATTTGGGACAATTTTGGAGTTCTGGATTAGGGATGCTCAACCTGTAGTATCTATGCAGTGAGAGACTAACAGCAATGTATAATGAAACTCAGACTTTTATATGTCTTTAGAGATTCTAGCACCTTCTAGCTAAAGGGATGGCAGTAAAATGAAAATAATTCAATAAAGGTGGATTTATTTTCCTATCTAGCTAGTGCCAGATACATTGCTTGCTCCTTCTAGGGACTGGTAATATGTTTCACTGATATGATTGTACCATTGTTTGTACTTACTATAAACCTATGTATTTGTCGTTGCTAATACATTACAATTTTAAGATTATGTTTTTCACTACCAATGGTTTTAGTATCTCCACTTGGCATTGTTAAGGAAAAGTATGCCTGGCCACATCACCAACAAGGGAGAGACTTCTGGTCTTTCAGACTGTTTTGCTAAGGCATTGGTCTTAAAAATAAGCAAATACATACCTTTCACTATAATTATATCGATCTTGAAATGTACTGGCAATGAGGCTTCATGAAGTCAGCTGGGTGGTGAGTAAACAAAAAGGAGGGACTTGCTAAACAGGTTGGGAGGCTAAGGGTTCTTACTGCCCCTACTCAGCCAAGGTGAACCACAAAGATGCTAAGCTCAGTCCTGGGACAGAGTAGTGCTCCATGTGACCTTGCTGGGCATGACAGCCCATGAGGATTGAGACAGTGGACTTTGTTGCCACCCAGTCTAATAATGACATGGGTGAGCTGTCACAAGGCTGCCAAACAAAAGCGTTCTGGAAAGCTGCCAATGATCTGAGATAAATTTCCCTGAGTTGTCAGAAATACCCAAATAAGGAATCTTGGAGGATGACAACTTCAGCCCTTGGATGAATTTTTGAATAAGAATGAAAAGAAAAAGGCCTAGTTTCTGGTATCTGCTTATATGAGGAAGCAGAAAACCAAAATCACTAGACATTTTGTATACCAGATTTCTCTTGATTGACTTATCGCAAATAAGCAATTAAGCACCTCAAAGCTGTGCCATTAGGAAGAGATGCAGGAGCAATCCTGTAGTCACACGATCTCTCTCTCTCTCTCTGGCTTGGAAATCTCCATTTTTTAAAAAGTCAGGTTTATTAAGGTATAACTGACATATAGCAACATTTCTCCCTTTGAAGTGTTTGATGAGTTTTGACAAATGCACAGTCATAACCCCCCCTACAATCCAGACTTAGAGCTTTTCCCCTCAGGATTCTTCGCAGTCAATCTCCTCCTCTCCTACTGGTCTCTGGCAAGCCCTAATCGGATCTCTGTCTCTATGTTTTGCCTTTTCCGAAATGCCATATAGATGGAATCATACAGCATGCAGCCTTTTGTTGACCTTGATTTTTTCAAAGTGTTCATTGAGATGAGAATGGATTTAAAGGGAATGGGAAAGATTTGTGTTCTGCTGGTTAGTGTCTGGGATTAAACAAGCTATTGCTTCTATTTAAGCAAGGTGCTAAATCAGTTAAACTTCTGATCTTAGATACAAAGAAAGCACATTTCTTTAGTATTTTTTAAAACATTTTTAAACAACTTCAACATTTTAAAATATTTTAAAACAATTATTATGGTAAATTGTTTCCAAAATGAAACTTCAGGTGAAGCTGAGTGTTCTCCAGACAAGTAGAAAGTGACAAAAGATAATTTGCTTCACCAAACTTTAGTCAGGCTTGTGAACCTTCTCCTAGGTCTAACTGTGCACTCTGCTGTACAATCTACTTTTGGCAAAAAACCTTGCTAAGTCAGTTTAGCAAGAACCCACCATCCCTGATATCTGATCACCCTCGATATCTGATGAGGTTCCTCATCCTCCAGGTGTGATATCTGATCACCCGGGCCTGTCATTAGCAAGAATCCTGTTAGGTCAGTTTAGGCAGAATCTCCCTTACCCCTGATGCTTCCTCTTAGTAACTTCCCATCCACCGACACCCCCCAACCCTGCCTTGGCTATAAATTTTCACTCGCCCACGCTGTATGGAGTTGAGCCCAATCTCTCTTGCCCACTGCAAGATTCCATTGCATCCATCCCTACACTATTACCACGGTCTTAAACCAAGTGCTTCCTGCAAACCCTAGGCCAAACCAGGTGGTACAGGATGTTTTGCTAGTCACTGCAGGAAGAGGAGTGCCCCCATCCCATGCAACTGTCCCATGTTCAGAGTGGGTGCTGATACTCCCTAAACTACATTTCTTTAGCACTCACATCCCCTGGGATTTCTCTTCCCTAGGGTGGCTCTCACCACCTACCTCACAGATGACTGGTGCTGCTTACTCTTCCGGGAGGAGGTGGTGCTGGTTGGCTGCTGCCGCATCACGTGGGCCACACCCACATTTAAGGGCTGTGCTGCTGGAAGGGTCACATGACCGGTCAATAGTGCAGGCTGCTGCATGATGGGATTATAATGGCTTCCGTGAGCATGCGTATTTCTGAAAGGCAACCGGGACAACAAGGTGCCTTAGAGGTGTTCTAAAAGTAGAGCTCCTCTATAAGATCAAGCTTCCTCCCCAATTAAACGCTGACTGCAGTTGGTTATCTCACTAGCTGTGCAGCTGCTGAAGGGATGAGCCTGGCCATGTGTGCTCAACGGGTGGGTTTCTTCTACTCATAAGGAGTAGGTGAAACATAACTGGCTGTGAGTGAGAAAGAGGACTTTCAAGTGGGAAGAATGCCAAGTACACCGGCTCCAAGTTTTTAAGTTCTAGGGACTGGAGATAAATATTCCCTCCAACTTTTAAAGTCCCTGAGCACCTAGGTGTTTATCCTGAACAATATTCTATTTTAGAATTTACAGGCCAGGTATGGTGGCTCACACCTGTAATCCCAGCACTCTGGGAGACCGAGGAGGGCAGACGGCTTGAGCTCAAGAGTTTGAGACCAGCCTGGGCAACATGGCAAAACCCCCTTTCTACCAGAAATACAAAAAATTAGCTGGGCATGGTGGGGTGCACCTATGGGCCCAGCTACTCGGGAGGCTGAGGTGGCAGGATCACTTAAGCCTGGGAGGCAGAGGTTGCATGAGCCGAGATTGTGCCACTGCACTCCAGCCTGGGTGACAGAGCGAGACACTGTCTCAAAAAAAAAAAAAAAGTTTCACCTTAATTTTATAAAAAAAATTTTTAAATGAAGAAAAAGCGGAATTTACACAGTGTCTTCAATGGGTTATTTTATTCCACTCTGTGACGTAGGCAGGATATCTTAGCAATACCATTTTATTAAAGAAGAAATTATACTTTACGTGAAAAACAAACTTTGAAGCCTGGGAGCCATATGCTTCTGGTGTTAGGAAGTGTTAATGTTCTTTTGAATTCCCTCAGTGGCTGGAACAATGCTCAGGCATATAGCAGCTGATCAATTAATTACACGCTTGCTGAATGAATAATTAGATTAACTGAAGGTTGACTAGACAAGTATAAAGTTGGTATTAAATCAAAATTAATAACAGTCATGATAGAAATACTGGCAGCCCTCATCCTAAAAACGGGTTATGTTTCACAATTCTTATAATTTGGGTTGTATGAAGCTTAAAGCCTTGTTTTCCCACAGAAATGTTAAAGGTGGTGACTGACTCAGAGATTGGCCCATAAGAGCTCATTTAACACATAATAAAATTCAAAGCTAAAGGATAATTCATTTGAATTTTAGAAAATTATAAGAACCTATTGTTGCAACATGGGGAAAAGGATGAACAGGAAAAAAGAAGTAGATGAACACTTTTGTAGGGATTTTGATAGCGCCTTTTGGGCATTTACATGGACTTTAGAAACTCATATTATGGCTTCTTTTTTTTTTTTTTTTTTTTTGAGATGGAGTCTCAGTCTGTTGCCCAGGCTGGAGTGCAGTGGTGCGATCTCGGCTCACTGCAACCTCTGCCTCCTGGGTTCAAGCGATTCTCCTGCCTCAGCCTCCCGAGTAGCTGGGATTACAGGCGTGCACTGCCACGCCCAGCTAATTTTTGTATTTTTAGTAGAGGCGGGGTTTCGCCATGCTGACCAGGCTGGTCTCAAACTCCTGACCTCAGGTGATCTGCCTGCCTTGGCTTCCCAAAGTGCTGGGATTACAGACGTGAGCCACTGCATCCGACCAAGAAACTGATATTATGGCTTCTTTATTTTGTTGTAGCTCTTTCTCCTGTAGACAGGTGGCACTCTTTCTCTTTTGAGTCAGGCCTAGCACTGGTACTTCTGTTTGTTAGCCACAATAATAGATGTTCTTTGGCTCACACATGAAATGGAGAGAGACCAGGAAGAGAGTATGCTGGCTTTAGATGTCTCCTGTGGTCACTAGGTAAGAGATGTCAAAACGAAAGGAAGGAGGGAGGAGGAATAAGAAAATATGTAGGAATTAGTAAGTGTATGTGTATTTCTGAAATTAGATGAGCTATAAATGCTGAAAGACAAAAGGGAAAAAAAGGAATATGTCATGTGTGTGGTCTTTTAGGAGAAAAAGGGGCGAGGGAAAAAAAAAAACCCAGTTGGTCAGACAGCTTTCCACTCGGCTGCTCCTAAGGAGCTGGAGGAGGAAAGGCAATCTTGCTGAGCATGGGCCGATGTGATAGTGGGGAGGGAAGATGACAGGTTTATTTAATGCCTGTCATGTACCGGGCACTGCGATGGTGCATGTTAAATATAGGCCAAGTGCTTTGTATTTTATCTTACTTTAAACCTCCCAACAATCCTGTGAAGCAGGCATTACTATCCCCACTTTATTGAAGAAGAAACTGAGGTGCATAAAGGTTAACTTGCCCCAGGTCATGCAGAGCCAGGATTGAACTCAGCTCTACATGGTTTGAGATGGAGTCTCACTCTGTTGCCCAGGCTGGAGTGGTGGCATGAGGGCGTTGCCAGAAGGGAAGTGAGTGGGACTGTGGGGAAGGGCCCAGGTACTCTGTACTGGGCAGAAAATGAACTGGAGGAATGGAGGAAGCTGCAGTAGGGGTCTGACTGGGGGCTTATATCACCACCTTTCTTCTTTTCTCGGAGAGATCTTAATTCACAATAGCCTTGTAGGTCAGAATAAGAACTGTGGGAGGTTCCCTGTGTGATATGGAGGCTGTCAGGGGGTTGAGGGGAGTGACCTGTCCTGATATTCGTGCAGAATGAGAGATAGCCCAATAGGGCCATGAGGAGTTGGGGACAACTTGGAGGGTTGCCATCTGGCTCTGCACTGGTGAAGGGGCCATTGTGGTGGTGTTCGGGGGAAGGTACAAGGGTATCTAGCCATAAAAATAACAGAGGAGCGCATCTGTGAGGAAATCATGAGTTGGGCAGGGTAGAGTTCTGGAAACAGATGCAGGGGGTATGCTGTGCTGGCAGGCAGTCAGGTGGACGCCTCTGGGGTGTGTGGGAAGTAGACTCTGATCTGTAAGATATGACTATTAACTGAAGAGGCACACTCAGCAAACATGCCAGCATTTACCCTTCCAAATAAACCCCATTCTGTCAAGCCATCCCGTGGGAGGTCAGATAGACTCCAGAGTACCCCCGTCTCAAACATCTTCAGAACACTTTCTAGAATTGCTTAGGGCTTTGGGGACCCTCTTCTGCATTCTTTCACTGGTGACAGACCTTTGTTTTCTGAACGTAGAATTTAATTCTGAGAAACTACCAAACATCATCCAGAACCAAGTCTGGTGAATTACACTGATGAGTAAATGACATAACTGAATTCTGGGTGGAAATGACAACCAAGCATAAATTAATGAAACTGATTTTCTTGTATCCTGGTATATTATTTAAAAATTGCTTCTTGTTACCCTGCACTCATAGTCCACACAATATTTTTAGAAGCTTTAAAAAGCTCTCTACAAACCGGGGAATTGAAGTACAGGCCAGCCTGGCAGCCCTGTGTTGGCAGTGGACGTGCCTCCCATCCCAGACACACCCACTCACCCTAGAGGGGTTTCCTGCTTACCTCCAGTCCGCCAGCTGCTGGGTGCCTGCCATGGTCTCGGGAATCACGGTGGCATGCTGCACTGATGTGTGGGTGGCCACTCCAGTCAGTTGCTGCCATGCTGGGGGAAGCAGGATCTGCTGGGTCCCACTTGGCCAAGCCTGCTGTAGAACACAGGACATGTGCAATGACCATGTTTGCTAATCACATAATTGATTTGCATGAACCCACACTTATTCTGTGCCTGGGGTTGTGCTAGACATTCTCATGGGTGTGAGAGTGAGGGCCTGGTCTCTGGCCTCAAAAACTAAAGTAAGGGGAGATAAACAATGAACATACAGGCCGGGTGCAGTGGCTCACGCCTGTAATCCTAGCACTTTGGGAGGCTGAGGAGAGCGGATCACGAGGTCAGGAGATCCAGACCATCCTGGCTAACACAGTGAAACCCCATCTCTACTAAAAATACAAAAAATTAGCTGGGCGTGGTAGCGGGCACCTGTAGTCCCAGCTACTTGGGAGGCTAAGGCAGGAGAATGGCATGAACCTGGGAGGTGGAGCTTGAAGAAGTGAGCCGAGATGGCGCCACTGCACTCCAGCCTGGGCGACAGAGCGAGACTCCGTCTCAAAAAAAAAAAAAAAAAAAAAAAAAAGAACATATATGAACTAAGTAGAAGATAATTAAGTACAGGGACACAGCTGTATGGAAGGGATTCATTCATGTTGAAGAATGATTTCTTTATAAATTTGCTCTAATGAGCAATGCTTGAAGTTTCTGAAAGTTTATTTATTTACTTGTTCTGTCCCACAACTATGTACAGGGGATTAGGGTAGTTGAGTTGAGCTAGATGAGGGTGACCGCTGGCCCTCAAGAAGCTTTCTGCCTAGTATCCTTTATTTAACATTTTACCTTTGATTTATCAATTAGAATCTAGGTTCCAGCTTGTGTTATCTTCTGAATCTAAGTTTACACAATTCTAAGATCACCAAATATCTGGAACCTACATCTGAGAGCAAGCAAGTATGAAGTAAAATTCTTAGCTGTGACTATAGCTTAATTGAGAATTACTTTGATTTCTCAAAGCAAAAATGAGAGAGAGGCGGAAGTCACTGCTTGAACCTAATTTTTCTAAGAAATCTAAAATGAACGTTTGTGATTCTTCCTTGATAGATTCACTGGTGTGTGTGTGTGTGTGTGTGTGTGTGTATGTTGTGTTTTAAGCTCTTTTAATCCATGATCACTATTCTGCTTGTCTTTGGTCATTAGATGATTCAGACTGAATACCACTGCCTAAAGTTGGACACTTAAAGCATAGTCACTAAGGTAAAATACCTTTTGGACAGATCAAATATTTAAAGGTTTGATATCTTAGCCATCTCTCTTTCTATCAGAGTGGATGTGACTAACATTGGGTAATTTATCGAATGCAGTGCTTCACAAACTGTGCATGTGCTCAGTGTGGGTGTTTTATAGGTACAAATACGCAATTCTGGAAATGGATTACAGATTTGAGTCAGGGCCTAAAAAACATTGACGCTTATAAAAATGAGAGAATCACATTTGAGAGCTGAGTGGACCAGTTCACCTGTTCCGTTATTTTCATGTTGCACCTGAGGCCCAGTGCAATCTCTTAGATGTTTTTGATACTGTTTGTTTGCTTTTGATATAGGCAGAAGCTCAGGGACCATGCGCATACCATGAGTGCTTAATATCTGTTGATAAAATGAAAGAAGCAACTCTACCAACGCTATTAACTACAGTTAATTGTATTTCAGGTTTACTTAACTCACAGAAAGCGGAAACATAATTTAATTGATTAAAACAGTTGCAAATTCCAAATATTAAATAAATAACAATTTCGTTTGCAGTAAGGTTTCTACTGACTTAGCCAATTGGAACTCATTTCAGAGCTCATGAAAAGCATTAGTTTTAACTAATGTCATTTAAAAAATAAATCTTGATATCAAGCTAAGGTTATCATTTTTCTTCTATTTCCCTGAAATGGATATTAACATTTTACCTCAAAGAGATAGGGTAGAAAGACTATTTTTGACTTATTTCACTGATTGATATGCTTGGCTCATTTGTGACAACGCTTCATCAGACATTTTTATAATTTATTACTACTAACAAGAATGAAGTGAACATTTCTTAATGGATATTGTGTGCCAAACACAGAGTTAAGTCATAAATGAGTTTCTGACTACTTCTTTTTTCTGACTTCTTAATACCAGTTCTGTGAGGTAGGGACTGTTATTTTCTTCCATTTCTAAGATTAATAAATTGAGACACAGAGAGGTTAATAATATTAATAACTTGCCCTGAAATATGGTAAATTAAACATATACATTTATTGCCTTCTTTACACTCAACTAAAATGATAGTAAAGGAATAAAAAATACAGATTCATAAGGGCAAAGAGAGTAGGAGAGAGGCAATCACCATGAATAAAATTTTAGAAGCTGAAAAACTGATGGACAATTACTAAGTGAATTAACAGACTGAAGGAATCTAAGATCAGGTCTTCATTTCCCCTTAGTTCCCAGATCCTTGGTGTACATGCTTATACCACCCTCCACTCCCCGCCCCAAAGCAGGAGGCTAGACAATTCTCTCTAGGGGAAATGACTAGTCCAAGAGAAAATAACTACAGATATGACATTTAAGGATCAGGGGATCTGTCAGTGAAAATGCTGGACTTGCCTCTTTTCAGTCTATAGAGAAGCCCACATTCAATAGTCTCTCCCCTACCCTCCAGGTTTCCAATTAGTTTTTTAGTGCTTTAGTCTTAAATAGGAATGAATAGCTAATGATCACCAGACAGTAAAGGAAGCCTCTAACCTGAAAGAGAATAAAATAAGCAAACAAAAGAAAGAGGAAACAAAAACAGTGTGGGAATCAGAAGAAAATTTTCTAAAATCTATAATTAATGCCTTTACAGAGTTAAAAAATATATCCATGAAACAAGATCATATAAAGAATCAATATCTATATTCAGAGAACATGCTCTTTTTTGGTATGGAGGGAGCAGAGAACAAACTCTTGGAAATGAGAACTACAACAACAGAAATTAACCATTCAAAAGGAGGTTTCAAAAAAGTTTAAGAAATCTCTTAGAAAGTAGTGCAGACAGAGGATATATAGGAAATAGAGGGGAAAAAAAGATAAGAAAATCGGAAGATCAATTTAGAAGTACCAACACTCAATTAATAAGAATTCTGCAAAGGAGAAACAGAGAAAATGGAGGGGAAGAAATTATCAAAGGAAAAAAAAAATCCAGATTAAAAGGGCAAATAGGGTGTTCAGGACAATGTAAGAAAAAAGACCCAAAAGAAGGCATGTAGTCATGAAATGTGAGTCCACTGTGGATGAGGAGAAAGTCGCTTTCAGAGAAAGAAAAAACAACATACTGAGATCAGTGTGCTCAAACACATCAACACATCAAACATACAAACCTTTTATAGCTCTGGAAGGGTTTGGGGCTGTATAATGAGATATACAGAAAACTAACCCAATGGGAAAAATGAGGCAATCATTAACTCCAGGAAAAACAAAAAGATGTGTTAGAAAGAAAACATAATCACAGTATATTATAAGGCTCAACTAAGAATAATATTATATAATATTGATAATTATGTAAATATTACAAAGTAGTTGAATCAAAATTATGTGGGAGGAATAGGAGAAAAGAGTGAGTGAAAGGAGGAACAGGAGAGAAATTGTGTGTGTTATGGGGATGGCAGTGGGTTAGAAAGCTAAATCTTCATCTTCCATAATAGGAAGTCAATGGATAATACCTAAAATGGAAAAAAAAATCCATAAAAAGCAGTCTAAGCATATTATTTAGAAACACAGAGTTAAAGAACAGATTAAACAGTTAAGTTAAAAATTATCGTTATGGCCAGGGCACAGTGGCTCACACCTGTAATCCCAGCACTTTGGGAGGCCAAGGCGGGTGGATCACTTGATGCCAGGAGTTTGAGACCAGCCTGGCCAACACATTGAAACCTAGTCTCTACTAAAAATACAAAAAAAAATTAGCCGGGGCGTGGTGGCACATGCCTGTAATCCCAGCTACTCGGGAGGCTGAGGCACGAGAATTGCTTGAACCCAGGAGGCGGAGGTTACAGTGAGCTGAGATTGCACCACTGCACTCCAGCCTGGTGGCAGAGCAAGGCTATGTCTCAAAAAAATACGTGTGTGTGTGTGTGTGTGTGTGTGTGTGTGTGTATAAATAAAAACTTTTAGGGATAATATATATTATATATATAAAATATATATATAACAGGGATAATATATATGTGTATATATATACATATATACATATATAATGTAACTATATATATTGTTATGGGGAGGAGACATTAAGGATGGGATAGAGCAGAGGACTATAATTTTCCTATAAGTTTATGGTATTAATTAACTTTTAAAAATTATGTACATGTATTACTTTGAAAAGGAATTAAATTTAAATTTCAAAAATAACTTCCCCAAAGCCATATAGCCAGTAAGTGGTGAGGCAGCCATCTGAATGTGGGCAACCTAATTCCAGTGCCCATGCTTTCAGCCAATATACACCTCTCCTTGTGTTGATAATACACAAAAATAATGGCCCCTATTCAGGATCAGGCATTGGTGGTAACTGCATAAAGGTGGCATGAACAAGTCTTCCTTATTCTCTAAGAATATCAGGTGCCAGTCAAGAGACAGGCAGACAGCAGGACAATGGTTGGAAAGACTGGTTGCTGAAAATGTTATCAGAGGAACTTTTGAGTGAGAAACATTAAAATTTTGTATTTCGAACAGTTTAAAGGGTTCAAGCCAACAGTTTGTTTTCAGGGAAACATTTAAAGGCTCAGTTGGTCAAATATGAGCCCAAGAAATAAAGTAAATAAGTAAAAAATAAAGAGGTTCAGGTGATATGATTTGATTGGCTAGAAGAACACAAAACACTTCATGGAAGGGTGGAGTCTACAGTGATTTCTCTAACCCTGCTAGTCAAAGGAGATTTTAGATCCTGACATTTGACAAGTCAGATAAATTCAATACTGTCTCAATCAAGAACTGTGCTTCCCATCTCTCCACTATTACCTACTCATTCACAATTTCTGTTGGTGGCCAAGATGCTAGCTGTGGCATGGGGCTTGGGAGGATGGAGTTGACAGCTCCTTTTAGGCAGTACCAAAAAAGCTTTTGTTGCAAGGTGATCCACAAAGATCACTCCCATATCACTAACATAAGCAGAATGATTACCATTTCCACCTGCCATGCACACATCCTCTGGGTGCCCCACAGAGGCCTGTTTCCCTGAAAGTTTTATGTGATGCTGCTGGGAGGTGGGGAGGAAAAGGGCAAAGAAAATGAAATTAACATGAGGAGTGGATTCAAAGACTCCATCTCTAAGTGTTCATAAGTAAAATCCTTTAAAAGATTTTCAGTATTTAGAGAAAAAGAACAATGTCAACTTTTTGAATACATTTATGTCAAATAATAGGATTTGGAATGCCTCTGCCTGGTGCCTAGAAATTTAACTGTAGAAAAACGAAGCCTTCAGTTTAAATGCTTAATTGTGCTTTTTTATAGCCACCATAAGAGTTTTATAAATTAACTTATTTTTGTCCTTTGAAGGGAATGTTTAAAAATATCTAGGAGAGAGCCCATCTCAACAGGCTAACATATTGGCATGGATTAAGTGACAAGCAGAGAGAAAAATAAAAAGCAACTGACAAAAAGACACAACACGATACTGGATAGGGCAGGATTTTTTTCACTTAATATATCTTAGAAATCTCTGCATGTCAAGACACAAAGGTCTACCATGTTCTTTTAATGGCTACATGGTGTTCCATTTTACGTGTGCATCAACTTATTTAACCAATCCCTTACTGACGAACATTCAAGTTTCTTCCAACAATCTCAGTTATAAACACAGTAGCAATTAAAATCCTTACACACGTATTTTTTGTTCACTTTCCTAATTACAGCTTTAGGTTAAATCTACTTGGAGATTTACAACACTCTAGGGACTCTCTTTCAAGGAAGCAAAAGGTAAAGTTCTCCCCTGCTACGATTAAAGGACTGAAACAAATTCTGACTGCTGAGTCTACTGGTTCCACCAAACTGAACAACGAAGAATCCCTATTTTGGCTAATAAGAAATGCTAATTATTATTTCTTTCAGAGATGGCTCCTGGCTTACTAGGGTTAAGTGTGCAAACATAAAAAAGATCTGTAATTATCCTTTAAAAGCACACGTGAGTTCTGTAGATTTGGGCTCACAAAGGCGGAGCACTGGGAGACTGGTGTGGATTTTTGCCACTCAGATAAAGTATGAAGAAGCTTTTTTGCCCCTGGACTGAGCTGTAGTTCTTTCTCTGATCTATCTTGGCCTTTTCTGAACTCCCCGCTACTGAACTATGCAAATAAAAGGAAGCTACAAGGACCCATTGGAGAGAGAGGAACGAAGAGAAGGCCTGTTTTAAATACAAAAAGTTCTCTGTTTACAAACTTTCAATAAGACAAAACTTTGTGTGCTACCAGTCACTGGTGTTAGTGGTCAACTGCACAGTGTCATTCTGGACCTAAGCACAGAGATGAAGAATACTTCATATCGATCTTAAACAAACTGTTCCGGAAAACAGAATAGATAATAATGTAACCACAGCAGTCTGGTTCAACTTTTATGTAACAAAGTTGTGAGTTGTTTTTCATTTGCCATGGATCCACAGGTTAAAGGTCACATAACCTGAGCATGCCCAGATGAACCAGGTATGTAACAACAGGCAGAACCTAAGTGCCTGGATTGAGGCGAGTGAATGGAATTTAGAAATGGATACCACATGGCAGGATCCAGGATCCAATCAGATCGAGCTGTGGCATCACTGCATGGCAGGATCCAGTCAGATCATGCCTCTGATATCAATTCGTTGCAAGATCCAATCAGATCATGCCTCATTACCCTATGCTTATAAAACCTGACCCAGCCCTTTGCTCAGAGACACTGCTTTGGGAACTATCTCCAGTGTTCTCCTTACTTGTTACAAGTAATACAATCCCCTTGCTAAATCCTTGTCTGTGGTCATTGGGTTGGTACCTGTCAAGTGACCAAACCCACTCGTGTGGGTAACAACAAGAAGAAGATATTTTATGAGCCTGGTGTAACCTTGTACTCAAATCAGATAAGGATTTTATAAAAAGGGAAATTATATGCCATTTTTCACCTATGAACATAGATATAAAAATACTAACTATAGTACTTACAAACTGAATCCAATATTAAAAAGCATATCATATCAAGCACATGAGCAAATGGAGTTTATATCATAAATAAAAGGGTAGTTTAATATTACAAAATATATTAATATAACTTGTCCCATTAGTAGATTAAGGAACAAAAAGCATATGAGTGTCTTAATAGATACAGAAAGAACATTTGATATAATTCAATATTCATTACAAAACTTAAACATGATAAAGTGTTTCTATTAATTTTTTTTTTTCTTTACAGACAGGGTCGTACCCTGTTGCCCACCCTGGAGTGCAATGATGTGATCATAGCTCACTGCAGCTTCAAACTCCTGGGCTCAAGTGATCCTTTTGCCTCAGCCTCCTGTGTATCTGGGACTGCAGGCATGTGCCACCATGCCCAGCTAATTTTTAATTTTTTTTTGTAGAGATGGGGTCTCACTATGTTGCCCAGGCTGGCCTTGAACTCCTGGGCTCAAGTGATCCTCTCATCTCAGCCTCCTGAGTAGCTGAGACTACAGGCCTGGGACTACAGGTGTGCACCACCACACCCATTACAGAGTGTTATACCATGTTCATGGATAAAAATGACTTACACGTTTAAAGATGTCAGTTGTTCCTGAAGTAAATATAAATTCAATGTATATCCAGTAAATATAAAGCAGATTTTTGGTTTCTGTAACTAAAATTCTTATGAAAGAGTGATGTTAAAATTCACTTAAAAACATGAAGGGACAAGAACAGACAAGGAAAATTTGAAGAACTCTCTGGGAACAGGGCTTCCCTACTAGATACCAAGACAGACTAAAGTTACAATGGTTAAGACAACAGGATATTAGAGAAGCCAATGGAATAGAAGAGCACAGAACAAACCTACGCAATTTGATTACATAAAAATTAAATTTTTAATTTTTTAAATTAAAAATTAAACAACAACAAAAACAACTTCCATTTAACAAGACAGGACAAATAGTGTCTTTGGGAAAAGCCTTTGTGAACCTACCTTATTTAAAAATAAAGCTGCTTCTAAACTAATAACATTTAGGTCAAGCTACTCAATAGTAGAAATGATTATACAGAAGTAGTATAGCTTGGTGGTTGAAATACAGATGCTGGCATCAGACTTACTGGGTGTGTGTCCTGGTTCTGTTACCTAATTGTTGTGTGACTCTGATGAGCAAGTTATTCTGCTTCAGTTTCCCTATTTGTCAAATGGAGACAAATACTGTGGCATTGTGGGGATTAAATCAATTAACAACTGTAAAGTGCCCTGGTATAATGATGATGTATTTGTTATCAGGGTTCGAGTGTCATTAAGGATTGTTACTGTTATCATTGCATCACTACTGTTACCTTACGTTTACATAACACTTTACAAATTTTCAACCATTTTTCATCTCTGCCATCTCATTCTACCATCAGAGCACCTACATGGATACAGAGATAGAAGGTTCCAGCTTACAGTAACCATGAGCCTGGTTTTTCAACTATAAAATGAGAGGATAATCACCAAGGCTCCTTTTGGCTCTAAAAACTCATTTCTATTTTACAAGAAAGAAATTTGAGGCAAAGAGATATTAACTGACTTGCCTTAGGTCATAGACAAGTTACTAGCAGTTAGGATTAAAACCTAGGTATCCCAGATTAATTTGCATTTCAAAGATATAATAATAATAATTTCCCCAGACTCTCCCTGTATCTAAATTTCTTCTTGGAATTGTAAGCAGATACTTAGGAAGGTAATTCACTTGGGGACCATTTAGAATATTACAGATACATTCCAATGACTAGAAGCACCTAACTCATTACTAGGGAGAGAGGGAGTGGAGATATATATCTTTTGTGAACAACATTAACACAGGTAATGGTAATACCAGTAATAATAAAGGAGAAAGAATTACCTGGGCAAGCAGACCTGGTTGGATCTGAAGAGGCTGAGCTCCTGGGGCTTGAGTGACGATGGGAACTGCATTTTCCATTCGCACCGAGTAGCCAGCGTGCTTAGAGGGAGAGGCCTGCAAGCCTGTTCCAGACAGTGTGAGGGAGAGAAGGGTTAGCTGAGACGCTGTGAACAGCTGGATGAAAAGAACCTTCCTGGGCAGTTATGTCAACTTTCTGCTTCCCTTTGCACTGGTCACTGACAACAACCAGGTATTGCCTGGTCCTTGGAAGTCTCCCCTTTGGCTTCTAACAAATTAAAAAACAAAACTCCTCCTGAAATCTTGAATGTCTTCAAAGGCTAGAAGGTCAGATTAAGGAGGCTGTAAGGCCAAAAGTAGGACAGATATGCTCGCAGATTACAACAGGAAAACAAGGGCTTCTGACCATCAAGATGTACCTGTGTATGTCAAAATGAGGGGTGTTGGGGAGATGTATGAACCCATTTGGAATTGCATTGACTGTAACCACACAGTTTACACCATGAGGCTTGCAAAAATAAATTCTTAAGCTTTCTGGGTAAATTGTAACAAAGTACACAGTCTAGCTTCTTAGAGTCTACAGGAGAGGAGTGCTGGGGTCATGGCCAAAGAATTGTTTTGAGGAGGGGTCCCAGGGAAGTACTTTTCAGACTGATGGATATTCTTCATGGGAGCTGGGACTATGTCGGCTGTCAGAGATTGGCAGTTTTCTACAGATAACCCACACAGAGGATATTTCATGCGAGGAAAAGCAAGAGCTGACATCAGCATAACAATGAAAGCACAAACTATGTACTTATTTACAGACAGCTGGCCAGGGACACAGTCCCTGGCAGGTGTGAGAGTCACAAAGGATTGACTTGGTGCTGAGGCATAAGCCCTATTGTTTCTAGGTTGGCCACAGTAGGAGAGGAGCCCTCTAGTTCAGTGATACCAGCGCTCTCACTGGAAGAAATGAGGAGGGCCTTTCTCCATGAAAATGAGCGTGACAGAAAACTGCAGGTGCCGGAGCCCCAGAGGCCGTTCTGTAAGAAGCAGGTGAGAGGCTGTGGCTGCTCAATCTTACCTTGGAAGCCGGGGGGACACACGATGAGAGCTTGCTGGAACGGGTCAGGCCGGGCACAAATCTGGGCTGTTCCTGTCTGCAGGGGCATGCTCCGCTGGGCCACTGCAGCCATGGATGCCGCTGAGGGCTGGTAGAGTGTAGATGGGTAGTTTAGTATGGAGACTTCGGGATTGGCTAAGGAAATAGTGGCACTGGTAGAGGAGGGAGCCTAAAGGAGTGATGGGGATTAAACAAAAATAAACAAAAATAAAAAATGAGGGAGGTGGCATGTTGGGAGACACGAATCTAAATCAAATAAATGAACTCAAAGAAGAACAAACAAACAAAAACTAAGAGCAGAAAGGCAAAAGCAGAGAGGAGTGGAAACACGATTGAAAGTCGCAGGGAAAAGCAGGTCCCTGAAAACATGGGAGACAGTCACCTTGGTGTTCACATTCAGACTTGCTCCTGGCATTTGTGAGGCCCAGACAAGAGGACACACGGATGCCTGCTACCATGTCTAAATGCTGAAAAGGCTAAAAATTAGGCTAGAAAACTGTTTAATAAAATGTTCTGCCTTTTCATTTTGACAAATACACCTTCCCAATAACCGGGAAGACCAGGCGTGAGTTGAGGACTATGGGATTCCTTGGGTTCTGTGCTGACACATGGTGACAGGGAGAGAGCTGGACCTTGCCCTCCTTCTCTCTGCCCAAGCCCCATTCCATCCCACAACATGATGAGCTCTGGGTGCCTGGACCTGCCAGCCTGCACGTCCAAGCTCTGCTCACACTCCCCTCGGGCCTGGTGGGTGCAGTCCACATGTGGGAGGACAAATCCAGGGGGAGGCTCTTGCAGGCCCTAAAGGACTATGGTCTCAGTACCCAGAGCTTGGCACAGGAGCACATGCAACAGGCGGAGAGCAGGGCCGAGGAGGGGCTCAGGACTATGGGCAGTACTGTTTACAGATGTCCTTAGATGGCTGCAAAGCTTAGAGAAGTACAGGAGATGTATGCAGAGAGGGAGAGGGACATGTTGAGCCTGGGGCTTTGTGTCTGCATCCCATGCATTCATGTTGGTATGCAGTGACAAAGCCTGGCAGATAGAAAAGATGCTGGTGTGTCCAGATAACTGAAATGGAGGTGGCTTTGACAAACACAAGCCATTGACATTATGTCCTCTTGCCTTTCTTTTTCAGAAAAAGACATCACTTGAGACTGAACTTGCATGAAAAATGAGGCTGTATAAGGAAAATAAATTCCAACTTTGGAATTCTCCAGTTTCCCCTATCTTAGCCTTCATACTGATCCTTTAGCAAGATAGGTGGTTACCAGTGGTTTCACATTCAGCACTGTCTACAAGAGGTTTTGCCTCTAGAAGTTACAAGGACCAGGGAATACATAGGAAGAAACCACGAAGATATCTTGGACACAAATAGAATTTCAAGTAGGGTGTGTATGGATGTCACATTTGATAAAAAGGACAAAGTCTTATTTTACATATGTTTTCTATACTTAGATTTTGTGCTAAATTTCATTGCAAAGCAAATTGATTTGTTTGAAAATAATCACGAAATTGAGTGGCACAGATGTCTGATTTTAAGCCACATATTTTAAAGTGGGTGTGCTTTTGCAGCGTCGCATAGTCTGCTTGGGACACGTGTGTACATATGTGGGCATCAGTGTCTGTGTTTTGTCAGATGACATGACTTGTATTTCCTGTTTTCTCCATATCGCGATCTCTTCCGGAGGCTTCTTCCCCCTCAACCCTCCACATTCCCCATGGTCTGCTCATATCTAGACTCCCCCCAGCCCTTAGCCCCTGTGGGTGTCCCTGCTGGGGGTCCTGGCACCTGTATCCTCTAGGTTCCCAAACTTCTGCTCGGTGGTTCCACTTTCTTGCCAGCCACTGCTCCTGCTGCTGCTTCCTTCCTGATGTCCCTGGAATCCACTGACTCTTTTCAGTTGTGACTTCCTGGTGCCTGGGACCTATAAGGCCCTGACTAGAAATGTTCTGGTCTCTACTTCCCTTCCAGCCTTCTTGAGCACAGAGGGTAGATCATTCTTTCCACAAGACACCTTTGTGCATGTCAGCACCCCTGCTCCAAAATCCCAATTACAGCTTGATGAACATGGTATGCGCCTGGTCTAGTGCCCTGTTTTCCCTGGTTTGGCCAACCTTACCTTCTAGACTTATCTCCCTCTGCTCTCCACTCTTCTGACACCAAGATTAGTTTACTCATTGTTTTCCAAGCATACTGTGAGCACAGGCCTTTCCCTTCATACAAGCTCTCTGACCCATAGCATTCTCTCCAAGCCTTTGGGCTTTAAGGCCTAGCCTGGGTCCCACATGCCCCATTGTGAAACCCTTTCAGACACCATTAATGGAAATGAATTGCTCCTTCCTTTGCTATCACACAGTACAATATAGCCTTCTAGCCCAGCTCCTGTTACAATCTGCCTTACAGTACAGTTGGTCTTTCCAGCCTAAAGTCTCCTGGGAGGGAGGGGCTGTGTCTTAGTGGTGTTTTCCTCCAGCCTGCAGTGGTCTCTCCTTCCTCTCGATTCTGTAACACATAATCTGTTTGTCTACCTGGCCCCTAGTACATGCTATTCTGCATTTTGATTAAACTATTTTTGCTTACAGCCTGTCTCACCATGGAGACCATGAGCTCCTTGAGAGGCTGAATCTTCCAGCTCTGTAGACTCAAGGACAAATGGCACTTGTGTCCTGATATGGACCCAGTCTCCAGTGTGACCATCAGACATGCATAAGGTTTTCCCCTAGTTTCGAACCCTGCTTAAGGACCAGTTGAAGAAGCCCATGTGAGGGCAACAAAAAGTTTTCTACTTCTGTATATCCTCCTTTAGCTCTCAGAAAGGTAGCTAGCCTATCACTTGCCAGAGAGGAGCACACAGAGAACTGGGAAGAGCTCTTGCAGCTGACAGATAGTAATAACAAGAAAAAACAAGTTAAAAAAAATCAGAGACTGGGGTCTTGCTATGTTGCCCAGGCTGGACTTGAACTCCTGACTCAAGTGGTCCTCCCACTTCAGCCTTCCAAATAGCTAGGATTACAGGTGTGCACCACTGTGCCTAGTGAAAAAGCAAGTTTATTGATGACACAGGTTTTCCAAAAATGGAAGAAGTGATTCCTGGAAGCAGTTGTAGTAGACGTTCAAATGGTTCCAGAAGGAAGGGGTTTGAGCTTGGTCTATAAACTCAAATTCAAATTCTTGGTAGAAGGCTAGGTCCAAATAATAGAATTCCACGGAAATGTTAGAGAAGTTGCTGATCCACATGATAAACAAGGAATAGCTGAGAGAAGACTTATTATTCAACATGTTACCAACTGGGTAACCTGAAAGTTTTAGAAAGTAGAGGAAGTCAGCTGCCTTGAGACTTAACGGGTTATGAATTATTGACCCAGCTTCCTTGAGACCTAAAAGATTGTAGATTCATGATCATTTGGGAAATGGTTCTTTGGTTAGTCTACTGGATATATGTTAAAGGTAGCAAGAGATTCTTTAAGTAGTTTAATGTCCTTCAACTTCTAACATAAAACTATGCATATATTGTATTGCTTCTAAATATCTAAATGGGCAAACAGCTCCAAGGAGCTCATGTAGAAAGCTAGCTACTAGAACCAGCAATGAACAGAAGAAGTCTTGTTGGATTTAAAGAGCAGACATCACCTAGGAAAGGCATTTGGGGACCTCCATAAGACTTACTTAAGACTTACTTATGCTGCTGTGTATGTATATTTTAAGAGTCCAGACTCTGAAGCCAGATTGCTGGCTGCAAAGCCTAAGCCCACCTCTCATGAACGAGCAAGGGCCTTGGGTAAGAGAATTAATCACTCGGTGCCTCAGTTTCCTCCTCTAAAATGGAAATGATAATAATAAAACCTATCTCACAACGTTGCTGGGAGGATTAAGAGTTATGGTACGCTTAGTAAAGCCTGGCACATAATAAGTGTTAGCTATTAGTAATGATGTTATTTAATAACAACAGTATCAGTGGAGGGAAAGCATGCCTTAGTGCTTAAGGCTAGGTGTGTCCTGAGTAATTTTTTTTTCCTGATGTATTCAAAAGTAGGGAGTAGTAGAATCCAATGCAAGAGAACAGAAATCCTGTTCTTGGACCCTTTGCTTTTGTGGGATGTCATTTTCCCTTACCCACGACTCTGGCCCAAGCATCACACTAAGTTACCAGCTACTCCTACTTCACCCCAGTCCCAAGCCAGATCTGGATGGTCTCAGTGCCGTGGAGAAGACGGGTGTTCTTATTTGACAACTGCCTTTTGATGAGCAACCCTTTTAGTTTTGCAGAGTCTTTGCGACACCCTTTGGAGTGGATATGCTGGCTGTCATATCACCAGCAAGATGGCGGTGGCCCCCCACCCCGCGTCTGGTCAGGGACCACAGTTCTCCAGCCTGGCAGAAAGACATCCATGGGAAGGACAGCCTGCTGGGGAGACTCCACTTGACATGACGCCTGCATTGGAGGGGTGCTCCTTCCTCCTGTTTCACAGATGCCTTTGATACCTGATGGGGCAGATGTTAGATGGGGACAGGTAGTTTGGGGTTAGGGAGTTAAGACCAGGTGCCTCATGAGGGCTGGTGGGAGAAACAAATGTCTTCAAGGAGGTAATGAACAAAACCATGCTGATTTTTGTCAAGAAGCTCACAGGTCTGGCTATGGATGCTTTAGCCTTAGGGCTGGGCAAGGTTAGTTTTCGGACTCCCAACAGCTCTTTCACCCTAAGGAGAGCTTCAAGAATGCAAACGGCCCCCAGAGGGCAGCAGATACCAGGTGGTGTCTCCTAGAATTTGGGCAAAGGGAGATGGCAGGCTGGGAAGAAAAGCTAGGCCTGAGCAGGCCAATGTGCCACAAGGATGGCCTAGGGGAAAAGGGTGGGAAGGGGAGCGGCTGAAAAGCAGGGGGCAGTGACTCTTCAGTGACAGGAGGGACCTTTCAAAAAGAATGGACATAAGGTATTCACATTTCAGGTACACACACATCCACACAGAAGTCTTTTCATTCCAGATTGATATTAAGAACAAAAATCTGGGGGCCCTTCTTTAGGGGAACTAGGAGGATTGAAAGATGGGAGTAGGAGTTACAGTTTCTTAGACACTAGAGGCAGTCTCAGCTCAGACTTGGAGATTATTCATTCAATAAATATTGCCTGGGTGTCATCCAAGTTTCAAGCAGTATGTTAGCTGCTCCTTCTGCCAATTTCCTGGAAATCTGTGGGAAGAAAACCTTAGCTTCCTGATCCCATTTAGTTCCAGCTGCTGGGATTCTGGTGACAGGCTGATGAACTGATTTTCTCCATGACTCGGAGAAAGGACAGGGTTTATCTGTCCCAAAAGGAGATCAGGTAGATCCAGCCATGTGGGGACGAGGGGAAGGGCCTGAACTGGGTGATTCCCTGAGTCCTTCCCAGTTCTAGAATCTTTATTTTTTTTAGATTAAATCCATGTTTCCATGATCTTTTTCTTTGTTTTTTGAGACGGGGTCTCACTCTGTCCCCTAGGCTGGAGTGCAATGACATAATCATAGTTCACTGTAGCCCTGAAGTCCTGGGCTCAAGCACTTCTCTCACCTCTGCCTCCTGAGTAGCTGAGACTATAGGCATGCACCACCATACCCAGCTAATTTTTTGTATTTTCTGTAGAGATGGCGTCTCACTGTGTTGCCCAGGCTACTCTTGAACTTCCTGGCTTTAAGTGATCCTCCCACCCTGAACTCCCAAAGTGCTGGGGTTATAGGCATGAGCCACTGTGCCTGGCCAGTTCTAGAATTCTTTACCAGGCACATATCAGGCATAAAAGGATCATAGCACCCCCTTCCCCCTATTCCCACATCAGGACAGAGGAAAGCAGTAAGGGGAACCATCTCAGAAAGAATGGCCCTCACCAGTCCTTTCTGGGACCTGTCAATGGGGCCAGAAGTCAACACAAAATGTGCCTGGGTCCCTCAAAGGAAATAACCTTGGATGCAAATACTTTGTTTAGTTGTTGAACATGACAGCAGGAATTTTGCCTCCTGACTAGGTATGATGGAAAATACAAGTCCTGAGGCTCACACTGTGCAGCCCCGCCTCTCCTTCCCTTCTGTTTCCCACTTACCTGGTTGTGGACAGTGGTCAGCTGGTTGTTAAAGGTCATGGTCAGGTTGGTGGACGTGCTGGGGGCCACGTGCGTGATGAAAGGGGTTTTGCTCTGGTTCACCGTGTCATACATATTCACCCGACGCTTGCAGATCTCCATGTTCTGGAAACATGATTTGACGCTGTTCATGCAAAAGGCAGAGGCATATTGAGACATAAGGGGAGGGGAAGAGGGTAACGTGGGATGAAGGGGAGAAAACAAAGGAAAGGAGAGAAGGGTTAATTCAGTAAACAGGACAAGCAGGGAAACTAAACTTTAGGTCTAAGTTTCTTGGATTGCTTGTGCAAAGCCTGTGCATTTGCAACAGGCACGGTTATTCAGATGAATTTTCTCCAGTGCCCTACTACCCTTTCTCCATATAGGTTCTATATATCACAACAAAACTGACTGCTCACACTGCATTCTCACATCAGGTCCACCTGCAGCATCACTGCTCATTCTCAACTCTCAGCCTGGTTTCTGGCCCACAAACCAATGTATAAGCTCTCTGAATGGGAACATTAACTAGTCACTTATAACCCGCCTCCACCTTTCCCAAAGACAACCCTTGTAGTCACCTGCTTCAGCTACCCTGGGTCACCAGCACCACCTAGGGGACGGCCAAGGAACTCTCCAACCCAGTATGGTGACCCTATTGCCACACTTTCTCCCACAGGGGTTGTGCAGGTAGGTAATGGAAACAGTAATAATACTAATAATTAATAATAGTGGTTAACATTTATTAGTGTCCTAATAATAATACTCTGCAACCTCTCACTCGGTCCGGCAACATCCATAAGACGGAGACATGATTCTCGTCCCTACTTCACGAGTAAGGCTGAAGCTTAGGGAGGTAGGGAGTTTGCCAAGGATAGGTAATCACTGGCTACCTTCGTGTATACACATACGTCCTCTTTCACCAACTTCAGCCTTCATTTTCTTGTCTAAGTCTTGTCCAGCTACATGAAATAGAAATTTTCTCCTTTTCTTCCCCCATTGCATCTGTGTATCAAAACAAAACCCCAACTACAAAAGTAAAGTATAAAAGTGGTGCTGAAACCAGCATCAGGGAAAAGGAAAGCCACAAGTGGCTTCAGCCACCCAAATTCTTGAAAATCGACCAAAAAGTGTCCTTCAGAATTTATACAGCGCTTCTCATTCATTTCTTGTAGTTAAACTTACTTTTCCTCAAATGCTAATATTCAAGATAATAAAATCCCTTTTAGTCTGGGTGGGGTGGCTCACGCCTTAATCCCAGCACTTTGGGAGGTCAAGGTGGGTGGAGTCCAAGAGCTCAAGACCAGCTTGGACAACATAGGGAGATCCTATTCTCTACAAAAAAAATATAAAAATTAGCTGGCTGTGGTGGCACGTGCGCATGGTCCCAGCTACTTAGGAGGCTGAGGTCGGAGAATCACTTGAGCCTGTGAGGTCGAGGCTACAGTGAGTCATGATTAGGCCTCTATATTCCAGTCTGGGTGACAGGGTGAGACCCTGTCTCAGGAAAAAAAAAAAAAAAAAAATTAAAAGAAAAAGAAAAAAAACTCATTTAATTTTCAACTCAAAATGTCTATTTTAATTATAAAAAATGTAATAACTGAATGAGTAAAATAAAAGTTTTCTACTATTTTAGGATTACAAACGTGTACTACTTCAGTACTCTGTGGGTATGCTATCTTTGGGGCTAAGCAGGTGTCTGTGGGCTATTCCCAAACATCCTGTGAAAAATGCATTCCAAGTTTCAAATGACTGACTGAGACGCGACTTAGAGAGTCCTACTTCTTTCTAAGATTCTGACCACTTACACTGGCTGCGTCATGCACACGACATAACCATTTACGGACTGATGATGCTGAAGAGAAAAGAAAACATATTCTGCGGTATCCAGTAGGTAAAAATACTCCTAATAATGCTGTTAATGCCAGTGTGTTTTCAGCTCCTACTAAGTACCAAGGTCTTGTGCGTGGAGGCTGCAGCATAAAACCAATGCATTTTATATTCTTTTTGGAATGGGCTTAAAGCATTTGGTTTCGTGACAATTCAACACAAAATTTCCATACCCCTTCAGAATTTTCCAACTGAAATATTTCAAGTTTTGGGTTTTAGGAAAGGGCAAGTCCTTTCACTTTAGGTTTATAAGAAGATTGGTTTTTTAAAAATTGTGCACTGGAATCCTGGTATGGAGAAAGGAGTGGGGTCTGTTTCACCTAGTAATCCAGTAGCTGTGGCTCAGCTCCCAGGGCAGGGGCGCTACAGCTGCATGGGCCTGGAGATTTATCCTTGCCCTGGAGTTCTTCAAGGTTTTCCCAGCAAGTTCTAGAGAACTTTAGGGATCAGGCCTACTTTCAGGCAAGCCTAGGTGTGTTCAGAGACCCACCTTTCCTTCTTAGGCTAATTTCTGAGTTCTGACTTGTCAGTGCCCCTCTTGGGTCCCAGATGAAGTTCTGAATTGGTTGCTGATGCTCACGGTCTCCATGTGACCAAGCCGTGAAACACTCTACTGATTCTTCCTTACAGAACCCAGAGGTGGAAGGACTCTGAGGTCATTAAAGCCCCAGGCTTTATGGGGGTGACTATCTGACTGTTTTGGTGCAGACGGCTAAGAGGACCTCTGTAGAGGGCACCCCTATCCTCAGTCTCCTATCCGTAGCTGTTTCTCAGTCATCCCATTTTACCCGTGATATCAAAAGACTGAAATCATGGGAGCCCTATCCAGTAAATTGCCAAGTCTGCTTTTCTTCTTCTTGTGGTACAGATGGACAGCTCTGTGGCTGACCCCTATGGCACTCAGAAACAGGACAAATCCAGGCCAGGCACGGTGGCTCACGCCTGTAATCCCAGCACTTTGGGAGGCCGAGGCGGGCAGATCACCTGAGGTCAGGAGCTCGAGACCAGCCTGGCCAACATGGGGAAACCCTGTCTCTATTAAAAATACAAAAATTAGTCGGGTGTGGTGCGTGTGCCTGCAGTTCCAGCTACTCGGGAGGCTGAGGCAGGAGAATCGCTTGAACCTGGGAGGTGGAAGCTGCAGTGACGCAGTGAGCAAAGATCGTACTGCTGCACTCCAACCTGTGCAACAGAGTGAGACTCTACTTCAAAAAAAAAAAAAAAAAAAAAGAAAAAAAGGACAAATCCCATAACAAGAGTAGGGGAGGGATGGGTCCAGATTCCTTTGTACCGGAGTTCAGTTGTTTCAAGCATGGTTTTACATTAAAGAGGCACTATCTGTTTGTTGCAATGCCATTTGACTTGCTTCACTGATAGTAAGGCACAGAAATGAAATGGAGGCCCCACTATCCATGGTGGTGCCACCCACTCACTTCCTGTAGGCCAGAAAGGGGCGGGTCCAGCCTTGAGACCCAGCCCCCTCTGACTCTGGAGACAGCAGGGCCCGCCATGATACGCACAATTCTCACATCTCCAGGCTCTTCTCACAGGATTCCCTTCCCCTCCTGATCCTTATAGAATCTGCTGCTCTCTTGAGCACACCCCTTTTCCCTGCAGACGTAGGATGTGATTATTTATTCTTTTACATCCCAAGTACCTCAGGGTTGAGAGGCTGAAGTGAGACCCTCCATTACCTTCCCATCCACCAACGGCTTCCTATTTTTTTTTTTTTTTGACGGAGTCTCGCTCTGTCGCCCAGGCTGGAGTGCAGTGGCACTATCTCAGCTCACTGCAACCTCCGCCTCCTGGGTTCAAGCGATTCTTGTGCTTCAGCCTCCCAAGTAGCTGGGATTACAGAAGTGCGGCCACCACGCTTGGCTAATTTTTGTATTTTTAGTAGAGATGGGGTTTTACCATGCTGGCCAGGCTGGTCTGAGCTCCTGACCTCAGCTGATCCGCCCTCCTTGGCTTCCCAAAGTGCTGGGATTACAGGTGTGAGCCACTGCAACCGGCCATGACTTCGTTTCCTCTCCCCTTCGTTCACTGAGGCCTTTGCCACTGGCTGGACCTTCCTCTCCAAGCCATTCCCTGCCTCGCTAGGAAGGCTTCAGAAGTCACAGGTCCCTTTTTAAATACCCTGGCTTCCCGCTTACTTCTCATGTCCAGTGACTCTTGTTCTCAACCCAGTACAGCCACTCATTCCCTGGACCGTCAAACCTGAAATTGCTCCACCTCCAGAAACTACAAGTTTAAGCATCCTGTTTTCCCAGCCACATTCTTCCTCCATCTGGCTCATTCCACTATGACTATGATAACCCTTCTCTGCATTGACCAGAACACCACGTTTACTTGGATCCCCTCCCATCTTCACTTCCTTTCCCTTTGGGCAAAGTCTCCAATAGACATCATTCTGGATTACAGTTACTCTCTGGCTAGCCTCATCAGCTTCCTTGTCAATCTGTCTTCTTCTCTTACCAGCCTGGCAAAAATTCCACCTGGACAAACCTAGATCAGAAGACTCATCTGTCTTCTCTATGCCTTCACCTGGGGAGATGAGTTACACTATAAACGATTCATGTCGAACCTCAGGGCTCAACAATTCCACCGTATTTCTCTGGTCAGTTTGCTCTGCCACCTTCTGCTCCAGCTACCTAAACTTTCTACCCTTCTTAAACCACCCTCCACCTCGTTCTCAACAGATAACCTCATTGCCTACTTCTGAGAAGCAGAAGCTGTCTGACAGGACTCCCTCAACTTTTCTCCATGAGACCAGCACATACGCTGACATCCACATGCCCCTCGTCCATCTATCCTTCCAATGACACTGGCCCATCCCTGTGCTCTGAACCCTGTCTTAAAAACAATCCCCTTGACCCCTCCCCAGTCACCCCTCTATTTCTTCTCTTGCATAGCCTCACTTCATGAAAGGTTGCTATTTCTTCACCTCTCACTTGGTCTTTCAACCTGGTAAACTGGTTTCTGCTTTTACCACTCCACTGAATGGCTGCCACTGCGTTACTGACAACTTGTGAGTTGTTAAACCGAATGGACATTTTTTTCCAGACTCATTTGACTTGTGTGGCAGCAGACAGATCTTTGCTCAACACAGATCTAACCAGCTATTCCCTTGCTGAAGAATCATTTAATGAGTTCCCATTGCTTTTTGGATCAAGATTAAAAACCTTAACATGTACGGCCTGCCCTGGCTGACTGGATGCCTCACTGTCTCACCTACTGCCTTCTGGGATGGGTGCATGGTCCTGCCCATGGGGGAGTGTCCTGTCCATACAGGCAATGCCCTGCCTGCTCATGCCCATCCTCTTCCTCATCCTTCACAGGCCACTTCCTGGGAGTCTTCCTGGTTTGCCCCAAAATGAGGCTCCCCTGTGGGTATGCTCTCATCACACCTGATACTTGTCCTCATAGCAGCCTGGTGATTTGGGCATCACTTGTTTTATACCATTCTCTCTCTTACGGACTGCAAGCTCCAGTGGGCAGGGCCGTCTGCTCTGCTCACCACTGTACCCCGGCACACAGCACGCTGAAGAAATGAATGAACAAATCCAAACCCAAACTAGACTGGGTCCACTCTGGGAAGGTTCTGGGAGCAATCTTTGGCCCTGAGACTAGTTTTGCGCTACAGAGACTACCGTTTCGGGCACCTCTCTTCCTGCACAGATACCCAGAGTCAGGTTCATCCAGCTCTGTGCTCTCCTCTTCCCTCCTTTTCAGTGTGAAGCCAACTGCAGGCCAGGGACCCAGTCCAGCCACTGCCCACTTTCTTTCTTTTTTTCTTTCCTTTTTTTTTTTTTGAGATGGAGTCTCGCTCTGTCGCCCAGGCTGGAGTGCAATGGCGCGATCTCGGCTCACTGCAACCTCTGCTTCCCAGGTTCAAGCAATTCTCCTGCTTCAGCCTCCCAAATAGCTGGGATTACAGGTGCGCCCCACCACACCCAGCTGATTTTTGTATTTTTAGTAGAGACAGGGTTTCACCATATTGGCCAGGCTGGTCTCGAACTCCTGACCTCAGGTGATCCACCTGCCTGGGCCTCCCAAAGTGCTAGGATTACAGGCATGAGACACCACGCCCAGCCCTGCCCACTTTCATAAATGTTTCATTAGAATGCAGCCTCACTCATCTGTTTATGTATTGCATCTGTGGCTGCTTTCAGCTACAGTGACAGCTGAGTAGTTGTTACCAAGACCTTATGGCCGCAAAACCTAAAATATTTAGTGTCTGGGCCTTTAAAGTTTGCCGATCCCTGGTACGAAGCATCAGGCAGGACACCTACTGTGTGCTGTGGGGAAAATCGAGTAAGTGTGTCATGGTGACAAAGGGATGGTTCAGGGTTTCGATTGGAGTGATTCTCTTGTCAGCATCAATGGTCAGCATCTTCTTCAACAGGTCAATGAACTCCCGCCGGTCAGCCTTTTCTACCAACATGTCGCTCCCTTCCAAATCTGTCGTCATGTTCACCTGGACGCAAGTAAGGACAGGTTACCAAGGAAGACCCCAGCGTGCCTCCCCTCTCCTGGCTCCCCTTATTTTTTGCCCTGTAACTTCCTCCTGATCTCTCAAGCCCCCTTTCTCAGTTCCCAGGAACTCTGCCCCTATGGGAGGCACCACCCACATGTTGTCATTGCCCACAGGATGTGGCTTTTCTCTCTGCAGGAAAGGCAGAGAGGGGCTGTGCCCCAGGAAGGGGAGAGGGCTGCTGCTGGGACCTGCAAATATATCTGAATGACAGGATGTAAACTGCTCCTGCTTTCATCAGTTAAGTTGAAATGCAGCTTTCATCACTCCTCATTAAAAATAACCACAAGATGAAAAGAGTTCTGGAGACTGGTTGCATAACAATGGGAGTGTTAATACTATTGAACTGTACCCTTAACAAAGGCTAAGATGATAAATTTTATGCTATGTGTGTGTTTGCCACAATTTTTAAAAAAGAGTCACGGCCAAGCAGTACAAATAAGATACAAAAAAGTCTATGTATGTATGTATGTATGTATGTATGTATGTATGTATGCATGTATTTAACCTTTAGAGGGAAGTGGAAGGGCCTGAGTGTGCCCGTCCTCCACCTACAGCATATCATCCTTCTCATGGGTTCCCCAGTTAGGGCCAGAATTATTTTAGTCCCTGTGTTCAATGGAGTCACCTCTGGCCAAGACAGGCAGGATATCTGAACACAGGATTTTTCTTCCAAGGGTGAGTCTATACTAGGATCGACTTTAAAAGGCTTGTTTTGTGGTGATTTCTGTATTTTCCAGGACATGGTCTGGAAACCAATTTCAGTTTTCTCAGACAATCTAAGCTGCTAATCAACTGACAAGCACACTTTACTCAGAATCATGATTTTTGGTTATAGTCATCTACAGTAAGAGGGGTGCTAAGTGTTTACTGGTGTATAGCTTTGTTTCTCATTGCTTTAAAGAGAAAACTCACTTTGGGTTGCCCTGGTTTCAGACTAATTTTCACACTAAAAATAGCTGAAGTTCTAGAATTTTCTCTGGGGCACAAAGGTGAGAGCCTGCGGTCCCTGCCAGTGAGCTGAGACTGTGTAGCAGATTGAATTGTATCCCTCTAAAAGATATATTAAAGTCCCAGTCCCCAGTTGGTGTGAATGTGACCTTATTTGGAAATAGGGTCTTTGCAGATGTAATCAAATTGAGTTAAGATGAGGTCATACTCGATTAGGGTGGGCCCAGTGACAAGGCAAGGGAGATGTGGACACAGAGGCACAGAGGAGACACAGGACAAAAGCCATGTGAAGAAGGAAGCAGAGATTAGAGGGATGCAGCTACAAGTCAAAGAACGCTGAGGATTGCCAGAGCTGCCAGAAGCTGGGAGACAGACACGGATGCTCTTCCCCTATGGCCTTTACAGTGAACATGGGCCTGCTGAAGCCCAACTTCCAATTTCTGGCCTCCAGAACTGTGGGGGAATGAAAGTCTGTTGTCCTAAGCCATCCAGTTCATGGCACCTTCTAACGGCTGCCCCAGGAAACATACACACTAAATTATGGGCATTAAACCCATGGGTACTAATGGGCTGGAATTCTTCTCATGATAACATCAGGCAGATAGGCCAGTACTATATTACAACTGGGAACCAATACACTGGAATGATTGTTTTTTTGTTTTTTTTGAGATGGAGTTTTGATCTTGTTGTCCAGGCTGGAGTGCAGTGGTGTGATCTCGGCTCACTGCCTCCTGGGTTCAAGTGATTCTCCTGCCTCAGCCTCCCGAGTAGCTGAGATTACAGGTGCTCACCATCATGCCCAGCTAATTTTTGTATTTTTAGTAGAGACGGGGTTTCGCCATGTTGGCCAGGCTGGTCTTGAACTCCTGACCTAAGGTCATCCACTCGCCTTGGCCTCCCAAAGTGCTAGGATTACAGGCATGAGCCACCATGCCTGGCCAACTGGAACGATTTTAAAGGAGCTGGTATGAAGTTTTAAAAATGTTTCACACACCAAATGGTATTCTTACTAAGACTGGCTGTAACTATTTAAGGTCAAGGTCAACCACTGCAGTTGAATAATGTGGATTTCAACCCATTATCTTCTATTACTATTGCAGAAGTCTTGCTGCCCTTGGTTTTAAAGGGCTTACGTTGCATACTCACCCATGAAGCTTACCTGGGCCATATCATCTAAACAGTTGAAAATGTACTTTCTTGCTTCTTTTGACTTAATCCCTGTCTCTGCTTCATGGTCATCTGGTGTCTGTCAAGAGAGGCAAAAGCCAATTGGTAGCGTGACTTAGCTCCTCATCACTGGGACTCAAGCCTTGGAACTCCTGTGTCTCACAGAGGGTCTCTTTCCCACATTTCGGAAGAGATTTTGATTCTTCAATGACCTGCACACCTGCAATTCCCTTCTCTCTTCATCCACACCAACCCATCCCTCCTCCTTCCTATGCACACGTGTCAGGGGCTGGCTCCGGGTCAGGTATGGAGCAGTCTTGCTCCATACCACAGGCTGATCAAGGTATGCCACATCCTCGATCAGCTTACAGCCTTCTCTGAGTCTAAGGAATAAGGCAAGATTCCATTGTGGAAAAGCAAAGGGCTTTCCCATGCATTTTCCAATTTTATTTAATAAACCCTTATGCACATAGCTCTTGCTACGTGCCAGACATTGTTCTAAAGCACATTTATTCATTTAATAGTTTTGACAACCACATTAGGTAGCACAGTTACTATCCCCATTTTCCAGATGGGGAAACAGGAAGAGAAAGCTCCAGGCACTTGCCATGGTCACATGGCCAATAGGTGGCAGCTGGCCCCAGAGTTTGTGGCTGGGCTGCCCCTCTATTGGTGGCTGAGACACAGACCTACATTCCCCAAATGGCTGGAGATACTGCTGTTTCCAATTACTATGGATTTCTGTACTCATCCATGAGGTAATCCAGAGGTAATTCGTCTTCAAAATCTCACTCAAGGACAGCACACCTGGAGCGGCTTAAGTCCTGGGAACAGCTGGACATGTGGGACTGAGGCTCTTCAATAAAACACAACAGCAAACTCCAGCCTCACCCTCCTCCACCGGAGGACTCTTTTTACTGGACCTGACCTTGACACTCACCCTCACAGTTGCCAAATGCCAGGCCTCCCATCAATAGCCTGAGTGCTTGCTCAGTTCCCAAATCTCTTTTCTCAGTCTTTTGTGACTACTGGATATATATTATCTTTAAACCATATTAGGATTTGGCTGCAGATTCCATTAAAAAAACAAATCCAAAACAACAACAAAACAAACACCCACCCACCCTGCTGCAAAAAAAGAAATACCTAAAATGAAACATATTTAAGACTTTATTATTTTCTTTTTACCAGGAAAATACTTTGATTTTAATTGCTAGGCACAGATCAAAGTGAAAGCAAACTATGTTTCTGTTAAAGTGAAGCCCCTGCCCCCGGAGTTTCAGGTTTATGGTTACTTGTGTGAACCAGACACCTCCCTGGGCCTTAGGATATTCCCATGGGCTCACCAGGCAGCCTCCTTTGCCTGGAACCCCTCTCCCTAACCCCCATCACCCCAGCCGCCACCCCACACTTCTATACTGGGCAAACCCGCTTCATTCTTCCTTTTCTTTTTTTGAGACACAGTCTCACTCTGTCGCCCAGGCTGGAGTGCAGTGGCACAATCTCAGCTCACTGCAACCTCCGCCTCCCAGGTGCAAGTGATTCACGTGCCTCAGCTTCCTGAGTAGGTGGGATTACAGGAGCATGCCACCACGCCCAGCTAATTTTTATACTTTTAGTAGAGACGGGGTTTCACCATGTTGGCCAGGCTGGTCTCGAATTCATGACCTCAAGTGATCCACCCGCCTCAGCCTCCCGAAGTGCTGGGATTACAGGCGTGAGCCACCACGCTCCCTCTTCATTCTTTAGGGCCCAGTTCAAATGCTCCTCCTTGCCCCTCTGCTGCAGGCAGAATTAAATGCTCCTTCCTCTTGGCACCCACACCCATTCTTGACCAGGAACAGGGCCCTTACTACAGTGGGCGGGAGCTTGTGGCACATGGTCCTGTCTCCCTCTGGACTGCCAGCTCTCAAGGGCAGAGTGGGGTTCGTTTCTCTCCCTAGCACAAATCAGACAGTCATCAAGGCTTATCGGATTAAATCCTGGGAGTTCAGCAATCATAAGGTTGGACTCTCACAGGCGGCGATAGGCCAAGGGAAAGAGGGGCTTCTGAGCATTCAGATTCAGCCATACCATGTATTAACAACAGCACCCCCAGTGCCCTCATTTTGCTGACTGAATCAAAAGCTCCCCACTAATGGGTCTACGGCCCTCTTCCCTAAGCGCTGGGCCACTGTGAGGAGTGGAGGAGACGCTCTTCCTACCTTCAGTCTCCACAAAGGATATGGTGAGTCCGTGTCACGGTTGAAAAACCTAGTTGTCTTTGTCCCGGCGCTTAATAAATATTCAGCAGGCAAACCCTGTGTTTGTGAAATATACCGAATCTGCAAGAAAAGATAAGAATGAGGTCAGGGCTTTTCCTGTCACTATACATATGGTATACTAATGGCTCTGCTGGCTTTGAGAAAAATGAAAATGACAATTTTTGTAGGGAAAGAAGTTAACAAAAAAGAGAAAAAAGAAAAAGGGAAAAGAGAAAGGAATAAAGAAAAAATAGCAAGGTTAAGGGAAGCAAGGTTTGGGAGACAACGTGACATTCCACAGTCCCGCCCATTTGTCATGTAATCAATGAAATGCTAATCCAGGCTATTTTCCAGATGAAGAATGAGGTCTTGTGAATATCTGTGTCATCTGGACCCACCTGATCATACTCCGAAGCTCCTGGATATAACGGCCAACCCAGGAACAATTCTGCAATAACACAGCCCAGGGACCACATGTCAATTGCCTCACAAAATGGTAAACCAAGGATGATCTCAGGGGCCCTGAAAAGGAAGAATGGAAGAAACCATTAGCAAGTTGGAAATGCAGGAAGCTGTTTCTATATGAATACTATCTTTCAAACCTGGGGTGCCATTACTGACTCCTCCTCTGAAGGGCCTGTGGCTCTCAGGAGAGGCGCTGTGCTACAACAATCCTTCCATTCTTTGGCTTGGTCCCCTCCATTAGTGGAGGGCCCACTTGGAAGGTTGGCTGAGATGAAGGATAAGTCTGTGTGTTTAGAACACACCTACAGAGAACCACGTCTACTGACTTCATTACCTTCACACGCCAATCAGATGAGCTAACAACCATTTTAGAGATATTCTGAAGTTATCTTTTGTAGCTGAAAGTCTGGGAAACTAATCTTCAGAGAATGCCTGGTTTTTACAAAGGAGTTCTGAAACGCAGGTCTTCTATTTTCTTCTGTCTATCTAGAGATGGGAACTCACTATGTTGCCTAGGCTGGAGTGCAGTGGCTATTCACAGGCATGATCATAGCTCGCTATAGTCTTGAACTTCTGAACTCAAACAATCCTTCTGCCTCAGCCTCCTGAGTAGCTGGGTCTATAGGAATGCACAACCACACCTAACTCGAGGTATTCTATCTTCAGGAAGATGTAAAACAAGCTGTCCCCTTCCCAAAATAACGGGATTAAGTCCAATATCTGTTTATGCCAATTATCCTTTCTTAAGAATTTACATCACACTTTCTTAAGGAAACATTGCTATTTTTTATTAGCTTCTAAAAAGCTAATCTTCTTAGAAGTTACCTAATATTACAATTATAGAACCCCATTCATGAATACAGAGTCTGGTATCAACCAGGATTCCAGCGTAAACTCCATGAACAACCTGTTCCTGAATGCAGGAGTTCTGTCCCTTCAAGGAAATCACCTAAACCCCAAGAGAACATTTCACAGGGAGTTGGTAATCAACACTAAAGAGACCACCCAGGTACATCTTCTTTTCTAAGAATCTGTCATGATTAGGTAGGGGTATGTTTTGGACAAAACCAGGCTCAAAGTTTGAGATATGAACACAGCTTATGTTTTTTTAAAAAAATATGTCTCAAGGCCAGGCACGGTGGCTCATGCCTGTTATCCCAGCACTTTGGGAAGCTGAGGCAGGTGGACTGCTTGAACCCAGGAGTTCAAGAGCAGCCTGGGCAACATGGCAAAACCCTGTCTCTACCAAAAACAAACAAACAAACAAACAAACCCAAATTAGCAGGGTGCGGTGGTGTGTGCCTATAGTCCCAGCTACCTGGGAGGCTGAGGCGGGAGGATTGCTTGGACCCGGGAGGTGGAGGTTGCAGTGAGCTGAGATTGCACCACTCTACTCCAGCCTGGACGACAGAAATAGACCCTGTCTCAAAAAAAAAAAAAAAAAAAAAAAAGAAAGAAAGTAGCTCAAGGCATTCTGCTGATAATGAAATGCATTAGCCTGATTTTTGTTTTCTCTATAAATTTTCCACTTCACTAAGAGATGGTAGAAGAGGCTACTTTCCTACCCTTTCTGCAGCCTGGAGTGGGAGTGAAGGGAGCTGGGGAGACCTTTCTCTTGGTTACCTTTCACACACCTAGCATGAGAGTGGGGAGGAAGAGGGCGATCAGAAACACCCCCACTGGTCTTGGATCTTCTAGCTGAATTTTTCTCTACTGAAAAAGTACCTCCTCTTCCCCCTTTAAATTTGTTCTCATTGCTAATCTTTTTTCTTTATATAATAGTATTGAAAAGAAGAAAACAAACAAAACCCAAAAATGTCTTATTACCAAGTTCTGATTTTTCACAAGTAAAATGGAGTTTGGCCAGGTGTGGTGGCTCATGCCTGGAATCCCAGCACTTTGGGAGGGTGAGATGGGAGGATCACTTGAGCCCAGGAGTTTCAGACCAGCCTGGGCAACAGAGTGAGACCCTGTTTCTTAAAAAAAAAAAAAGGGGTTAGGCGCAGTGGTTCAGGCCTGTAATCCCAGCACTTTGGGAAGCCAAGGTGGGAGGATCACTTGAGGTCAGGAGTCCAAGACCAGCCTGGTCAACATGGTGAAACCCTGTCTCTACTAAAAATACAAAAATTAGCCAGGCGTGGTGGCGCAGGTCTGTAATCCCAGCTATTCAGGAGGCTGAGGCATGAGAATCGCTTGAACCCAGGAGGCAGAGGCTGCAGTGAGCCGGGATCGTGCCATTGTACTCCAGCCTGGGTGACAGAGTAAGAGTCCGTCGCAAAAAGAAAAAAAAAAAAAGCCAGGCATGGAGGTGCGCACCTGTGGTCCCAGCTACTCAGGAGGCTGAAGTGGGAGGACTGCTTGAGCCCAGGAGTTTGAGGGTGCCATGAGCCATGATTTGCACCATTGCACTCCAGCCTGGTAACAGAGCAAGACCCTGTCTCAAAAAAAAAAAAAAATTTTAGTTTATTCCTTTCCTCACAACTAGAGACTGGGTACTGGCTACTACGTGCTTCTAGAGTACCAGTCACACTTGCCGGTCTGGGCAGCAGAAGGAGTGACCGCTGGGGGCTGGAGTGAGTTGCCTTGTTGCTATTTAATGAACCTTCCGTTGTCCCCATCGCCTGCTGCTGGGCGTCTTCAGCTGCCAGTGTTCTGCTTGGCACTTCACCCCCTTTGGCCTTTGTCTCCTTTGGTCCCCACATTGGACTGCGCATGTATTGTCAGGGGCCACTCTTACTCACTGGCACTGATGAGCTGGGGATGCCTGTGGTGGCTCCAAGACATGTCCCTGCTGCACCCTTGTCTTCCATGTGACCACGAGCCCACCACCTGCCTAGGCCACCTGTGTCAGTGTTGGCCACATACCAGGGCCCCCAGGTTCACTCATCATTGTGTGTAACTGATAAGATTACTGCCAGGTTGCCTCTAGCAGTGCCTTTAGAGATCGTTTCAGTTTATTTAAAACATCACATCCCTTAGAAAAAAGAAGGGACTATCTGTTTCAGGTTTTTTTTTTTTTTTTTTTTTGAGACAGAGTCTTGCTCTGTTGCCCAGCCTGGAGTGCAGTGGCATGATCTTGGCTCACTGCAACCTCCACCTCCTGGGTTCAAGCGATTCTCGTGCCTCAGCCTTCCAGGTAGCTGGGATTACAGGCACCTACCACCAGGTCTGGCTAATTTTTGTATTTTTAGCAGAGGCGGGTTTTCACCATGTTGGCCAGGCTGGTCTCAAGCTCCTGATCTCAAGTGATCCACCTGCCTCAGCCTCCCAAAGTGCTGGGATTACAGGCAGGAGCCACCATACCTGGCCAGAAAAGAAGGGAATATCTGAAAAGAACACTACCAAAAAAAGTATTATGGTGTCAGAACCTGCTTTTCTCTCTGCCCTCCCTGTTCTAGAGTCAGGGGTGGCCTCCTGCCTCCTCTCACGTGGATCTAGGCCTCTTCATGGGAGGAGAGTTTTGGCCTGGACTGCTGGCTCAAGGATCAAGCACATTCTCACCTCTGTCCCCCGATTCTTGTCACCTGGCCTCTTGGCTGGCCCCTGCCCTCTTGCAGCCTGACGTTTGGAAGTCTGACGCTCCAGTCTGTAGGTTTGGATGTTTGACACTCAAGTAAGTCTTAGGAAGGCCGGTCTGGCCCCAGGGGACTTCTCTGAACTTGACTATGGGCCTGCCCTTCCTATCAGGTTAGTTACGTGGTTCTCATGGCCCGGAAGGCTGTTCCTAACCCACGGAAACCTCGTTTTCCAGTTTCCATTCCCCAGTGATGAACAAGGCAGACTGCAACAACTAAAATGGCCACACAAAGGCACTTTAGTGATGTTCTTTAGCAGGAAACACCAGACATAGATTTTGACGACTGACGTGACATGAACGGGGCCTGGGAAAATTGCTTGTAGTCCACCAAGAAAATGAAATGGCAGCCATTCACGGTACCATGATACGTGCCGCAGAATGTTCCTGCTGCGACCGTAAAGAACAAATGCCCAGGCATCTGGCTAGGTGGCTGGGAGACAGTACTGTCTGCGAAGGCCTCTGATGCTGCGAAAGCCACATCAAAGCACACAGGACAACTCGAGTCGAATACAAAACGTGTGTCACAGAAAGACACAGACATAAAAATCGAGCCGACACAGCACACCACATGCTCTAGCGGCTCCCACGTTAGAAAACAAAGCAGAACACAAGAACAAAACAGAACACAAAAAACAAAACAAAAGCCCCAAACACAAACCTTTCCTAATCCCTTCGTCTCCCAGCAGCTGCTGCCCTAGTTCTCAGCTCCCCTTCAAGGCCCACTCTCTGGAGAGAGTCATCTCCCCCTGTGGTTCCCACCTCTTCACCTCACAGCATTTGCTCAGCTTCCTCTAATTGGAGTTGGACACTCTGCGTCACTGACGCGCTGCACTTGTTGAGATCAGCAGTGATCTCCACGCTGTCACATCTGTTGATCAACTTCTTAGCTCTGTGACCTGGGAGCCACATTTTTTTCACGCGGGTGATCATTCCTTCCTGCCCTGAAACACTTATTCTTGGTTTTCATGACATCGCTTGCTCCCCATATCTGTCCCGCCTCTCTGCTTGTGGCTTGCCCATTTCCTTTGTAGGCTCGCCCTCTTCTATCCAACTGCTGTGTGTTGGCCAAGTCCTAAGCCCACCGTCTTCTCTCCTTCCACCCAGCCCTAGATAATTGTTATGGGTTGAATTGTGTCCCCCTAAAAGTTATGTTGAACTCCTAATTCCTGGCACCTTGGCATGTGACTTTATTTAGGAATGGAGTTGCTGCAGATATAATTAGCTAAGATGAGGTCACACTGGAGTAGGTGGGCCCTAATCCAATGTGACTTGCATCCATATCAGAGGGAAATCTGGACATAGATACTGACACAGCAGCAAGATGGTCATGTGAAAAGGGAGGAAGAGATTGGAGTGATGCTGCCACAAGCCAAGGAACACCTGGAGCCACCCGAGGCAGGAAGAGACAAGGAAGGCTCTACCCCTGGAGCCTTCAGAGGGAGCATGGCCCTGTTGACACCTTGATTTTGGATGTCTTTTGTTTTAAGCCAGATATTTTGTGGTACCTATTTCAGCAGCCCTAGGAAACTGACAGTCATCTTACTCGCTCCATAGGTTTAAATTCCATTTGTATTCCCAGGTTTGTCTCCATCTTGGAATTCTCCTTCTGGCTCTAGATTTGCATTCTGGAAGCCTGGTATTGCCTCTGGAATGTCTCATAGTCATCTCCAATTCCACACGTCTAGAAGGGAACTATTCTCTGATCCCCCTCTCTAAACATATTCCTTCCACTGTCCTCCTCATTTTATGAAAGGGAACCACCACCCTCCAGCTGCTTAGGCAGAAATCCAGGAAAGATGTTTGATTTCTTCATCCCCACCATCTATCCACTAACATGGCCAGCTCCAAAGTCTCAAGTCAGCCCCTGATTCTCCATCCCCCCTGCCGCAGCAGTGGCGCTGGTCACCCCTGCGTCACCTGGAGCTTCCACTGCAGCCTTTCCACTTGTCTCTCCCTTCCTTGTGCCCACTTCCTCCATGGCAGCCACAGGGAACAGATGGCACCCCACCCCCTTGCCGTAAGCCTTCAGGGGCTCCCCACTGGACTTGGAATGAAATCTAGACCCCTCCATGGCCATGGGGCCTCCACGATTGGGACCCTGCCCACCTCTCCACCATCACTGCCAACCACTCTCCTAGCTTAATACGTTGCAGGCCCGTTGGTTTCCTTTCCATTTGCAAGAGTACCTGGAGCTCCTTTGGAGCCAGAGTCTTCGTGGGATGCTGTTGCTTCTGCCTTAAATGCTCTCCCTGCTGGCTGTCACATGGCTGCCTCCTTCTCATCCCTCAAATCTTAGCTCAGCTGTCACGCTACAGACAGGCCTCCCTTGACACCAGTTAGTCTTCATATAGGGTGCCATAAATGCCACTTCACAGCACTTTCTTAACCTGCTCACTGTCTGTCTTCCCTGACCAAGTCTATGAGGGCAGCGCAGGCATTCGGTAGCCACTCATTAAGCATTTGTTGATCAAATAAACCTTTATTAAATATAAGAAAGTGTTAAAATATGGATTAAGACAAAGCTCTAAGGCAGTGCAGATAAAAGAGAGTAGAAGGGCTGAATCATTATGCAGCAATCAAGGTTTGGGCATGAGGGGGCAGGATTTAGCCCAAGGAGGAGCAGAAGCTGAGGCTCAGAGAGGGGCACGAGCAACCCGGCTCACACTCACCACAGCAGGGCAGACAGCAGGAGTGCCAAGGACACCTACTTGCAGGTGGCCAACAAAAGAATTACAGCAAAAATGACAGGGAGGAGGAACAGGAGGGCTAGAAGTGGCACCTGGCTCATGCAGGGTTAGGACTTGGGACCTCAGGGATTTAGCCCAAACCTCTTATTTTATGGCCATTGTCATTACGCCCTCTAGAGCCTCCACCTTAGCTCTTATGTTGAAGACTTTATCCTGCGCAGTCCCACTGCAGCATGCGAAATCACATGCTCTTCCATCTGGGCCTCACTACAGCCACCTGCTGCTCTCTTGCCTTTGGTTTTAACCTTTTCCAATCCACTCTGGATCCCTCTCCCACCCCTAAGGGTGCAGCCTTTTCTCTGCACTCATGAGACATGTTTCAGATACAGCCTGCTCCCCTCCCTGCCCGCTTCCATTCTTCCTTATTCAAACAGACACTGCCCACTGTCTCTGTGCTGGCTCTACCAGGTGACAAGCATACAAAGATCAATGACATACTCAGACCAGATTGGTCCAATAAATACTAACTGAGCACCCACTGGCCCCACAGAACCATCTTAAAGAATTTCCTCATCGCTATTTTGGGACATCAGAAATACTTTAAACATATATATGAAGTGTCAGACAAAATCTGCACCTAAGAAAGAGGACTCATTCCTTTCCAACATTCCCAAAGCAAGCCACTAAACATTCTTGTTCTGGAGAAAGAGAGTAAATAATTGTCTTTTTTTTTTTTTTTTTTTGAGACAGAGTCTCACTCTGTTGCCCAGGCTGGAGTGCAGTGGCGCGATCTTGGCTCACTGCCAGCTCCACCTCCCGGGTTCACGCCATTCTCCTGCCTCAGCCTCCTGAGTAGTTGGGACTACAGGCGCCCACCACCATGCCCGGCTAATTTTTCGTATTTTTAGTAAAGACGCGGTTTCACCATGTTAGCTAGGATGGTCTCGATCTCCTGACCTCGTGATCCGCCCGCCTCGGCCTCCCAAAGTGCTGGATTACAGGCGTGAGCCACCACGCCCAGCCAATAATTGTCATTTTTGACACACAAATACGTTTGCATATCTGCCTCTACTATACCTCCTGGAGGGCAGGGTCTGCATCTCACTTGTCCTTGATCCTCAGCCTGGCACACAGAAGCTGCTTCGTAAACAGCTGCTCAACACCCAGCCCATAAACCCTCAGGTAAGGGAGGTAGTTCCCCATTTGGCCCCCAGGAATCTTTGGGGACTTCAGACCATTTTGCTGGGATCTGATCTTGCAGAGGCCTTGTCCCCCTGCTCTGCTAGTCTATAAGGCTCTGAGGTCCTAGAAGTTCAAAGTCAAGTCTAAAATGTTTCTTTTCATCCAGCCCACCTGAAGCATGTTGGATGGTTGCTAAAGCATGCTTAATCTTCAGGGAAGCTCATTCTGACAGTCATTCTGAGCCAGAATTTGTTTCAAGCTGTCCTCACTCACTTATTAGAATATTCAACCACCATTTACTAAGTGTTTCCTCTGTGCCAGGTACTGTGCTGGGTGCTAAAGATCAAAAAGTAAACCAGACCCTGCAGCTCTTCCAGGAGTTCACCGTCTAGCCAAGGTAGCAGCATAGCGACATCTGACATACAATGTGTGAAGTGTGTACATAGTACACAAAGATGGGGGAAATTGGAGGAGGAGAGAGAAAGCAGGATGGGCTTCCCAGGAGGAGTCTGAGCTGAGCCTTAGTAAGTGGCCAGGCAGGGGTGGCTACCACACACAGAGCAGCGCAAGTCCCCCAACCCCCATGTCACTGCTGTATCTCCAGCGCCTAGCACGCAGCCTGGGCATGTAGGTGCTCCATACACATTTGTAGAAGGAATGAGTCTATGTCAAGTGCACACCCTCAGCAGTTGCCAGTTTTCCCTGGAGCTGGCAATGCCACCTTGTCAGTACCTCCTATGTGAGAGGCAGACAGCTTGGCCTTTCTGTTTCAGAGTTTACATGGTTTTTTGGGTTGATCATCACATGTCGGTTGCTTCCACAGGGGCTGTTCCTGTTCTCGGTTCGGTTTCAGGCAGGTAGGGCTGCTGGTTCCTGAATACTGTGAGTGAGCATTTCCAGGTTCTGTCATAACTGATCTCTCATTTGCTCTTCCTCACCTTCACTGCTACAGCTCCACCCCATGGAACCATCTTAAAGAATCGCCTCATTACTATTTTGGGACATCAAAAATACTTTAAACACACATGAAGTGTCAGACAAAATCTGCACCTAAGAAAGAGGGGGATAATTTCTTTCCAACATTCTCATAGGAAGACACTGAAAATTCTATCTTTCTAAAGAAAGAGGAAAAACAACTGTCATTTTGGACACCATCAATATGGAAGCTTTGATGATTTAGCTCCACTCGCTCTCTTGACTGCACACACTGAGAAGCATTCCCAGATCATGTCCAGATCATATGACCCTGCAGGGGAATGGCCTCCAGTGGAGGTGTAGAGGCTGCAGAAGTCAAGAGGGCGTGGCCCGCACTTGGGATCCCAGTGTTCACCGGGTTGAATCCCAGCCCTGTCAGGTACTGGTTGTGTACCTACTTCTGGGTACAGGTATGAAGACTAGGTTAAACAGAGCATCATAGGGGGGCACCTTGCAGAGGCCTGGCATAGAGTAGTCAGCTGAACAATACTAAACCACTTATCTATAACACGTCTAAGTCCATGTGAAAGCAATGAAATAAACAGATCATCCCTCTTCCTTATTTTTTTTTTCTTTTTGAGACAGGGTCTCGCTCTGTTGTCCAGGCTGGAGTGCAGTGGCACAATCTTGGTTGACCGCACCTTCCACCTCCTGGGCTCAAGCAACCCTCCCTCCTCAGCCTCCTGAGTAGCTGGGACCACAGGCACATAGAAACAGGGTTTCACCATGTTGCCCAGGCTCTTCTTGAGCTCTTGAGCTCAAGCAATCCTTCCGCTTCAGCCTCCCAAAGTGTTGGGATTATGGGTATGAGCCACTGCACCCAGCTTCCTCATTTTTTAAAGCCACTTTCTTTCTGATATGGAACACTCTGTTGAAATACATTAAAGCATATACACTAAACAACTGTTTCATTTATTTACACAAAAAGCTGAAAAGATTAATATAACCAACAGTGAAGTACCTACCACCTAGCTTTAGAAATAAAAACTCCCTGGCCGGGTGCAGTGGCTCACGCCTGTAATCCCAGTACTTTGGGAGGCCGAGGTAGGTGGATCACCTGAGGTCAGGAGTTCGAGACCAGCCTGGTCAACATGGCAAAACCCCGTCTCTACTAAAAATACAAAAATTAGCCGGACATGGTGGCACGCACCTGTAATCCCAGCTACTTGGGAGGCTGAGGCAGGAGAATCACTTGAACCTGGAAGGTGGAGGTTGCAGTGAGCTGAGATTGCGCCACTACACTCCAGCCTGGGTGACAGAGCAAGCAAGACTCAGTCTCAAAAAAAAAAAAAAAAAGGAATAAAACTCCCTATCCACAATCCTCTTGCTTCTTCCTTGTGTGGAGAAATACTACCGTAACCTAGTGTTCCTTTTATTTCATCTCACATGAATGCTGGGTACATGCAGTACACTAGGCAATGAAGACTGAAAAGACAGCCATGCGCTTGGGCTGCTTGGAGTCCTAACAGTGTGCCAGGCTAGAGGTCAGAGTGATGCCCAGGGAGCACAGCCCGGGGAACAGGTTTGGGAGGGTGGTCCCGTGGGTCTGAGGACCCCGGTGGGCAGAGTCAACCTGTATTACTGTGTCTGCTTATGGCATCGGCGGCAACAAGGGCTGGGACGCAGGGTTCAGGGTATAGTCCCTTGCTCACCCCAAACACTTTGGTCAAGTCTGAGACCAGAGTCAATGTCTTGCTCATTTACATAGTTCACTGACAAAACAAGGGCAGGGTTCACTGCCACTCCGAACTTGGGTAATAAATCTGCAGCGCTAATCGGAGCGCACAGGCGGAGCTGTGCATTTCTGGAAAAATGTTACTCAATTTCTCTGAGTTTTTATTTCACCATCTATAAAATGTGATTATTAATCTCACTTTTTCTCTTGTCTCTACGGCAGCTTATGAAGATAAATTATGGTTGGCAGAATTATAAAACAGTTTAAACTCCTTGGAAGCAAGACACTCTATTAGTCCATGGTATTTTATAATCACTGGTATTATAAGGTGTACTCGAACTGCAGAGAAAAAGTCCGTTCCCACAAATATATGTAGATTGAAAGTAACCTCAGTATGGCTGGGGCAGAAGCAATCAAAATGTAAAACTGTATTTCAGATGGGTTGTTAAATCTTATGTTTCCACTGCAAAAATAAGGAGACTTGCATTGCTGTCTTGAGCTCTGAGCCGCTGTTTGAGCTGGTGACCGGGAGTGGGAGGCGAGGGATTACAGTGAAGCAGCACAGGACCCAAGAAACAGTGGCAGAAATCTGAAGAGCAGGGAGGAGGAGGAGGCTATTTCAGAGGAATTGGAGCCAGAGGTAAGAGAGAGCTGCACAGAAGACAGCCAGAAAGGCAAGGGCTGGAAAGCACCTCGGGGCAGCTGCATGGAGAGACAACACGCCCTGTGACCACAGGCAAGCCTGCTGGGAAAACAGGGGCAGCCTCCCCACAGGATGAATCCACACCATGCCTAGGGGGATCCAGAAGGTCCAAGTGGAGATGTAGATGGCCATTGAGGTGAGCTAATCCCAGGTCAACCTGTGATTGGATTCTTAAAAAGACACACAGCTTCCTAGGCAAACAGGAGATCAAAGAGAAATAGTTTTGTCTTTGATTAGGGTGATAGGCAGACAAGCAAAAGGAAAAAGGGACCCAGAGATGAAGCTCTAGGAGCAAAACATGGGGGAGGTTGACAAGGGGCCCACCCATTGCGCTGGCTTCCACGGAGCCATCCTTGGAATGGCCAAGCCAAACACCGTGGACCCCAAGATCTCTGTGCACTCTGCAGCAGGGTACTTTTGCCTGGTTATAAGCTGAAGAAATTAAGGTGGAGAGCTGCTGCAAGGGAACAGGGTTCCAACTCCAAAAGGAGAGCTGGGGGGACAGACACGACACCCAAACTTCTGGGTGGTTGCAGCTTGATGTAATACACGTAGAACCACTGTTGCAGAGATTTTCTACCTAAGGGGCCGCTACTGATGTCCATAAAACTGTGTGCTAAGGAGGATCATTTCAGACCCTCACTGATGATTCTGTCATAACTGAGTATCTTCAGCTATCACCAATACAAGTGCTGAAGACTTCAGAATGAACCATCATATCCATATGGAGGTTGATATAATTGCAGTTGGGTCTAGATGTTGACATCATTCTCATGGCACACTTGGACAGTCTCTTAAAGGATGCAGGCTTCCTTGATTCAACTGGCCATTCCCTGTATAATGTTAGAATCAGATTGGCGGTTTTTTCTATTCATATTGGCAGTGAACATCTTGGCTCTGAATATGTACTAAATACACACACACACACACACACACACACACATTTTCACACTGATCCTTCGTTCTTAGTCCTGCTCCAACTCTGCTAAGCGTAGCACCAAAATCTAACTCACTTGTTTACATGCCAGAGGAGAAGGTTGCATCTGCAACTGAAATGAATATAATCTCCAAAGGCTTCTGGTGATGTTGGTGCAAACTGGAAACCAGTTCTCAGATGTCCAGAGCATACTGGCCTCTAAATTTGTGGTTATGTGCTTGTGCATGTAGAATAAAGTGAAGAAAGTACAGCCAGGGACATGGATCCACCTAAACGATATTGACTTGACTTGGTGAAATAAGAAAAGCAAGAAGGGAAGGAAAGAAGAAAAAAAGAAAACTATGAATTGTAATGTCAATGAGGAAGGTTCCTAGAAGAACCAGTTTGGACTCCATGATAAGTATTTCAAAGATACTCACGCTGCCCTGTAATTCCTGAGATCCTTATACTCCTGACACGTGCTGTGCCTGCTTTACCCATCCCTGGCCTGGGTGGCCCAATATCCCCCAATCTGGTCTCTGGTGCTATACCATGAAGCTCTGCGTTGCTGGAGAAAGCCTGTTCTGACCTCCCAGCACTCTACCAGACTACAGTGTCACCAGGCCACGCTTTATGCTTGGTGACTTTTGTCAAAGAATGTGCTCAACAAATGTTTGCAGAAGCACCTATCAGCCAGAGAAATGGAACCATGTGTCTCTGCAGGTGCCTATCTATGTAATCTTTTCATATGTATACTGCTCCAGGCTCTTTTTAAATGTTTTTATCTTTTTTTTTAATTATGAAAGAGAATATATATACAAAGAAGTATACAACAAAAACGTATACCTTAACAACTTATTGGAAAACAAAGACCAGTGTCACTACCAGCCAGGTGAAGAAACAGAGCACTGTCAACATCACAAAAGCCCTGTGGTATTTCCTCCCATCCGCTGTCCCTCCTCCTCAAAGGGGCTCTGAAGTCACCATGTGTGGGAGGTGACATGCAGCCTGCACACTCAAGCCTGGGTATGGGTGCACATCGGTGTGGCAGCCCCCATGCCTCGCTGTGCTCTGCCACTGTGCTCAGATGAGGCTCCTGCCCAGGTGAGCGCAAAGGCCAGAGGCTGGGAATCCCAACACAGTGGCTGAGAAAGGAGCCAGGCCTCAGCCATTCTTTTATGATGGTCCTCATCATGGATCCTTTTGTTGACTGTTTTTCTTCCGATTCATTGTTAGTCTGTTGACTGAAGCCGAGGGTTGAAACTGGGCATTTAGAGCTGTGTTGGGAAGCCTGCTGATTCTGGGAAGGCCTAACCCAAGTCCCACTGTCACCTGCTGTCACTTTTCAGCTTTCTGGGACCACTCTTCTTTTCTCTGCACTGGCAAGGGATTTGGAATTTCAATTCCTGTGGATCAACTGCAGATGTGGCGTCTTCACTTTATTCAGCCTGGTGATGTTACCCACTTATAGTGATCATGAGATGTGAGGCTGGGGAAAAGGCTGGTCTCTTCCACACTAACACATTAATTCAAGGTTCACCCTCTACTCTAGATGGATGCATACTAAGAAAGTAACATCACTTATGTGCAACTTTACTGATTTAAATGCAAAACTTCTCATTGCTTCAACATTTAGCTTCGACTGGTTCATGGTGAGGCCTCAATAAGTGTTTGCTGGATGAATGAATGAACCAACAACAGGCAGAAGAAACACGATGCTTTCCTTTCCAAGGTTCCCAGTGCCTCCACTGGAGAAGCCCCGAATCCCCAACTCTCAGATGAGTGACTGTGCCATAGACAAGGCTCATCTTTGGGGTATTTTCTTTCCTTACAGCACCATCTGATCATGTGGCTTGTGGAGCTAAGTCACAGTCAGTCTTTATGGCTGACAGTCTGGGATAAAAGACAGAAACTTGCTCCTTCTTTGAAAGGGAGATACATTCAGTGTCACCAGCCGGAGACATACCAATTAAGAGAACAGAAGCCAGAAACTTGAGCTATGAAAAGGAACCCACTCAGTAAAAATGTCAAACACAAGTTAGAGAGTGAATTTCCATTGCAGCCTAAGGGATATTCCAATAAAACAGGTATCGTCTGAGGAGGTCTCCCCCACTGCACTGTGTGTTAGGTGGAAAACTACTGAGAAAGCAGGGCCGAAACCCACTAATACCCTACCTAAGCAACTTTCCAAATAAAGCCACTACTCCTGGCCGATGGAGTAGGCTCTGATCCTGTAAGTACAGGATGCGGCCTGACTCTAAGCAGGCAGGTGTGAGTGCGGTGAGGGGAGCCAGGTGGATGAGGCTGGCCTTGCTCTCTGGAGACGTGCACGCCATCAAACCAGCAAAACAGGACTCACTGAGGGTATGTTTTTTACCCAATTTTAGAGCAGGGAGCATCCACAGAGTAAATGTGGCCATGGCCCGTCTGCTCACAGCACTCCTGGTTAGGACCTGCTGTGGTCCGGACAAGAGCGAGCTCTCACGGTGACTGGTTGGTTATTCCAGCAGGAGTTAGGAACAAGAAGATCTTGCCAAACAAAATGGGCATAAACTCCAGGTCTCCAGCCAAGGGCAGCTTACTCAGGGGAAACCTTCCAACACTCAACTTTTCTTAAAGGAGCTGAAAAAGAACAAACCAAACCAAACCAAACCAAAGTTTGCCTTCTTGTGTTTGGGTCACAGAGGAAATACTAAGCTGGCTCTTTACACCTCCCACTAGGGGGCGCTGAAGTGCAACAGACACAGGCTCGGAAAGCCACCTGAACCTTCAACTTCCATGGAGACAGAGGGACGCGACCCACTGGGTAAGGGAACAAACGGTTCCCTTAAGGCTGGTGCGGTGGCTCACCCATGCACTGCCAGCACTTTGGGAAGCCAAGGCGGGAGGATCACTTGAGGCCAGGAGTTCAAGAGTAGCCTGGGCAACATAGTAAGACTCCGTCCCTACAAAAAATTTTTTAAAAAATTAGCCAGGAGTGGTTGTACACACCTGTAGTCCCAGCTACTCAGGAGGCTGAGGTAAGAGGATGGCATAAGCCTGGGAAGTCGAGGCTGCAGTGAGCTGTGATCACGCCACTGCACTCCAGCCTGGGTGACAGAGTAAGACCTTGTCTTAAAAAAAAAAAAAAAAAAAAGGAAAGAAAGAAAAGAAAGTTTTCAGATGAGGATACCACTGCTCCATCTTCTCATTAACCAGTTTTCTTATCCTAACAATGGGGCCTCTTTGTAGTCCAAGAACAGGGACTCTCCTACAGTGCCTTTGGAACGGAGCAACATTCAGCAAAAGAGATGAGAATGCTCATTTTGTTCTCGTGAGCCCCAAACACTACTCCAGCCAACTGAGCTAACCAGCTTATGGAATCAGGGAGCTGTCACACATCAGCTGGGGCTTTGGGTGGAGAAGGGAAGAAAGGAAGGCAGGAGGAAGGGAGGGAGGGACTCTTGAGGGAAGTCAGAGAAGAAAGAGTGAGGGGCGGTGAGGCAGCACCTGAGACTCTTGGTGGTCCCAGACTCTCCCTGAGCACACCCAGGCTTCCCCTCCGCACCTCTGTCAGTGGCCCTGTGGAAAGCATGTCTGGCCTGGCTCTCATGGAAAGCCTTTGAAGCTTTCTACTCAAACCTTACCTGCTCTAGCACTCCCTGCTGACTGAGGCTCCCTCCTGTGCTCTATTCCTACAACGCTAACTATGTCTCTACTGCCAATTCAGCTCTTTCACTCATCCTTGCACTGATAGTTTTTTTTTTTTTTTTTAAATAAGAATCATCTATAATCAGCTCCTAGACTGGAAGCATCCCGAGGCCATGGCCTGTGCATGACTGATCTCTGTACACCTCACAGCACCCAGCGTACAGCCTTGTCTACTGGGGTGAGAGGGTCGGTGTCTGCAGACATTGGGTGTCATTGTTCACACTCATGAGCTGGAAGAAGCTGTGGTTTCATTATCTTCTTTCCTACCGCCAAGCACTGTGCTAAGAACAGTAAATACCCAATACACAGATGTTTGCTGAACTGAGTAGCTGATTGTGTGAAGAAGAAGTGAAAACTGGGATTTCTTACTGTTTATTTACTTTTAAGGAAATAAGTGGCTCTTTTAGTTCTTCTCTGATAATAAGGATTTCAATGGTGAAATGTGAATAGAAACCTATAAAGCTCCACTTTTTAATAGGAGAAGCTTGACATAGGGAGTTTGTATCTATCTATCATCTATCTATATCTATCTATCTAGATATCTATATATATGCTGAGGAATAGTGGGTGAAAAGCAGGTGATAAAGGAGATACTATTTACCTACCTGAAGAAGAAGAGAGAATAAGTGGAGATAGGGAGGAGGCAGCTAGGGAGATTTTGAAAATTCAATTAAAAAAAACCCATAAGCAATTAAACCCATAAAAAAACCTGTGAGATGTTTGAAAGAATGACAGTGATCATTGGTATGAACAGCTTAGTTTCTTTTTTGCCAAGGAAGAAAAGTTTTGTGGCATCACTGGAAATCAGCGAGGGCCTGCCTGGCAGGCCTGTCTCTGTAGTGTCAGCTGTGTAAGTAGGTCTTTGTATGGTTGTATTTAGGCTTGTCCTGGATTCCCCCAAGAGATCAAAAGTTCCTTGAGGAGACAGAACCTATATTTGCTTCCCAGGGAAGTGCTCAGCTGCCACACAGCTCAGGGTGGTGATGCACACAGCAGGAGTTCAATCAACATTAACCCGCTAAATGGAGCTAACCAAATTCCACCCCCAGTCTGAAAGGCTCTGACACAGAACTGTCTAGTTCCTTTTCATTTGGCCTCAAAAGGGGTACATTTTTCAAAAAACAAAACAACCCCACATACCCCAAAGTTTCAACCTGAGATTCAATTTTGAATTGAAGGCTAAGTGAACAATTCTGCCTAACTCTTTAGTAAGTCTTGCTTGTGTGAAAATCAAACAGAAATCTTCCCTCTTCCCTCTTCTGGGTTTCCCTGACTATATAGAGGTTGATAGACTTCAGATGATCACAGAACCCAAAGTTACAGGCCATCACTAGGGAGTCACAGTTCAGACCAGGAAATCACTAGCGGCAGAGAGAAGCGTGGAGGGAAACGACGTTGCGGCTTTCGGGTTACACAGTGGAAAGGCTGATGAAGGGAATACGGCACACAGTCCCCAGCCTTGTTACTTTATCCCCCCGGGATAGCATCAATAGCTTACATGGGAGTGAGCATCATTCCTGCTTGCACCTTCACGTCCGGTTAAAACGATTCTATTCTGCAAGCCAGAGCTTAGGTTCCATCACTTCCTACCGAGCAACGCCCCCCACCCTTCTCATCAGCCCCGTCTGCATCATTACGGAGGACGGAGGACGGCTCTTGGGATTGTCTTGCTTGGCAGTGGAGGGCGGAGCAGAAGGAGGGAGAGGGTGCTGCGGGTTTTTTTTTTCCTTTCCCCGTATGTATTGTGTTCAGTGTGGACAAATATTTGTGTAGTCTGTATTTACCATTAATACTAGGATAAAGTCATTAGTGATTCGATTTTTCTATGGAAAGAAGCAAGGCATTGGGCGGGTGGAGGGGGAAGCAAAACCCCAAACGGAAGAACAGAAACTCTAAAAGCTGGCGTCTGAAGGTATTATTCAAAAACAATATGGGAAAAGGCAGCACCATATTTCCTCTGTTCTTCTAAGGGGAAGTTCAGAAAAAGGTCAGAAAGAGAACAATGCAGGCCATCTATCATAGCAGCCTCTAACCTAGAGGTGACTTGCCCGCTGCAGCCTCATTTCTCAGTTCTGTAATTACCACCCCTCCCACAGACTGGACACCACAGCGGCCTATGAATTATGCATTTCATTTCCACCTCCCCACACCCTGACTCGGTGACCACTGCTGCGGCGGGTGGCTGCGGGGGGCGGGCCGATGCAGCACCCCTTCCCCCAGGTACACGCGCAAATGTTACAGGGCCCCAGAGCCCCGGTGCACACCCGCAGATGCTGCTTGTGCTGACCTTCAGTTCCCAGCCTAAGATTTTGTTTATTGAGCAAATAAGACTAGTTACCAGTAGGGATTTTCCTAGGGGAAAACACACTGGGGCACCTTTTCTTCCCCTTCACGTTTTTATTCAGGCAAAATCTGGTTAAAATGAATATTAAGGGTGGTCTTGAAGGAGGCAGAGGTGATGTAGAGCCTGAGGGTATGTGTGTGTGTGTGTCTCCTGCTGTTAGAATTCGGGGGGGTGGTTTGGAAAGTGGGTCCCAGAAATGGATACTGCTGCAGGAACAGGAGCAACCCTGCTCCTCCCTGTCTGTGCCTCTGATTAACTGGTGCCCCTCTCCTACCAATTCAGAGGGTCCCAGAAAACTTCTGGGGCCACCTGTCTTCACAGGTGCTACTGGTATACCAAAGCAGGGACTACTCTTTGTTCAGAGTGATTTTCCTTTCAAATCTTTACAAAACGTTAGGTTTAGTAGAGAAGTTGGTTAGGTTTAGTTGCTCGAGCAACTGAGAGACCTAGGAATACCCCTGGAAGCAGACAGGGGTAAGCAGCAAGCGAAAGGGTTCCCTTGAAAAGCAAGGGTTCTTCTGTTTGGTACACCTCAGTCTATCGCTTGAAGAGGTGGTATGGGTAGGATTTTAAAAAATATTTTTAAAAAGTGACTTTAGATACATTCAGGGAAGACAGTTCTAAGATGGGATATAAAAATAGGATATTTAGGCCAGGCATGGTGGCTCACGCCTGTAATCCTAGCACTTTGGGATGCCAAGGCAGGCAGATCACCTGAGGTCAGGAGATCAAGACCAGCCTGGCCAACATGGTGAAACTCCATCTCTACTAAAAATACAAAAATTAGCTGGGTGTGGTAGCATGAACCTGTAATCTCAGCTACTTAGGAAGCTGAGGCAAGAGAATCGCTTGAACCCAGGAGGCAGAGGTTGCAGTGAGCCAAGATTGTGCCACTGCACTCCAGCCTGGGCGACAGAGCAAGACTCCATCTCAAAAAAAAAAAAAAAAAAAAGGATATTTAATTTCTGAGGCTGATCTGGGGAACACAATAGTAAGTGGGCTGAATATTAGGTGCAAATCACTATGACATATATTTTATTCCCTTCGGGTTTTTTTTTTTTTTAAACTATTCTCAGGGTTGGACCATTTGTTCATAAGGGACCGACTGAGGGTTGTGATCACAGCTGTGACAGCCAGCCCTTAAGATGGCCCCTGAGGACCCAGTTCTCCTGGAAGTCAACACCCTGGTGTGGTCTCCTCTCACACTGAGCAGGGCAAACCTGTGTAACCAATAAGACAGCGCAGAAATGACAATGTGTGGCTTCTGAGACTAGGCTGTAAAAGGCATGTGGCTTCTGCTTTTGCTCTGCCTTGAATCACTTACTCTGGAAGAGGACCCTCAATGGCCCTGTGGAGAGATCCACGTGGATGGAACCCAGGCCTCTGGCCAACAGCCAGCTCTGGCTTGCCAGCCACAAGGGTGACCCACCTGGGAAGAACACCCTCCAGCCCCAGTCACGCCCTTGGGTGACTGCAGCCTGGGCTAAGAGCTCACCGCCACCTCATGACAGAACTGGAGTGGGAATCGTCCTGTCATGTTGCTCCCAAATTCCTGGAGCACAGCAACGGTGAGATAATGTTTATTGTGTCAGCCACGGAATTTTGAGGTACTTCGTTATGCAGTGACAGATACTGATTGGGCGTCTCTAAGAGGGGAGGGAGCACGCAGAGAAGCTCTGGATTTGTGTTTCCAACAAGCCTTAGGTCAGCACCCCCTGATACCCAACACATCACTAGGTCCTCCATCCAGCCCCTGCCCTGCCCTGATGGGAACCAATGAAGCACTTTCTAAAAAGGTAGGAGGCACAAGGAAAACACAGCCTGAGGAGGACTTCCAAGCACCCAAATGCAGGCAAGACTGAACGGATGGCATGAAGTTTGCAAGCTGCTATTCCACAGGATGAACCCGGCACAGAGACAGACACTCTTTGGCCTGCATAGATATTAAATTTTTTCAACTAGCTATTAACATTTAGAACTCAGGTGATATTCCTAAAAGTTTGGATTTCCTGCTGAAAATCAAAAGCTCTGGCAACTCTGGGCCACTTGTCAGTTCGTGGTCACAATGACCTGGGGCTGGATAAGGCTGCCCTCTGCACGTGTGTGTCACCAGATGCAGACCTTAGTCATTACCAGCTCACTGACCACCTACCTGGCCCTGGAGGCACTTGAGTTCGTGACTCCTAGGAGAGAGGCGAGCTGGAGGGGGACAAATGAAACACTTACATGAAATCACTGCTTTTAGCTCTATAGCGGGGGCACTGTGGAGAGGTACACAATTTGTTTTCTTTTATTAAACAAACAAACAAACAAAAAAGGTTTAGCAAACAGCTGCCCCAGAAGGGACTTCTTAGAACTTACAAGGAATGTAAAATGATTATTCCACTTTACATTACACAGTGTGAACTTTAAGAGGAGAGATCCGATGTTATGTTTCTGCAATGTTTGTTTATGGAGGTCTTCGTTATATAAGACCTCCGTGGAGAGGAACTGCAATGCTGGAGTCTCACTTTGCTGATCTGGCTTTCTACTCTAACAATTATTTACAATAACATTAGAGAGGAAGGCTCTGGCGCCATAACTCAGTGAATATCTGCCGGATTCTTCCCTCCTACAAGATACAATAATATACCCTTTATTGGCCTTCTCCCAATTCTCCATTTGAAACAGGATTATAATCAGTTTTCAGAGTGGCTTACTCAGGAATTAACTAGCCAAGCACTGGATCACTGCTTCTTGAACAATTCTGTAGTCCTTTGCACATTTTTGGAAAAGGAATGTGATGTCAACAGCCTCATGTTCTTGAGAATATCCTTCCTAGGTGGGCAAGTGCTGGGCTGGGGGAGAATGGGGCCTTGTGTTTGCATAAGACGCTGCTCACGAGTGGCTTTGTATAAGACAGCAGGAGGAAGGCATTCTGTCTGCCTCCCCCTTCCCCTGAGCTCGGGGACATGATTGGATTATTGAGTGATTATGTAGTAAGTTCAATCACTGATATTTATTGAGCTCCCAGCATGTTCAAGACTCTGCTAGAGGGTGATACCAAGTCATGGTTGCTGTTCTCAAGAAGCTTATCATCTCGTGTACACGTATGGAAAAAGGAATACAGACAGAAATCATGAATGTCAGATGCCAGCTACGTTTAGAGGGAGCAATCTCTCTCATTCAATAAACATGTATTGAGCATCCATTATGTGCTGGGCACTAATTAGAGAGTGAACAAAAAAAGACAGTCTCTGTTCTCATGGAACTTGAACTCTAGTAGACCTCAGCGGACTCCACTCCAGGCTGGGAAGAACAGGAGAGAATTCAAGGAGGCAGAATTTAAATAGAATCGTTAGGTACCACCGACTTCAGAGTTGAGAGAAGGGAGAGGGCACTGCAGGTAAGAAAACATCATTAACGAAGGTACAGAGGCAGGAAAACACAAAGAAGACTGTTCAGGGCCGGCACGGTGGCTCACGCCTGTAATCCCAGCACTTTGGGAGGCCGGGGTGGGTGGATCATTTGAGGTCAGGAGTTTGAGACCTGGCCAACATGGTAAAACCCCACCTCTACTAAAAATACAAAAATTAGATGGGTGTGGTGGTGGGGGCCTGTAATCCCAGCTACTCAGGAGGCTGAGGCACAAGAATGGCTTGCACCTGGGAGGCTGAGGTTGCAGTGAGCCGAGATCACGCCACTGCTACTCCAGCCTGGGTGACAGAGCAAGACTCTGTCTCAAAAAAAAAAAAAAAAAAAAAAACTGTTCAGGAGAACAAGGAAGTGACACAAGGGCTAGGGCAGTAGGAGCAAGGGGCAAGTGATACCAGAGCAGAAACAGCGTCACTGTCATCCTCGATGCTAACTCTGGACCTCCTATGCCATGGTGCTGAGGCAGGACAACAGCTGCTCTTTGATTTCTTCAGAGAGCAACTACAGACAAAGAGACATTTGTCTGTAAACATGAGTAACTGGAAAATGCAGTGCTGAGGACTATCAACTGTTACAGAATGGGTGGTGGGATTTAGAGATCTTATGGGACAAATCACACCTCCCACACCGCCATCTCGTATGGTAAAACTCTGACCCATGGACCTCGGGAAGGAGGCCTCTGCCTCCTGTTACAGACATGCCATTGAGAGGCACAGGTGATAAGTGAGCAAAGGAAATCAGCTTCCACTGCCTCAAGAAGCACAGCCTGGGATTACCTGACCTGGTGTGATGAAAATCGCCAAGTTTTATGTTGCATTAGTGAAGATTTTCCACTTGTACAATGTTTTTTTCTTTCCAAAGGTGGGGGGAACAAAACATGCTCCTCTGGCCTCCTCGAGACTGTTGTTGTTTTTTTTTTGAGATGGAGTCTCGCTCTGTCGCCCAGGCTGGAGTGCAGTGGCATGATCTCGGCTCACTGCAACCTCCACCTCCCAGGTTCAAGCGATTCTCCTGCCTCAGCCTCCTGAGTAGCTGGGGTTAAAGGTGCCTGCCACCACGCCCGGCTAATTTTTGTATTTTTAGTAGAGACGAGGTTTCACCATCTTTGCCAGGCTGGTCTCAAACTCCTGACCTCAAGTGATCTGCCTGCCTCGGCCTCCCAAAGTGCTAGGATTATAGGCGTGAGCCACTGTGCCCAGCCAAAACTGTTTCTTTACTACAGAGACAGGTTTGTGTATGTGCAGCCCAGCTTATTGAATGATAAAGCAGCAAAACAGAGCCTCAATGACACAGGGGCTGCCAGGCCCCTGTTCCTATAGGTTTAACAGCATGAGATACACATAAAAGCTGCTGCTATACAAGTGAGGCTCTTAAACATCATTAAAAACACATATTTGAGGTTAGGCACAGTGGCTCATGCCTGTAATCCCAGCATTTTGGGAAGCTGAGGCAAAAGGATCGCTTGGGCCCAGGAATTTGAGACCAGCCTGGGCAACACAGCGAGACTTTGTCTACAAAAAAAAATCAAAACATTAGCCAGGTGTGGTGGTGCACACCTATAGTCGCAGCTACTCTGGAGGGTGAGGCAGGAGTACTGCTTGAGTCTGAGAGGTTCAAGCCAAAGTGAGTCATGATCACGCCACTGCACTCCACCCTGGACGACAGAGCAAGGCCCTATCTCAAAAACAAACAAACAAAAAACCCCCAAAAAACCCCAAAGCAAAAAACACATCTTTGGAACTGTTTAATGCATTTAGGGAGCATGGAGTCCTTATGGTGGTCTGTTATGGGCTTGAGGCTTCACCAAGCCCCTGTGAAAACTCTGAGTGCTGTCTCCATGGCGGGGTTGCAGTCAGTAGCAAGATAACAAAACTCAGATGGGAAGGACAAAGCGCAACATGGACGCTCACGAGTCCAGCCAAATTCTGAGTGCTTAAGAAGAGGCCTGTTCATTACGATATTCCTGGTAATATCAACTCTCAAACTACTCCTTGGATCACCTACCCAATATTTATTTTTGGGAACAGTTTAAATCAAGAGAAAAGCTATTAATAAGTTAAATAAAAGCTGTTGAAGGGATTCCTGCGAGTGGGAGGTTGAATAGGGTGATTTCTAAAGCCCTTGCCAACACACAATCTAGGATTCTATCACTGCCTTCCTCCCGATCCCATGCAATTACATATTCACAGGCGACAAAGAGCAATAGAAAATAGCTAATTCACATGAAGGGCTGCTCTGACTGTGGGGGGAATTCGCTTGGATAAGAAAGTGTCCCTAGGAATTAGGGTCCCCAGCCTGGAGCTGAGTATTGATGAGCCAGTTACTGAATTCTCAGTGCCCATAAGGTGCAGAGTTGATGACAAGGATCACAGTCAGTTAAGGGACCACAGTCATGACAAATACAAACCAGAAAATAGTTCAGAAAAGGGTTGAGCAGGCACACAAATAAATTCAGAGCAAGCGAAGCTAGTTATGATAAACAAACAAATGTCAGTCTTCCCTTTGGGACAAAGACGTAAGTTGCAGTGGAGCCAGTAGAGAGTGAATGGGGAGGCCCTGTGCAAGAGGCTCCCGCCGGGCAAGGAGGCTGCTGCCTGCAGTTCTGCAGGTGGCTGTAGACAGAAGGCGTGTGGGAACCTGCACAGCAACTCTGTCTTCCTCTGGAGTCTTTCCGCTTATCCGACGTGGCAGGGTCTTCTTGGCTCTTGCTTCTGAACATGCTCACTTCCTCTTTCTTTTCTCCTTGGCCCTTTCTCTCCTTCTTCCTTTAAGGTGGCAATGCTTGTCCCTGCTCCCTGCCCTGCACTGATGGACGCACAAGTGGAGGGGTCTACACACCCCTCTTTCATTTCCTAAGCAACCCACAAGTCCAGGTGAAGATGTATGATTACATTTGTATTTTGGAAACATAATGATTGATTGTGGTTATGATTTTAAAGGAAGGGCACACTCTTGTAATGGGCAACTGGAGAATGAATTAGGGTCAAGAAGGCTCAGGGTGGGGAGGCAAGTCAGGAGGCCTATATGATAATTGGATGATCATTTAACCATGGATGAGGAGACTCGTGCCAGGGAAGCTGGAAAGGCTGCACTCACACATCACCACCAAGCTGCTTTTGGGACTCAGGGGCCTTCCCTTGGTTCTCATCCTCAGCCTTGCCTCTCTTTGATAACTGACCCTGTTGACCTCAACTCGCTTTCCAAGTCCCCTTAGGGTTGCTAATGTGTTTTGCTGGTCTCTGCTCATTTCTCCCATCATTCTTCTCTCTCCTCTTCCTTCTCCCACTCCCTCACTCTGTACCCTGGTCCACCTCCATGGTGAACTCATTCACTGCCAGGCATCTACCACCAGGCAGATGCATTCCCAGCCCCAATCTCTCCCTGGGTTCTAGTACCATATTCTCATTGACTTAAGTATCTCTAATTGGATGCCTCAAAGTGAAGTCATCATGTCCCTCCACCCCCACAAAACGGGGCTCCTCTCCAGCTCACCCCACTTATTCCAGCAGAACCATGATTTTTTCATCTCCAAAATTAGGATGCTCAAGAGTCATCTTTGCTTATCACGTTTACCTTTATTTCTTGAGTTTCTGCCTTCTTTTTGGGATTTACCTCACAGTCACTTTTTCTTCTTTATTCTCAATGCCACTACTCCCTTGGCCTGGGCCCGATAACTGAAACAGTCTCTTGGCTAGTTTCTCTGCCTCTAATCTTTCCCTCCGTCCAATCCAATTTACAGCCTGCTGCCTGACTCACTTTCATCATCCCACAGCTTTCCTCAAGAACCAACTTGCCTATCACACGGAATCCAAATTCTAATTGCTCCCAAGGCCCCACAGCTGCCCTCCCTTACCCCATCATGTTTTTCTGTGTTCAGTTCATAACATCCTCTTCTTTTAGGTCTGACCCTTCCCTGTCATTTGTGCACACCGCAATACTCTCCTTACTCGACACTTCTGTGCATGTTGCTTTCTTCATCTGCGATGCTCTCTCCTTCTCTTATTCAAATCCTAAACATCCTCAGAGTTCAGTTCTACCTCCATTTTTTTTTTTTCCTGAGATGGAGTCTTGCTCTGTCACCCAGGCTGGAGTGCAATGGCACAATCTCGGCTCACTGCAACCTCCACCTCCCGGATTCAAGTGATTCTCCTGCCTCAGCCTCTCGAGTAGCTGGGGTTACAGGCTTGCACCATCACGCCTGGCTAACTTTTGTATTTTTAATAGAGACGGGGTTTCACCACATTGGCCAGGCTGGTCTCGAACTCCTGACCTCAAATGATCCTCCAGCCTTGGCCTCCCAAAATGCTGGGATTACAGGCATGAGCCCCCATGCCTGGCTTGCCAGTTCTACGTCCACTTCTATTAGCAGTCCCCCGACAGCTCACCCAGGCTTCTGCTGTAGTCAAGAGCCTTGGACTGCACTGTGTCCACCTTGCACGCTGACCCTCCGTGGGAGGTACTACGTCAGTCAGAGTCGTCTGTTAGACAGCATTCATCTACCATCCTAGGTAGTGATTATGCTGTTAGGGTGGCTTGTGTTGACCCAAATGTTCCTTCAGACCTCGTCCATTCGATTTTTCACTGTATTGGTCCCAAATCCCCAGGCCTTATCTACGCTGAGCTTATCAGACTTCACCTTCAGCTGCACATCTCTAGACAGAGACAGGACTGGCACATTCTGCCTCCACCCAAATGATTCTTGGCCATCATCCCCTGCCTGGGTAGACCTTTACTCTCATTGGCCTCTGGATTTACCCAGTGCTATCTCTGCACAATGTTCAGTTTCAGTTCTTCCTGAGGAACTTTTTGATGCCTTCCAGAAGGCTCTTCTTTCCCTTCACACACCTTCCATTAAACTGTAAGAGTCATGCCAGGCACTTGTTTCTAGGTGTAGCAGTTTAATCTCTCCAATTAAGCTATAAGCTTCTTGATTAAAACAAAAACAAAAACAGAAACATGGCACCTTCCTTTCTTGGACAGCTATCACTGAACACAGTGTTACACAATAAGTGCTCACGAAAACACAACTGATTGACTTATTTTGTGTCACACCATGTGACTGGCCACCATCCTTCCAGATGCCCTTTAAGAGGTCTGCACAGGGATCAGGAGACCTGGGTTCTCCACATGACCTTGTCACTATCTACTTTGTGTTCCTGGTTGAGTCACTTAAATGTTATGAGCCTAAGTTCCCTCAGCCATAAGATGGTAGCAGCCATTCCTACTTGATCACCTTAAGAATCAATAGGGGATCACCTGAGGTCAGGAGTTCTAGACCAGCCTGAGCAACATGGTGAAACCCCGTCTCTACTAAAAATAGAAAAATTAGCTGAGTGGAGTGGTGTGTGCCTGTAATCCCAGCTACTCAGGAGGCTGAGGCAGGAGAATCACTTGAACCCAGGAGGCGGAGGTTGCAGTGAGCAGAGATCGTGCCATTGCACTCCAGCCTAGGTGACAACAGTGAAACTTGGTCTCAAAAAAAAAAAAAAAATGAACGGGGAAAAGGCAAACAGAGTGTTGACATATTTGACAAACTTCATTGTATGTTTAATTAACTCATTCACTCACTCAAATCATTCAATGTATGTATGCTACACAAATGGCCATGTTATGAAATGAAGATGAGCCAAGAGTTTTCAATTCCACTGAATTATTTTCAGGGAAAGTGACTTCATGAGAAGTAGGAAAGCGAAAGCAAAATTTTCTCCATAGAAACTAATTTAATGCCCACACTAGTTTAACCTATTTTATAAACCAAATACCAGAAATTTGGACAGAGAAGAGTCTTTGACAATATACAACCTAGGTAGGAAGAGGAGACAGTCAGAGTTCTGGTAGGTACGGCAGAGTTGGGAGGTGCTGTGAAGGTGGGGATAAGATCTTGTTTTGTACATCCTAATTCTGAGTGCCCTTTTATTACAACTGCTTTCTGCCATCTCCTTCAGGCAAAACCCCAGGTTGCTGAAGTGCCTGCTAATTTTATATTGGAAGGCCAGTTCTGGGTCACTGCACTACTAGTCTTTCTCAACCAGGGTTTTCTATCTGAACTACAGAGCACAGAAAATGATCTGTGTGACTGTAACCTTCCTATATACCACTCTCAGTGGCCAGGAGAGGAGTCGATTCACTACAATGGATGTCTTAAAGCAGGAGGGCTTATTTCTCCCTGGGAACCCTAGTTGGGGAAGGCTAAACACTGACTGATGGACATATTTCTCGCTGAGGCCGACGGCATGTGGTATTGGCATTGGCTGACCAAAAACAATAGGGCCCTGTCTCTGCTGCAAGGGGGCCGGGAGGGATTTTTTCACTGAGGAGCACTACCTTAATGAACTCACTTGCTTTTCTATGCCGCTTGTGTCCACATTTCCCTCACTGCCCTACTTCTTTCCTGGGACTGTCTCTCGTCTTAACCCTTTCCCTGCCACGCATCACAATTAGGCCATTCAAACCAAATTTTCTACTCTAAAAGCATTCACAGATATGCCATTTCATGCAGCTGAAGATTCAACAGGCATAATTTAATAACATCCGATTCTTTCTGCACCCTTCAAGTAGGAGCAGCCTTTTTTGAGTCCATCTTTTTGGTAGGTTCCCTGGCCCTGAGCCGCGGGGTCAGATCTCCAGCCAGAAGACCCAGCACAGACCCCCGGCTGCAGCTGCAGCTTGTGCACGGATAGAGAGAGATTCCTGCTTGGGCTATTAGTGTCCCAGGTCTGGACTCTGGTTAATATGGTCGTCACTGTCACCTCTGCTGTTGCTATCCTATAGTCTCTGCAGTAGGCATTCAGTTTTCTCTTTATTCCCTGTCCTTGGCCTATGCCTTGGCCTATGCCTATGCCCTTTAAAGGAAGACAGACCCTTCCTTTAAAGGGTGTGTCTCCAGCCCACGAACTTCTGGCTGGCTAGAGCTGCATTCTCTCTCTTTTCTGCTCTTTTCTTCCTGACACCCTATTAGAAAATTAGGGTTATTTCTTGATTTCCTTTATTCAGTTCTCCCTGATCCCTCTACATATGCCACCATCATACAGGCATATAGCTAATCTTTACTTGGGTTTAGTCTCTTCAAAAACAGACCTATTTATAGCTTCCCAATATATAACTGCATGTTAAATGCAACACCTATACTTCAGCTCTCTTATTTATAATTTGAATTTTGAAATTCGGAATTGTTCCATGGTTCAAAAATCACCTTTGGGCGGGTTGTTTTGCCAAGAAAACCTTTTATCAAAAACAAACAGTTCACTGGCTGGCAATACACACTTTACTGGAATGGCCTCCCATAGTTTGAGAAGCTCATATCTGGTTGTAGCCCAACTGGTCAAGGGTGTTATTGTCTGTCTCTTGGGAAACCACTAAAGGAAAGAGTAGGAAGTAGGCACCCTTGGGGAAAATGGCAAAGCCTATAGGGTTTCAAATAGAACACAGTAGGCAACTAAGAAAAGTAAAAACAACCAATTTTTTGTTGTTGTTGTTGTTGTTTTTAATTAGAGCCTCAACCAAACTCAAATACAATTTGCATGACCACAGCTGAATTCGCCTATCATGTATACCACAGGACATTTGCTTTTCCTGGTTACAGCATGACTCAGACTTTATTTAAATCCTTTTTACAAAGAAATAAGGGAGATAAAAGTGACAGAAATAAAGTCATTGTTTGCTCTCTGCCCAGGCAGCATGGGGACAGAGGCTGATCTGAGGTCAACCCAAAGGCCCCATCGGTTGGGCTGTTATTGCCATATGGCCTGCGGGGCTTTGTTATATTTGTGGGTTGGACCTTACTCCTACAATCACTTGTTCTCAACAGCCCAGGTGTTTCCAAATCCTATTTCACTGGTTGAATTCATCTGATATTCACAGTCCTTGAGGCTAGTGCTGAGAATGAGGTGGGAGGCACCTCTCACAGAGGGCTAGCCAGTCTAGATACGTAACAAGGAAAGAATTATTCCAAGCAACAGAAGATATCTGCGTTTTCCTGGCAGATCCAGAGACAGAGAAACTCACAGGCCCCAGATCTTGGCAGGAGATAGGAAGTGGTATGAGCACAAAAGGGGAGCTACGCACCATTAACAAGGAAACAGAATCTGAAAACTCCAAAGAACACGCACGTGGATGTTCCCACACCCGTCTGCTCTTCCACATTCCAGAGACTCCCGGCCTCTAAAAGACACCTTTTTATTATGGATAATACTGGTGGTATGCTGGCATGCTGACACTGGGTAGGGGTGGGGTGGGGTGGGGTTGATCTATTGCCAATTTCCTTGGTATAAATACTGCTTCCATGGCCCATTTCAAGCAAACAACATTTTAACTACTAGCCCTTAAAAATCCTCATTATTTAACAACCAGCTCCTGCAAGCTGGTATGAACTGGCTCCAGCACACCACTGGATAATACTTAACACACTAGAAACCCTGGAGAACAATCCGACACCCAATATAAGCGTCTCTTCTACAGAATCCCTGACAGCTGTACACCAAACCTGTTTTGCTCTCCACTGGTGAGCTGCTCATGAAGTCTAACATCTGCCTAGCTTAGAATGCCCTAAGTATGCCCACTGGAGAAGTGCAGGATAAGTCTACCCATCTGTGGTGTCTTCAACATGGCAACCTTTTACATACTTGAAGACAGTGGTCATGAACCTTGGGGTCTTCTCCTTTCTTCTCCATGCTGAAACATATCCCCAGATCCTTCTACTACCCTTCACATCAAAAGTATAACAGCCCACCCACAATACAATGAACATAAAAATGTCCCAAATGTAACATAACACAATGGGGCCATTATCTCCCTTGTGCTAATCAGAGTAAGAATTGTCTTGCATCACACATAAAATACACTAACACTAATGATAGCTGATTAGTTAAAAAAAAATCACACACACAAAAAAATCTCATATGTTTTAAGGAAGTTTAGGAATTTGTGTTGAGCCACATTCAAAGCTGTCCTGGGCTGCATGCAGCCTGCAGGCTGGACAAGCTTGCTCTAAATACTATGCTTTTCTTACTCTCCTAAGATTGCATTAACCCTTTTGACAGCCACCTGATACTAACCATTCATCCTTACATAACTATCTCCCCCAAAGCCTTTCCCTCCTCCCAGAGTCTTTTAATATTATTTCAGGTTTTTCACATTAATTGATTATTAAAATACACTTGCTAAGACTACATTATTCTCACCAACTGTTATATGTTTAGCTTGGCTTCTGACCTCTACTGAGATCTTCTTTATTCTTCCAAAGGGTGTTACCCACAAACGTGCTAAAAAGCCTTTTATGTCTTCATTCAATTCACTCACATAGATTTTTGCAGCATCTACAAGGGACCTCGCCCTCTTTAATCCATGCTCTTTGAGTATAGTCCTTAGCTAACATCCAGCCAGCGGCACCACTCTCCAATCTATGTTTCTCCATCTTGCTCACAGAATTTCACACACTTGTCAAGTGCCTAGTTGAAATTTAGAATGTACTTTTAGCAGGAAAGCACTGTATAAAGGTAAGGATTTGTCTGTTATTTCCCTGCCAGAACTCTCTGAGAATGTTATGAAGAAAATAAATGGGATTCATTTGGCATGCCTTTTTCCTCAGTGAGGTCACATGGGTACCCTGTGGTCTTTCTATCGTTGCTTATAAACCACTTGCCAAAGAAATCCTGTAAGAAATTTCCTTGGGAATCAATCACATTCAGGTTGAGTTTACCACTCGGGCCATATACCAGGGGTGTACAAGCCTGTCCCTAGCTGTCTCTCCTGTGTACGACTGCCAGGCGAAGTTTCCTAAAACACCACTTTTTTTTTTTTTTTTTTTTGAGACGGAGTCTCGCTCTGTCACCCAGGCTGGAGCACAGTGGCGTGATCTCGGCTCACTGCAACCTCCACCTCCTGGGTTCAAGCGTTACTCCTACCTCAGCCTTCAAAGTAGCTGGGATTACAGGTGCACGCCACCACACCCAGCTAATCTTTGTATTTTTAGTAAAGATGGGGTTTCACATGCTGGCCAGGCTGGTCTCGAACTCCTGACCTCAAGTGATTTGCCTGCCTCGGCCTCCCAAAGTGCTGGGATTACAGGCATGAGCCATCGTGCCTGGCCTAAAATGCCACTTTCTTCATGTTGCCCTGCTGTTCAGACATTCCTGACACTATCCAAGTCCTGTCTCTGACTATCAGGGCTCTCCATCATCAGACCCCACCTTCCCACTGGCCACCATGGCCTCTGACTGGGTTTCAGGCCAGCTCCTTTCTGTCCATGACCTTCGACACTAATTCCTGCTCACACTTCCCTCAGCCCAGGAACTCTCCCTGCATCCTGCCCTTCTCATGCCCACTGGCCTTTCAGAGTGCACTTCAAGTCCCCTCCACCATGAAGCTTCTCCTCCCAGTTCTGGTCTCCACTGACCTTCACCTTCTTTATACGACATTCATTCAAATGCTTACAGCCATGGATTCACAGAAGCCTTACTTGGAAGGCTGGACTGGAGATCACCTAATTCAGCTTTCTTCCTAACTAGGAAGCGGGTTTACAGCTCAGGGGCAGCAGTGCAATGCAGCTGGAGAGTCACAGGGGCCCTGAATGCTGGCTCTGCCACTGATGAGCTGGAGGCCTCGTGGGCTTCCTCCACTGTCCTGACGTTCGGATATGACACTATACTGAAAATCCTTCAGAAACAAAAAAGAGCACCTCAGCTGTGTCTACTGGTATTTTACTGGTATTCTATGCCAAACCATATGTAACCATAAAGGTAACTGGTGGGAAGGAGGGGCTCCAGGCAGGGCAGACCTGAAACAAAGCTATTCATCTACGTTAGGGATCCCAACCCAACGGCAACTGTAAATAGCTTTGGGTAAAACAGGCTTTTGAGACATTAGAAACAAACAAACAAAATGTAAAAGTTAAATTCAATTAGACTCTGGGGTAAAATTTAACCTTGAGACTTTAGCACTCTCCACAGTGCTGACCTTTGAAGCTGGAGACAGACTGAGCAAGGAGAAGGAACTAGCCAGGAACTTCCTCAATTCTATCTCCTGCTTTCCCGAAGCCCACCCATAATGCCGGCCCACGAGTCTTCCTTCACCAGCTCTCAGAAATATTCTTGTCCTCGACTTCTGCCAAGCCAGTGTCCACATACAGGGTGACCAGGGATCAAACCCCAGAGGCCTGGGCCAAGGGGCCATTCTTCAAGGAGGACTCTGCCCCCACGCTTGGTACCGAGTCCCTGACGACCCTCCTCTCACACTTGGTCATCTCGCTTCAGCGTCCTCCCCTCATGCCCAATCTGATCCAGGTTTCTCCTGAAGTCAAACAAACAAGCAAGCAAACCAACCAACCAACCAACCAAATATCTCATGTTAATCTCACTTTGCATTCATCTACTTATTTTTCCTGTCATCCGCACCCTTCTTTCTCAACTACAATAAGTAGCTTGAGGGGTTGGGTATAGTGGCTCAAGCCTGTAATCCCAGCAACTTTGGGAGGCCAAGGCAGGTGGATCACCTGAGGTCAGGAGTTCGAGACCAGCCTGACCAACACGGCAAAACCCCATCTCTACTAAAAATATAAAATTAGCCGGGCATGGTGGTGGGTGCCTGTAATCCCAGCTACTAGGGAGGCTGAGGCAGGAGAATCGCTTGAACCTGGGAGGCAGAGTTTACAGTGAGCCGAGATCAAGCCATTGCACTCCAGCCGGGGCAACACAGTGAGACTGTCTCAAAAAAAAAAAGTAGCTTGAGGATTTTTCTCCTGCAAACCCTTGATTTTTATTCCTCCCACATGGCTTCCACCCTTCCTGCTATGGCGCAACATCCCTTTCAGGGGACAACGAGGGCCACCTCCGCTGGTCTCTTCTTTTGGTAGTGAGTGGCTCTGAGCTGTACTGTAGCCCTAAATTTCTCTGCTGTCTCTTTTCTCACTCTCCACCATTAACTTAGGTGCCCCTTTGACTTTCAACTAGTTTTTCCTTCTGTATATTAATTCAGCCAAAGCAGAAATGATCAAAAAACCTAATCTCTGCTACTAACTGCTCCCTATTTTTTTACCTTAATCATTTGCATAGACATCCTACAGATATCAGCTATTTACAACATACCAACAAGCGCTCAGACTCCTTCCTCTGACCTTAATACAGAGTGTCTCTAACACCACCATAACAACAGTTTCCAAAGGCTTAAAATTCCTTCCAGCTCTTTCCTTGGTTACCCTTCTTCTTTCTCTCTCTTTTTTTTTTTTTTTTTAGACAGGGTCTTGCTCTGTCACCCAGGCTGGAATGCAGTGGTACAATCATGGCTCCCTGCAGCCTAGACCTCCTGCGCTTAGGTGGTCCTCCCACCTCAGCCTCCTGAGTAGCGGGGACTGCAGTTGCATGCCACTATGCCAGGTTGATTTTTGAATTTTTTACAGAGATGGAGGTCTTACTATGTTGCCCAGGCTGGTATTGAACTCCTGGGCTCAAGCAATCCTCCTGCCTTGGTCTCCCAAAGTGCTGGGATTACAGGTGTGACCCGCTGTGCCCAGAAGGGCGGACCTGAAACAAAGCTATTCATCTACATTAGGGATCCCAACCCTTCTTCTTTTTTATCTCACATTCAACACTTTTAAAATAAAACCCAACAAACTCCTTTTATGTAAAGTATCAGGAATTTGCTGTGTCTTCCCCATTTTCTTAGCTTATGCCCTAGCTATGCATGCGCTGACCTGGCTCTCCTGGATAGAGCACTGCCTTCAGCCTCCTGGCCACATCCATCCATCCATCCATCCATCCATCCATCCATCCATCCATCCATCCACCCATGGTGCTTAGTCACAATTTTTATTCTACTACTCACTAACCAGAAATCTACAAGCATTCTTTATCCTCATTATATTACCAAACTCCTCCCCTCTAAATGAGTGCCTGGGCCTTCACTTTTTCTTCCATGCATGCTCACTCCATTTGGGCACCCAGTGCCATCTGCCTAGCTAATCTGACCCAGATGCTCATTTGTTCAAGGTCCTTCAGCATTCAGTTCAGTTCAAATGTCTGTAATGTGACTTGTTCATGTTGAGCTTTGAGAACATTCTTCAGTCATTTCATGTCTTCTGTTTACAAGCAGACTGTAAGCTCTTTCAAGTCAATAAGGAGGTCTGCCTTTTTTTTTTTTTTTTTTAAACACTGAGCTGCCCAGATGGTGCTTTCAAGATAGCAATTATGTGATAGGTCCTGCCGATAGACAGTGACTATTGGGGGCCAGAAGCCAATTTCTGTAAGGACTGGCAATGACACCCAATCAAAGACACACAAGAGAAAAGCGTAGGGATGACATGGTAGCCTGTTTCGGGAGACTGCCATTGTCAAAATAATTCACTAGTGTACTGAAGAGCAATGTTTTCCCTGTTTTGTTCCTCCTTCAAAGAAAAGGTCAAGAAGAGTGTTTAAAAAAAAAATCACAGTTTAAAATGAGGGAGGAATGTCAAGCTATTATTTCCAGCTACCATGGGTTCAGGCCTTCTGAGACTTGAGGAGCAGGGGCTGCCGTGGTGTGTCCTCTGAAAGAGGCCTTCGCCACGAAAGCACAGAAGACCCAGGGCTCACTGGAACCATCAAGGGTCCTCTGGTTCTTCTTAAAGTCAAAGATTAGGTGCCAAAATGTCAGTTTATGTACTGGCAAATATCATCTTCTTCCTTGGGGCTTTAAGTACTCAGATAAGATGCAACAGAATGAACTGTCCCACAGAGTAAATAACTTTCTGGGAGTAGGTAAAAGACTCTCAGAAAAGCAGTCACTCTTTTAGAAGGCCACAAATGAATACAATCATTTGTTAAGAGGCACCACAGTACAACAAGACACCATATTTTGGGGATATGGACTGATGCCTTCTAGTCCTCCATAAAGTGCTGATATAACAAAAAGATGTTAGAAATGTATTAGACAACTTCGTAACAACATGAAGAAAACAAAATTTAAAAAATCCACATTCTGGCTGGGTACAGTGGCTCACACCTATAATCCTAGCAGTTTGGGAGGCCGAGGCAGGTAGACGGCCTGAGGTCAGGAGTTCTAGACCAGCCTGGCCAAAATGGCGAAACCCGTCTCTGCTGCTATACAAAAATTAGCTGGGTGTAGTGGCAGGATCCTGTAATCCCAGCTACTCAGGAGGCTGAGGCAGAAGAATCGCTTGAACCTTGTTGGGGGGCAGAGGTTGCAGTGAGCCGAGATTGCGCCACTGCACTCCAGCCTGGGCAACAGAGCGAGACTCCTTCTTAAAAAAAAAAAACAAAACAAAAAAACTCCACACTCTAACTCTAACACAATAAATTTTCATTTAACTCCTTAAATACATAGTTGTAATCATAGTATCATATAATTTTGCATTCTTTTTGTCACTTGATAGCCTATAGTTACCCTTGCATAGTTTTGGTCTTTCTACTTATAATCAAGTCCACCAATTATTAATATTCCATCTTATAAACTTTGTCACTGCTCATTTGCTGATTTTGGTTGTTTTTAATATTTAATCTTTAGAAACAGTTGGATAATCACATATACACATATAGCTTTTAAAAAATTAATTACTTATAATTTTAAGGAATGAGATCATCAGGTAAAAGGATATAAAAATATTCATGGCTGGGGATATGATTTGAAAAACTGACCTTTAGAAGAACTGTACACATACATAGTTTTTAATTAATTTTATACTTTTTGATCTACCCTTTGTGACAACTAGTAACACTGCAGAGTGTCACTAATCTGGTGCTGAATCACTGCTGCAGGATCCTAATGTAGTGACTGCCATTTCAGAAGTGGTACTGACTCACTAGCTTTTATAATCAGAAAACAACAACAAAGAATGAGCTGCTTTTTAGAAACATTGCCAGATTCTCGGGAAAATATTTGTACATTTGTATAATATATAAAACATATTGGTTAATTTCCTTTATACATTAGAACAATCTAGTTTCATAGGTGTTAAGTAGTAAATATATTCTATTTTACTTTGGCTTATCTTTTAGGTAAGAACAAAGAAAGCAATTACTTGTGGCTGGGAGCGGTGGCTCGCACCTGTAATCCCAGCAGCACTTTGGGAGGCCGAGATGGGTGGATCACCTGAGGTCAGGAGTTCGAGACCAGCCTGACCAATATGATGAAACCCTGTCTCTACTAAAAATACAAAAATTAGCCGGGTGTGATGGCATGCACTGTCATCTCAGCTACTCGGAAGGCTGAGACAGGCGATCGCTTGAACCCAGGAGGTGGAGGTTGCAGCAAGCCGAGATCAAACCATTGCACTCCAGCCTGGGTGACAAGCGCAAAACTCCATCTCAAAAAAAAAAAAAAAAAGCAAGCAAGCAAGCAGTTACCTGCATATGATATGCAACTAAAATCAACGGTATCTTATGCAATAATAGATAACCTCAGTGTTAACTAAGTAAGTATAATTAATGTGAAATGCTATTTTAAAAAGGTATGATTTACTGGCCGAGTGCAGTGGCTCACACCTGTAATCCCAGCACTTTGGGAGGCCGAGGTGGGTGGATCACGAGGTCAGGAGATCAAGACCATCCTGGCTAACATGGTGAAACCCCATCTCTACTAAAAATACAAAAAAATTAGCTGGGCATGGTGGTGTGTGCCTGTAGTTCCAGCTACTCGGGAGGCTGAGGCAGGAGAATGGCGTGAACCCGGGAGGCAGAGCTTGCAGTGAGCAAGCTCCAGTGAGATCGCGCCACTGCACTCCAGCCTGGGTGACAGAGCAAGGCTCTGTCTCAAAAAAAAAAAAAAAGGTATGATTTACTTTTCATTTAACTGGGTGTCTGGTGAGACATTTCTCACCTGAGGCATGGATAAATATCTGAAGTTTGATTAGAAAAAATTAACAAATGGAATCTATTCTGTTAGAGTTTAATGCCATTAATTTTGTGATTAAAAGTTACAAATGCTATTCAAAATTTCTGGGTCTGACTGGTTACAGTTGCACATTAAATTGGATATTAGCTGTTCTATTTAGTTGAGATAAAATCCAGCTTTGAATCCAAATGGTTAAAAATGGTGAAGTAAAAGAAGACTGATGACTGTTTTAGAAATGCAATTATTTACATGATTGGCTTTTGTCTGTATGCCTTTCAAATGTCAAGATATTCTGAAAATAATCAAATAACCATGAAAGAATTCACGTGGAAGGATCACTTTAACCTGTGCCTTATATAATGTACTCAATTTACAGAAAAGCCAATTCCACGTTCTTATCCAAAACAATAAAATCAATGATGCAGCCTTAAAATCTCTTTCTCTGGATTAATCCCTTTACCTAACAACTACATTCTAAAAACTGAGGACTTATCATTCTGGATAGGGAGTGACCTTTTGGGAAGAATCACAGAGTCCTCTCCCCAGCCCGAGACCACTATCAATCCCCTTGGCTAGGGGGTCAACTGTGTACTCAGCTTCCTTTTAAGTCATTTCAAAGGATGAACAATAAACAGAAGCCGTGCTCTCCCAATTTGAGGCATTGGTGATCTGGCAGGGGAGATAACACCCAAATAGGGAGATAATTGTATTGTGACTGTACATAATTAAAGGCAGCGGTGACAGTAATAAGCCCGTTTTTTCTTTTGTAGACTGAGAGAGAAAGATCTTAAAAAGTTGTCTTCTTGAATTCAGCCTTTCAAGACTCATTGGTGAATGACAAAATGAGACATCTGGTTCTCCAAAATGTATCTGTTGAGCATGGTTCTTACACGGATGGTATCTGGCAAATAGAGATGAGCATGAGACCACATAAATGCCACAGGAAATTCCCAGGTCTCACTGAACTGTTTCATTCGCAAAAACACTGTCACAGCCAGTGGGCGGGTGGGGGGGACACATTAAGTGATGAAATAAAACGTACTAAAGCACAGAATGTCAGATACTTCACACACACACAAAAACTACAATTACGCTAGGCTACATCAATTATCATGGAATAAAAAGATTACAAACATTACAAATGTGTGAGTGTGGTTTTTTTAGGAAATTAATTAAATATAAAGAGCTATTGATGGTGGTCATATGGCAATGAGGTCAACACGAAAGCCAGGCACTAGAGTACCCATGGATGAATTTTCAACTGGAATAATCAAGCTTTATTTACTTTTTGTGGCCATGATTTTAACCTTTTACTTATTGAGATGCCAAGACAAATCAAAACGGCACACAATTAACCTGTTAAATTTATTTTTCACAAGGCCTGCTAAAAGATGTGGTTGAAATTACTCTCAAATTGCTTTCGGAGGTTTGGCAAGTGAGACAATACAAGAAAAACTAAACATTTTCAAGTCATATTGTTTTGAGAGGCGGGCCTGAGAAGGTTCAAGTCCTAAAAGGCTGTTGTCCTACAAGGCTGTTTGTTTTTCCGGGCGGGTTGGGGTTGCCAGACTCAAAGAGTCCCCCTGATCTGCATTCTGAATTGAGATTCTGGACATTGCCACCCAGCTCTTCATATGTCTAAGGAAACTGTGGCTGGGGATGGTGGCTCACACCTGTGACCCCAGCATTGTGGTAGGCTGAAGAGGGAGGATCATTTGAGGCCAAGAGTTCAAGACCAGCCAGGGCATCATAACGAGAGCCTATCTCTACAAAAAATCAGTTAAAAAAAAAAATTAGCTGGGCATGATGGCACACACCTGTAGTCCCAGCTACTCCAGGAGGATTGCTTGAGCCTAGGAGACTGAGGTTGCAGTGAGCCATGATTGCACCACTGCACTCCAGCCTGGGTGATAGAGCAAGACCCTGTCTTGAAAAAAAAAAAGAACAAAAAAAGTGAAGGAAAAATAAAAAAAAATGGTGTAATTATTTGATTCCTGCTGACTGCAGCTATTAAAAAGGGAGGTGTGTAGCTACCACCTTTGCATTCCCAATCATTCAAAATAGGTTTTATTTCTTTTTCTTTTCTTTCTTTCTTTCTTTCTTTCTTTCTTTTTTTTTTTTTTTTTTTTTTGAGGCAGAGTCTTGCTCTGCTGTCCAGGCTGGAGTGCAATGGCACAATCTCAGCTCACTGCCCTCTCCGCCTTCCAGATTCAAGCAATTCTGCCTCAGCCACCCTAGTGGCGGGGATTACAGGCCTGCGCCACCATGCCTGGCTAATTTTTGTATTTTTGGTAGAGACAGGGTTTTGCCACGTTGTCCAGGCTGGTCTCCAACTCCTGGCCTCAAGTGATTTGCCCGCCTCAGCCTCCCCAAGTGCTGGGATTACAGGTGTAAGCCACCGCACCCGGCCCAAAATAGGTTTTTAAAGCCAATTTTAAATACCTTCTAGTTCTCATTACAACTTGAAAAATAACACTTTAAAACTCCACAACTGGAAACAATGAACCAAAAGAGTGATCTGCTACAGAAAGAACATTAAGATATTTTTATAATACTTGAAAACAAAGTATTACAACTGGAATTCAGGGAATTGAAATTGGCATGTCAAACAATAATAGAAGATTCTAAAGGTAAAAAGTAGAATAATTAAAAGAAATAGTAATTATACCAAAGACAGGTTTATAGAAAACAACACTGGTGAACTTTGTATTTACTGACTTACTTAAAAAGAACTTCTAGCGTGACATTTTTTCTAACATTGTAATTGCCCTGCACCTATCTTTACATGAGTCTCCATAAACACTGCTGAATGTAGATCAGAAAATTGAAGATGATTAAGAACTGTTTATCTGATCTGTGTACCAAAATGGATTAGACTCATTGGTAGTACTTTCAGTTGAGAATAAAGTTTTTTTTTTTGACAGAGTCTCTCGCTGTGCCACCCAGGCTAGAGTGCAATGGCATGATCTCGGCTCACTGCAACCTCCGTCTCCTGGTTCAAGCAATTCTCCTGCCTCATCCTTCCAAGTAGCTGGGATTACAGGCGCACGCCACCACCCCAGCTAATTTTTTTGCATTTTTAGTAGAGACAGGGTTTCACCATGTTGGCCAGGCTGGTCTCGAACGACCTCAGGTGATCTGCCTGCCTCGGCCTCCCAAAGTGCTGGGATTATAGGTGTGCGCCACTGCACCCGGCTGAGAATCAAGTTTTAATGAAGTGACTTTAATGCATTTATGAGAAATGGTCATCACTAAAATCTAAGCCTTGAATGTGATAGTTCAGATTCAAGGCAAAGAATTTTTTAATTCCTCCCATTTGTTTGCTACTTATACCTCTGGTTTAAAAAGATACATCTGAAGTTTAACATTATATGATTCTAGATTTTTATAAAAGATTTTTATGAGTTTCTTATAGTTTATGTCTATAGCTTACTCATTCATTGTTCAATATTTATCTAGTGACCACAGTGTATGCTGAACACTGATTTAGATGCTAAAGATAATGCAGGGAATAAAACAGATGATTCGCCTACAGATGACTCCCTGCCCTCACGGAATTTACATCTACCTCATAACACTTGAAGATAAGTAGAATTGATTAGCTAGTGATTTAGTTACCTGAAAATCAAATGCTACATTTATGTAAGTTGGCATGAAATTATAAAATATCTTTCATAGCGAGGACCAGTCAAGATGATAAAAACTACTGGGTAAGTTCTAAATATGTCATACCAAGTAACCATTAACTATTTGTAAAAAAAATGGTCAGTTTAAGTCTTGACTTAGAACATGAAGACTTCAAAAAAAATAATTACAAGTAACTTTTTTTTTTGAGATGGAGTTTCGCTCTTGTAGCTCCAGCTGGAGTGCAATGGCGCGATCTCGGCTCACTGCAACCTCTGCCTCCTGGGTTCAGGTGATTCTCCTGCCTCAGCCTCCTGAGTAGCTACAGGCGCTGCCACCACGCCCGCCTAATTTTTTGTATTTTCAGTAGTGATGGGGTTTCGCCATGTTGGCCAGGCTGGTCTCGAACTCCTGACCTCAGGTGATCCACCCGCTTCAGCCTCCCAAAGTGCTGGGATTACAGGCATGAGCCACCGCGCCTGGCCACAAGTAACATTTTTATTCACTTCTGGTGATTAATTAGAATCACTGAACCAGAATCATAGTTTATTTAATCATCGCAGGTTGTCTTCTACATGACTACCTCATCTTTAACTTCTGTATTAATAAAGAATTTGCACTTTCACTATTCTCAGTCATGGTATGACTCAATGTTTTAGAACTTAGTATCCTCCTTGCAAAAAGTAATGCGAGCTGGAACAAAGCCCATAAGGTAACATTTACCACCTGGAACAATCAAAACAAATATTTTAACAGCAATAGATTTGTGGAGGACAGAAAGTCCTAGTGGCTAGAACAGTGGTGATTAGAAAAGCAGTGGTTAGAACTTTTTTTTTTTTTTTAATGAAAAAGATGGGAGGGAAGATGGCCACTAAATTGTATTTGAAACCAAAAGAAGTGACCCATCTGCTCTGGGGCCCGTGGAGAGAGAAGAGAGTGCAGATTACGAACTGGGAATGCAGAAGACAGAAAGATGATCAGCTGGAAACAAACTGAAGGAGTGTGTTGGCTAGCAACACATAATGAGAGTAGGGGCAGGCTTCTGACCTTGATGGTGGCGGAGCCGCATTCTCTCGCATAATCTGTCAGTTCTCTCTCTCTCTTACAGGAGACCAGCCTGTCTGGGAAAAAGTCACTTAGCTACCAATGCCTCTGAGCATACGGCCAAATTCCCCCAACCTCCTCTCTGATCAGCTTCTGCCTCTTTTTGTAACACTAAGTGGGTTGGGGAAGCCCCTGGAGGCTGAGGGCTGTCATAGGCCATCTGTGTGAGGACTCCCAGGGGCTGAGGGAGCTGTGAGGAGGGACGTAGAGACTGGGCTGACACCAGGTGCTTACCATTATCATGTAAGTTCTCTAACTGTTTCATGTGGGGTCTTCCCTATCCTTCTACCTACAGTGATGGTAGGTAACCTGAAGAAGTCTGACTTTTTAAAATTGGCACAGAGCAAAGCCCATTCCTAAGGAATGTTAAAAAATTTGCTGACTTTGGACAGGGCGTGGTGGCTCACATCTGTAATCCCAGCACTTTGGGAGGGTGAGCCAGGTGGATCACTTGAGGTCAGGAGTTCAAGACCAGCCTGGCCACCATGGTGAAACCCTATCTGTACTAAAAAAAAAAAAAAAAAAAAAAAAAAAAAAAAAATTAGCTAGGCAGACTGCAGACTACGCCTGTAGTCCCAGCAACTCGGGAGGCTGAGGCAGAACAATCGTTTGAGCTGAGGAGGCAGAGGTTGCAGTGAGATGAGCCTACTGCACTTCAGCCCGGATGACAGAGTGAGACTGTCTCAAAAAAAAAAAAAAGAAAAATTTGCTGACTTTTGGCTGGAGATTTTAATTACAAATATAGTAGAGAAGTTAAGATTAATATATAAAAAAGACGGTGCCAATAACTAAATGTTGTGCGGCACTTTTTAGTTTATAAGGAATCTTCCCTACATCATCTCATTTGGTGCTCAGAGCTGTGGTGGGGAAGGCCTCTCATCAGCTCAGATTTGACACACCTAATGTGGAGTGAGGTGGGTGTTTGGTTTTTCAATCTTTTAATTCTTTTCCATTATTCCACACATAAAGCAATAAGAAAAATTAAATGCTAAGCCGTATGGTATTGATTAGGTAAAACGGTGACTTAAAGGAGAGCTCGGTAGTGTCAGAAGAGCGCAAATCCATCCTGGGGATGAGATGCGTGCTGAGCCTGAAAGAGCAAGGTTTTAAACGGAAGGCCTTCCACCTGTGGAGAGGGCAGGAAGAAAGGCATGAGGATGGGAAGCAGACAGGCTACGTGGGAAAGGCGAGAACAGATTCCAGGCAGCATGGTGCTAGCCCAAAGCAGCAAACCTGGCATGGACCAAATTCTGGCTCCTTTCCACGAAAGGAAGAAAAATGAACACAGTAATCTATTAATCAATTAGTCTTCTGTTTTCGACTTCAATTCCCAGAGCTAATTAATCACTTCATTAAGTAGGAGATTCTCTCTTGGTTTAGGTCATTAATGAATATTACTAAGTAAAGCCTGGTTTATATTTCTAAAACTTTTGCATTTCAAACTCCTGGTAGCGCTTACGATGAAGATGTAAAAGAGGTGCCACATATGGACTGGAGGTTCCATCCCAGCTGCCGCTTCCTGCCATCCACCCTGGCTCTTCTCTGGAACAGCCATCTCCGGACCTGTCCTGGAAGTTCGCACACTTCTGCATTTGCCTTTGTCATCGTAAGGCTAATGCTGGGAAACGTGCTCACGTCTTGATTGTATTTATGCTGTGTCTAATTTTAGTTCTATTGTACCAAAATGACTGACATGGGTTTAATTGCTTGATCCAATAGATGCTGGTGCATCAGACCAACAGAAGCTTGCTCTTACCGTTATTAACCTGATATATTCTGACTAATTCACAGAATGAGGGAGAGTATGTTTTCTTCTTACAGCACATCCTGCTCAGTGACTGTGTCATCACCAAACATTTAAAAAGAGTCCGTTATGTTAAAAATATTATGCTAACCACCGAGAACACAAAGAGGTGTGGACACAGTCACTGACCTTCAGGGTACTGACAGGTTGTGCAACAGGTCACTTTACAAACAAGACCAGAGGACAGCATATGAAAAACAGTGAGCAAGGCCACAGGTACTAGGCGCTTGGAGTCTGGGGCCCCAGACTTGCTTCCATATTTAAATGTCGGCACTCACTTTGCTGCCAGTGACTCTCATCTTATTTCTCACATGCGGACTCGACACAGCATGAGGGGCAGGCAGGTGGGGAGGTGGCAGCAAAACAAGAATGCATGGTTCTGACCTCAAGAAGCCTGAGAGTTACTGTGGAGAAAAGAAAAAATAATCTGAAAACAGTTACAAAGTTGATGTCAGCAAGAACCAGACACCATGCTGTGAGTTATATGTTTGTGCAAAGATCACCAGAGAGGAAGTTAGCATGTGACCGATTGGGTGGGGTTGACCTGAGGTTTCTGGAGCTGTGAGGTGGACCCCCAATCTAGTGACATGAACTGGGACTGGGAGAAGGACAAGGCTTTCTGGCCTAGGAGGTAATACTTGCCAACCCCAACGCTTAGATAAGACTCAAAATGATGCTCTTTCTTCAATGATGCCTGAACAGATGGCTGTAATATACTCCTAATTGGTTTTCTCATACTTGGTCCCTTTCCCAAAAGCTCCAGTCCACTGAATCATTCTCATGTCAACTTTCCTAAACCTTACATATCTCCAATCAGGTCAGTCGTCTCCTGATCAAAAGAGAACCAAGTATGCATCGTCACTTTGCAATGGGGCCCCCTAAGGTAACTGCGCTCATTTTTGTTCTGTGCCTCTATGGCAGAGTTCAGCAAACACTTTCCATAAAGAAACAAATACTAAGTCTTTTCGGCTTACCAGGCTATCTATACACCGCAACTCCTCTCTGCTGCATCTACTCATCTCTGCTGACGTGGCACAAGAGTTGCCAGAGACCACAGGTACATGAATGGATGTGGTTGGCCTGTGGACCCTAGTTTGCTAACCCTGGCAAGGGAATCCCTGGGCTCACCCATGCTGAACTTCTGGTTGCCCTCCTGCGGGTGTCTGAGCCTACACAATAGTCTCCTTACCAGAAGTATCCTCACATCCATCACTGACAGTCAAGAGCCCTACACTTTCCTCTGCCCGCCTCACAGATTTCCATCACATCTTTGTGCTCACCCAATGTGATCCATTTAACAGATATTTGTTGGTTACCCACCATGTGCCAAGCACCTCCCAGATACTGGGTATACAAAGTGAATGACAGCCCTTTTTCTGTGAGCACTAAGATCTAGTAGGGAAGAACAAACAGATCTGTTTATTTGGTTCAACAGACCAAAGCTAGATATGAGTCCCCCTTCTTCCAACATGCCATAGCACTTCTTTTCTGCAATGAAACACTCAGTAGGCATCTCTGGAGAGCAGGTGAAGTGCTCAGAAGGTACCCCACACAGTTCCTTGTACACAGTAGGTACTCGAAAAACATGTACTAAACTGAATTAAACTGAAATTAATAGTGCCATACATCTAATTGACAAATGAACACAAGTATTAGAACCATAGTATTTCTTTTTTTCTTTTTCTTTTTTTTTTTTTTGAGATAGTTTTGCTCTTGTTGCCCAGGCTGGAGTGCAATGGCATGATCTCGGCTCACTGCAACCTCCGCCTCCTGGGTTCAAGTGATTCTACTGCTTCAGCCTCCCGAGTAGCTGGGATTACAGGCATGCACCACCACACCTGGCTAATTTTGCATTTTTAGTGGAGATGGGGTTTCACCATGTTGGCCAGGCTGGTCTCGAACTCCTGACCTCAGGTGATCCACCCACCTCGGCCTTCCAAAGTGCTGGGATTACAGGCGTGAGCCACCACGCCCGGCCAAACCATAGTATTTCTAATGTGGGATGTGTGTGTATGTGTGTGTGTGTGTATGTAGAGAGAGAGGGGCTGATATTATATATATTATATATATATATGGAGACACACACACACACACACACATATATACACATTTTTTAAACAACAATAATGATCCTGTGACCATCCTTCTAGCTGGGTAAAGTGACTTCATTTAGTGAGAAAATGTCTTAGTTCGTTTGTGCTACTATAAAACAACACCCAACATTGGGTAATTTATAAAGTTTATTTCTCACAGTTCTGGTGGCTGGGAAGTTCAAGATCAAGGTGCCGGCATTTGGTGTCTGGGGAGGGCCTTCTTGCTGAGCCCTCACACAGCGGAAGGCAGAAGGTCAAGAGAGCAAGCTAAGCTAACAGCTACATGAAGCCACTTTTCTATTATTTTTTTTAAATTATACTTTAAGTTCTGGGATACATGTGCAGAACGTGCAGGTTTGGTACATAGGTATACATGTGCTATGATGGTTTGCTGCACCCATCAACCAGTTATCTACATTAGGTATTTCCCCTAATGCTATCCCTCCCCTAGCCCGCCACAGTAATGGAATTGCTGGGTCAAATGGTATTCCTGGTTCTAGATCCTTGAGGAATCACCACACTGTCTTCCACAATGGTTGAACTAATTTACACTCCCAACAACAGTGTGAAAGTGTTCCTATTTCTCCACATCCTCTCCAGCATCTGTTGTTTCCTGACTTTTTAATGATCGCCATTCTAACTGGTGTGAGATGGTATCTCATTGTGGTTTTGATTTGCATTTCTCTGATGACCAGTGATGATGAGCTTTTTTTCATATGTTTGTTGGCTGCATAGATGTCTTCTTTCGAGAAGTGTCTGTTCATATCCTTCGGCCACTTTTTGATGGGGTTGTTTGTTTTTTTCTTGTAAATTTGTTTAAGTTCTTTGTAGATTCTGGATATTAGCCCTTTGTCAGATGGATAGATTGCAAAATTTTTCTCCCATTCTGTAGGTTGCCTGCTCACTGTGATGATAGTTTCTTTTGCTGTGCAGAAGCTCTTTAGTTTAATTAGATCCCATTTGTCAATTTTGGCTTTTGTTGCCATTGCTTTTGGTGTTTTAGTCATGAAGTCTTTGCCATGCCTATGTCCTGAATGGTATTGCCTAGGTTTTCTTCTAGGGTTTTTATATTTTTGTATAAGGTATAAGGAAGGGGTCCAGTTTCAGTTTTCTGCATATGGCTAGCCAGTTTTCCCAACATCATTTATTAAATAGGGAATCCTTCCCCACTGCTAGTTTTTGACAGGTCTGTCGGAGATCAGATGGTTGCAGATGTGTGGCATTATTTCTGAGGCCTCTGTTTTGTTCCATTGGTCTATATAACTGTTTTGGTACCAGTACCATGCTGTTTTGGTTACTGTAGCCTTGTAGTATAGTTTGAAGTCAGGTAGCATGATGCCGCTAGCTTTGTTCTTTTTGCTTAGGATTGTCTTGGCTATACAGGCTCTTTTTTGGTTCCATATGAAATTTAATTCTGTGAAGAAAGTCAGTGGTAGCTTGATGGGGATAGCACTGAATCTATAAATTACTTTGGGCAGTATGGCCATTTTTACAATATTTATTCTTCCTATCCATGAGCATGGAATGTTCTTCCATTTGTTTGTATCCTCTTCTATTTCATTGAGCAGTGGTTTGTAGTTCTCCTTGAAGAGGTCCTTCACATCCCTTGTAAGTTGGATTCCTAGGTATTTTATTCTCTTTATAGCAATTGTGACTGGGAGTTCACTCATGATTTGGCTCTCTGTTTGTCTATTATTGGTGTATAAGAATGCTTGTGATTTCTGCACATTGATTTTGTATCCTGAGACTTTGCTGAAGTTGCTTATCAGCTTAAGGAGATTTTGGGCTGAGACGATGGGGTTTTTTAAACACACAATCATGTCATCTGCAAAGAGAGACGATTTGATTTCCTCTCTTCCTACTTGAATACGTTTTATTTCTTTCTCTTGCCGGATTGCCCTGGCCAGAACTTCCAATACTATGTTGAATAGGCGTGGTGAGAGAGGGCATCCTTGTCTTGTGCCAGTTTTCAAAGGGAATGATGAAGCCTCTTTTCTAAAGGGCCTTAAACCCATTCACCAGGGAGAAGCCTTCACGGCCTAATCACCTCTTAAAGGCCCTATCTTTTAATACTCTCACATTGGCAACACCTGAATTTTGAAGGGGACCCATTAAAACCATAGCAACAAACAATTATAAAGATTATGCTAAGAAGATGTGGGTACTTCGGGTAGACAGAGAAGTGTAAATGGGGTTAGGAATTGCATTAGGAACACTATATGCTCAGAAATACCAATCTTTAAATTAAACAACCTATCGAACTGCCTTTACATGGTGCACTGCTGGTTATAAATGTGCAATACCTGATGGGGGGAAAATTCCAGGAGAGCTTATAAAAGCATGCTAGAAGCATTAAAATTTTCCAGCCATTTCATTATTTGTCATTCAGCAAATGTTAATATTTCTCTTTGTATTCCTACTGAAGCTTGAAATTAACATGGCTTTTTGTTTATTTCTTCATTTCTGCCTCCTTGTCAGCTCATCTCAGGAATGCAGTTGGTTAGCTAGCTGCTGCAGAGCCAAATAAAAAAGCCTAAAGAAACTCAAACATTGACTGGCAAAAGGCTCTGCATGAAAAGGCATTTGTTTTTTAACCTCTCAGAAGTAGAACATTTAGCTTAAAATAAATATTTAACATCTAGGATGCTTTTATCAAGAATCATTTTGACATGGACATTAGTCTTTATCCCAAAAGCCAGATACCCTGGGGAGCAAAGTTCGCTGCAAATGTATGCAAAGGAATAGCGTGTGCAGGATACAAGGAGGCCGGAAGGCCGGAAAGCAGGGGGAGTACAGGATTTCCTAAGGTAAACCGATCTCTTAAGAATGCCTGTTCCCCTCCCGCAAATAATCATTAAACAGAATTCAGCATAAGTTCAGCATTTTCAAGTCACTCAGGGACACAGGTACCCGGGAATGTTCCCTCTGCCCCTGGACTGTTTGTGTTGGATTCCAGCCTGGCTCCTCCTGTCCCCCGACTGCAGGACTGTTTCCCACATGGAATCACGATTCAGTCACGATTAACACCCTCCCCACAGCGTGGCTGGTGCCCAAGCAGCCCCAGTAGGGCTTGGGCCTTGTGGAGGAGAGCCCTCCCCTGGGTGAACAACCCAGACAAGCCAAGTCAACTCTGGTTTTGGGATCGAACATTAAATTCACGTCACTGGCTTTAATTCTTTCCTTACCAGGTGCCTTGGGTTTTGAGGGGATGCTGTTTTATGAGGGCTTTTGTGAGGGCCAGGGATGTTTTCAAAACTACAGGGCTTGGCAGACATGGGTACTGAATGTCCCCAGGAACAAAGTAACCAGGGATTGTGTCCAAAACTGGCTTGAAGAAATGCCTCAAATGTAGCAAATCATTTTTTAAAATTCATGTTAAGATCGGCCAACAGCCTTCAGAAGACAGAACCTTTTTCATGTCTGTGGCATGTGTGTGTTCACGTGTGCTTCCTGAATTTCCCAACCAGGACATGAAGAGCACAGCCCACTGGGATTTTTTTGCTGGTGGCTTCCCATTTGGGAACAGGCTCTGAGAGACAATCTGAGCGGGCTTCCTGTGTTGTCTGAGGCCAGCTTCCACAGGGCTGCCATCAGTCAGCCCATTACTCAGCCATGGGCCCAGTGAGGCAGCCACAGGGCCACTGTGCTACAAGCACCCTCCCCGCCCCTGGTTTTCGTGCCATGGGTTTCCTGTGGAGAACATCGTCACGCTATATTCATCTTTCCTCTTAGCTGGCGCTGAGTCACTCCATGATAAAGCCACTCTTCAAGCTCTATTTTGGGTACACTTTACACTCTGAGGGAGCCGGTAACACATCTCTCCTGATATAAATGTACAGGAGAGCCCGTCAACCACAGCTCTCTGATGGAGCCTACAAGTTGCAATTGGGTCAATGTTTTCACTGCCACAGCACTTAATCACTTGAAAACTTTATCTAAACTTGTGAAGTTTTCCCTGCTTTTAGCTTTTCATTCTTTTTGGCCTGTTTTGATAACAGAAGCATGCTGCCGTCCATCCCAGGTCAGAGCTGGTGGCAGGAGAGAGGTGGGTGGGAGAGGAGGGAGGACACAGCCCACTTCTCAGGTCCTTCTAAATGGTCTTTATTAGCGGATTTCAAAATTTTGCAGTGAAATTATCAGAACACCTGGCACCTCCACATTTAAATGGAAGCACAAACCCAATTCCAAAGCCAAAGGCTTCTTCCGGAACCCCTGCTGTTTTCTATAATCAGCGCCAGTGCTGCACTCCCCTCGCCTCCTCCCGCTCAGTGTGGGTGTCAAGAGGTGACCACAAAAGAGGCTGCTCAACATCACCTGAGAACAAAGCCTCCTTTCCTGCAATTCCAAATTGACTTTTGCTGTACAAGAAAATTAAGGATGCTGTGGCTACCACCAGAGAGCACATTTAAAACTCCTCACATGAAAGGCCCTTGCACTCCTGGGAAAAATATTCTCACTTTAAGGAGAGTCACAGCGTGCGGAGCCTGGACTTTCCATGCACCAAGCCCTGGGTCCATGCAGCCACCACTGCTCCAGGGAGCAGAAGGTCTGATGTTCTCTGAGCTGGAATCTTCCTACATTTCTTTGTCCACTGACTGGGGGCCCTGGTTCTAGGACAGCATCTCCCCTGGTGCTGGAGGTGCTCAAACCACCATGGCCTGGCCTGAGTGGGCTCTATCTTTTCCAGGGCAGGCATCACAGTGGAGCCCTCGGATCTGGCTGACACTCCTGTTACTCGTGCACGGCTTATGTCATGCTGGTACAGACCCTGGGCCATGTAGAGGACTCATGGTGAGATGCCAATGTGGCTACTGCCCCAGCTTCTGCCCTCACTTGGCACATACCATAGACCACGTTGCTTCCACTCCTCAGAAGGAAAACCCCCTCTATTGCCAAGCTGTTCAATATTCACGACAGGCAAGGTCCTTATGATTCAGTCCTGTTACCTCTCCAGCCTCATCATCCACCACATGCCCTCACTCACTCACTCATCAAACATCCACTGAGAGCCCATAGTGAGTCAAGACCTGGGCTTGGCACCAGGAACACTGGGTAAAACCCATCTCTAGCCTCAAGAAACTCATCCATGAGCAGGGGTAGCCAGACCTGTAACTATACATGTGCAATGAGGGGTTGGAATGAAGGGCTCTGTTGAGGCACCTAGGACAGAGATGTCAGTTCCACCTTCTTCAGGTGCAGTGTGGACACCACCTCTTACGGGAAGCTTTCCCTCATCCCTCCCGCTGCGTGCCTGTGCCCTCCTCTGGGTCCCTGTGGTGGGTGGGGCCGTAATGACTGTGCTTGACTGCTCCTCAAGAGCAGGAACACTGTTTTACTCATCTCCTCCCCACAGCACCCTGCACCATGTCCTGCCACACAGTAAGTGCTCCATGCATGTTTATTGTTTCAAATGCGCCTAATGGTAAATCTCAGACTCTGAGTCAATGGCAATCTCCCAAAAGCACTGTGTTAAGGACCCGCGTTCCCCTTTCTTCTAACAGAGGGGACAGAAGGCGCTGGAAGACTCCAGTCAGGACATGTGACTGCTGGAGCAAGCCTAGCTGCTCATGAGCTGTGTGCATTCCAGAGATGCTTCTGGCCCCTCTTGCCCCTTGTCCCCTCCTCTGTAGGACAGTGGAGGGCCCCCTGGCATCACAGGGCCACAGACAGGAAGTGGGGTGGAGCAAGAGAGGCTGGTCCTTTCTGGGAAATGACAGAGCAGCAAGAACCAGACTTTCTGGTGGGAGAGAAAGGAGAATGTGTGTTCTCTCTTAAATATAAGGCATTTTTACCACCAACACGCCACTCAGTAAGGTCACTCCTGGGTTGATGAACAAAACCTTGCTGTTTGTACAATATTTAGCATTACCTGGAAGGGCCTGGCTCTCACCTCGGAGCCTGGACGTGACCTGCTTCATGCTTAACTATATAACACGCGTGCCACACACGAGGATAAAAATGCGAACAGAGACTGCATTAGCTGCCTGTTAATGTGTAACAAGGTACCGCAAAACTTAGTGCCTTAAAATAACCATTACTTCATGGTTGCTCTAGGCCAGTGCTTCAGCAGCGGCCTAGCCGGGTCTGGTGCAGGGTCCCTCATGAGGCTGCGATCAAGATGTTTCCAAGCTCCCCAAGGCAGCTGCGGTCTGTGAGCCTCAGCTCCTCCCTACGGGGGCCTCCACAGGACTGCTCACAACACGGGAGCCAAAGCGAGAAATACCAGAGAGAGAGACACACGCATACCAAGACAGAAGCTGCAGAACCTCTCAGAATCTAATCTTGGAAGTGAAACACCGTCATTTCTGCCAGATTCTCTGGGTCACACAGACCAATCCTGGTGAATACCAGGAGGTGAGGGTCATTAGGGGCCTTCCTGGAGGTTGGCTGCCACTGTCATACCCTGGCAATGGCATTCATACCATTGGCAGGCAATGGCATGTCATACAGCTTCATGAGGGTTGGCTATGTCCTTTCCAGAGTAAAATAGATAGATTCATTATTCTGTATTACACCAACAGTTAGGTCTTACTCACTCTCCTGTGGTTTTGAAGGGCTACAAATACTTTAGAAAATAGTTTTAAACACTGAATGGGCTTGGAATTTGGGGAGGGGCATATATATAGAGAGACATACCTCATTATATTGCCCCTAGCTTGACTGAGCTTTGCAGATACCATGATTTTTTTTTTTTACACAAATTGAAGGTTTGTGGCAACCGTGCATCGAGCCGGTCTATCAGTACCATTTTTCCAAAAGCATGTGCTCACTTCATGTCTCTGTGCCACATTTTGGTAATTCTCACAATATTTCAAACTTTTTCATCATTGTGATATCTGTTATGGTGACCTGTGATTAATGATCTTTGATGTTACTATTGTAATGGTACTTGTGTGCCATGAATTGCACCCATATAAGATGGCAAACTTAATCAAACATGTGGTGTGTATTCCATCTATGAGCTGTTCCCCCATCTCTCTCCTTCTTCTCGGGCCTCTCTCTTCTCTGAGATACAATAATATGGAAATTAGGCCAATTAATAATCCTACAATGACTTCTAAGTGTTCAAGCGAAAGAAAGAGTTGCATGTCTCTCATTTTAAATCAAAAGCTAGTAATGATTGAGCTTAGTGAGGAAGGTATGTCAAAAGCTGACACAGGGCTGGTTGTGGTGGCTCATGCCTGTAATCCCAGCACTTTGGGAGGCTAAGGCGGGAGGACTGCTTGAGGCCAGGAGTTTGAGACCAGCCTGGATGACACAGTGAGACCCTATCTCTACAAACAAAATATTTTAAAAAATTAGCTGGACATAGTGATGTGTACCTATAGTCCTAGGTACTCTGGATGCAGGAGAATCACTTGAATCCAGGAGTTTGAGGTTGCAGTAGCCTATGATTGCACCAATGCACTCCAGCCTGGACAACAGAGAGAGACTGTCTTAATAACATAAAAAAAGCTGAGACAGGCTGAATGCTAGGTCTCTTGTGCCAAACAGCCAAGTTGTGAATGCAAAGAAAACATTCTTGAAAGAAATTAAAAGTGCTACTCCAGTGAACACAGGAATGATAAGAAAGTAAAATGGCCTTACTGCTGATATGGAGAAGGTTTTTTAGTGGTCTGGATAGAAGATCCAACCAGCCACAACACTCCCTTCAGCCAAAGCCTAATCCAGAACAAATCCCTAACTCTTCAATTCTGTGGAAGCTAAGAGAGGTGAGGAAATTGTAGAAAAAAAGTTTGCAGCTATCAGAGGTTGGTTCATAAGGTTTAAGGAAATAAGCCATCTCCATAACATAAAAATGCAAAGGGAAGCAGCAAGTGCCCATACAGAAGCTGCAGCAAGTTATCCAGAAGATCTGGCTAAGATCATTGATGAAGGTGGCTACATGAAACAACAGATTTTCTTTTTTGTTTGAGACAGGGTCTCACTCTGTCGCTCAGGCTGGAGGGCAGTGGCACGATCTCAGCTCACAACAGCCTCAACCTCCTGGGCTCAGGTGATCCTCCCACCTCAGCCTCTCAAGTAGCTGGGATTACAGGCATGCAACACCACAGCCAGCTAATTTTTTGTACAGACAAGGTTTCGCCATGTTGCCCAGGCTGGTCTCAAACTCCTGGGCTCAAGCAATCCTCCTTCCTCAGCTTCCCAAAGTGCTGGGATTACAGGTATGAGCCACCACACCCGGCCAACAGGTTTTCAATGTAGATGAAACAGCCGTCTATTGGAAGAAGATGCCATCTAGGACTTTCGTAGCTAGAGGGGAGAAGTCAATGCCTGGCTTCAAAGATTCAAAGGACAGGCTTGCTCTCTTGTTAAGGGCTGATGCAGCTGGTGACTTTAAGTCGAAGCCAGTGCTCATTTACCATTCTGAAAATCCTAAGGTCCTTAAGAATTGTGCTAAATCTACTTTGCCTGTGCTTTATAAATGGAACTGCAAAGCCTAGATGACAGGACATCTGTTTAAAGCCTGGTTTACTGAATATTTTAAGCCCATTGTTGAGACCTACTTCTCAGAACAAAAAGATTTCTTTCAAGATATGACTGCTCATTGACAATGTACCTAGTCACCCAGGATCTCTGATGGAGATGTACAAGATTAATGTGATTTCATGCCTGCTAACACAACATCCATTCTGTAGCCCATAGATCAAGGGGTAATTTTGTCTTTCATGTCTTATTATTTAAGAAACACATCTTGTAAGCCTATAGCTGCCATAGACAGTGAGTCCTCTGATGGATCTGGCCAAAGTAAATTGAAAGTCTTCTGGAAAGCATTCCCCATTCTAAATGCCATTAAGAACAGTCATGATTCATGGAAAGACGTCAACATGTCAACATTAATAGGAGTTTGGAAGAGGTTGATTCCAACCTACATGGATGACTTTGAAGGGTTCAAGACTTCAGTGGTGTAAGTCACTGTAAATGAGGTAGAAATAGGAAGAGAACCAGAAAGAGAAGTGGAGCTGAAGATGTGACTGAATTGCTGCACTCTCATGATCAAACTTAAATGGATGAGGAGTTGCTTCTTATGAACGAGCAAAAAAAGTAGTTTCTTGAGATGGAATCTATTTCTGGTGAAGATGCTGTGAATATTGTTGAAATGATAACAAAGGATTTAGAATATTTGATATGGTTTGGCTGTGTCCCCACCCAAATCTCATCTTGAATTGTAGTTCCCATCATCCCCAAGTGTTGTGAGAGGGACCTGGTGGGAGGTAATTGAATCATGGGGGCAGTTGCATTCATGCTGTTCTCATGACAGTGAGTTCTCATGAGATCTGATGGTTTTATAAGGGGCTTTCCTCCCACTTTGCTCTGTACTTCTCCTTGCTGCTGCCATGTGAAGAAGGATGTGTTTGCTTCACCTTCTGCCATGATTGTAAGTTTTCTAAGGGCTCCCCAGCCCTGTGAAACTGTGAGTCAATTAAACCTCTTTCCTTTTTAAATTACCCAGTCTCGGGTATTTCTTCATAGCAGCGTGAGAACAGACTAATACAATATTCCATAAGCCTCGTTGATAAAGCAGTGGCAGGGTCTGAAAGGACTGACTCCAAATTTGAAAGTTCTACTGTGGCTCAAATGTTATCAAACAGCATCACATGCTACAGAGAACTCTTTCGTGAAGGGAAGAGTCAAGTGATGCAGCAAACTTCACTGCTGTCATTTTGACAAAATTGCCACAGCCACCCCAACCTTTAGCATCCACCATCCTGATCAGTCAGCAACGATTGACATCGAGGTAAGACCCTCCAACCAGCAAAAAGATTATGACTCACTGAAGGCCCAGAAGATCACTAGCATTTTTAGCAATGAAGTATTTTATTCATTCATTCATTCATTTATTTATTTAAAAATGATGTCTTGCTATGTTGGCCAGACTGGTCTCAACTCATCACTACAAGCAATTCTTCTGCTTCAGCCTCCCAAGTAGCTGGGATTAAAGGTGCAAGCCTAGCTCTAGCATTTTAAAATTAGCTCTAGTATTTTAAAATTAAGTATGTGCAATTTTTTAGACATGATATAGCATACAAATGAGGTAAGTACAAATGATTGCACACAAAGACTACACTACAGTTTTTTATATGCACTAAGAACCACAATAATGCATGTGATTCACTGTATTGCAATATTCACTTTATTGAGGTGGTCTGAAACCAAGCCTGCAATATCTCTGAGGTATTTATAATATGCCAGGCATTATTAGGTGGTTGGGATATAGAATACATTGGTGAAGAAAACAGACTAACATAGTAAATACAGGATATTTAATGTTGCTTAAGAATTTTGGTTTTAATTTTAACACAGGGTATGGGTGATAAGCTGCCCCCAATTCTTGTCTCAGTCTATCCCATCCCATCTCATCCTATCCCATGTCTAAAGTCCCTCAGCAGGCACCCCTCACTAGGATTGGTATGCCAAGAACCTGGGAGAAAATACTAGTCTCCTGGATTCCTAAACTTGCACACCTCAGGCAGTACAGGGCAGAGGAACCAGCTCTTCCTGTCCCAGGCTAAACACAATTCTGGCTGAAACAGCTTAGATTTGTGCTTAATAATATTCTGGGGCAGTTTGGGGGCTGGTGGATGTATGGGTGATTGGGAGAAGGATCCAGAGATGAGAGGAGATGAAATTTCCCAGAGAGAAGGCAAAGATCCTTGGGAAGAACCAGATTCTAGGATCTTCCTTAGCCAAGATCTGCAAAGCTGTGCTTGAGCACATCCAGGGATAAGCTCACCCTTGTTCTCAAGCAGCATGGATTCTTGTCACCCCAACTCACACAGGCAGCCCATTGGGCCTGCAGGGACAATCCACTGGGCCAACACACACACACACGCAGCCCATTGGGCCTGCAGGGACAATCCACTGGGCACACACACACCCCATCCCTCTTCTTGCCCTCTGAAGCCTGGCCAGACCAGGCCTGTGTGAGCTCCTCCTCTTTCGTGACCACGTGAATCTGGAGCTGATGACTCATTCATCGAGATCAAGAGGCACTCCCTCCTCTCATTCTCTTGGTCTGGCAGTCTCCTCCACTTTTCCACTTTTTCCTTTTCAAACTCCTCTCCTTACCGCTCCCCCTAACTGGGAGTGATTGTCAAGTAAATGATAACTTGACCTCTGAATATCAGAAGCAGTTGAAGACAGCTAGAGACTGGAAGACACAGGAAGGTGTGGAAGAACGGGCTTCTCACTCCCTCAACTCTAGAGTCTGGGCCAATGTCAAGGGCCAAAAGGCAGGAGCTGATGGCTGCTGCCGGTTCTCTTCCAAGGGCTATGGTTGGGGGTATGATCCCAGTTAAAGGGAGATGTTTAAGAGGGCTGGTAGGCTACTTATTTTCATCTGCAGCCTACAATCTTAGCATCAAGTCCTCCCCTGAATAATGTGGCACAGGATAATATTTGTTATCAATCATATGCCTCAATTGACTATTTTTAACACCAGAGATGAGTTCCCATGTAAAATCACTTTCCCTCTTCCCACCTCCCACCTCACCAAAATCCAGACAGCAAAACTTAAAAATACTAATGTTCATTATAAGACGGATTCTGCCTGCATGTGAATTTAATGCCACCAGTATAGAACATGATGAAAAAAAAGTCAAAGTGACCAACAACTTGTATAAGACTTCTGGGTACATTCAGGGGCTTATGTACAGTAAAATACCACAATTTTATTTCCAGTCTTACTAAGAGTTTATACCTTATGGTACCACTACAAGTCAAACCTGAATATTAACAAGGCAAATGAAGAGAAACTCTCAAAATGAAAACTTTCCTAACTGCCAAGTGGTGGACCAAGAGCCAAAGCTAAAGTTGAATCTTCGTGCAGCCTGGAGACGCCCGATGAGTGCCACGTTTGGCTGGGGTGTAAATGCAGCCACGGACCCCACAGAGTGCTCCCCAAGAGCTGGGGAAATGAACTGCTGGTAGGGAAAACTGCTATCGGGAAAACTTAGAAGTCAGGAAATGCAATCAGAGAAAAGCGGTCATATTTTGTTGGCGTTAACAGGGCTGCCTAATTCAATCATCACAATGAAGCCCACATACCAAATGGAACCTTGAAGTTCTCAGGATTAAGATTTAGGCAGTCCAAGTGTGTCATTTTGAAGTTATGTATGTTATATGCTGTCTTATAAGAAAGAATTGGCTTGCTATCCAATTTGGAATGAAAATAAATATTTCTTGTGAAACAGCCCAGAATTACTTTCACACAACATCATTTATATGTATTAGCTAAATTGCAAGTTCCTCACAGGTAACATCTTCCTGTCTCAGTTACCTTATGTCTGTTGATGGTGAAGAATACTGGGTCTGCTATGGGGGAGGTGTGCAGAAATGTTTCTCACCTGATGAGCCCAGCCTGGAACTTTCCTATTACAAACCTGCCCATCTCTGCCACACACAGCTTCCCATTGGTCCAAGGGTCATATCTGGCCCTACATGTAATCGTGTGGCTCAGAAATCCCAAGCTATGGCTTGCGCTTTGCTTGAAGAGGAGCCAGGACTAACTGGGGTCTGGAGACTTCTAACTCCAAAATGAGAAAAAGAGGACTGGGAAGGAGTCAGGTGGTGAGTCAATCAACAGGAGAGCGGCAGAGCTTCCCTGACAGGACAGGGACAAAGGCCTCAGGCAGCCTGTGAGGGGGAAAGACGCTGGGTGGATGTCCTTGCTCACCATCCACAGTGAGAGCTCACGCAGGGTGCCGGGCACCTCGGTGTGCACAGGGGGCTGGGGGAGCCTCAAGGTGGGGCCCAATCTATGCAGGTCCATGAGAAGCGGTGGGGGCGGGGGTGGGGGAGTGCGGGGAGGGACAGCTGACACAGCAGGTTTAAAGGGATGCCAGGGGAAAGCGCTTGGGAAATGAGCTGCACCCAGAAAGCCCTCAGACCCATTCCTGAACACTTGCTTGCCCAACTACGTCAGTGTAAAGGGGTGGTGAATGCATCAACACAAGGGCCATTTGCTAGAGCATCGGTCCCTATTTAGTGGTATGAGCAGTGCACACAGAGTCAGGGGAGGGCAGAGGGCCAAGAAGAGTAGGGACATACAGCAGGCTGTGGACAGATGCTGGCTTCCCTATGCTACAGTTTTGATGTTTGTCCCCCTCCAATCTTATGTTGAAATGTGATCTCCAGTGTTGGAGGTGGGAACTAATGGGAGGTATTTGGGTCATGGGGACAGATCCCTCATGAACGGCTTAGTGTTGTCCTCGCAGTAATAAATGAGTTCTTGCTCTATTTGTTCCCACGAGAGCTAGTTGTAAAAAAGAGCCAGCCCCAGCACTTTGGGGTGGGGGGCCAAGGTGGGAGGATCGTTTGTGCCCAGGAGTTCGAGACCAGCCTGGGCAACATAGTGAGACACTGTCTCTACAAAAAATAGAAATAAATTTTAAAAATAAAATAAAATAAATACAAATTTAAAGAGCCTGGCACTCCCCTGCCCCCGCCTTGCTTCCTCCAGTGCCATGTAATCCGCACACGCCAGCTCCCCTTCACCTTCAGCCATGAGTGGGGGCAGCCTGTGGCCCTTACCAGATGCAGATGACCAATCTTGAACTTTTGCAGACATCAGAATCATGAGCGAAATAAACTTCTTTTCTTTATAAATTACCCAGTCTCAGGTATTCCTTGATAGCAACACTAAAGGGACTCAGACATCCTACGAACCGGGTGTTTGATCCTGGACAATCTCGGCCTGGGAAGCCTGCAAATGCTCACCTTTAGCATCTGGCCGAGAGCCTTAAGCCTCCAATGTATTTGACATAAAAAACAGGAATCTGTAATGAAGGAGGTGAGATTAGATAATTGCCAAGATCACTTTCAGGGACACAGTGTTGAGATTCTGTGGGAAACCTCTTTTCTTTGGACAAAAGGAAAACGCCCCCCTACCCTTACTATCACAGTGTGGTATTGGCTCTATATGTGGCTAGCTGCAGAGCTGGTTTATATGTCTCTATAGTTCCATAGTTTCGATTGTGCAAACATCTGGCACCCTTGCTGATAAAACCGAACATCAAATAACACTGCAGTTGCTGGTAATTTAGCACTCTGACGAGCCCGTCCCCATTATGACTAAGAAAGTTCAGTGTTCATATCTGCGGAGAGAGTGACAACAAACTTAGGCCCTCTTTTCATGTAATAAGACAATAATAGCAGATAGCCAATGTCATTAAGTCTTGCTCTTTTGCAACCCTGCTCCCTGCCTACCCAAGAGTAATATGTGGCTTGGAATCACTTACACTCTGACCTGGCACTGCTGCATGGAGCACAATTTCTATGTGAAACACTGGACCAAAATGAAAGCCTGACCCTTCACCTCATGAGCCCTCATAAACCATGTGGGAAAAGTCTGGCACAGTGAGCTGCCCCACAGCAGCAAAACCAGCTGGGATAAGGAGGTGAGCCTGGTGTGGAGAGAGCTGGCTGGGGACCAGCTGGCTTGACTCCTTCCTGGCTCTGCGTCCAGGGACAGGGCAGATTCTCAGTTTCCACCTGTGCAAGTGGGGATGAAACGGAGCTGCTCTGATGATTAAATGAAACTGTATACATCATGGTGCTCTGTCAAGTACAAAATTGTATTAATACCTCAAAAATAAATAATACATTAAAAACCGTGGCCTATGAAAAAAATCCAGAGTTTTTGGGGAATAGAAATATACGTGGTATACTTATTTCTCCTTTCAGGGAAGGTATTAAATCCACCAAAACCAGGATATTTATAAAAAGATGATTTCTACGCATTCATATATTAAAAAATAAAACTTAAGGTAACAGGTTTTTGATATAACATTACAGGCATATCAGTAGACAGTAGATGGACAGCTTTTTGGTTTTCTAAAAATTTTAAATAGGCCAGTGCTCAAAGAAATGACCAACCTGGTGCAGTTTCTAATTCTGAAGTATCTGAAACAGTATTTTCTTTTTTAAAGAAATACATACATTTAATAACATTTGAAGCTCATTTTCATTTGGCACCAACAACTACCTAGAACATAACCCAGAACCTGGAAGTGAACTCAAAAAGGCCTTTGAGCACCAAAAATAGATGTAAAATCTGTGCATTAAGCTCATGCACACTGGCTACAGAGAGGGTGTCAGGCCCTCCCCGAGAGCCTGCTTAATGCCAAGGTCAAAGGTATAGAGCTAGCTCTGTATACCCTGCACTATGTTCCCACATCCTAGACTTTCACAGCAATCCTACTAAGGGAGCAGGACAGGTTCTTTTCCTGTGTACAGAGAGGGGTGACCGTGGCTCCCTGACATGAAGTAGGTTTCTATTGTCATCTGTAGAATTTGGGGTGGGGGAATGGTTAGATCCCACATGATAGTAATTGCATTGTTACTATCTCCCAATTGAGAAAATACAAAATACCAAAAAGTCACAGTAGGCAAGTCACATTTTCCAATTTATTAATCACAATAGCATCTATATGCATCAGAAAAAAAAACAGTTATGTGCTTACGTCCCAAACATAATTTCGTCAGTACCCATTATGTGGGTGGAGCATATGCAGATTCTCACACATTCGTGATAAATGCCCATCCTAGGCAGGGAAGAAGTACGGCTCTAAATTTCAGGAGCCAAGGGCTTGCTTAAGGCCACATGCCCAGCTTGGGGCTAGAAGCCAGGTCGTTTGGTTCCTATGCCAATATTTTTTCCATTACCTCCAACAGGTTTGGTGACTTGATTCTGCTGTCATGAAGAGATGGGAACACGACATTAGAACAGGAGAGAGCCACTGCAGGAAGGGGCTGGCATAATGACAACAGTTCCTAACCCCAAGAGGAACAGAGACCAACCACTGTGAGAAGATGCAAAGCTTTTGGAGGCAGAAAGACTCCAAAGGCTCTATCACTTAGTGATTATAGGATTTGGGGCAAGTTACTTAACCTCCTTGAGCTTGTTTCCTCATCTACAGAATGGAAAAAATGCCTTGTGAAGAACAGAGAAAATGCATGTAAAATTCCTTGCATATAACAGGCACTTAATAAATGGCAGCTAGAGTTAGAATTTTAACTCAATGAACACAGATACAAGGAGCCTTTTAACTGGAGCAAAGAGAATTAAACTCTAAGTAGAGCACCTAAGTGCATGTCTGTGTTTGAACACATTTCATCACATTTATAATAACCCTGAGGGATTAGGAAGGGGTTCAGTTGGAGAGAGAGCAGCACTTGGTAGAAGAAACGTGTGTCTGGGGGTCAGACACACCTGGTTCAAATCCCAGCAGCACTACTTCTAGCCTTGTGCCACTTGGCAGTTGGTTTCCTCAGACTCAATTTTCTCATCCACTAAATGGGGAGTTGTCCCAAAGATTAAATGTAGGCCTCTGGCCTTTAGCAGATGCTTATTAAAATGCCAGTGCCATTCATTCCCCTTCGTCCTCTACTCTATATCAGAAGGTATGGGATGCTATGATGTCTTCCTGTTAAATTTTTGTCCAGAAAAAAAAAAAAAACATTTTAAGTATGGTGTTGAAATGGGTAAGTTTTAGTCACTTGGGAAATGTATACACACATGATATCTTTATTCTCCAATAATGTGTGACTCAGGTAAACATTTCTAAAAACATGTGCACTTATCAGATACTAAAATGCAGTATCCCGCAGGCAGCAGGCACTCAATAAATGCTTGCTGCAAACTGAACACATGAAAGGAGTGATAATCCAACTCTAAAAACAAGCCACTTCCACATGCATAAAGAGTGCAGTCTTTCCTTGAAGTGACTGATTCTAAACCGAGAAGAAACTTGGAACTGCAAAAGCAGAAATATACTTTTTTTCCTATTCAATAAATCATCAAGAAAGGTTAAGTCTGAAGGGTCTGCATTACTCAGTACAGAAGGTTTCTCAGATTTCTCTTTTGACCTGGCTGTAATAGATGCACTTCGAATTAGCAAAAATTCATCTGCTCTTTCTGACTCATGAAATAAACGGATGAACTTTAATCCATCCTCCTGTAACTCTCACAGTCTGCCATGCTCCACTCTGCCAGAGACACGTGTGTCCTTACACGCTCCACAAGACACCAGATATGTATCAACAGAGCAAGGTTCTGTCACCTAGCCCAGTGATAGATACCCATTACCAACACAAAGATACCTCAGATCGATGATCATGACGTATCCCAGCAACACACGGCTCAGAGCTCCGACAGGTGTCTCCTCCCAAGGCAGGACCAAAGGCACGGGGCACTGTCATGCTGAGGGGTCATTCCTGCCCCAGCCCAGATCCACCTCTGGTCTCTGGAACCACGTGGGGAGTCTGTTGTGGTCTGCCTGGGTCTCAAAGCGTTCTCGCCACCTGCCAAGGTTCACTGATTGAGACAAGCCCACCATTCCCTGGTGGCCTGATCATTCCTGTGCGCATGGTCCATGGTCACATAAAAACAGAGATGGGGCACTCAGCTATGATAAATGGGGGAGGTAGTGTCTGCTTTGGTTTAGTGGAAAGATGTCAGTTGAACAGAGAAGGTGGAGGATGAGGGCTGGAAGGTGCAGAGTGAATGGGCAGGAGGACAAGGCTCTGCCTGTTAACCCCAGGACAGGTGACTGGCAACCATTTATGGGGCAAGGCAATGGCCTAACAGTTGCATGCAGACATTACAACAGAAAAGGAACAGTCAAACAAGGAATATCCTGCAAAACTGCTGAACCTGTGATATTTATCTGCCTCAGAAAACTGTTAAAACACAGAAATCCACAGGCTCGCCCCCTATTATATGGCCTGCTAATGTTTACTGGCATTTTTCCTAGCTAGCTGCTCCTAAACGTGCTCTTGCCTCTGGCTGCGAGGTTCGCCATTTTGTCAAGAAAACAAAACGCCTGTCTGTAGCTCAGTGCACGGACTTCACTCACAAACACCATCTCCATGAAAAAGTAATAAAAGTGAAATATAGTTTATTAATATTCATACTGTCTCCCACTGCCAGCAGCCATAAGTGTTCCATCATTAGAGGAGCAGGCTGCTTGCGGGCCGATTCCCAGGGAGCCGTGGTCCTCGTCATCAAAGTGACCATCACAGTGGGTGGCTCAGAACGGAGGGTTAGGCCTCACCGGAACTGCACGACTACTGTGTGGCCCGGGGCTGCCTTTCACCACCCGCTAGTTAGACAGCCTTGGGGGCTCGCCACTCCATCTCTTGGGGCCACCATGAAATGGGAAATGGGGCTGAGAACGCCAACCTGATTGCCTGACATCAATGCTACATGGGAAGGAAACCTCTGTACTTGAGAATAGAAGTAGATATATTTAAGCTTGAGGACATTAAAAAGTTATTCAAGAGGCCAGGGGAAAGCAAAGAATCAGAACAAATCAGAACTGCTCTACAGAATGGTTTACAGGACAAACAGTTCATTAAAACCCATATAAACTTCCAAGAGTAGAAAGAACACACACTCAAGATGAAAATTTAGGAAAGGAGGATTTACAATAGTTCCAAAATATAATCTGCCAAAGATGTTTTGGACAAATTACCGAAAACTATGGAAGAAGCATGACTCAGGGATGAAATGGCTACAAAACCACAGTTCAGTGAAATCCTGTCCCACAGCTTAACTGTGATCAGAGTGATTTCTGTCTAATTTTCTGCACTGGACTCTCCTTGGGGGAAGGGCCTAGTTCTGATTCATCATAGCACACTGTCTTGCTCCTAATAGGTGTCCAATAAATGTTTCCTGAATTAAGGGGGGAAGAAAAGTATTAACAAATCAGGATTTGAGGAAGAACAGACATTCTAATCAATGTTTAAGACTTCGGAGAACTGGCCAGAGGGAGAAAAAGTGTGCTGCAGATGAACAGAAGGAAACCAAGGCAAAGAGAATGTACCCAGAAAGCCATTGATAACGTGATGTTTGTTGAAGGTCAGTGATTTTGTTGATAGTAGGGTGGGGGATGCAACTACGTAAATACACAGTGGTAAGATGCAGATTTCTTTCTTATATAAAGGCCTGTGACAATGAAATATAATTATCCATGTGGCAAACCAGGAATGGGAAGAGAAAAAAAGCAGTCTTGGCTGGGCAGGGTGGCTCACATCTATAATCCCAGCGCTTTGGGAGGTGGAGACAGGAGGATCACTTGAGGCCAGGAGTTTGAGACAAGTCTGGGCATCATAGTGAGACCCCCCGCCACCAATCCCTACAAAAAATTTTAAAAACTAGAAAGGCACAGTGACACACACCTGTAGCCCCAGCTACTGGGGAGGCTGAGGGAGGGGGATGGCTTAAGGTCAGGAGTTTGAGGTTGCAGTGAGCTGCGAGTGCACCACTATACTTTAGCCAGGGTGACTGAATGAGACCCTGCCTCAAAAAAAAAAAGGTAGAAAAAGAAAAATGCAGTCTTTTCTGATTAGGGAAGATAGTTGATGATAAAACAAAACCAAACCCAGATACTTTTCACTTCCTCTAAATGGCAGCACAAAGAAATGGACATAAAAGTAAAGGGGGCGGGGTGAAAAGAGTAAAGGGGGAAGAGTCACACAGGCTGAAAGGAACACTCACATCTTCCTGGCGTCAACACTCAGAGGTGACACGTTTCAGAGCATTGCTTCCTCAGAGAGATGAATGTTTCTGTGCATCCCCACAGGCCAGGCACTGCATGTGTGGATTTCATCTAATCCTTAAAACTTCTATAAGACAGCATTATGATCCCCAGTTTAGGGGTCAGGAAGCCGGGATGCAGAAAGTTAAGTAACTTGCCAAGGACACACGAGGGTAGTCAGTTGCAGAAATGGAATTTTATTTAGGCTTACCATCTCTAAAGCCAACTATACCACAGACTTTAGAATTATTGAAATATCATAGACAAAATACTCCCCCTTTCGCCTCCTCCCCGACCCCCTGCCAGGGATCAGTCCTTCTTGTAAGACAGAGAGAGCACCCAGAGGCAGCTGGCCTGGCTTTACCTCCTGCCTCGCTGTGCACACTACACCTGTTCTTCAGATAACACCACCACTTCCATCAGGGCAACGCCGAGCTCTGCTTACACACAGGTGCCCAGGGGCCTCAGAGAGAGCTGCAGTAAAGCTGCTCCTTTTCTCTCCGAGTGAAGGAGAAAACAAAATATTTACCTTACTGTTTCAGCCTACAGCCGGAAAAGTATAAATCATCTTCGCAAATCTGCTTTTGTCAGGATTTATAAAATCAGCTCCTATGGCGACGACACAAACACAGCTCTCAAAGATACTCTCATTCTACCTGGCATCTCTAACAATGCTAGGTCCCACGTACAAATAAACCAAAAAGGGCCTGAATCTCAGTTCCTGGTAAAAATCTCATCCCATTCCTACTTAGCCTAAAGGTTTTTTTTTTTCTGTTTAAAAAATAATTAAACAGAAAATTAATTTTTTTCCCTTTTCTGTTTAAAAAATAATTTATTGAGGTGAATCACATGCGTAAAATTAGTCTTTTTAAAGTGAACAACTCAGTGGCATTTAGTACATTCATCACTCATAACGTTGTACAAACCATCACGTCTATCTAGTTCCAAAATATTTTCATCATTTGGAAGTAAAATCCCTTATCTATTAAGAATTTATCCTATTATCCCCTCCTCCCAGCCACCAATATGCATTCTGTCTTAATGGAATTTTTTTTTTTTTTTTTTTTTTTTGAGACGGAGTCTCGCTCTGTCGCCCAGACTGGAGTGCATTGGCACGATCTTGGCTCACTGCAGCCTCCGCCTCCTAGGCTCAAGTGATTCTCATGCCTCAGCCTCCTGAGGATTACAGGTGCACGCCACCACGCCTGGCTAGTTTTTTGTATTTTTAAGTAGAGACAAGGTTTCGTTATGTTGGCCAGGCTGGTCTTGAACTCCTGGCCTCAAGTGATCTGTCCATCTTGGCCTCCCAAAGCGCTGGAGTTACAGGCATGAGCTACTGCACCTAGCCATCTTAATGGATTTTTCTATGCTGGGTATTTCATATAAAGAGTATCATACGATACGTGTATGCCTTCTTTCACTTAGCATGATGTTTTGGGTGTATGTTCATGTTGTAGCATTTATCAGTACATTTTTCCTTTTCGTGGCGAAATAATATTCCATTGTATGTCTATACCACCATTTGCATATACGTTCATCCACTGATGGACATTTGGGCTGCTTCCACCATTTGGCTGTTGTAAACAGTGTTGCTATGAACATGCATGTACAAGTATTTGTTCGAGTCCTTGTTTGCACTTCTTTTGGGTGTATACCTAGGAATGGAATTGCAGCAATCATATGGCAATTCTATGCTTACGTTTTTGACGAACTGCCAAACTGTTTTCTACAGTGGCTGTGCCATTTTACATTCGTACCAGCGATGTAAGAGCGTTCCTGAAAAAGTTATTTTAAACATAATTTATGAAACAAAAATCCTGAAATGATTTTCATTAACACTGACCTTTGTAGCTCATGAAAGGATTGGGCGATTTATATAACAGCTTTCCTTCAACAGGCCCTGTGAAATCTCTAATCCTTACCACCCACCCCGCCACCATCAAGTACAGGGAATATGTTAATCACCAGCACAGACACCCAGAAAGGTTCCAGTCTAGCTCCTTGACCAGGACTAACACCCAGGACACAGCTATAGAACAAAAGTTCCAAACCTCAAAAGTTCCATCAAATGCAAGGAGGCATATATTATACCACAGATTTTACATGCAGCAAGAAGTTACAGCAGAGAAGAGCAGAGTGCCCAAAGAAAGATGAATAGAGAAATGAAACCTGAGTAGGACCTTGAAGGACGGGTATAATAAATAATAAAAACGACGACCCACGCAGAGCACACAGCACCACAGCTGCCACGATCCGAACAACCTGCTTGACTGAGGGCGGCCCAGCCGGCTGCCGACGCACAGTAGCTTGGGCAGCAAGAACCGTGAGACAGAGATACTGGAGAGTGGCACCCGCCATCTCTCCCACCAGCCTGGGGCAGTATCTCATTTCCCCAGGGCCGCAGGGAGTACATCTCCTGAAAAAGATCTCCCTTCCTACTTGCTAGGAAAGGCGATGTTGTCATGTTTCATTAGAAACATTCAATTTCTATGGCAAAACAAACTCAGCAATCCTCACGCTGTGCAGGCGAAATGGAAAGTATTTAAGTGTGGTGAGTCTCGCTTGCTAGATGGAAAGGAGGATAATGTGAATATGTATAGGCTCCCTCCCCGCCTCCTCTTTATCACCTGGGGAAGAGGACCATGCTTAGGCCACATGTACCTGCCATCCACAGCCTCCAACCCAGCAAGAAGTTACGTTTTGTCCAGGAGAAGTCTCACTAAGGAGCAGGAGAGTGTAAGCCCCTCAGGTACACCCTGCTATCAGGAGGCAAGGCTGGGCCTGCAGCTGGGGAGGGTGGAGCTGGCATAGGTCCCTCTGCACCAGGCACAAGGTGGCCTTTCCCATGGCAGAACCCCTCACCCTTCACCTTTGGTGATCTTAGGAGATGACTGCTGTCCAGCTGGCATGGCTGTCACCTGCATCCCTCCCATTGACATTCTCAGGGTCAATTCCAGGCTGCCCCAGGTCTGAATCCCTCACAGCACTGGGTCACAATCTGCGCACGCCAGGGGTGTGCGGAGTGAATGCACAGATGTGCCCTCCCGGGAGGCACACCCTGGAAAACATGCATGCTTCCTGTGGCTGCACACTATGCCACCTTTGTCTGGGGCACTGAATCATTAATTCTGGAGCAGGGGCAGTGCTGCTCTGTGCAGTGGTGTCAGCATCATCATTGCCTCGGACAGAATGGAGCAGTGATGCAGATATACGACGTCTGTGCTAACCAAGCATGAGGTTCCCAATGGGACAGGAAAACAAATCCTCAGTGGCGCTCTCTAGAGGGCAGGACACTTGCCTGTGCGAGGTGGGGGGAGGGGAGGGCTGACGTGAGACTGCTGAAATCAGACGTGTTTTCAAGGGTGCCTGAGGCCAGGCCTTTCTAGAGGAGCTGGGGGTTTCCTGCTGTGCACACCACAGCCTGGGGACCCTCAACACGCCTGCTTTCTGCAAGGAATCATCTGGACAGAGTGGGACACAGAGGCTGTACCGTTGTAGTGGTCACCAACATGTGGGTGACCTGAGGCCACGCACTGACCACACAGTGCCCTACGTGATGGGGACAATAAGGCTGCAAGAGCTACCTCAGAGCTATGATGACGGTCACAAAAAGCCCTTTCCTGCAAATACTCAGAAAACGTGAGTCACCATCATCAGCAACGACCTGCTTCAATACAAACTCTTATGTTTAGTTCAAATAGAGAGCCATGCACCCAACTTCTTAAATGGGTATTTCCTTTGTGTACATCCACGCTGTATTTTCTGAAATCTGCACGTTTACAGTTAACCCTCCCACTCTGGTCAATCTATAAATGATATTTCCTCTCCTCAGTTCATTTCTCTCGTGAGGCTTTCTCAGCAGAATTCCCCTCTTGGTCCATGTGGGACTGAGTCTCGCAGGCAGCACTGCGGCTCATTTTTCTGAGGCCTTCCTGTTCCTATGCTCTCACTCAAACGGGGTGTGCCCAGAAGAGATGGTCTCTCTCCAAAGAAGCCCCAGCACATTCCTCAAACCCAGAGCGGCCTCCTCCTTCTGCAGAGCCATGCACATAGTAGGTATTCAAAATCACTTGCAGAATAAACTTTACGAAGCCAAGCACTGAGAAGAAAGAAAAGACAGACCTTTCTATACAAACCTTGACATGCAATAGAAAGAGAAACAGTTCGGAAAAATTTAAAAATAGCACATTTCTCAGAGAAAATCTATCTTCAATCTTTCTGTTTCTGTCAGCGCCAGCACCAAACTAACTGGGACCTGCATGGCGTCCTGTGGGGAGCCACGTGAATGCGTTTCTTGCAAGGGCAGCCCCGATGGAGGAAGGTAAAGCAGTGAACCGGCATCACTCCAGAGGCTGGAATTTCTCCTCTTTGTGCCCAGTGTCTAAGTCGGGTGGTGTCTGGAGATTCCCTATCTACTTCCAACGTGTCCACCTGGATTAGTCTGAGAACCTTAGAAACACAAACAGATAGCGGGAGGAGAAGAACAGGGAAAAGCCAGGGACAGAGAGGCCACGGTGAGAAATAGTAATGTATTTATAGTCTCGGCTAACTGCAGGACGTGAAGAGGCTGTGAGGCTAGACATGAGGCTTAAAACTTACCAAGACCTTTCCTGTTCCCAAAGCCCTCACCTAGAACGTCGGCTCTCATCCAGTGAGCTGTGGCAAAGTCATGTCGGAGAGGTGGTGAGACTTAGCCCAACTCACATAGCTGGCGGGACGCTGAGACCTACGTCTCTCTGTCTCATTACCCTAGTCTAAGCCAAGGGTGGCAGGCCATTCGTGTTCACCGTACAACCAGTGGATACAATCAGCCTTGGTTCTCTCCCCGGGTTTAAGAGCCAGACCCAGGGCCTAAGAAATATATCATTTCTTTGGGGATCAAATGGATAAATGAATAAGAAGATGGATTATACTAAACGCAAATTATTTAGAGGAGGGATAAATCTCTTTTGGTTATGGCAAAGGTAGCACTTGAGTTTCACAAGGGGAATGGGGCAGAACTGGGTTTGGAGGCCTGGAGGCGGGGGAAGGCAGGGAAGGCACCTTATGCCAAAGGCACCGTGCAGACTGGAACGGACGGTGAGCAGGTCAGGCTGCTGCAGAGGCCACATCGGGAGAGAGTGGCAGAGGGGCAGGCTGGGGCTACCCAGTAGGACTTCGAATCCCAGAGCTTCTAATCCCAGGTTAGGGATCTGGACGTGGGAGCCAAGCAGGGAGCACACGAGGAGCAGAGAAAGAAGAACACGCTTTAGGAGGTGTCTTTTGAGAGCAAGGAAGGGCAGTCCCTCCCAGTGCTGCTCCAGACTCCAGCAGCGCAGGCCGGGGCACGAGACAGCGGCGGGAGAGGCTGGGCAGCCTGATCGTAAGCTCAGTTCTGCAAATATTGGGGCCTCTTGCTGCCAGGAGTGGCCCTGAAAACCCACATCTTACACTGGCTGCTCTGAGCTGCAGAGGACACTGTGGAAGGACATTTACAGGCTGTCGACCCTCTTATTTCCTCCAAAAAAATAAGCAAATGCCCCTGTGGAGACAGGGAAGCATCCTGGCTCTGAGCCCAGCATGTGGCCTTGGGCCACAGCCCAGTCACGGGGGTGCATATCCCGGGTCGAGCTGCTGGGACCACTCCAGGCACAGGGACCCTCGCCGAGGCCCAGCACTTAGAATGAGGATACGTACCCCATTACATCCAGGACAAAGGAAGTTCTCTCCCTGGGGGCTGGGGGGAGACCTTTCCTGCAAAGCCAGCTGCTTCTCTGTAGTAAGCTTGAAAATGCCCTCAGGAGGGAGGGTTGCCACAGGGGAAAGCTGGTTTTGAGATAACGATTACAGGGAAAACCATGATGTCTCATGCATGGGCATGCAGGCCATGGGCGTAAATAATCATGTCAGAAGCAAGGGGAGGACTCCTGGGCACACAGAGGACCCCTGGGCACACGGAGGCTGGATCAACAACCCCACTCAGCCTTCATCTTCTCTCTGGACTTGCAAAGTCCTGCTATTTCAGCCATAATAGTTTGTCACTTCTCTGTTTCTAGTGGTCAGTCCTTAACTTTTGGAGGACAAGTTGATGAGCCACATACACAAAACAGCACATAAACTAAAGAAACTGCATGCTATCAATGCTTCCTCCATCAGCAGCTGTTTACGCCCCAGAGTTGTTTTCGTAGGTTCCCCTGTCCGGCCGTTTCCAGAAATGACTGGTTACCCTCCTGGCCATCCTGTGACAGGATGAACAAACATATCTTTTTTACCCAAACACAGCACAACAAAACAAAAACAGGAAGAAAAATTAGGCATGGTACGGCTTATGGGTTTAATATTATCAACAATTTCCCTAGAGGTCATTAGGGGTAAATAGATTTAAAATCATTTTGAAAATATTTTAAAAACGGAAAGTTCTATGAATTTTAGCCCATGTATAGATTTGTGTGACCACCACCACACTGAGAATACAGAACAGCCACATCATCCTAAAACCTCCCGCTGCTGCTCAGGGTGAATGTTTGACTTTCACAAGTGCGGACATCATCTGGCTCTCTTGGTGCCAGATCTATTTATATTCTGGGGGTTCGTACTTAGTGCATTTTATTTGCCAATGTAAGTTCTAATTTACAAAAAGAGGAGGACGAGAAATCCTTCATGGAGGTCAGAGGATGACAAAGAAGTGGCACCAACAGTTTGTCCCTCATGTTCTGGCCAAATAAATTTTATGGCAAACGTCCACATATATAAGGCTGTGACTGGGGATGACACTTCCCCAGTCATGAGAATTAGGACGAGGAAGGAGCTCTAAATACAGAGAACACCATGCACCAGTCTACCTGCTGCCACTGGATACACACACAGCAGCACATGTAACCAACACATACCACACCCAACACATACACCCCTCCACACCCACACTATATCCAACATACACACCCGACACACACCACACACACACACACCCACACACTACACCCAACACACACCACACACACACCCCACACCCCACACACTACACCCAACACATACACCTCCCCCACACCCACACTATACCCAACCTACACACCCAACACCACCACACACACACACACGCAACACATACTACACCCAACACATACAACCCCTCCACACCCACACTATATCCAACATACACACCCCCAACACACACCACACACACAACCACACCCAACACACACCACACCCAACATATACCCCCTCCACACCCACACTATATCCAACATACACACCCAACACACACACACCCAACACATGCACCCCCTCCACACCCGCTATACCCAACATACACACCCAACACACACCACACACACACCACACACACACACCATACCCAACACATACACCCCCTCCACACCCACACTATATCCAACATACACACCCAACACACACACCACACCCAACACACACTACACCCAACACATGCACCCCTCCACACCCACACTATACCCAACATACACACCCAACACACACCACACCCAACACATACACCCCCTCCACACCCACACTATACCCAACATACATACCCCACCACACACACTATACCCAACATACACACCCAACACACCACACACACCACACCCAACACATGCACCCCCTCCACACCCACACTATACCCAACATACACACCCCCAACACATACCACACACACACCCAACACATGCTACATGTGCCCACACTACACCCAACACACACACACACCCCAACACACCCCCACACCCCATACACACAGCAACATATACATACCCCATGTGAACACATACAAACCATACACATGCCTACCATACATAAACACACCCAACACACACCCCATACACACAGACGTGCTCTGTCTTCAGGGGAGTCTTAAACAGGCTCTTTGGCATCACTCCAGCCTTGGCTTTTTGACCCTAGTGATGTCAGTGGTGATACACGTGGCTGCAGGAGGTACCAGCAGGTGTCAAAGGCAGTTTAACCCCCAAGGCCTCCAGCGCCCCGTCCCACCACTCTCCTCGGAGGCCCCTGCACTCCACCGTCGGACTACAGGACTCTAGCGTTGCTCCTGGGCCAGAAGCAGCAGCCTGGAGGTGCAGCTCTCAAGTCAGGAAGTATACCCCCACCTTCCTCCCCAAGCAACCAAGATCTGTCCTCCTCCCTCTGGACTCAGGAAGAGGTGTCTCCTCTCTCCCCAAATGCTGGGCCCTGTCCCTTCCTGGTGCCAGAGGAAACCAACTAACCACACTCCCAACATCCAGGCCCTTGTTCCTTTGGGACCTAGTGAGTCTGATATACGATGCTGGGCCTCCAGGCGCCTGTAAGATGAAAAAGAAATGATTGGGAATACTGGGGATGCCCAGCTTACAAATCATGAATGATGACACCAGGCCAAGGAAAATGCATGCTGTCACAGAAGCATGGATCTGGGTGGGGAGGCTGGGGAAAGCATGGTGCTTATTCGTGACAGAGCTGCTGTGTGCCAGGCATGGCAGAGGGCGAGTTACACGCATGCGGCTATCTCATTCAGTCCCTACCAACCTCATCTTCTCTTAAAAGGGAAAACTACTACCAACTGCTAGTAGTTTCCCCCTTTTTTTTTTTTGAGACGGAGTCTCGCTATGTCGCCCAGGCTGGAGTGCAGTGGCGCAATCTCGGCTCACTGCAAGCTCCGCCTCCTGGGTTCATGCCATTCTCCTGCCTCAGCCTCCTGAGTAGCTGGGACTACAGGCACCCACCAACACGCCCAGCTGATTTTTTGGTATTTTTAGTAGAGACGGTGTTTCACCATGTTAGCCAGGATGGTCTGGATCTCCTGACCTCGTGATCCGCCCGCCTCGGCCTCCCAAAGTGCTGGGATTACAGGTGTGAGGAAGTTTTCTCTTTTAAGAAAAAAGAACAATAAGCCTCAGAAAGGTTTGGGAACCTGCCTGGAGTCACACAGCTGTAAAGTAGCAGATCTGGAATTCAAATCCAGCTCTGTCTGCCAGATGATAGTAATGATAATACAAATAATAACAAGGATGAAAAGATTAGTAAAAAAAAAAAAAAAAAAGAGCAGCTAACATTTCCTGAGTGCTCACTATGTGCCAGGCACGGGTTGAGCAGCTGACGATTGGCCTTACTCTCTCCAGGAAGGCTTTGTTCATGCAGCTCTTACGTACGAAGACAAAGTTACAAGGAACGTGAGCAGCATGTCCACAGAGCCTCAAAAACAGAAAAGCAGGTTGGAGGTTACGAGGCCCCGGGGATGATGCTGTCTTTCTATCCTCAAGGTGACTCAGCCAGGTCTTGCTGCATTTGGCCCCTTCTTTATGCTGGGGAAGTCGCTTCTCATTTTCTGCGAAGGTATAATGGGACAAGACAGATGTTGGCTGATTTCAGGGAACTGATCTGTTCGAAGCTGAATCAGCTGTCTGCAGGCCTTAAATATAAACTTCACACAGGTGGAAAGACGAGATGGGAATAAGTGTTTTTGGTGAGATGTGTACGTTCCCCAAGAGGCGGAAGCGGGCGGCCCCTGTGATTCAGGGTTCAGAGATGCTAGATGCTGTGGCCCAGGACTTAGGCAGCAGTGAAAGTTCCTGCATGAAAGATGACAAGAAACTGGGCATGCGAGGGTTTCCGGTGGGTGACGAGATGAGCTGAGCTACAAGGCATGGGATGCCGCTCATATCATTCATTAATGCATGCAGGCATTCGGTCATTCACTCATTCCACTGATGAGCCTTAGGAAATGGTGTCTGCAACATTTAATAAGCATTAAGGGAGAAAACATGGGACAGAGTAACTGAGCTCAACCTGCTTCTACTGTTTCTGGAGCTTGTATTTCAGCTTTCAGCCCCTCCCCTGCTCTGGAATTCTATCTCAGAGCCCAGCCTGGCTCCCGCCTGCTCACACGGGAGGTAGAGATCCCCAACTCCTCGCAAACGTTTAGAGCTCAACTGTGAATTCTTAGCTTGCATTCTCAGATTTGTCTATAAAGGCATTTTCCTTTTATTCTCTTTCCATTTACAAATGCCACACATGTGATTGGTGGGAAGGACAAAGAGTGACGTCCCAGCACACTGTGGGTCACACTTTCTCTGATTCGGCCACACTGTGGCCTCAGTCAGGTGCACCTTGCATCGCTTTGCTTTTCTGCTTCAGAGCCACCTCTGACCCTGCTCAAGCCCACTCAGTCCTGGCACAAGCTCTGCCCAAGCAAAGCCACAGGGGAGTTAACACCCTGGGGAGCCCTCAACCCCTGCGACCAGAGCCCCGCCTTTGGCCCTTCCCAGGCACACTCCTGGAGGCCTCGGGCAGGCTCCTCAGAGGTGGGACGGAGCCCTGAGTGTACAGCAGCCCAGAATCATGGGGCTTACTCCTCTCAGCATCACTCTCCCGATTCCCTTAGGCCTGTGATCATCTCCTAAACAGGCGATCTGCACCCAAGCCCTTGCTCTTGGGGAAATTCGAGACAGTTGCTTCTGTAACAGCACCATCTCAATCTGTCCCGGAACAAGGGCCACAAGCCCAATACCCGCAAAGCCCTGAGGCTCCATCCGGCACTGGCCGTGGGTTTGCTGGCTTCAATCACCCTCCGTAAGACCCCGCAGGGGAGATTGGTGAGCGAGAGAAGGGTGGCCCTGTCTGCACTGCTGCGACGCAGCGACCTGCTCTCACAGGGCGGCATCGAGGACTCAGAACATGCTAGTGGCCCTAAAAGCCAGGGGAACTGGCAAAATGATTCAAGGTGACAAACTCTGCCTTTTCAGTTTAATGAGAGATGTTCAAGCTGGGAGACCAGGGTGGGCCAGGACAGTGGGGGCTGGCTGTCTACTCGGGGACAGCCTCTTCCATCGCAGACTGGGGACAGATACTGCAGAGCCGAGGGCACTCCTACTCACGTCCTGAAACCTCAGCACAACACAGTGTATGGCACATCTTCGGAATTCAAAAAATTACCTGTTGGATGCATACATGAGAGTTACAGCTCCAAACCCAGCTGTGGCTACAGGGAGAGTTCAGCAGCTCCTTGGCAGTGAGTGCGCTATCCATCGTAAGTCATGCAGGAAGGAAGGCACGTTCATGTCTCCTCTGCTGTTCACCTTTCTATTCCCACCCAGTCCAGGCGTTCCCCTCCTAACCACCCACTGCTTGCCAGTTCACCAACCCACATGACCCCTCCTATGGTACCCCCCAATTATTCTGGATCTCTTCTGTTGCCACCCCTGGGGCATAAAGGGTCTGACCACAAGGAATCTGACAAACGGGCCCTGCAGAAGGGCTCTCAACCACTTGGGAGACAGACGGACAGCTCAATGCCAGGCTGTCATGCCGGCCGCACCCTCTCACCTCCACAGGGTCTACACTACACCCTGGTGGGCTGACACTCTGGAGCCCATGCCATCTAAGCAACAATTCTCAAAGGATAATAATAAAATAAATAAAGAGGGCAGGAGGAAACTTTCGGAGGTGATGGATATGCCTATGGCATAGGCTGTGGTGGTTTCATGGGTATATACTCAGCCCCGAACCCATCAAGTCATGGATATTAAGTATGTACAGCTTTCTGTAAGTAAATCATACCTCAATAAACTGTGTGTGTGTTTTTAAGAATTAGCTGCAGAGCTTGTCCAAATGCATGTCACCTGGCCCCCCACCCCCAGAGGGCCTGCTCATTAGGTTTGTTTCGGCAAGTACCCTGGGTGATGATGGGGCAGGAGGGTCCTTAGATCCCACTTGGAAAATGACTGGTCTCTACCTTGAGCCCAAGAGTAGTTCTGGCCCTACTGTTCTCAGGTTAGAGACATGTATTTGGCAGCTCTGTGGCAAGGCAGAAAACTGGGCCAAGTTTCCAGGGCGTGAACACTGCGTCTGCACCTGGGCCCTCTGTCTCTGGGGACACTGGGGTATTTTCATGTCTTTAAGTGTGTGCGTGTGCCCTTGCATGTCCAAGCATGCTTGCTGCGTGTGCCTTGTGTCTTTCACCACATGGTGGGCGTGTGTGCATTATCAGTAGCTCTGTATGGAGGGCTGAGTGTCAGCTTCTTGGTCACCATGGTTCTCATAAGCACACCTGTGCCTGCATGTCACACATGGGCTTAAACTGTGTCGCCTGAGTCTGTGTGTGTGCATGTGTGTGTGTGCACCTGTGTGTGTGTGAAGAGGGGACTGCAGTACCAGGGCAGTATACACAGAGCATTCCAGTTCAGTTATTTCATACTTATAATTAAATAATAATACTTATTAAGAGAAATTTTAATTGCAAAGTATTTTACCATACAGCTGAAGGTCCCAGAGATGAATAAGGGAAACTTGAAGATAACCTAACAGCCTACATAACTTATTGATTACTTCTCTTCAAAAGAGAAGCTGCAACCCGAAACGCATACATGTACGTATTTATAACAGTCTCCCTGGGCAAATGAAGTTGTCGGTGGGTTGAACAGTTCACTTCATATCTTCAAGTGCAAACTAGAACCTTCTCCTGTTGTTTCTATTAGTAAAAGACAAATTAATTTTAAAAGTTCATGCCTGCGATGCACTTGCTTTCAGAGACCCTCTTTTCAATCAAACCTAACTTCTAGTCACTCACTTTCTATATGCTGTAATCTGCACAAGCTATGCAATTTTTGAAATGACTTATATTTATGGCTTTATAAAGCTATGCCCCTTTTTGAAATGATTGATATTTCCAGCCCAGAGCATGGCATTTTAGAATATGCTCTGTTCTCTGTTGATCAGGGGATCATGGAGGGTTCCCAGTTTCAGCTAATGAGGCCAAGGTCAACCCACAGGAGAGAAAACTGCTCCCTGGCCACAGACTGAACCACCAATTCTGGCCAACCGCCTCATAAACACAGGCCCAGGTCATAATGGGATCCAGATGGAGGAGTGTGGACAGTCACAGCTGACATTCTACTGACCGTGACTCAATGGAACACAGCTTGGGGCAGGGCTAGGACTGGTGCTAAGGTCTCTGGTTTCTCCTTTCAGAGCCTATTTCTTTATAGCAGTGGTGGGATTTGAAACTAGGCTCTGAAAGACTGGAGCTTCAGAACTGAGCCTTAGAGACAGCAAGGTCATTAAACAAAAGAAAGCAAAATAAACAAAAAGCTATTCCCTCTAAGTCAATTCTGCAATCAAAGCATCGGAAAAGTTAAATGCACTAACAATGTCCACATTCATACTATCGGGGGGTAGAACCCCCCATTATAATCTAGGGCCTCATCCCTTCATTCCTGAGTAACAACAGTTGTCTCCTAGCCTCTGGCTCTCAAAACATCCCCACAACTTTTTTTTTTCTTTGCCATTCCAATTGATTTATACCATCATTAATTTTCATTAAACTTCTCCTTTGTTCCAGAATTTACAATGGCTCCCAGCTCTGGCACTTTGGCTCAACCCAAGCCCCTCAAGCCTGTATTCAAAACTCTCTATTGTCAGGCTTCACTCACCGGATTATTATTTTCCAGTACAGGCCTTCGACTCCCGCCAGGTGTCACTGTCTAAGGAGTCACCATCATTTCTCCCATCTTCCCTTATTTATTCCAGTCTCCATGACCCCTAGACTTCCCCATCCCTATCTCATGTTAACTTCCCTGTTAACCCATCTGGCAAAATCTTTCACTGACTTTTAATTTCTTGAACTGGCTTTGCTCATCATTGTTTCCCTAGAGTCTGGCAGAAGGTAGGTTCACAATAAATCTCTGTTGAATGACCAAACATTTAAAATATTGAAGCATCAGAATGACAGTCTTGGCAGTTGGTTTGTGTTTTCCATCTCCTCAAAGAGACTGTGAACTCTGCAAGATTAGGGATCATGCCTTACCCTCTGCACTCTGGAGCACATATCTACTACGGGACACTCAGTAATGAATGTTTGATGAATTGAACTGAAAATTAATCTCCACCCTGATATGGTTTGGATCTGTGTCCCTACCCAAATCTCATGTTGAATTGTGATCTCCAACGTTGGAGGAGGGGCCTGGTGAAAGATGACTGAGTCATGGGGGCACACTTCCCCCTTGCTGTTCTTGTGATTGTGAGTTCTCACGAGATTTGGTTGTTTAAAAGCATGTAGCACCTACCCCACCTCTCTCTTTCTCCTTCTCCAGCCATATAAGATGTGCCTGCTTCCCCTTCACCTTCCTCCATGATTGTAAGTTTCCTGAGGCCTCCCAGCCATGCTTCCTATACACCCCGCAGAACTGTGAGTCAATTAAACCTTTTTTTTTTTAATAAATTACCCAGTCATAGGTAGCTCTTTATGGCAATGCAAGAATGGAATAATACACACCCCCACCTAAAACCACCATGAAATCAACTTGAAGACAGTCTTTGCACCCCAAAGAATCAGACAAAAAAAAAAGGCTGGGCGTGGTGGCTCACGCCTGTAATCCCAGCACTTTGGGAGGCCAAGGCAGGCGGATCACAAGGTCAGGAGATTGAGATCATCCTGGCTAATACAGTGAAACCCCATCTCTACTAAAAATACAAAAAAATTAGCCAGGCGTGGTCATGGGCGCCTGTAGTCCCAGCTACTCAGGAGGCTGAAGCAGAAGAATGGGGTGAACCTGGGAGGCGGAGTTTGCAGTGAGTCGAGATCGCACCACTGCACTCCAGTCTGGGAGACAGAGCAAGACTCCGTCTCAAAAAAAAAAGGTTAGATTATTCTGAAAAAGTGGATTATTTGCTATTTTTCATGTCCTAATTTTTTATGTTCAATTTTTGGGTCCTGGTAACAGTCCTACGTGTTTCAAAAAACTCTAGACAAGAATATTTTGAATAATCCAGAGTAGAAACCAAAAAAAATCTATATATTTTAATCACTGATTACCCTTTGCCTGAATGGCATGTCTTTTTGTTTGTGTTTTTTTCTGAGAGTGGAGTTTAACATTTGGTCTTATTTGTAGTTTACTGGTTCTGCTGATAATGGAAATACCCCAGTACCAATTTATTGCTTGCTCAAAAAAAAAACAAAAAAACTAAAAACAAACAAAATGAACTGGCATCAATGTAGAATTAAATAACAAAAGGGCAGGGGCGCCCAAGGTGAAGTAATACAAGCAAGGATTACCTGCAACTCTGTTCTTTTGGGTGTCAACACCTGAAAGGTGACACCATTAAGAAAATCCCTCTGTCCTTCAGAATAGTGTTTCTCAAAGACTGGTCCTAAGACCCCCTGCCTGGCTCACCTCCAGTTCTCTGAGGCAAGTCTCTGTGGTGGTGGGTGTGGACTTTCTCCCAGGGTACTCCCAGGGAGACTCTGTTCCCAGCAACCTCTCCAGGAGATTCCTGTGCACAGTAAAGCCTGAGAACCTGGGCAGCTGACAGTTAATGACATAACTGACCTTCGAATTGGAAGGGAATACCCCTGCTTCAGACTCGAGAAAAAAACTTAAAAAGCAGCCTTTGTTTCCTGAAAAACACACCAGTGGGCTTGCCTCACAGAATACCAACAGCCACTGTGGCCAGGCACATGCCTGAGAGCTGGGGAAAACAGTTGGCTCCGGGGACACCACCTCCTTTTCCAAGTCCCCAAGGCGAGGATAACATATCCTTGTCTCACACCGTTTCTGTGTCACTAGGTGGGGACAATGGTGGGATGAGACACTTAGCCCAGTCCCATGCAAAATGACAGAGGGACACATAAGTACTCTACCTTTTGAAAGTCAGATGTCCTGGGACGATAATGTGCCCAGCTCAGATACAGGGGGCCGAGGGGAGAAAGTCCCCACCCACCACCTGCAGGACAAAGGCCAACCTGCTGGGAGGCTGGATGCACAGCATGCAATGACTCCTCCAGCCCAGGCGGCTCAAACACACAGCCATTCCCTCACGATGCAGATGCAGCTGAAAGCATCTGAAAGCGTCTTCTTTCTGGGACATGGGCCTTAACGATGGACAATTAAAGAGCTTTTCTTGCCCCCTTTCTTTCCTATAAGAGGCAAAGCCACCAGGAAAATCAACTTGATAAACATGGCCTAGAGCTGGCTGTCCCACACAGCTGGGACGAAAAGAGACAGAGCACTAGAGACTGTCCTCGAAAAATCGGATCGATCTATATGGTGGCAAACCACTGCAGGGCTCAGACAAGGCCTGAGGGAGAAACAGAACATTGCACCAACTTAGAAATGAAGCCTCATTTCAGGCAGAAGAGCCGCTGTCTTTCCTGCTGACCGTATTTTTGGAACCAGGGCTGGGCACAGGGAGGCTGACATGAGGGCCTGAAGGTGACCACAGAAAGGAGAAAGAGGCCTTCTTGCTCAGAATTTTAGGCAATGGTGATTTCAGGGGTGAAAAGAGGGTACTATCACAACTAAACGGAGGGTCCTTCAGAGGGATGTGGGGACACAGGGGCCAGATGTGACTGTGCCTGTCACGAAGTGGGGAAAAGAGGGCTCCTGAGGGCCCAGGAACCGCCAGCAAACCAGCCTACCACACCCACCAGAGGCGTCCAAAAGGCCTGATCTCACCCACAGAGGGGGGCAGGAGAGGATCGCTGTGAGTCCAGGTGAAGGAGTCAGCCCTCCCCAACCCTCACAGGCAAACTTTTACTGCTGCCGCAGGCTTCCTGAGCTAGGATCCCCGATTTTGCGACCTGTCTCCTCAGCACTAGGGGCACCAGCACCAGGCAGGAAAGCAAAGAAAAACTCGCAGAGTCCAAGGGGATGGGCAGGGAGGGCTCCAGGAAGCGTCACATGGGCACCAGAAGGCAAGATGACAAGGGGGTCTTAAGAATCCCCAATTCAGCTTACTCGATTCACCAAGTTTCGCTCTAAGGATGTGCTGCCTTTTAAACAGAGTTTGTCGAAGTCTTTTTACAAGTCGCCATGCTAGCTTTCAGTGAATGTTAATAACACTGGTACGTGTTCATGATGCAGCAATTCAGATGAACTACATAAAAGCCCTAGCAGCCAAGTCAGGGGCTGTTCACCCTGAATTCAGGCCAAGAACTAGAAAGAGCCAGCCTTTGGCATGCTGAATTTACCAACCTAAATACGAAGTGGCACAGCAGCCTCCCAGAGCCAGCACAGCACCAGCTAGCCCCCAATGGGGCTGGTACCCGGGACGGCCACCAGAGCTGGCTTTCAGAGGCCCAGGCACTCTCTACAGAGAATATGTGCTGTCGGTACCGGGCACCCAACCCTCCAGATTCACTCAACCATTGCCCATCCTTCTCCTCTGGAGACAAGGAGAGGCTTCTTGTCTTCCTTGGAGGCTCCTGCCCTGGGCTTACTTCTCCCTGCCATTGGCTCTGGGGCCAGCGGGGCACAGAGTGGATGGCCTGGTCAGGACGAGGGAGTGGAGAGCAAGTGGAGGGGCAGCAGTAGACCCGTCTGTCCGCACGGGGCCTGGTGGTGAAAGCACAGGCCTGTGGAGACCTTTCTGCGCATAGGAAATGAGCGGGAAAGGAATCCTCAGGGCAGGGCAGAGAAGAGGCTCGCAGAGAGCTGTTCTAACTCAGGAAATGCCTCCTAAAGGGAAGAGGGAAGAGACAGAAACAGCATGGGTGAAGAGGCCTCGAAACCTCCTGTGTGAGTCAGGATTAGGATGAAAGGAGACGGGGTGGAAGGTGGGAGGGCATCTGGGGATCCGAACGGAGGGGCTGTTGCTCTCCCAGGGAAGGAGGGCCTGGTGCCCAGCAGGCTGAGGGAGGGGCTGGGAGGAGACTTGCAACAGCTCTGCCTGCAGCCAGGATGGGGGCCCGGACAGGGAGCAAGAAGGGGAAGCTGGCCCAGGTCAGCCCCAGGAATGGGTGACAGGTCAGCTGTGTCGACAAGGCCCTGGGGCATGTTCCAGCCTTCTCTCTGTGGCCTTGAAAGGCGCATGGAGAAAGCACACGGGCAAGCGAGCGTGCTTGCTTGCAAGCAGGATGGCCTCCGGGGACCCCGGTCTTCCTGCCTACGTGGCACGCTCTTAAATGTGCATCCGTCCCATCTTCTCATGGGAGTTTCAGTTTTGTTTCTTGTGACCTCTATCTCCACTGCACTGTTCGGCACCACCCCAAACACACCCCCAGGCTGGTTCCACAGAGCAGGGTCTTGCTTTCCATCCCTGCCGCCTCCCCGCTGTGCACCCGCCATGGCCAGCCACGGAGTGACACACCTAAGCCATGTTACAGCCATGTTACCTCCCAGCTGCCCACGAGGCTGGTGAGAGGATTTCTCCCACTTCATGGGTTAGGAAATGAAGGCATGGAGAAATCAGGCCATTAGGAGAGGAGGGACCAGGTTCACTCTGGCCTTTCCTGACTCCAAAGCCAGCACTCCGATCTCAGCTCCATGTCGGCAGCGGTTCCAATCCTGACTGCATACAGGGGTCCCTGAAAAGCTTCCAGATACCCCAGGATGGCAAGGGCCCTGTCTATATCCCTATACCTAGCACTGCGGCTGGCACATATTAAAAGTGAAATCAAAGCTTGTTGAATGACTGCATGTGTGAGTCCATGACTGAACACACTTCCCTGCCACGGACACTATCATTCCTCCCTCATCCTGACCCAAAGCCTGAAGTCACCTTACCACAGGAGCCACCCAGCTGGCCCCAGACTAGTCTCTCCCTTCCTCCAGCCCTTCTGCACGTGGATAGACAAGGAACCTTCTCGGAACATCCCTTTCAACCCGTTACCTTATGTTGTTCAAGGTTTCCAGGGCTTGCTCTGGGTTTGAGGATACAGTTGCAATTCCTTGATCTGATATTTAAGACCCCCAGTGACCTGGTTCCAACCAGGCTTTCACTCACATCTCCCACCACTCACAAACTGTTCTGGCCAGGCGGGTGTCCTTCTTGTCTCCTGTAAATTCCCACTAGTGTGACTGCGGACTGTGGATGGCACATCCCTCTCTCTCCACCACCTGTCTGGATCCTACCCATCCGGGAGGACGGAACTCTTCTGCTCTGCACCCCAGGTCCCAGGGAGCCCTTCCAACGCTGAACACCTGTGCCACGGATCTTACCTGGCTCCGTTCTAATGTGACTTCTAATTGACATCGCAATGTGCACATGTCCTAATTTCGTAAGTACATTAAGATCACTTGAAGGCAGGAACTGTAGACATATAATTTTATCTCCCCACAGTGACTAAGGTGGCACATTCTCTGTGAGTGCCACTGGGCATTCAGCAGCTCCTGTCTCCTTGTGGACGGTCTTACCTGTAATATCTGGACTGCAAGTAGGTGGAGCACACAGCCTTGGAGACGTGGCTGGCTGAACCAAAGTCGATGACCTTGACTCTGTATGGTTGTCTAGATGGATCCACCAGCATGATGTTTTCTGGTTTGAGGTCAGCGTGGATAAGACCTAGGCTTTTGAGTTTCATCAGGGCTGTGGCTACCTGCTGGAGAACTGGGCGAATGTATTTGAGGGGCAAGGGGCTAAACTTGTTTTGCTTCAGAAAGTCATAGAGGTTCTGCTCCAACATCTCGAAGACCAAGCACGTGTGGTTCTTGTGCTGGAAGCATTCGTAGGCCCGGACGAAGTTATAGTCATCGGCACTCTCCGTGCTCAACCGGGCCAGGATGCTCACTTCAATCTGACCTTGTCGGGCATAGGATGGGTGGTTCTTCAGGATCTTGATGGCTACGATCTCATTGGTGCCCCGTTTCCAGCACTTGACCACTTGCCCAAACGTCCCTCGGCCCAAGAACTCTAAGACCTCGTAGGTGTTGGTCATGGAGCACAGCACCTCATGCTGCACCAGCTGATAGTCGCCCTCGCTGTTGGAGCCGCTGTTTTTGGAGGTGGCAGTAGACGTGGTGGCAGTGGCGACAGTGGCCCCGCTTGCATTATTCTGAATCATGGGTGGATGCTCCTCGATGATCTGCACGCTGCTTGTGTTCTCGATCTCCTCGCTCTTACGCTTGAGTCCACATTTTTGGTAGGTATCAAGGAGGCTCACAGTGCTTCGACGCATTAGGTTGTGTGGTCCGCCGAGGACTTGCCCGGTGACAGAAGTGCTGCTTGCTGAGGTGACCACGATGTGCCCGGTGCTTCCTGGGAAGACGATGGTCTGCTCGTAAGGTAGGCTTGGGTTTGGGACCGGCAAGGAGGTGCTGACGGTTGTGGTGGCTGGCTGCGACAGGGGGATGTTCTTGCTCTGGCTATACACTTTGCTGTGGGAGCCGTACCCAGTCATGTCCCAGTTGGAACTCGGCTCTATTTTCAGTTTCTTCACACTACAGAAGGCACTTGATTGAAGGGTGTGAGGGGAGAAAACTTGCACATGTGAGGCCATACCTACAAGGAAAGGAAAACGAAAAGTAAGTATCGGAGTCACCTTGGTACAAGTAAACTCAACAGATCCCCTTCAGTTCTCATCTGTGGCTTGGGCCATACAGAATATATTCCTCCCACTTGAAAACAAGGTTGAAAAAGTGAATCTCTTCCACCCAGAAGCACATTCTGGTCACTGAGTTTGTGGAACCAAGTGGTTCCAGGGTGCCACTTGCCACCATTAGGTGCCAGCAACACAGCTGAGACTCAGAAACAGAATTCCAATATCAGGACATAGGTCACCATTTTTTTTTGTAAACATTACTTGTGACAGAAATGGATTCTTCCTCAGTTCTCCCTGGGTTGCTTTCTACTGAAACTCAGGAGGCTCTGCTGTCACGTACTTCGTTGCCCACATCATCAGCTCAGCCTTGTCCACAGACCCTGTCAAGTTTACTGGTTTGAGAAAACATCTTCCCACACAGGCCCCATCACCAGGCCACTCAGGATCTTCTGGATCCTGGATGAACCCTAATTACCAGCTGGCATCTTTGTCATCGATTCTGTAGGGTTTAGTGGATCAGCAGTTGGTCTGACGTTTTTCATTTCAACAGCATAAAACATTTTATCAGCCTTACTGGTGGGGACTGGGTAGCACAATTCATGGCTCCATTCACTCACGCTTCCTGCTAAATTCATATATCAATACATTTCTCTAGAAAGTACTATTTCTTTTTGTTTTTTTTTGTTTGTTTGTTTGTTTTTGTTTTGAGACCGAGTCTCGCTCTTGTCACCCAGGCTGGAGTGCAATGGCATGATCTCGGCTCACTGCCACCTCTGCCTCCCAGGTTTCAAGCCATTCTCCTGCCTCAGCCTCCAAAGGCTGGGATTATAGGTTCCTGCCACCACGCCCGACTAATTTTTGAATTTTTAGTAGGGATGGGGTTTCACCATGTTGGCCAGCCTGGTCTCAAACTCCTGACCTCAGGTGATCCACCCGCCTCAGCCTCCCAAAGTGCTGGGATTACAGACGTGAGCCACCGTGTCTGGCCAGAAGTACTATTATTTCATACCAACATCTCATCCACAATTTAGATAAACTTAGAAACCTATGAGACCGTTATTCTGGAACACTTGTACAAATTACGGTGATACTGAAACAAAAATTCATAGAAAATATATTAAGCAAAAATAATAAGGTGATGAAGGATAACTCCTTAAAGGTTAAAAGAGTAACAAACATTGCCCATCTTCTAAGCCACTATCAACAAACATTTCTCACAGAAGCACAAGGAAGTGCAGCTTCTGCAAGCCCTGTTGGGGGTTGGCTAACCTAGTGTTCCTGTCTCTCTGAGCCCCTGGCATTACCTAGAGTGGTAATCCTTTCCACTCCATCAACCATCACCCTAGTCCACCTTCTCTCTCAGTAGATGACCCAACTTCCACTTTGTCCAGAAGCCTGAGGTCAGCCTTACTTTCCTCCTTTATTTCCTTCTTCATTTCAGAACATTCCTGAATCTACATCATCCTCCATCCTTCATTCCTTCTCTCCAGTCTGAGAGAAAGAGGTGTTGCTCTTTTCCAATACTAAAAAAGTTCCCGATTCTCATGATCCATATTTGTCCCATTTTCTCTTGAACCTGCTTCCACCACTGTTCTTTCTCTTGTAGCTTTCCATTTCTCCCTGTACTTAATTGGATCCAAGTATTTAGTAGGAACTTAATATGGCTGTCCAAATGAATCGGTCACCTCATCTTTTTCTTCTGCCTTCATGTGCGTGCACACACAAACTCCCAACATGGAAGGCAAAAGGAGTAACAGCCGCATTCCCCCCTCTTAATTCTTTCCCTCCTCTCACCTGTGATCAATGGTTTATGCTCCCTTTTCTTCAATGCCCACATCTTAATCCATCTCCCCCAACTCGTTAATGCACTATAGGCTCCTGTTCTTGAAGGTAAATGACTTCCTAATTGCCTAATCCAATGGCCTTGTTTCAGCCCGTTCTTCTTAACCTCTGCAACATCTGATACTGCTGACCACGACTTCCTTCTTGATGCTCTTCTCTGGACTTCAGTGAATCTGTAATCTCCCCATCCCGTGTCTGATTGCACACTGTGTGCTCGGGTGGTTCCTCTTCCTCCTTTATTTTATTATTATTATTTTTTGAGACAGAGTCTTGCTCTGTCGCCCAGACTGGAGTGCAGTGGTGCTATCTCGGCTCACTGCAACCTCCGCCTCCTGAGTAGCTGGGACTACAGGTGTGCGCCACCACGCCCAGCTAATTTTCATATTTTTAGTAGAGACGGGGTTTCATGTTGGCCAGGCTGGCCTCAAACTCCTGATCTCAAGTGATCCACTCCCCTCAGCCTCCCAAAGTGCTGGTATTACAGGTGTGAGCCACCGCACCCAGCCCTCTTCCTCCTTTCAAATGTTGGCATTTCCACCGTTTTGACTCTGTTCTCTCTGGCAGCTATCATCCATTCAAGCAGTTTAAGCCGTCACCTCTGTGTAGGTGACCCCCACATGTTTATCACAGGCTGGGCTCTCCCTCAGAGGTTACAGTGATATATTGCAGCCTCCTGCTACAATGTCAAAGATGCGCTTCCAAAGCTGAACCCCTTATTTTTTCCTAAAAATCTAGCCATCTCACCCTCTATCCTAACATCTCCATGACTGTTCTAGTCACTTGGCTCCAAAACTATGAACTATGATGGTTCTTCTTTACATTCATAGACAAGAAGGTGCTAAGCCTTATTAATTTCTCCTTCCTTCAAAACATCTCTTGCATCCAATTCTTTATTTCTGCTGTTGCTGCCACTTCCACAGTGAATGTATTTATCACTTTCTAGAAGGACTAAAGCAAATCTAGACATCTCATCTACCTGAGCACTCTGTCTCCCTTTAATTTGCCTATATTTGGCTACCAGATTAATCTTCCTAAAACATCTCTGAGCATGCCACTCCCCTCTCCAAACTTCCACTGGCTCCTTACTGTCAAGGAGATAAAGCTGAGAACTCGATACATTTACATGTTGATTCCAACTACCTTGTTAGCTCCAGCTCTACTAACCTTCCTGGGTCCTTAACTTGAATGAAGCTGGTCTATTCGCTGTTTCTAGAATGTCTCTTATACTTCCTATCTTCACACTCTTACACTATTCCTTTACCTGGCATGCCTTTGCTGCTTTTCTCAACTTATCCAAAGACCAGCCAGCTTAGATTCCTTCTCTTTCCAGACCACTCTAACCCAGTGATCATTCCCAACTCACTGTTCCTACAGCACTTACCATATGTACCATCTGACTTCAGCTCTGACTTCCTAGGGGCAGTTCTGCTAACATCCAGCACCTGATTGGAGCCCCACCTCCACCCTGGGCCCATGGATCTGCTGGAGGGTGTTCCCTTCTTGCTTCAATCCTGAGCTCCGACCTCCATCTACGCACTGTGACTGCACGTCTGTAGGAATCCTCGTGCCTGACAAGACTATTCTGGCTTGCTTATTCAGAATCCGTACTTCACCCGTTTCTTCCCACTGTTCTTTTTGTTCAAGTCAACATCCCCCTTATTCTAAGTCAACATCCCCCTTATTCTAGAACAACACAGAATATGGCTATTCCCTATTTATCAGTATCAAGTGAATATCCATATTGTTCTAGATGTTGTATACAATATAGAAATGACCAATTACTTGGCTTTCAGTAACTTAGCCACTGAAGAGTCAAAGCAAAACAGCCATTTCCTTCATCCTTTCGTGTCAAGCCTGCTGCTTATTTTTCAGTCTTTAAGTACCCGGAAGGGGGCGGTCAGAGAGAGCGACAGCAGAAATACGCTGTTCATACATAAAGAAGGTGAGGTGCTAGTCTCTGTTTTCACTGTTTCAAAAAGATCTTGGTGGAAAGGCCGTCCACGGTGCAGAAGTGGAATTTTACAGAGGGGAAGAGGGTGGCTTATGACTTATTTGTTATTGGGATGACAGCCAAGGGTCATAAAATTGTGGAAATCATCACTGGCTGCCTCTGATGACAGATGCCCAGGATCAGACAGGAGGCCTACATGGCTGGAAACACCCTGCACCACAGCCGGCTGCCTCAGACTCCGGCCTGGCCTGGTGTGGCCCCTGCTGCCCCTTTATGAAGTCAACAGCCGCTATTCCAATGACTGGACCCAACGCTCAGTGCAGACGTGTTACCTTTGTTCTGTAGCAGAGGCCACTTTGCTTCAGGCAGCAAAATGCTCCAACAAGATATAGTTAAAGTCTTTAACAGTAATACTTTTTTAAATCCCTGAAATACCTTCATAAGGAATAAGACACTGCTGGTGGTTTTGTAGCTTAATCTTAAAATAATCTTATGGCAACACACTTATTTCCAAACATTTCTCCTTGAGAGTATTTCTCTGGAACAAACCTTCCCTATTAGTTTAGCTTTCAGAGAGTTGAGCCCACAACGTATTACTTCTCTATTTATTCAGATCCTAAAGTGAGGGACAATAAAGTGGGGGTGCAGAGGGGGACTCAATGTTTTTTTCCACTTGAAAGTAAAAGCTAAATGTCTCCTCTCATTTCTTTCTGTATTGACCTCTGGACTAGTCAAGGCTACTTCCCGCCTCATTTGTCAATATCCTTTTCAGGAAAAACAGAGGCTTAATGCACATTGTCAGTTTGATCCAATGGCAAAATCTCAACTGCTTTTTAAGTTATCTCTGCACTTCCTAGTTGGCTCTTGAAAGAGAAGGCGGATTTTACTCCTTCTAGGTGAGAGACCAGGGGGACTACTGGACTTGGGAGGGCAAGTTTCGAGCCCATGGGGAGCAGTAAGAGGAACCCAGGAGGTCACGGTAGGATAAATCTGCCATAACCACACCTGCTCCTACAGGAATGACCTGACCCAGACTTTTCCACAAAAGCCTTAGTGGCCTCCCAAGATAAAACCTGTCAAAATGGCCACATTTTCATTCACTAAAGGACAGGGAGTCACCATAACCTAGAACTAAAGCTTTTAACAAGTAGCATGCCTATTACCATACCACTCTGTCTCATAAACAGGCTGAAGTCATAAACACTGAATCTCAGATATGCATGGGGTTCTTACATGCTTGTTAATTACACAGACACGAGTTCATGTGGTTGCTACAGAAGTGATAAGTAAAAAGCACTGAAGAACAAATTTATTAAAATTTAAAACAACTTCTATTACACAACTATATATAATAAACTCTTCATTGCATATGACAAATGAAAAATAGCACCTATAAAACTGACATTAAAATATATGCTATAGTTAGAAGAATTAAAGTCCACTATTTGTAAGACATTATTCCTTATTACCATAAAGCTGACAAAGTCTCTCATGCCGAAACAAATCCAGGTTACCCAGACTTAGGGTGCACTTTGATATGCTAAAGGCAATGAGGGTTCTGACCCTTCTTTTAGTTACTTTATTGAAATTCTCATTTTGCATTTATAAAAAGCATGTATGCAAGTCTGCATTTCAAAATACTATTTTTAAAACATCTGCCTTCTAGCCTTAATTATAGATGCCATTTATGTCTATAAAATGCTAGACTTGACTTCATCTGCTATTCCTCAGGATTCTTAAAACACTTATGAGTCTCCAGGTTTTAAAATCTTGAGTACTAAGTACACAGCAGGCTCCAGGACAGATGTTTTATGGACAGGGTAAGCATACGTCCTACTGCCGGTTGGACGTATGCTTACCCTGTTAGGCCAATTCAATTATTCAGAGCACCCTCCCTACTTTCATTCTCACAAAGGTCCTACTTTGAAAACTGGGAAGTCATGTGATGGGTTTAAGCTTCTGTGATAAGTGAAAAAAATCAGACCCTGACCCCAGAAGTTCAAACCTAGATCTAAATTCTTTTTTTTTTTTGGGACAGGATCTCACTCTCTGTTGCCCAGGTTGGAGTGCAGTGGTGCAATCATAGCTCATTGCAGCCTCGAACTCCTGGGCTCACATGATTCTCCTGCCTCAGCTTCCCAAGTAGCTAGGACTATAGGAGCATAACACCATGCCCGGCTTCAAACCTATGTAATTCTATGCACCTTTTGGTTTCTCTTTGTCTTAATGGTTTAATGAGAAATTCATTGGTCTGGGGCTACAAATAATGTAATAATAAGAATATCTAAAAATCTTCATGATTTCTTGAAGTCTTAACTCACACAGTTACGGTTTTTTTCTTTCTTCTTTTTTTTTTTTTTTTGAGACAGAGTTTCACTCTTGTCACCCAGGCTGGAGTGCAATGCTGCAATCTTGGCTCACCACAACCTCTGCCTCTCGAGTTCAAGCGAATCTCCTGCCTCAGCCTCCCAAGTAGCTGGGATTATAGACGTGCGCCACCACGCCCAGCTAATATTTGTATTTTTAGTAGAGATGGGGTTTCAGCATGTTGGCCAGGCTGGTCTCGAACTCTTGACCTCAGGTGATCCACCTGCCTCGGCTTCCCAAAGTGCTGGGATTACAGGCGTGAGCCACTGCACCCAGCCAACTCACACAGTTTTTTAAAAAATGACATTTGTTAAGGGACTGGCTCATTTAGCATATTTTCCCCCCACTATTTACTTAGTTTCTTCATAACTTTATATTTCACAATTAGATGAACTGAAAAGTTGCTTCATATCTGAGTAACATTTCCTTTCCATTTCACCACCCCTAAATAAATTATCTACTGGAAGATCAGACTACAAGGATGAGTGAGGGTTCAACTACAATAAAAAAAAATAAATTGAATTCAATTTCACTGAATTCTAGCAAAGCTCAAGCCCTGATTCCCAGGGAGGTGATCTCTAAAATAGTGGCACCAATTTTATCGGTATGTAATATTTAATTTGGGTTTGGCAGATGTAAAACAGATTACCGCTCAGAATCCAGTTATATTATTCAAGAGAATGGAATCATGAACACCTGATTTTAAGAGGTACTAACTTCCTTACTTCCTAAAATCTTCTGGACACAAGCTCTGGCTGAATAATGAGTACTTAATAGATGCTACAGATCTTTTTTTTTTTTTTTCATAATAAAGAACTCAAAGGAAGGATTAATTCTCATATTTAATGAAATGCCATATCTGTCTAATATAGATTATGCACATAAGACATAACAAAATTATAGAATATGTCAAAAATATATGAATGTTGGAAATATGCATCTAAATGGACATTTTTAAACACCTAGAAAGGGTTAATCTGTATAACCCCTGAGAACCCTGGATGACATGGTGATCTAATACCTCAGGGGGTCAAAAAGTACTTGGAAAGTTTCCTTCATTGACATACTAAATAATATTCATAAAGTTTTAATAATCCTGCTTATTAAGTTTATATTTCACAAGGAGTACACAGATAATTTCAGGTTAGCCCATTCTAAATGATACATTTCCAAAACAGTGTATACTGAATGTCCCTGGGGCTTTTATACCATTTTCAATCAATGTCTGTTTACCCACTAGTTGTGCAATGTTAAATATATAGTATATTCCACCAGAGCACAGCTTAGGATCAACCACAAGCTCTACAGAATTCTTTTTTTTTATTATTATTATACTTTAAGTTTTAGGGTACATGTGCACAATGTGCAGGTTAGTTACATATGTATACATGTGCCATGCTGGTGTGCTGCACCCATTAACTCGTCATTTAGCATTAGGTATATCTCCTAATGCTATCCCTACCCCCTCCCCCCACCCCACAACAGTCCCCAGAGTGTGATGTTCCCCTTCCTGTGTCCATGTGTTCTCACTGTTCAATTCCCATCTATGAGTGAGAACATGCGGTGTTTGGTTTTTTGTCCTTGCGATAGTCTACTGAGAATGATGATTTCCAATTTCATCTTGCAGCACTATTCACAATAGCAAAGACTTGGAACCAACCCAAATGTCCAACAATGATAGACTGGATTAAGAAAATGTGGCACATATACACCATGGAATACTATGCAGCCATACAGAATTCTTTTGTCAATAATGACAATAACAATACTACTGATTGCAGCACTGGGCATTTGAAAAAAACAAAAAACATGAAATAAAATCAATCATCAAGTCTGTATTAAGGGTCCTCTACATAAAAAAAGATTAGGGTTGAGCACAACAGGAAACACAAAGACATCTAAGACATCGTCACCGACCTAAAGGAGCTTAGAATCTCATGGGGATTGCCAAGTACAATGCAAATTAAAAAGGACAGCTGGTAATTCTAAGGCAACATAAACAACTTGCCAAAGTAAACACTAGAAGTTTAGAGGCAGGAGTCACTATGCATTGTGGTCAGGCAAAGTTTCACAGCAGAACTAAGACTCAAGCTGCAATTAGAAAGATGGGGCAGAAGGCTAGTGCTCCAAATCCTGCAAACAGAGTGTACTTCAGTCCATCAGGAGAGTGAGACTCATGGCGGGAGCGGCCAGCACTGCGGTCTCTGTACTAGAAAGCTCAGGCTTTGCTTGGAGACAACTGAGGTGCGTTTGCATAGTGGCAATACAATAACAAATGCTAAAGCAATAAATAACCACCAGTATGCACTGTGTATACAACTACCTAGTTATCCAGAATTGTCATCTTCTGATAACTTCTATCTTCTAGAAGTAATTTCTAAATACTCAGAGAGCTGGGGGGAAGCCCAACCATGAGAGCTGCTCATCTAATTTCTCCTTTCGCCTTCTCTCTCACTGGCTGCCATCTAACACATCAACAAGTGGTAGGTGACTGTCCTGATTGCCTTTGCTCTCTATATGTCAGACTCCAGGTGTTTGCTCGATACAACAAAACTACAGTGTTTCCCTGTTTTAGAGATGAGTAAATGGAGCTATAATTTGTCCAAAGTCACTTCGCCTCTGCTAGCAGGGCTGGGATTTGAACTGAGGTCTGCCTGACTCCCAAATCCATGCCACCAGCCAAACTTCTTCATTCTTTAGGTTCTCAGACTACAATCACCAAACAACGAGATGAGTCCCACACCAGCCAAAGGAAAAATGAGGGCTGATAAGTGAAGGAAGACAGACTGAAACTACAGGACGCACCTGACTATACGTCACCTGATAAAATAGTGGATGTCAACAACAATGACCCTGAGTCATCTCTCATTTCTGTGTCTTCTGGTTATGACATCTGAGAAATATAACCATAAGAAATGATTAAAATAAAATACATTTACCTATTTAAAGAGGTAACCACTGCTTATCTGATGCATAGGGGGTCAGTGCAGAGAAGTGGCCTTGAGTAAGAAGAGCCGGGCTAAGGGAGCTTGGGCAAGTGCTCAGCCAATGGGAAAGCTGGTCCAGAGGGGTAAGGGGGACCCGGACTAAGGAACTGCCTGAGAAAACAGGAAGCAGCAGAAATATAAAACTCTGCAGAGGAGAAAAGGTGAGACATGCTGACAGATGAGATGTGAGAGCAAAGGAAAGAGGGGACTAGAACACATTTGGGGTGCCAGAAGGAGTGGGGCTCCACGAGTGAGAAGGAAGATGGGAAGTGGAGTTGAAGTGTTGGGGGAGGGGAGAATAGAATCTGTTTTCAACATGTTGAATTATGAGCACTAACGGGATATCTACGTTGAAATGTCCAGTGTTCAGCTATTCATACTGAAACTCTGAGGCAAGAAATTGCTTAATTTACTGAAGTGTCAGGAGCTAATGGTCTTTCCTAACCAGCACCCAGTTCCTACTTGCTAGGTTGAATTGTGAATGACGATCACCCACTTTGAAAAGGGAATGGAAATCAATAGGATGGGCTGGGCCTGCATGGGATTAACTGGAAGGGGAAGAGAGCAAGGTGACCCTGAACTAGTTCATGGGTAAGGCCAAAGACAGAGGGACACAGCCAAAAGACCAGAAGGCCAGAATGAGAAATAGCAAATGGGAAAAAGATCTAAATCAAAGGTTCATGCCCCAAAGGGACTAAGAGAATGGTGCTGCTGACGGTAAGAGCACAGGCCAGCTAGAAGGGCTTGGTTTGGGGCAGATTTTGTTTTAGGCATTAGTAACAACAAAGAGGAAATGTTCTATATGCAACAAGAAAAAAGCCAGGTTAGGGAATGGGCGCAAGGTCATGGGTGGAGATGTGGACCTGAAGGCTGTCATCAACACCTCGGTGGAAATGGAGTCCCCGTGGGTAAAGCTGTTTCCCAGGAGAAATGCTGTAGAAAGTAGAGCAGATGGCAAATCAAGTAATCCTCGGGGGCAGAGACATTGTCAAATAGTATGAGGAGGACAATATGAGTCACAGGGAAACATCAAGGATGAAATGATGATAAACACAATTAAGGGATTGATCCAGGAGAATGAAAACAGAGAAAGAGTGGCAGAGCCTGGCTGGGAATGAGCCAATAGCCCTCTTTTCCCACAGGGTCAGGAGCAGGGAAAGAAGGGTGCTCTCCTGGGAAGAGAACCAAATGCACCATGTCACGCCTCCTGCTCTTCCAAGAAATGTGGTTCTCTTAAGAACGTTCAAAATCTTTTATGTCATCTGCCTTGAATCTGCAAATGCTACCATAGGCTGTGTTTCTTTGATTGAGAAAACATCCTTTTCCTAACATTTGCAAATTCTCCACACATCTATCTACTTATTGACTCATTATTTGTCAGAGTTACATGTTCAGACTTAATTCTCTTTCTGCAAGCTGCTAACTTGGCCCCAAATAACTCCTTTTGGTAACTCTGCTATACTGCTTTGAATGAAGCCATCAACCACTGTGGGTGAGCCAGCCTTGCCCTGCAGTGGGTGAGTACAGACAACCCATAATTGTTTATCTACAGGACATGGTGTCAAGAGCTCATAAGCAATCTGAAAATTCCCAATCCAATCCAGTGCTGAAGCAAACACTGATAAGACACAAACGCTTTTTCAGCTTCTTTCTCCAGGAAACTGATGGGATCAATGAAAAGAAAATAAAACAATTCAAAGAATCCTTTTTGAAACAAGAGTGGCATTGGCTAATTTTTTTTTTTTTTTTTTTTTTTTGAGACAGGGTCTCACTGTCACCCAGGCTGGAGTAGAGTGGTGCAATCATAGCTCATTGTAGGCTCAACTTTCTGGGCTCAAGAGATCCTCCCACCTCAGTCTCCCAAGTAGCTGGGATTACAGGTGTGCGCCATCATGCCTGCCTAATTTATTTTTATTTTTTTATAGAGACGGGGTCTCCCTATGTTGTCCAGGCTGGTCTCGAACTCCTGGGCTCAAGCGATCCTCCTGCCTCACACTCTCAAGGTGCTGGGATTACAGGTGTGAGCCACTGTGCCTGGCTGGGTTAAGAACCTTATTTAGAAAAACACAAAACACCACTTTCTAAACATAGCATATGAATCTGCCAGGGTTGGGGTACCAAAGCACCACTGACTGGGCAGCCTAAACAGCAGACGCTGTCTCACAGTTCAAGAAGCTGGAGTCCAAGACCAAGGTGTCAGCAGGGCTGGTTCCTTCTGAGGGCTGGAAGGGAAGGGTCTGTTCTAGGCCTCCCTCCTTGGCTCACTGATGACTGTCTTCTCTGTGTGTCTCTTCACATCATCTTCCCTCTGTGTGTATCTGTGTCCAAATTTCCCTTTTAATAAGGACATCAGTTGTATTGGGTTAGGGCCCACCCTGATGACCTCACTTTAACCTGATTCCTTCTATAAAGTCCCTACCTCCAAATAAAGTCACATTCTGAGATATGGAAGGTTAGGAATTTAAGATATGAATTTGGCAGGGGGGAAACACAATTCAACCCATAACAATAGTTTTAAGGAAACCAAAAGCATTTTACTAAAGTATAATTTTCTCAGGTTAAATAATTACCATATTCCAAAAGAAGTCTCTTCGGTTTTCCCTTCTTGGAGATAAGACATTTCACTTTGTGCTTTCTCTATATCTTACCTTAAAGGACCTATAAGTTCATTTCAATTAGTCTAATATCATAGCTGGAAACAAGTAAAAGCATACTATCTACTTTAAATTAAGCTCTGCATGAGTTGATGTTACAACGCTTCTGAAAAAGGCCATATAGGAATGTATCTCTCAATCTACTGAGGAGCAACTGTAGTCACTTTGGTATAAAAGAGAATTGGAGCCAGGTTCAGTGGCTCACACCTGTAATTCCAATGCTTTGGGAGGCCGCGATGGGTGGACTGCTTGAGCCCAGAAGTTCAAGACCAACCTGGGCAACATGGTGAAATCCTGTCTCTACAAAAAACAAAAAAAATTAGCCAGGTGTGGTGGTGCACACCCATAGTCCCAGCTATTCGGGAGGCTGAGGTGGGAGGATCACTTGAAGCTGGGAGGTAGAGGTTGCAGCAAGCTGTGATTGCAACACTGCATTCCAGCCTGGGTGACAGAGTAGACCCTGTCTCTGAGAGAGAGAGAGAGAGAGAGAGAGAGAGAGAGAGAGAGAGAGAGAGAGAGAGAGAGAGAATTGGGAGTGGCTTATTAATAACACAAAAACTAGGTTTCCAGTTTTGATTCTGTGTGTGTCTGAGGCAGAACCTAAGTAGGCCCCAAAAGCCACCTCAAGAGTGGCTGGCAGTGGGCGGCCAAGTTCAGGCCACCCCTCTTCATGCCCCTCAGCATCGAGGAGGAGCCCCGGCTTGGTTCTTCCTCGTGTGCCCTCTCTCACCTGCCATCCACATTGTTCTGTTTTTCAACACTGCATTTTCTTTCCAATGGAGGATCTCAAGAAGACAACCTTTTAAATAAACGTGGTGGGATGAAAAAGGCAAACACCCACAAACTATGAAAACAAAATCAGCTGTACTTCTGGTTTCAACCCAGAGGAATTCCATTTAAATCCACATTTTTTCAAAGATCTAGAAGGCTGCTTACCTTGTCCCTGAAATGTTCTAAATAAGGACGGTTAAAGTTTCAGCAGTACCAGTTTTCAGGTGTTTGAATCACAAACCTTTACGAAAGAAAGCACCTTCCCTGAATTTTTCAGCCACTTCCTAACATGACATACCAATGTCCCTCCATTCACTACTGGTTCAAAATCCTCACTGACCACCTCAAGAGACAAGTAAACCAGACCTGCAGCAGATACTGAGGAGGCCAGGTGTGTGCCTGGCAACGGAAGGTAAGCCTCAGATGGACTTTTCCTATCCTTTAGAAATGTTTGGTAAAGTCTAAATCAAGACTAAAAATCTGGTAGGCTTTTTCTCTTCTGAGCAAGAGTGAATTTGTTAGCCTTAAATGTCTGGTACTATGTTGGTAAAGTAAAATGATGCGTTTTACTAGCCAAACACCCATTTCCGGCCCAGTCCACAGCTGAGGTGCCTTTTTGAGCTACCTCAGGTTCTACTTCAGAAATGTTTGTGGCACACAGAATCAGAACTGGAAATCTACTCTATTCTTTCCCATTTTGGTGTTCTTGTTACCATGTCACTGCAATTTTTTCTCTCTTTTTTTTTTTTTGGAGACAAAGTCTCACTCTGTCGCCCAGGCTGGAGTGCAGTGGTGAGATCTCGGCTCACTGCAACCTCCACCTCCCAGGTTCAAGCAATTCTCCTGCCTCAGCCTCCCGAGTAGTGGGGATTACAGGCATGAGCCAACATGCCCGGCTAATTTTTGTATTTTTAGTAGAGATGGGGTTTCACCATGTTGGCCAGGCTGGTCTCAAACTCCTGACCTCTGGTGATCCACCTGCCTTGGCTTCCCAAAGTGCTAGGATTATAGGCATGAGCCATCGCACCTGGCCCTAATTTTCATTTAAACTAAAAACTGTGTAGATTCTATTACTATGTGTCCTCCCAAAAGATATGTTAAGTCCTAACCCCCAGTACCTGTGAATGTGATCTTTTTTGGAAATGGGGTCTTTTCAGAGGTAATCAAGTTACAATAAATTCATTAAGGTGAGCCGTAATCCCATATGACTGGTGTCCTTGTAAGAGGAGACACAGACATACACACAGAGTGCGGGCCACACATCGACAGAGGCAGAGACTGGAGCAATGCAGCTGTAACCCAAGGGATGCCCAGCATTGTTGGGAGCCATCAGAAGCCGAGAGAAGGCAAGAAGGGGATTTACCTGGAGTCTTCGAGGGAACGTGGCCCTGCCAACTCCTCCAAAACTGTGAGAGAAGACATTTCTGTTGTTTTAGGCCACCTATTAATAGTTTGTGTTAATTTGTTACAGTCACCCTATGAAACTAGTACCCTCTGCAAAATAAGTCAGGATGTATTTCATTGAAAAGGCATGTCTGTACTCAAGCTATGATAAAGTATTTATAACAATCGCAAAGTGACGCTGGCCAAATGGCAGGTTGCCCTCTCAGCCTCCCGGCCTGTGTCTGTGGCCTCTTGGTTAAAAAGCAACAGAAGCATCTACAGCTTTACTCCCACGTTTTAGTCTTAATTCCTGCCAGGGCACTATACACCTCCTCTCCTTATGCAAATATATTTGTTCATTGTGATTGAGGTTTGACTTCAAAACAACAAAATTTCTAAGGAAGGCATCTAAAGTTCGATCTGTTCTCATCAGTGACGTCCACAGTTAAGAGGCCACAGACGGCACTTCCTCAAACCTGCCTTTTCTAAACCTCAACTTCTTGCTGAGTTATACAAAGGAACCAGGACAAAGGGCCGCCAAATGGGTTCTGCGCTCAGTGCAACACCTGTTTGCACACCCCTTGTACTCATGTTTATGTATTTCTTTGAGCATTTCTCTCACAGGCTGTTCTCTAACTGCAAAGAAAACTTTGTGAAAGATGTTTTGCAGACACAGTGATGCCGGGGATGTGAGATGCAGATAACCCTTTCCCCCAGGCTCTCTTTAAATACAGGATTCATTTCATCCCCTTCTTAAAGCACAATAATCCATCCTTCTTACTTGATTTAAATAGCAACTGCTATTTACAACAGGAGCTCCATGTTACAACTGTTTTGTTCCTTGGAGAATTGTTTCATTCCCCTCAGTTGCCTTTAACTGACACCTGACTAAACTCAATTAGGGATCACTTCGGGAAAGGTACCACCTCCACAACTCGCAGGGAGAGGGAAGAGCAGGAAGAAACGAAAGGAAGAAAGCTGGAGTGTGGGGAAAGTTGGCACGGATGCTGAGAGGAAAAGGAAAAAGAAACTAAAGATGAGAAAAAGGTGAGAAAAGAGAAGGCAAGTGAAATTATATTGGAGCACACTAAGAATAATAAAGTAGCATTGTAATGTGCTTTGTAAACTATAAAGCATAATAAAAATGCAATGTGGTATTATTTGCAATATTTAAATAGGTGCTTTTGTGTGTGTGTTTGTGGATATGAAAATCAGCTGGTACAGGGATCCCTTGGCAGGGCAACCAGTGGCCCATTCTAAGCTGTGCAAATTAAAGTGGGTTCTTTGGTCTGTTGCAAGGACATTTTTCTACTGTGAGTCACTGTCATCAAGCCAGTCCTGGCGTTATTACCCAACAACTCCATGGCACGGAGCCACTTACACCCAGTGCTGGGAGGAGGTGCCCACTCAGATAATACTGGTTCTTGTAGCGGGGCGCCTTCCCCACGTACATCTAAGATGTCTGATAGCTCTCCTATGTCTTGCTTTAAAACAGACAGGATGGCATTTGGTGATGTAGGCCATCCCTATCTTCATAGGGGTCTGTATTCCAAGAGCTAATTTTCAGATTGTTTCTGCATTCTCAACAACTAGGTCAGATGCCAGTGCTGCCCTTTCTAGCTCTGTGATCTCAGCAAGTTACTTAACCCCTTTCTGCCTCAATCCCCTCATCTCTAAAGTGGAGACAGTAATCATATTTCATAGGGTCCTTGTGAGGAGTAAATGAACATATATATATATAACTATATATAACATATATTATATATGACATTATATAACATATAATATATATAACATATTATATATATATGTGTGTGTGTGTGTGTGTGTGTGTATAAAATAGTGAGTCCCTGATATGGTTTGGATCAGTGTCCCCACCCAAATCTTAAATTGTAATCCCCAGTGTTGGAGGTGGGGCCTGGTGGGAGGTGACTGGATCATGCGGGTGGTTTCTCAAGAATGGTTTAGCACCATTCATCTTGGTACTGTCCTTGCAACGGGAGTGAGTTTTCTTGTGAGATCTGGTGGCTTAAAAGTGTGTGGCACCTCCCCCCTCACTCTCTCTTGCTCCTGCTCTGGCCATGTGAAAGGCTGGCTCCTCCTTCACCTTCCACCATGACTGTAAGTTTCCTGAGGCCTCCCCAGAAACTGAGCAGATGCTAGCATCATGCTTCTTGTACAGCCTGCAGAACCAGAAGCCAATTAAACCTCTTTTCTTTATAAATTACCCAGACTCAGGTATTTCTTTATAGCAATGCAAGAATGGACTAATACAGTCCTAAACAAGCGTTTAGTGAAAACTGAGGGGAGGGTGGTCAGCTAGCTCCCAGAGGCCTAGCTAACACAGAATAGAATTTACTTTCAAAGCTTCTGCATCTCTTTTCCATGTAACATTTTAACCAAAAGCACTATCCTTGGTCATAACTGAGACCCAGTTTCTATGTACAATATGCTTATTGCAGATTTGTATCTACTGTATAAACAATGATCTCAACTTTTTTGATTAAGCACTTAATCAGGGGAAAAGAGAACACTCCTGATATATGTGATTTTTATAATTAAAAATAATCTATGTTTTACTTTCCAATACAGTATTGTTAACCAAAAACACAAATATAGAAAAATTTAAAGGATAAAGTGAGATAAAATATACATATTCAAATTTTCTTCTGTATCCTAATACGTTGTCTTGCACCCATTACTTTGAAAAGCTGTGCTGTAATTCAGGTAAGCTAAGCCATGTAACTTAGAATTAGTCTTGGCCAAATGATCCACCTTGGACAATAAGAAGTACGCAAGAAGTAGCATTCTCAGGCAAAAGCCTTTCCGGCCAGTGTGTGACTCCTCTTTCCCTTATATTACGGTAACCAACCATGGTCTGGGGAGGAGCAGCTCCTTTGCCTGGTCAGTGAAAGAGGGTAACAAAGAGCAGAGACCCCAGCTGACCCAAGATGTGGCGCAAGTGTGAAGCAAACCTCTGTTGTTTGTTACTGCTGTACAACTTAGGCCATCCTAACCAGTGCTGGAATATTCGTTAATGCTGCCATCCCTAATGAGTCACAATTAACGTGGTTTAGTGTAATTCTATTGTGAGGCACAGCATGCTCACCTAGCAAAACCAGAGCACACGTTTTTAAAGACAACGTTAAAATTCCGAAATAGTTCAGTCCCTTTCTTCCATGTTTTAGCATCACTTCCATTCCCCAGGAGAATGCTTCAGGAGATCAATGTGTCAAATGATGAAACTACTCTCATCACCACCAGTGTTAGTGATTTCAAGTGTGCACGTACTAATCCCCCACCTAATAACTTTTCTGAACAAGTGGAAGGCACGGGATCTTCAGTGACAAATGCTCTGGTTTGGTTTGCAAACTTTGACGCAAATCACTCTCTGGTGACTAAAATTGGAAGATGCCCTACAGGAGTCTGGCACTGCTGCATACAGGCCTAAGTGCCCCCATGGGAGAATCAGCTTTTACCCTGGGCTGATGTTTTCTCTGGGAAAAATGGACTTTCCACACCCTGCCCCCTAAATGCATTCCCATGCTCCATGACGCCACGGTTGTGCTCTTGGTAAAGAATATTTAAGTTCTGACATCATGATAACCATGGGTATTATTCATGGTAAGCTCACAAGCCTGGGAAGGCACATTCTGTACTCTCTTTATCACTGAAGTCAGCAATGGTTTTAAAAATAGCATGGCTCACACACCCAGGGGACCACTGATTCATTAATGGCCAAATACACACTACTGTGGACTCCTAACTTGTATGGTGTTTTAGATTGTGATTTCTAGAATCAAGGCACACACATTTATCATTTCCCTCATAGGAGTGTTATGCTGTACTAATTTATAAATAGAGATCTGCAGATCCTAAATGAAGGAACCCTCAAAAATTACAAAACCAGGATTTGACAAGCCGTATGATTTGTGACTCCAAAATGACGTAAAATGTAATTAATGAGAATATCTACCAACTTGGTATAACTATGATATGTCATACCTAAATAAAGAGAGATGATGTTACAAAGATAATTGACACTAATCTTAGTGAAGTCTAGAAGTAAGTCATAGGTTTTTCACTGTCGAGGGGGGAAGGGAATATTTGATTCTAGATATCCCATGCAGGTTCTTTAAGAGAAGTATCCCATGAGCAGAGAATGTTTTCATGATTTATAAATACATTTAGAAGTACATGACGACTTAAGCCTTTTGCTTAAATTCTGTGCTAAATAAGCAACTTTCTCATCTCTTACTGGGATTCCAGAGAGGACCTTCTGACCAAGGAGAAAATACCTTGATATGTAGGCCTAGCTTCTCTGGATGCTAGGATTATCTCTCTTTAAATGATTCAGATTGATCCATCAGCCTTTTATAGAATTAGTTAGTATGAACCAGTCTTTTAGAACCCAATAATCCTTAAATTTATGGAGTCAAATTTCCAAATCTGCTAGGCTGAGGACTGTAGAGGACAGAGTGAGCAGCATCCAGGAATATCTGCTGAGCACCTACGATGTCCAAGCACCACCCCAAGAGTGGCAGGTGACCACTGGCATTGTGAAAGAAAGGGCTACCTGTTTTTCAGGTCAACAGGACGAGATGGGCCAAGGGGAGAAGAGATAACTGACCACAGAAGGAAGTCGCAACTGTTGCCCATTGAACGGTGCAGGCTTCAGAGAGTGGATGGAGTGCTCTCAGAGTCAGCGACCCCTTTACACACGAGAGTGCACCCCAAGGCGAAGCCAGGGGTGAGCTGAAACACAGAGGCCAGTGAGCACTGGGTTCCAGGGACAGATGAGACCCATTTTTATTTAAGATTCATAAGCCATCCACTGCCTACAGGACCTGGGATAGTGTGCAGATACAATACAAAGCACAATATGAAAATAAGATAAAACAGGACCAAACCCATCTAAGGGAACATCAGGAAGAATAAAACCATGCCTGTGGTTGAGGGCTCTGCATTGCAGTGAGTGACAAAAGGGTCTGGAAAGGCTGGAGTCAGCGTGGCAGGTCTTTGGTGCCTAGTTTCGATTTTGTTCTGTTGAGGAGTCACAGGAGGTGGCTGAGAGGGGAGGGAGGAATGGTACCACTTCTGAGTGGGAAATGAAAGCATGTGGCCAGGGGCTTGGCACCCACCATGAAGGCGCATCTGAGAGGCGATAGGAACCTGCAGGGAAGGTGCAGACAACAAACTAGAGGGATGACCCAAAGACCCTGGCACTGACAGGTAGGAAAGGAACCACGATAATGTGGAAGCCACAGGATCAGGTGACAGGAGAATGAAGGGAAGGCTGGTCCCCTTTGGCGTCCTTGCTGACTTCAAGTGGCAGAGGAAGGCATGACCTGGTAGACAGAGGGGCCAATGCCCTGAAGAAGCATTCACCAGGGCACTGCAACTCTGTTTCCAGAAGGGGCTCGCACACACCAGTGTCAGGGTGGCCAAGGTGCTTCCCTGAGGGAACTCCCACAGCAGGACGCGGAGAGCACACCCTCCTGGCACAGATGCCCTCTGCTCTGCCCTGATTCCCAGGGAGGGCATCTCCAAGGCCAGAGCTGACCTGAAACAAAATCAGCTCTCAGGCACTCCTAGGAGTTACTGTCCTGGGCCAATACCCTTTGTTGAAGCTGGGAGGATGCTATCGAATAACATAAAAACTTAATGCCTACGCTGGAGCTATGGAGTACAACAGGAACTACAATCCTACAAAACACAGCAACCCTTGCGGAACCACAAAGGCCAATCAAAGCCATTTACCCAACTAGGGTGCCTCATGTTACGCATAAGATATTAACAGAGAATGTCCGAATGTATGTTTTCCTTCCAACGGCTGGATGCAGGGAAGCTCTCTGGTTCTTTCACTAGCATCAAGTATACTCAATTTACTCCTCCAAACAAGCCACACAGGCCCAGCGCTAAGAGTCTTCCCTGTCAGTTCTCAAAAGGTGGTCAAGGGGTAGAAACTCTGTTGCCATCTTGCACCATACGGCTCTCAGCAGCTCGCCTTGTGGTCCTGACCTTGCCAGCCAAGCCCTTTTCATTCCGTTTTAGTTAAGCAGAAAATGAAGCTATCAGCTCCATTTCCACTCTCTCTGCATGAATTCATTTCCCTTTTCCATCCTGGCTCAAACTACATGGCTCATATAGTATTCCTACCGAGGTCTTACCTTGCTAAAGATTCTTCTCTTCTAAGACTTGCTGAATCCAAACAAAAAGGTGGGAGGACGTATGAGGATACATTCTAAGGGGCAACTTGAAATATAGGAAAGGATACAAGAATAATAAGCCCGTTGATTTCTTGTTTCCCAGCTTTTACACCCACAAAATCCTAAGAATTATTAAGGGATGGGGAATGTCTATGGAAGTGAAGTCAGTGACCCAGGAATCTGTTTTCCATACCTACTCATGCCATGAAATCCCATTAAGTCACCAGAAATCCCCTGGAGGATAAGCTCTAACACCAGTTAGTGAAAGAATAAAAATCACTGCAATTTGCTCATTACCCCAGCTTTTCACCCAAACCATGGCTGAAAATCGCTAGAAGCCCACCTTTCTCCTGGACTGCAGGAAAATGAGCTGCCAAGGGCCCTGCACATCCGGCCTCTGCTACACCAGGAGTTTGGGGCCGGAAGCTCCCCAGTGCCCCATTGGTCCTGGGCCGCATGAAGTGATTCAGAGCTACAGGGTCACGACTAAGCCATAAAATAAGAAACAAAGAACAAAATGAGCCTTTTCTTAGTTGCAAGCTAAAATTTGGGGAAAGTGATTAGAAAAAAGAAAAACAGTGCGGTTGCTGGGAAGGCCAATTTCCTTTTACTCACAGGAAATCTTTTCTGCTGATTTAAGAGCAGAGCCACACCTGCTCACAGACCAAATGTCAGCACAGGAGGAAGCTGCACCTTGAGTTATTCAACCAGTGACAAAAGCATTAAAACAATTCTGAGCTAAGGAAATTCAACCTGGGCTCCAGGGCCCAGACCCGATCCATCTGCACATGAGTTAGAGAAAGGATTCGAGTTTATGGAAAGAAAGGGCATAGGAAAGGCACAGGCTCAATTCAAGACTTAGCAGTCCTGTTTTATACATGTTCCCTGAGTACAGACCAGCAGATCTGGGCTCACAAACAAGACCCAAGACCTCCATTCTAAAAGGAATGAGAACTCCACCGGGTCAACTGACAAAACTGGAATGTAAACAGTGGCTCAGATAAAAATATTGTATCAGTGTTACATTCTCTTCAGTTGATCTCTGTACCATGTATGAGAGCGCCCTATTCTTGGGAAACACACGCTGAAGCATCGGGGGTAACGCGGAGCTGTCCAGAGGAGCTCTGTGTGCTGCTGAAGAGGTTCTGTAGTCTCTATTGTCTGATGCAGCCACACATGTGTCTATGCAGCCCTTGAAAATGTGGCTGGTGTGACTGAGGAACTGAATGTAAAGTTTTGTTTAGTTTTAATTTAAATAGCTACTTGTGGCTAGTAGCTACCATTCTGGATGGTGCCGGAATAAAGCACCATGATATTTGTAACTTACCCTCGAGTCATATAACGATCATTCGTGTGTCTGTATATACAAACACACCACAGGCACACACACAACAACCAAAAGAGCAACAGTGAGAGACAGCACATTCAAGGGCATGACAAAACAAATGGGGTGAAGTGATAACAGGAAAATCTGGATATGGGGTATAGGGGAGGGGAATCTGGGTATAGGGGTAGTCTTTGTACTATTTTTATTTTTGCAATTTTTTAGTAACTTGGAAACTATTTCCAAATAAAATGTTTTTAAATGTATAAGGATGAACATTTATTTATTAATCACTGAAATCTACCAGGCAAAAAGAGGAACTCATTTCCGGGCAGGGAATGGAACCCAGGATGTCCAAGACATTGGCAAATTTTGAATGAATATTGTGGAGGCCACAGGACACTCCTCTCTGAACACTGCTCCTCCACACCCATGGCACAGTGCTTCTCCCACAGTGGCAGAATAAATGCCCTCGCCCAAGATAAATTTTCTGACTTCTTTCCATCTGACCTCTAGCCTGTCCATGAAGGACTTGGCTACAAAGGTAAGTTTCGGGCAAGTTTTGTTTTTGAAACAGGGTTTCACTATGTTGTCCAGGCTCAAACTCCTGGGATCAAATGATCCTCCTTGCCTTAGCCTCTCTATTTGCTGGGACCACAGGTATATGCCACCATCCCCAGCAGGGCAATTTTTAAAGTAACAGCTTTATGGACATAACAACTCACATACCATAAAGTTCACATTTTAAAAATGTACAGTTCAGGCCAGGTGCAGTGGCTCATGCCTGTAATCCCGCATTTTGGGAGGCTGAGGTGGGCAGATCACATGAGGCCAGGAGTTCAAGACCAGCCTGGCCAACATGACAAAACCTCATCTCTACTAAAAATACAAAAAATAGCAGGGTGTGGTGGCACATGCCTGTAATCCCAGCTACTCGGGAGGCTGAGGCAGGAGAATTGCTTGAACCCTGGAGGCGGAGGTTGCGGTGAGCCAAGATTGTACTGCTGCACTCCAGCCTGGGTGACAGAGTGAGACCCTCTCCAAAAAAAAAAAAAAGGTATAGTTCAGTGGTTTTGAACACAATTGTGTGACCATCACTGCTATCTAATTTCAAAATATTATCATCACTCTGATTATCAGAAACCCCATACCCATTAGCAGTCACTCCCCATTCCCCCTTCCCACAGCCCCTGGAAACCATGAATCTCTACTTTCTATCTCTGCGGACTTGCCTGTTCTAGACATTTCATATAAATGGTATCACACAATATGTATATGTCCATCTGGCTTCTTTTGCTTAACATAAAATTTTCAAGGTTTACTCATGTGGTAGCATGTATCAACATTCCATTCCCTTTTATTGCCAAATAATATTCAGTGGACTATTACTGCACACTTTGTGTATCCACTTGTCAGCTTATGGACATTTGGGCTGCTTCTCCTTTTCGCTGCGATGCAACCATGTGGACACGTGTTTTTATTCCTCTCGGGTACATACCTGGGAGTGGAACTGCCAGGTCAGGTGGCGACTCTATGTTTAACCTTTTGAGGACCTGACACTTGTTTTCCAAAGTGGCCTCCTGAAGTCCCCAGGAGTCATGCAAAGTCCCCCAGAGGTCCCAGGCAAAGCGCACAGAAGGCCCTTCTGCAGAGATGCTGCCCTTCTGTCCTTCGGTAAAATACCAGCCTAAATTCAAAGCAGGAGTCAGGGTTTGTTTGATTTGAGGTAAATAAATTAGAGAAGCTGTGACTCGCTCAGTGCCAGCAGCATGCTTAGCCTGGTATCGCCCCGGAGAAAGAGCCAGCACCTGGCATGGCAGACGAGGGTTGGCACAATGCATGCTTGCTTGCCAGATGAAGAGGCGCTCTGTGCAAAGTGCAGCTGCAGCAGGACGCAAACTGGTGCTCTCTCTACCGTCCCTCACCAGGGCAAAGCTGTCTGTGCTCCTGGTCAAAGCCTCGGAGGACTTATTTGCTGTCATCCACACACTGTGCTCCGGAAAGTGCCTGCTCAGAAACTGGCAGGGAGAAGACCCGGAGGGAGTGAGGACCATGAGAAATCAGAGAGCAACTAGACAAGGAAGATATCAAAAGAGACGGGTCCTTCGAGGCCTGCACACCTGTTAGTCCTAATATATTTCAGAGCAAGGGATCAGACTGGTGCACACATGGGCTGAAGCCCAGGGAAGGAGCCAAGTCCACCACCAATGCAACTGGTGAGTCAGTATCAGGCATGTGTCCCCTCCAAGCTGGCAGTAAACAAACACTCACACTTCATGTTTGGGCACTGGACTAAATTACCAGGCAAAAGTACAAATTCCGGCCAGGCGCGGTGGCTCATGCCTATAATCCCAGCACTTTGAGAGGCTGAGATGGGCGGATCACTTGAGGTCAGGAGTTCAAGACCAGCCTGGCCAACATGGTGAAACCCCACCTCTACTAAAAATACGAAAATTAGCCGGACATGGTGGCAGGTGCCTGTCGTCCCAGCTACTCAGGAGGCTGAGGCAGGAGAACTGCTTGAACCCTGGAGGCAGAGGCTGCAGTGAGCTGAGATCGCGCCACTGCACTCCAGCCTGGGTGAGACTCTATCTCAAAAATACAAAGTACAAATTCCAAAGCTAGTTAAGCAAGCTTGGGGGTTGGTGAAGAGTTGGTGAGGAAAGGAGGATTTCTGCAGAGAAGAGCAGAAGTCCTGGAATGGCTGGCTCTCTCTTTCATTCCCTTCACTTTTCATCCATGTGTGCGCCCTGGGGAGACACTCGGTTTCATCTTAGAGTCACTGTGCTGAGCCTCATAGGCCTCTTCTTTCACTCTGGACCCCATCCTTCGTATCGTCCTGTCCTCTTGCAACATTTCACTTGTCCTTCACCTTTGCCCCCTCGGGACAAACTTTGTTGGCAGGCCTGGCATTATTTTTGTTTTTGAAGATATTGTATTTCAAAAGCAAACTGCTACATATTTAATAAAGAAAGCTCAACCACAGTTTGACGCGGTGGGGATGCAGAAGTGGCAGGCAGGTAGCTTGAGATCCTGAATATGTCCTACCAGTGCACAGCCTGTTCCCTCAGCCCCCATTAATCTCCACACTCTAGCCTGTCCCACCTTTGTTATTTCTCCAATTCCGTGAACGTTGATCAGTTCAGTATAGCTCTGAATTTTCACAGGTAACTCCTCCTGTCTCCTGTGCATTCATTTTCTCAGTCACTATTCAATAAATACTCAGTATGATCACCACCATTCACGTTTTGTTGTTTGTAATATGGTTCGTCTTTTGAAATCATAGATAAGTGGCACAGAACCTGGTATGATGAAAAATGTCAGAGAAAACAAAGATAAGAACGTGAACTTGATCTTTACATACACTCTCTCATCTAAGCCTCACGGCAACCCTGGGAGGTCATTATTATCATCCTCACCTTACAGAAGAAAGAGATCCAGAGAGACTGGCAGGATTCGCTCCCCCAAGGTCATGAGCTCGTAAAATCAGAGGACCTGAATTCAAACACATGTCAGTATGACCCTAATGCCTTTACATTTTCCATTAGGAATGTAAATGACAACATCTTTAAAAGTCATAAACCCTTACTCAGCCACGACATGGTTATAAATTGTAGAAAGAACAATGGAGTGGGAGTTAGAAAATTTGGCTTCAAGTCTGGCTTTGTGTTGATTTTGAGCAAGTCACTTAATATTTCTGAACACAGATTTCTTCTTCCATGAAGGAGGCCATGCTTACCAAACTGGGCTGAGTGTCCTGTGAGGTGCTAATATTTATTATGAAAAAAGAAGAAAAAAATGAGGTCAAAACAGTTTAAGAAATGCTGGGTTAAATCAAATAAAGCGGTTTTCTTTTTTGCAGGACTTCTCAGAGGCTTTAATATCGCAGTGCACACCGTGGATCTCCAAGAGGGATATACAATATGCTCTGAAGCCCAAATTTATTTACCAAAGGGAAACTTCTTTTTTTTTTCTCCATACAAAACACTTACTCTTTTTTGTCAGGATAGGAGATTGAAAAATAATGGATTGGATAATCCCCAAGGAATCTTTTAGCTCTAACAATGGGTAATTTTCTGATTTATCTTATCATTCCAAATGGACAGCAGATTTTCTGAGGGTAGAATGTGCTTTTCTATGAAATCAAGAAAATAGCAGCTAGGTAGGGGCATGCCAGAATGTTCAGAGAAGCAAAAGGAGCATGAAGACTCATCATAGACAGCTGTTCCTATAAAAGACTTGCACATCTAGGGGTATCTTCTCCCCTTTAAAATAAGTCAGCATCATCCAAATGCCATTGGGCTGGCTTTGTCTTCCAAAACAAATTTCCCGGGCATTAACAGAGACTATAAACTGTCTTGACTGACTTATGAGGAACAATCAATAACGTCTGTCCAGGACCCATCAAATCCATGTCTAAGGAAAGGCCAAGTCTTTAGGACAGAAACGTGGCATGGCAGTTTCACAAACTAGTGGAGATGGCTCTCTGGAGGACAGTCTAGGTGGGACTCCCAAGGCCTTCACTGCTTTGCAGGCACCTCTTCCCCAGGTGTGCAGGAAGAGACCCCAGCCAAAGAAAACCTAAGAGGCTTTGTTGGGGAGGAACAGGGGACCCTGCCGGACCCTGCAGGTTTCCCTTTCCCTACTGGCTGAAAGGGAGGGCTGCACACATCAGGGAGGAGAAATAGAGGAAGAAGATGATGGGCACAAAAGCAGAGGGGCAACAAAGTACAGATCACATCTTGGGGGCACAGGGTACAGTTCTCAGAATAGAGAAGAATGTCCAGGTCAAAGGTTTCCTAGAAAACTCCCTTCTCTTTAAAACAGACACATGATTTTCCTTGGGACATTTTTATATACAACTTACAACTGCCAGATCACTCTTGGAAAATCCGCTGCTCATCTTGGCAGTGGCAGTGGAAAGAAGCCAGTGTCCTTAGACATATCTCTTTGTGGGCCCCAGCCCCAACATGCAGGTGTCCATAGCACAGGACAGAGGACTCCATGCAGCCAAAAATCAGTGCAGTTACCCCCTAAGTCCTCCATCTAGAAAAAAATGAGACTTGGTAGTAGCCACTGCCCTGTGGATTCAGCCAGAGCCCATCTCTAGACCCCACCTATCCCCCTGCTGTTCCAAGTTCCAGACTGGGGCTCCAGGATCAAAATGGCTCAGGGCTTTGTGCTAAGAAGAGCTCTGAACAAGACATAAGGGGATGGTTTAAGACTCAGGATGCTGAGGATTAAGTGTCTGGGCAGTTAGTTCCAGAGGTCACCTAAAAGACTACAGGGTTCTGCGAGAGACCTGGAATGAGGAACTAACATTGATTGTATGCCTATTTAAAAGCCAGGTACAACATCCAGAGTATATAAAGAACTCTTACAACTCAATAATAAAAACACAACCTAATTTTTTAAATGAATGAAGAACTGAATATACATTTAGCCAGAGAAGACATACAAATGGTCAATATGCACAGGATGATCATTATTAATTATTAGGGAAATGCAAATCAAAAACACAATGGGATACCAAGAAAACTGAAAACATATGTCTACACAAAACCATGTCCACTAATGTTCACAGGAGGATTATTCATAACAGCCAAAAAGTGGAAACCACCTGCATGTCCATCAAGTGATTAACAGATAAGCAAAATGTGGTATATTCCTACCGTGAAACACTATTTGGCAATACAAAGCAATGAAGAACCGATACCTGCTACAACATGGATGAACCTCAAAAACATCATGCTAAGCAAAAGAAGCCAGACACAAAAGATCACACATTGTCTGATTCCATTTCAATGAAATGTCCAGGACAGGCAAACCCATAGAGACAGAAAATAGATTAGTGGTTGCCAGGGGCTAGAAGGAGAAGCGAATAGGGAGTGAGTTAACAGGAATGGGATTTCCTTTTGGGATGATGGAATGTTCTGGAATTGGACAGTGGTGCCTGATGTACAACTTAGTGAACAGGCTAAAAGCTGATGAGCTGTACACTTCAAAAAAGTGAACTTTCCGGTATGTGAGTTATATCTCAATAAAGCCATTTTAAAAATAGTCACAAAAGTAGATGCCTGATACATATTCTCACCCACCGGACCTGAAATACATATCATCATCCCATTTTACAGATGAGGAAACTTGAGGACTGGTGAAAAGCAGCTAATTGCCAAGAGGCCCGCTGCGAAGCCACGTGACGGACTTACGGCAAGTGGATTTTAACTAGGTTTGCTGACTCCGGAGGCCACGTTCTGCTCGCTTCACCACGCTGCTCCCTGCCAAGATGATAAGCTAACCAGCAACTGCAGAACGGTTCCTCTGGAAAAAAGATCACTCCCTGGACAAAGGATCACTGACCTACATAAAATGCTAGTGCTGGAAGTCACGTTAAGCGGCATCTCGCCAAATCCCTTCATTTCACAGATGAATAAGTAGAGTTTCAAGGCACTGTACTGACCTGTCCAACCAAAGCAGCAAGGCTGGTGGGCACAGTCACCCTCTCATTTTACAGAAGACAAGCTGGCGTATTGTTCACTGCAATTAGTTAGGAATCAAAAGGTAGAAGGAGTTCACCCGGTTGGGGCATGCAGGTCAACAGGCATTCACCAACCTTCAAACATGCCAGCCTCACATCCAGGTCCCAGCTAGAAGATCACTCGGGCCAGTTATAGCTCACATTATTCTGCGGTTACCCTGAAATTTCTCTTCTAACCCTAGGAGTGCTCTGAAAAGTCCCACCAGGGTGCGACTGTTCCAAGGATCCCTTGGAGCTTTTGAACTACTTAGCAGGAATGAGGAGTTCTGGATTTAGCATTCAAGTGTGAGGATAAAGGCTAGGGAGACTGAGGAAGCAACTATCCTCCCCCCGAGTCTAAAGTGACTCCATGGGGAACCACTTGAGAAGGAAAGGGAAGGAAGCTGAAGCCGGATTATTTCACACTGCAACCGCAGGGCCTCGAGGACTCTAAGTTGGGGGTCTTTTTATTGCCTGCTTAATGTCTCCAGGGAATGTCCTGTCTCAAACTTAAAATGTCCCAAATGGAGCTCATTACCCCACTGTTCTCCATCCCACAAATCTGTTCCTCCTCTTGTTTTCTCTTTCCCCCAGGACTATCATTCGCATTCCCCAGTGGCTGAGGCTAAGCACCCTGGCTCACCTTCCACACCCCCCTCACCCCCCAACTTCCAGGCAGTGGCCAGGCCTGCTGGCTCGAGCTCTGCCTCCACTTGCCGGCTGGAATCACCTCCTCCTCTGCATGCTCACTGCAAGCATTGTCCTGGGGACTCAGTAAATGTTTACTGAATTGAGAGGTCAATCCTACCCACTACTAGTTAAGTCTTTCACAGCAAGTAGCAGCCACGATTATTTCAACACAGAAAAGGAGAAAAAGAGGAGCTGGATGACCTCGTGTAAATAGGTGACAGAGAGGTTATTAAAGCAAAGCTCGAGCCAGGAGGAGCAGAGCAGATGGGGCTGTGAGCCACTCTTTGCACGCATCCTGCTGGAACAGAAAGGCACACCAAGACACCAGGGCTACCAACTGCATCTGCAAATTATTCATTATTTCAGTGCAGTCCCTCTGAACTCTCCATCTGCTGATGGCTACTACAGTCAAATAATTACATTCAAATAAAAAAACCTGTGACCTGGAACTTGTTCCAGTCAGCCCAAGTGAGACACCCACTGTCCCCCAGCCGGGCCTTGTGCACCCCTGTGTGGGGCAACCTCGAGCTTGCTCCCTAGCCACCTTTCCAAATCAAGACCATCCTTCAAACCCCAGATCAAATGATGCATCCCTTGTCACTGGGGACCTCAGGGTTTTCTCTTTGGGCCTAACAGTGCTCATCACGTATTACCCTGCATCGCTTGATGTCTTTTGTTGCTTGGTTTAATCTTGCCTGCAATGAGTTTAAGAGTGCTTGGAAAAGACAGCGACTGTGCTGAAGTGGCTAATGTATGTAAAGTATTAAGCTCAGAACTGGGCTTGGCACACTGTAGGCACTACCAATATAAGCATCAGCTACTGACTACTTATTGATGTCCCCTGAGTCCCCAAGCATGATGCTGCACATGTGGCACAAGCTACCAAATCTGCTGGAGGTTGACAACAGGTTTCTCGCACCTCTTTTATCTTCCTAACCTCTACTCAAACTAAAACTCCTGCCCTCCAATTCAATGCCAGGAATTCCATCTGCACATCCACCAACCTCACCACTCAGTCAGGTGGCTCAGCTCCTTCCTTCTAGGCTATCCCTTCACTGTTCAGAGTCCAGTCGGCCAAGGTGACGTGGGCCAGGGGAGAGGCAGGCTGTAGCCTGACATAGCGTGTCTCTGCCTCACACCCCTCGCTTGTCTCGGGGTTAGAGATATTATAAGACTTGGTGAACCATTTGTTTCTTTCTGAAATCAGAATGATAACTAAGTAGAGCTAGAAAAAGAGGCAATTTTTAAATTATACCACGCACTGAGCCAAAGCCGCTGGTGATACAATGACAACACTCATTTGTCCAGGGCTGGCCAAATCAGTCACAGGGACCCCTTTTCGGTGTGAAACTGCACCAAATACTGCCCAGTTGGGGTTCCATCTCAGATTCTGAGATGTCCCATGTGACTACTCTCCAAACGGCATCCTCTGGTCACACTCCCTGCAGCAGCCATCAATTCAGGGGCTGGAGGCAGGGTGGCAACTGTGAAGAACGCAGAGGTGGCTGAGCCTCAGTAGCTTTTGACAGGCATCTGCAATCAATAAGTCTAGTATGACAGACTCAGGGGAAACCCTCCTAGCTTCGGAGAAGGTGGTCTGCATCTGGACGTTCCCACCTTCCTAGCGTTGGGACTAGCGGCCCCTCTGGGTACATCAAGGGCCGGCACTTGAAACCTGCAAAGAAACATCTCGGTCTGCCCATATCCAGAGACCCAGCTTCCTGGCTTTTCTTCAAGTATCTTAATCTACCCCATCTCTATCGAGCACTAAACCAGTCGAAGATACTTTGGGATCAGAGAAGGAACGGCAGACAAAGCCTCACATTAAGCATCTCTTTAGTAAAGCATCCAGAAAATTCTGCCTGTGTTACTTCACTTTTACTCCCACCTAGGCCCCTGTGGCTGAGGACAAGACCACACACAAGGGCACTAGCCAAGCCAGGGTGACCCATCAGCCCCAGCCCTCCTGTGGCCTCCACTGGATATCCAGGCACCCCCGGTTTTTCCCTTGGGTCCCATCCCACCACTATTCTGGTGATCTGGAGCCATACTGACCAACACATAGAATTAGCTAGCGGGCACAAGTGGCTATTTAAATTTAAATTAATTAAAATAAAACATTGAGTTCCTCGGCCCCACTGGCCACATTTCAAGTGCTTACTGGTCACGTGGCAAGTAGCTACTGTGGGAGAGAGGGTGGACCGAGAGAGACATCAGTACGGAAAGCTCTATCAGGCAGAGCTGTTCTAGATGGTGACATTTAAACTTGCAGGTGGCCAATTTTTTTTTTTAACTGTCACTTTGTGGTCTTGAAGAAAATATTTTTCCAACCTGAAAGGACAAAATTGCTTTCTCTAAAAAACTCAGTGAGGGAAAAGGTCACCTCCACGCAATGACCTTCACAGAACACCCGTGTTCTTCGGAAGCTGGTCTGCCCATCTGAGCCGCTTCTCTGCTTTCTATGACACTTTTGGAACCCTCAGCCCTACATCCAGACTCCCACGCTCCGATGGAAACTTTAACCAAAGCATAGGAGGGGCTCTAGCTTTTCTTCTGGAATTTGTAAGTCACTGTTTTTCCATGGGCCCTACGTTACTTTATTTGGCCTAGTATAACACAGCACCACAAGCTGGGGGGCATAATCAACACAATTTATTATCTCACAGTTCTGGAGGCCAGAAGTTCAAGATCACGGTGTCGACAGGGCCGGCTCCCTCCGAGGCTGTGAGGGACGGTGTGTTCCATGCCTCTCTCCTAGTTTCCGGTGGGCGCTGGCAATCTTTGCTGTTCCTTGGCTTCTATGCCTATTAACCCAGTCTCTGCTTTCGTGCTCATGAGCCATGGTCCCTGTGGGCGTGTCTGTGTCTGAATTTCCCCTTCCTATGAGGACACTAGTCATACTAGACTAGGGGCCCACCCTACTTTAGTGGGACCTCATCTTAACTAGCCACATCTGCAATGACCCTATTTCCAAATAAGGTCACATGCTGAAGTACTGGGGGTTAGGACTTCAACATGTGAGTGGGGAGGGGGACACAAAATTCATCCCCTGACAGGCCCTCAAAGCCTCAAAGAAAAAGCACTCCTCCTGGCCCACCATCTGCCTTCCATTTTTCTATTAATATGAAAAGATTTGTAAGAAATTACTGGCTACTCAGCTTTGTGGGAGCAGCTGGTGACCCCAGGCAGAAGCTAACACCACATGAGGCTATTTCCATGATACACCAAGTCATTCAAGCCCACTATCCTCGATTTAACAAGGTCCAAGAACAAAAACCTGACCTTGAATACAGTGTGAAGGAAAAACTGTCACAATTGTCATGGTCACAAGTAGAGTGCTGGGGAGTTCCTCCAAGTTCATCAAACCGCCTTCTTTTACAGGGATGTTCTCTGGGTGATGTGGCAAAAACAAATGAAGAAAGTCCCTCCTGACCCAGACTCCTTAACATACTGCTGGACGGTCACTGTCATCATACAAATCACTGCCAAGCTCATCAGACGTGATTGTCATGAACAGAAAGCTATCCACCAGCACAGTGGACCCAGAAAGGTGCTGTGGTTCATGGCCCACATCACGTGTCTGGGTTATAAGACACAGGTGAATTACCTATGAATTCAGGCAGCATGGAACAGAAAAAACCAATAAGCTTTAGTGCTAGAAAACCTGGCTTGAATCCTAGCTTTGACACTTAATAGATAAAAGATCTTGCACAAGTGAATTTGTCTCTCTATGCCTCAGTTTACCCTGCTGGAAAATGCAGAGCCTGAGATCTACTTCACATCAGGCTAAGAAAGCTCTCTGGATGGCCATCACTGTGTTAACTAGCATTTACTGGGCGTGGATGACGTGTTCACGGCAGCTCCCAACAGGTCTGAGGTAAGACGCCGCTATTATCCTCGTTTGCTGGGAGAAGACTCGGGCTTAGAGCCTCTGATTACACAGCTGCACTCTAACCATTTCCTAATACTGCCTCTCAAAGGAGGTCAGCAGGTGAAATAGTGGCAGGCTCTATAAATGCTTGTTCCCTGCACCCTCCTCTGGTATCCGCCACGCCGCACAACAGTTCATACTGTCCTGGCACTGTCCACTCCCAACATCTTCACAAGGACAGAAGATCATCAAAAGTGGTTTAGAGGAAATAACACCTCTGCCAGGACACAGTCATTCCCTCATTTGATATTTCCCCTAACTCTCTTCCCTAACCTCTTCCCACATAACATTCCTGACAGCTGGGAGAACATCGCTGACCGCTCTCCAACCTCCCGTCCAGACCTGCCTCTGTCTATCTGCTCCTTCTCACCCTCTGTTCATCCCCTGGAGACATTAATACAGAAACCAACTGTCTGGCTTCTGACCTCCATACTCTTTTAAAATTGCAGTATAAAGATGACGGTGTCCCTGGGTAAATGGTGGTGTCTTGGTTATGGCCTCATGGTTTTAGCAGTTAGGCTTTGTCCCTTGGAGTGGTTAAATAAAGACAGACATTAGCACAGTTTTCCACCCAATTATCCTATTTACAAAAATAGAACTCTCCTCTGTGAGCATTTTAAATAGAGGCCTTAATTTCCACAGATGTCAACCTTACCAGGTCGATTCCTAAAGCCTCAATTGATGAGCTAGAATACAGCATGGTGGGCAATGGAATCTACCCTCAAATGATCTCTTCCTATATATATAGTATTTTGGATGTATACATCTATTCATAAATATACAGATATATTTACACACATAGGCACACACATGCGTGAACACGCCAGTTAAAAAAAAGTAATAGTCTTGAAGGTTGTCTGATAGGCACGTAGACTGGCAGTTCTGCTGAGTGTTTTGGGTCTTTGTGTTGCATCAAACCAGTAGAAGGATAAGAAGAAGTACTCAGACCTGTTATTTTGGCCTTCCAGGGAATAACATTTGCTGAGTTGCATTTTCATGTTAGGCCTTGAGCTTCCAATGAGGACTGCTGTGAGAAGAGCTGTAAGAACCCAGTTTTTCATCTGTTGTGGGGATGCCAAACACCCTGTTCATGATACCTCTCAGTGCTTCCTAGATAAAAGTCCACATGCAAAATTTAGTTGAAAAGAACTAAAAAAATCTTTGCTCCTCTTGAGGACCTGGTGCACCTTCCTTCTCTGACAGCAAGAATGACCGCAGCGACCACATTTGCCTTTTCTCTTTGATGTTATGAAGCTCAGCTAAGTAGCAATGTAAGGGACTTATTGTCTGCATATCTGTAATTCTTTTTCTTCCTAACTTTGAACTTCTATATTTATTTGTATTTATCCTGATCCTGTCCTAAATTCTTTTATGTATCATATGGTTTATTGCAGTATACGTATTTATACTATAAAATCAATCAAAAGTTGTAAAACAAGGTGAATTACAAATAATCAAATAGAACTTAATTAAAATAATTACCATAGTAAACACAGCCAAATTTAGAGAATAGTATAGTTAAAAAACACTACAATCAGAGTGAAACATTTAAAAAAAAATGAACATGTTGAAGCAGACACTGTAAGTTGCCTTCCTAATAGCCATTCCCTCTTTCTCTTCTGGAGAGACAGGATTTAGTTTAGATGTCACTCTCCCCACCACCACCTCCAACCACCTTCCACCTCCCCTTTGTGTGACTCAAGAACCAATCCTGGCTAGTCTAAGCTAATTGTTTGCTGTGCCTGGGAGTGAATGATCTGGGCTAGGCATGTTACCCAGTTATAGCCTATAAGAAGGGGAGAGAGAACAGCTGGGACCTTTGGGGAAGGTTCCCTTATTTGATGAATGATTTGGAGGGAGGGAGGGAGGGAGGGAGGGAGGGATGGATGGATGGATGGTTGGATGGATAGATGGATGGATGGATGGATGGATGGATGGATGGATGGATGGACAAACATATTTCTGCTGGGCCAACCATGCACACAAACCATCACTTAGTGCTAGGCACTAAACTGCATGCATTGAGAGATATGAGAGTAAATAATTAATGACTAAGGGCTTGAGAAGGCAGATGCCATAAGAATCACAATCTTCTTCAGAAGACACCCCAAAGATAGACCTTCCAGATTCTCCCAGGGATCATGTTAATCTCTGAGAAACATGTTGAGAAATTCTATGTAAGTACCAAATTTATAATCACTACATACAAATAGCTCTTGCTCTCCCACAAAGATCACAGAAGGAAGGAAGGATGGGAGGAAGGGAAGAAGAGAGAAAGGGAAGAAGAAAAGGAGGGAGGAAGGCAGGCCAACCAGAAAAGTTTACTGCCCCTTTCCAAAGTATACTTTGTATATTCTCTGGATTAGGTAGAATTGCTTCCATATTCAAAATCAATTGTAACTGCTCTCAGGCCACTCACAACCTTGCTTTTCTCTAAATACCTTTTCTCTAAGAGACACCAGCCATGCATGTGCCTGTGTGCACACACATGCTCAGAAGCTATTTCAAATGGTCTCCAACCTCCTCAGCCCCCCACCCCACAGGGGCAGCTCCTTTGCTAGAAAAGGGACTGAAGTCCAAGCTGTTTGCTGCATCCACTGGCTCCAGTGTCCCCCAGACACCTGTCATCGCCCACCCTGGGAGCTCTTCTCCACTCCCCAAACTATCTTGTTCACAGCAAAATAAAATACTATTCTTTTCCACTCTAATAAGATGCCCTCTGTCCGGCCGTGCAGAGTCTGTCTCGTGGTTTATCACTACTCAACGTGTCTGCATGTGATTTTCTCCCTCACCTCTCCCCCTTCTGCACCAAATCATGCCCACCTCCCTTCTGAACTGCTGGAAACCAAAATCTTCCTGAAAGCACCCCAAGCTAACTTATGGGGTTAGGATCACCACACCCAGGATTCCCTCAGTCCTCCTATCTTTAGACTTCTTTTCTTTTTGAGGACACGATTCTCCAAAGTTAACTTCTATAAAGCAAATCCTATTTCTCACTGACCCATATTTTACCAAACAGCTGGCACTGCTTTTTTCACAGCTGAAAAAAAAAAAAAAAAGAAAAAGAGAAAGAAAACTCTGCTGAAGCACATGGAGAACCGGCCACACAGCCCTGCTGAAGCATGAGGGATTTTCCTTCCCAGGACTTTCCAGGCTCAAAATTCCTGAACTTCCCACATTAGTCAAATGCTGCTGCTACGGGCTGGACTTCTGCACATTAGATGTCATCGTAAAGAGAATCTAGGTGACAAACGAGGCAGAAATGAGCACAAGTTTGTCCCCACCACTGGGAAATCAATTCCCAGTGCACATCCCACAAGAGGGTGGTCTAGGTAGGCTTGGGCAAGCACAGGTATGCCTCTGTCCCAAGGTTCTCCTGTCCCTCTTTACAGTAGTCAGATGGGCATGGTTGTTTTCTATTCCATTCTTGGCTGAACCAGTGGGCACAGGGCTTTGCACACAGTGGGCCCCCCAGTGCTGCTGAGAGACTGACTTCTGAGAGGGAGGTGATGGAGACTGAGGCTGCCTCCGCAGAACAGAGGGCAGCTGCATTACCAGGCATGCCCTCTGAGAGGCCTCTGCTTTAAGCTGAGTGGCAGGTAATAAAAACCCAGGTTCCAAAGGAGCTTAATCGAGGGTGCTGGCGTGGCAGCTGAACTGGAGATCAGAGGGGACCAGCAACCACGGGAGCCTTCCTACATGTCACACCATTCCTTGGGACCAGCAGTGACTCTCTAAGGATGAACCACACCATCGCACACATCTGAAGCTGGGAGTGGACGAGGAGAAGGGGGAAATCTTCATGGAGAAAGACACCAAATGTCATGAGTCATAAAGCAAATTCTGACTTGGAACCATCGAGGGAGATTATCTTTCAGCTCAGAGTGCATTTTTTTCCAGCAAGATACAAAAAGCTTCATGGATCATAGTAACCAGCTTGCCTGTTATTGAGTTGAGCACAGTAGGGAAAATGCAAAGGTAAAGTGTATGCTTGCAGAGTGGCTCTGAACACTTCTGAAAATGATCACTCAAGGGCTGGAGGGCCAAGGGAGCGTCTCTGCGAGGGCAGGCGTGCATACACACCAGCGGCCCCCAGCCAACGCCCTGACCCAGTACACATAGGCAGCAAAGGAGGTGAGCCTTTCCCTTTAATTATGCCAATTGTGAGATGGGGAAGGCGCCAGTGGAGAAGGCATTTAAAGCAGATTGCCCCATTTAGGGAGATATGATACTTGGAAATGAAGACTGGCACTTTTCCTAGACTAAAGGTTGTGCTGAATGGCCAGAGAGCAGGAGGGCAGCAGCCCTGCCTGTGGGGCTTCCACCTGACTTCAAAGACGGGCGCCACGCTGGAGCCAGTGCACAACACAAAGGGAAGCGGGGGCTCGAGGCCCCAGGCTGCTATCTGCTCCAATTTAGGGGACAGTCCTGCTTCTTTCCAAGAGACACCCTTTGGAAGTGGGGAGAAAGTAGCTAAACAGGCCTGAATGGGAGGGCTAGAAAGAGGAGATACTGCACCTCAGGCCTTGCCCTTTAATTTCAGAGCCATTTTAAGCATAAATATCGTATCTAAGTCTCCGATAGAAGGAGCACAAATGGTAGGCGCTCAATTAATGTCATCTCACTTTTGAGTCAGAGAAACATCTTCACTTTGCATTACTGCTGAACAGAACTGAGGGCCATCAAGACCACTTTGTGGAGGCCATAAGGAAAAGACCTAGAAACGCATGCTTCAGACACATTCCACCACATCAGGGCTGAAACGAGCAGCAGGAAGATGTCTGTGCACAGAGCAAGAAAGCTGGTTCCACCAAAGCCAGGTTAGAATATAGATACATGTACATGTATATACACATAGAAAAGCTAAGTGTGTGAGAGAGACAGAGAGTGTGTGTGTGCAGTATGTTAACTAAACCTCTTACAAAAGTCATTAAAATTTTCTAAAAATTAAATTCTGAACAATAATTAGTTTGTGAAACCAACAGAACAAAGTGCTAAGAGCCTGAGAAAACACCATCTCTTCTTTACATAGATCACTGAGGACTTGATAAGAAACTTCCTCTGTCACACAGCAGCCTCCGTGGGCAGTGGGAGGGGAGCTGAAGGGGAGAGAAGGAGAGACGATGATGGAATTCGAAAGCTAGGAGGGGCTTCCAATACGTTCTCTTGCTATGGAGGACACAGGTGATACGGCTTCTTGGAGATCACACAGCGAGTCTCTGATTCTCTGACTACAGCCTGGATGGTTCATACGGATGATACCACCACGGCACAGAGATCTCCATAAGTACTTTAAAAACAACATGCATTGGGTGATCTTTCTGTTCGGATACTGACTCTCAGGGAAGACGGCCTCACTTCCAGCATGGGGGGGATGCACATCCTGGTCAGTTTAACTCAGCCAGGGCTCATCTTCTTCCTGTTGTCAATGACTTGACTTAGGCACTGGCACACACCATCAGCCTGGTCAACGAGGTGTGAAGGGAGGTCTGCAGGAAGCTTCTGGAAAAGGTTTTCTTGCTTTAAAGAGATGCTCTTTTTCCCATGGACACTGTTGAGTTGGATGTGATGCCTAGAACTGTGGCAGCCATCAGACCGACATACCACAAACCATGGGGCAGAAATACAGAAAGAACATCAGTTTTTTACAACCAACCCTGGAGCTGATGACCTCAGAACTTCTTGTTAACCAGTCAGTCAGTTTTCCCTTTTGTTTATACACTTTGTGTTGGTTTCTGTCCCTTGAAGCTAAAAGCATCTTAACCAATAATCTACTAATAAACAGACCATGAAACAAAAAACAATTTGTTTTCTACCATCCTACTCTCTCTGAAGAGAAACAAGGTCTCCTGAGCTGACGGGGAAAATCCCCACCTAACTCTTTTTCCCTGCTTCTTCCTTTTTTCTCCCTCAATGGAACTGTAAACACGCTCAGAACTACCAGCCTCTCTGAGAAGAAGCCTTAAAGATGCTCTGGTCCCACATCCATGTTCTGTTGGATGCCAGTCTCCGGCAGTCCCTTCACAAGGCACTCATCTGGAATACCTCCAGTACCAGAGAAATCGCAGGCCCCATGGATGTCCACATGTGGAGGGCTTCGGTACGGTGTCCTTCCTTAGGGCCTGGTGGGAATCTGCCTCCTGTGGCTTTCCAGCCATTGATTCGAGTTGCACCACAGCTACCTTCTATTATCCATCTGCCCTTCAGATACTGCTTCTGTATCATACAGCTTAATTCTCAATTATTATAATTCCTTTCAGACAAATGTTTTCTTACAGGAAATGCATATTCTTCTGAGCCATGTTCTACCTTCCCCATCTCTCAGGCTCAGACAGTTAGAGAAATCAGTCTGTCCCATTTAACCAATGAACGAATGAATCAGTCAACCAATCAATCTCCCTCTGTCTTTTTCCTATCCCCAACCCAAACACGTCTAATAATATAAGGGTAATAATAATCTTAACAGTCACATATTTTGAAAGAAAATTGGGGCAATATAAAAATCCAATATTGTCAATCTCAAAATCCTTGGATAGTGTCCAAAAGTCTCCTGCAAACACACACGATCTGATTTAATTAAAATACCTTTCTTCAAACACTGACATTAAAGAGAAATATTTCTTCTTCAATATTATTTTTCTGATATTTAATTATTTCCCTTTTCCTAAAAAGTATATGTATTTCAGCTGTGTTCTCTCTCACTCTTTTTAAAAATTACTAGACTTTATTTAGTTTTTGTTTGTTTGTTTGTTTGTTTTTTTGAGACGGAGTCTCGCTCTGTCACCCAGGCTGGAGTGCAGTGGTGCAATCTTGGCTCACTGCAACCTCTGCCTCCCGGGTTCAAGCAACTCTCCTGTCTCAGCCTTCCAAGCAGCTGGGACTACAGGCGCATGCCACCATGCCTGGCTAATTTTTGTACTTTTAGTAGAGATGGGGTTTCACCATATTGGTCAGGCTGGTCTCAAACTCCTGACTTCAGGTGATCCACCTGCCTCAGCCTCCCAAGGTGCTGGGATTACAAGCATGAGCCACCGCATCCAGTCAGACTTTATTTTTGTAGAGCAGTTTTAGTCTCACAACAAAATTGAGTGGAAGGTACAGGGAGTTCCCATACACACCGCCTGCTCTCACGCATGCATCAACTATACTCTCCCATATCTCCTTTAAGGCAAGCTTGAGACCCAAATCTTAGCTGATAGCACTTTATTGTTAACTGTGATGTGTCCACACAACTAGCTTACAAAAGAGGTTCTGGAACACAGCCCTTGGTAAACCTAGAACTTGTAAAATACATATGAACTGATCCATCTCATTCAAAACTCCCTTTTCCCAGGCCCAGAACTTTACCTAATTTCTCACCTCTATCTTATACATATTACTAAGTAGTTTTCAATAACAATTAGAATCTAGAGCTAAAAATCATCCTCCTGAAAAGATGAGACACAGACACTTAGACATATGTACCAGCAACTCTCAATCATTCGTTTTAATGTAAGAAAAAGGAATATTGACCAGCACAAACCACATATCAGTCAAAACTGCTTTTACCAGGCTTTCCCGGAGGAAAAACTCACCCTGTAATTATGTTTCACCTAGGAAAAGATAAAAATTAATTTATATATGCCAAACTACATTTTAACTTTAAAATGTAGAGGTGGCCTAGAAGTATATTAAATCCAAGCATTCATTCAATAAGCATTTATTGAGTACCAAATATTTGCTAGACACTTTGGGAGGCACTGGGGATCTGGAATTGAAAGCCAGCCTCCTGCACTCATGAAATCTCACAAAAGAGAACTAAATACATATAGAAATCAGCAAATCTGAGCCACAGTGGTACCCTTCACACTCACAAGGATGGCTATCCTAAAAAAAGGCATGCGACAACATGGATGAACCTTGATAACAAGCTAAGTGAAAGAAGCCAGCTGCAAAAGACCATGTATTGCATGATTCCATTTATAGAAAACGTCTTGAATAGAAATTTGACTAGTGGTTTCCAGGGGCTGGGGGAGGTTGAGAAGGGGGAATGACTGCTAATGGGTACAGAGTTTCTTTTTGGGGTGACAAAAATGTTGTAAAATTAGATAGTAGTGATGGTTGCACAATTTGTGAATATCCTAAAAACCACTGAACTATACACTTTGAATGGGTAAATTACATGAATTATATCTCAATAAAGCTGTCAAAAATACATGTGGAAATAAATAGTCCTCATATGCAAACAAGAGGAGATAATGAAAGATATTATTTACAAGGATTAACTTAAGACATGTATACAACCTATATACAGAAAACTTTTATACATTACTAAAGTACACACAAAAAAAGAACACATAGAAAACATTGTCTTTGACGGGAAGACTCAACCTTGTAAAGATGTTAATTCCTCCTAAGAAATTTATAAATTTAATGTGATCCCAATGGAAATACCAACAGGCTTTTTTTCTGGAATCAAGAATGTTGGGTCTAAAGTTCATATGGAATAACAAACATGGAGAATAGCCAGGACAAGGCTGAAGGGGAAGAGCAACGAGGGAGAACTAGTCTTTTCAGATATGAAAAGATGATATAAATTTCAAACATTAACAACAGATCAACCCATGGAAAAACATAGAGTCCAGAAATAGACTCCCAGACCTATAGGAACTTAGTAAATGATAAAGTAGGGGTTATGATACTATGGGAAAAATATAAACTTTTAAACAAATAATGTTGGGACAATTGAGTATTGAAAAAATATAAAGTTGCATCCAAGCCTCAGAACATACTCTAAAACAGGGGTCCCCAACCACTCCCCACCCCGCCCTGGCCCGGCCGCAGACTAGTACCAGTTCTGGCCTGTTAGGAACCAGGCCACACAGCAGGAGGTGAGTGGCAGGTGAGTGAGCATTACCGGCTGAGCTCCGCCTCCTGTCAGATCAGCAGTGGCATCAGATTCTCACAGAAGCATGAACCCTACTGTGAACTGCGCATGCGAGGGATCCAGATTGTGCGCTCATTATGAGAATCTAACTAATGCCTGATGATCTGAGGTGGAATGGTTTCATCCTGAAACCACCCCCACCCCCAGTCCATGGAAAAATTGTCTTCCACAAAACCAGTCCCTGGGGCCAAAAAGGCTAGGAACTGCTGCTCTAGAAGAAACACCAAACGTACCAAGATGTAAACAGAAAAAAGTAAAATTACAAAAGTACCCAAAGGAACTGAAAAATATGAGACAGGCAAAGCCTCTCCAACTTTGACTAAAAATACAGAAGCCATAAAAAAAATAAATTTGACTACATAAAATGAAAGAGACTTCCAAAGGGCAAACCACCACCACTAAGTAAACCAAAACATGCATGATCAACTGGAAAAAAAATGCAACTCATAGCAAAGACTATACATAAAGAGCTTTCAGAATAAAGAAGAAAAAGACCAACAACATAGTGGGAAAATGTCTGAAATTCAAAACACACTCCACATAAAAATAAACACAAAATGACATTTAAATACATGAAAATATGATCAACCTTACTTATAATAACAGAAATATAAATTAAAGCTATAACAAAATACCATTTCTCACCTACCAGCAAAAATCCAAAAGTTTGACAACAGATTCCATGGGTGATGTTCTAGGGAAACAGGCACTTTCACATACTGCTTGCATGAGTAGAATACGGTATAAACCCTACAGGAAGAATTTGTCAATAACTTTTAAAAATGACAGATGTATCTGTCCCTTGACTATATAATCCCATTTCTAGGATTTCATTTCACAGATGCACCTACAAAAGTATTAAATGACATGTCTACAAGGTTATCTATTACAGGTGATTTGAAAAGACAGAGGATTAGACACAATCCAAGATTATGTTGTTGTGCCATCATCACACATCAACAAAATGGAGTACTCTAAGGTTATAAAAAAGACTGAAGATAATCTCTATGTACAAATATGCAGAGTTCCAGAATGTATTATTAAGAGAAAAAAGTTAAGACGTAGAACAACAGACTGTATGTGTTATGTTATCCTTTGTGTAAGGGAATAAGAACACACCCATACACACACTAGAACCTCTAAAAATGAAAGACGCAAGGGTTAAGCGAGATACTAAGAAAAATGGTTATCTACGAGGGAACAAAGTGCATAGGGCTCATCTGCAAAACAGAAATAATAAAAAAGAAAAAAAACAAAGTTCACAGGTTAAGACTTCATTGTGTATACTTCTCTATATTGTTTAATTATTTTAACTTTCCAATATCAAAAGAAATGTAGAGAGAATGATTTAACAATTTTTCACATACCCATCATCTAGATTAAACATCTACCTAGTTGTTTTTTTTTTTTTCTGAGACAGAGTCTTGCTCTGTCGCCCAGGCTGGAGTGCAGTGGCGTGATCTTGACTCACTGCAAGCTCCACCTCCCAGGTTCACGCCATTCTCCTGCCTCAGCCTCCCGAGTAGCTGGGACTACAGGCACCCGCCACCACGCCCAGCTAATTTTTTTGTATTTTTTAGTAGAGACGGTGTTTCACCATGTTAGCCAGGATGGTCTCAATCTCCTGACCTCATCATCCGCCCACCTCGGCCTCCCAAAGTGCTGGGATTACAGGCGTGAGCCACCGCACCCGGCCCACATCTACATAGTTTTGACCCTTCAGCCACGTAATGCATTACCCATCTTAAAAAAGCTCCATTCAAAATGTCCTAAACTGAAAAGAAACTGAATGATATGAGCCTAACCATACATCAAACTGGGTGACATGCTCTCTGAGGAAGAATTTATTTTTAGGAATTTTAGAACACAGTATTTTTAATACATACCCTTAGTGGAATGCATTTTAAGAACAAAACAAAAATTACAAAGAAGTATTAAACTTTCCTCTGTAGTTCCATATTGGTAATAATATAAATATTGGTATTTCGAAACTACATTCTTTACATTTATAGGTTAAAGAAAAAATAAAGATTTTTCCATACCAGAAAAAGGGAGTTAAAATAATTACTAAGGAAAGTGAAAGCATAAGGATTTTAAAACTAAACTGGACATGTCCACCTGAACTCTTAAATTTTAACAGTATATATTTTCCAGCTTTGTCCACTGAAGTTCTCTAGAAACAAGTCACCTCTGCACCAATAACCACCCCCAATACCCTGATTGTACTCTCTAATACCATTGTCCCATACCACTGAAAAGTACAAGATGAGCTTGGGGCATTTGTGCCATGAATGAACACAGATTTTCAAGATTATAGAAGTTCTGTCAAAAGGTCACAGGACCTAGCTGAAGGGGTCTCACTGCCTAAAAGTTGTAACAAAAGAGTAATGATTAGAACACACCAGATCAATAAAAATCCATGAATGTATAATGTTAGAAAGACAGAAAAAAACCACGTGTTACTACGTGAAGTGGTTATTAAACTCCTTACTGTGAAAGTTAATGGGGAAAGGGAAAGCATTAGCACAGATCCTGCCTTTCCAGTGGGAACCATGTGTCAGGGTAACCAGACGGCCCCAGGCAGTACAGGAAAGCTCTACTTTATAGAAGAAATGAAAGAATTACAGAAACATTTCCCAAAACCCAAGGAAGGTATGGTTCAGGCAAGAATGACCACTGGGTACAAAACCATTAAGTAAACGATTTGTATGCAAAGTTATACCACACAAGTCACTTGCTGGTCTCTAGGGGGAAAGTGTAACTGGACGATGGTGGGTTCAGGCTGTCACAGCCCTAGACCAGGGGTCAATCTCAGCATCCCCAGTAGTGGGCCTTTTTAGTAACAGTGAGTGAAGCACACTGAATTAGCTCTGGTGAGATCTAGTCAAAAACAACTTGAATCCTGCAAGCTTTTCCATACAGGAAATCAGAGGATGGAGAAATAAGCCTAACCATAAAGAAGCAACCTCACACTCTAGCAGGTCAGAGGTTCTGGAGGCAAGACCAGCAACTGGTCTGCTGCTTCAATAAGAGACTGTGCTGGATTAAGAGACTAAAAGGAAGTTACAACCAGACATAGGGCACGATACTCGATTAGATGGTGATTTCGACAAACCAGCCTTGAAGGGTATTTGAGGGCCAGTTATGGAAATCGGAATAGAAACAAGGTATTAAACGAGATGAACTTTATTGAAATACAAAGTTGGAGACTGTCATCCAAAAAAATCAGATAATAAAACAGTAATACATCATTTTGGTTAAAAAAATGTGCACACATCTATGCATACAAAAAGACCTAAGAGATGTAACAGTGGTCATTTCTGGACAGAGACAGAGAGAGAGAGAGAGAGAGACTAACTGTGTGTATGTGGAGTGTTTTGCTTGCCTTTATTTTCTAATTTCCTTTAATTAGAAAATGTTATTTCTGTACTAAATACATAAAAAAGCAGTTACATAAGGCTTTAGGTTTCACTAGTAATCTACAGAAGGTCATCTTAGAAATGATCTGTTACCTTTCTAAAATATGCTAAGTGGCCTGTCCATCAGTGGCATGGAGGATTCCTGGAATGACTTGGGAACAACCCCCAAGTTGGAACTTCATTGCTTAGATGATTCTCTGACAAATCAAAGATTTCTTCCCCAGATGGTGGCAACACTGTAGAAAGAACAACAACTAGCACCGACAAAGTCTAAGAGAGATGAGGTGATGGTTTGAGAGAAGAAACAAGAGCAAAGTCAATTTTTAAGAGGGGTGCTGAAATGCCTCCTCAAGCAAACTTTACCTCCACTTCCTCATGTGAAAATGTTACCAGCAAAGTTCCAAAGCTCTAGGGGAAAAGTGAGACCAGCAGGATTGAATGCAGCACTCAAGTCCCAGGGAGAAAACTTCACACCAGATATACCTGTTCGCAGAGTGTCTGTCTCAGAATCACCCTTTGACAATACGGATACACGTGCACACCCATTTACAAACTCACCTATCAAGATGTCTTTTGCTTTTAATCATCACTGTCAATTTTTGAAGATATACTATACACTCTAAAAGGGTGGCAATTTCCTCGATTGCAGTTTCATACAAAAATCTGTATGAACAAAAGCATGTTGTACAATCATTCACTGATTTGCCAAGTTTTCAGAAGTGTCTATAATGTGCGTGATGGTAACGGGGTAGAGAACACAGAGACAACCACAGATGGGTTTCTATCTTCATGGAGCTTGCAGCCTAATGGGGAAGGCAGGTGGAAAACAAATATGCCCAAATAAGTGGGTTCATGAAAATTGTTAAGTGTCATGAAGGAAAAGAAGAGGGTGCTCTGAGATGAGAAGAGGGGAATATGATTTACACTGGAGGATCAGGGAAAGCCTCCTGGAGGAAGTGACATTTGAGGTGTGACCACAGAGTGAGCATGAATTAACCAGGCTGCCAGGCAGGAGAACATTCCAGGAAGGGAAGACTGTTGTGTGGGAAAGGGTGCTGAAGCAGGAAACAGCTGGGAACAGTCACAGAACTGAAAGAGGCCAGGATGGGGCAAACAGAGGGGAAGACTGGTGTCCAGGGAGATCAGAGAAGCAAGCCGGGACTGTGCTGTGATCCATGCTGTTCAGGATTCAGGATTTTCTTCCAAGTGTGATGGAAAGCAGTTGGACATCTGAAGTACGGCAGTGACAGAATCTAATGTGCACTTAATATCACTATGGGAAACTGGCTGGGGAAGGTCAAGAACAGGCATGGAGGGACAAGTCAGGAAGCCAGTCCAGATGAGACATTATGGTGGCTTAGGCTAGCTACAGGGATCCAAACTACAGACTGGACACCAAATTCAAACCCAAGTCTGCTTTTAGGAGTAAGATTTTGCCGGAACACGCCCCCCCCCCCACACGCCCCTCCCACCACGTGACTCGTGTATGTATTGTCTGTGCAGCTTTCACTCTACAACTTCAGTAACGGCGGCAGAGACCAGATGGCCTGCAAAGCCTCAAATATGCACCACGTGGACCTTTACAGAAAAAGTTTGCCAACCCCCAGACAAGGGATGGCAGTGGAGACAGAAATGGATGGCTTCACGATAAACAGTCTGTCGTCATTATTCCTGGATTCCACATTTGCAAATTCACCTACTCACTAAAAGGTGTTTGTAACCCCAAAGTCAATACTCAGAGCACTTTTGGTCATGCCTGCGCATGCGCAGAGCAGCAAAAAAGTTGCGCTGGTCAACACACACATTCCCAGCTGAGCTCCACAATGGTGACACTCTGCCTTCCTGTTTCAGCTCTTATACTATAAACAAGTACCCTTTCAACTGTCTATATAGTGCCACATTTTTTTTGCATTTTGGTGTGTTTTGTTGGTGATTTTGCTGTTTAAATGGTCCCCAAGCACAGTGCTAAAGTGCTGCTTAGTGCTCCTAAGCACAAGAAGACTGTGATGTGCCTTATGAGAAACGCATGTGTTAGATAAGCTCGTTCAGGCATGAGTTATAGTGCTGTTGGGCATGAGTTTGATGTTAATCAAAACTATATGCTAAGATATATGTTTAAACAGAAACACACATAAAACATCATCACACCAACATATGTAATGCTATACCAACGTACAACATCTACCAACATACAACATTATTACACCAACGAAACTGATACTACGTATTGATCAGTCAATGGAAATATGACCAGAGGCTCACAGGAACCTAACTCTGTATCTCCCTTAGGAGTAATGATTCAGTATTCACTAATTCAGTGTTCCTGGCGACTTTAGAGAACACAGCTATGGCGAATGATGAGAATGGCTACACCTGGGAGGCAAAAATCAATACAATTTGGTGATGGGTTAAATGTTAAGTAAAACAAAGTCAAGGATGACTCTGGGTTTCTGATGTGAACTACTGGGTGACAGAAGGTGCCATTTATGGAAATAAAGAATTCCAGAACAGCAGTATATTTCAGGGGGTTGACCAAGATGTTTCCTTTGAATGTGTTAAGGATGAGATATCCAAAGAGAGAGGTCCAGTAGCTTGATGGCTTTATGACTCTGGAGCTGAAAAAAGAAGTCTAGGTAAAGATACAACTTTAGGAGTCCCTAACAGATAGAGGGAGCATTGAAAACCTGGGAATGATATGTCACCTGGCGAGAGGGGTAGAATGACAGCAGGGCCCAGGCCTGAGAGCAGCACCCAGACAAACAGGTGGGTTAACTCAATTTTTCATCTTGGTGGTTTGATTTGTTTAATATAAAAGTATTATACTTTAGGCTTGGTGTGGTGGCTCACGCCTGTAATCCCAGCACTTTGGGAGGCTGAGGCAGGTGGATCACCTGAAGTCAGGAATTTGAGACCAGCCTGGCCAACATGGTGAAAGGCTGTCTCTACTAAAAATACAAAAATTAGCCGGGCATGGTGGCGGGTGCTTGTAATCCCAGCTAATCAGGAAGTTGAGGCAGGAGAATCTCTTGAACCCAGGAGGCAGAGGTTGCAGTGAGCTGAGATCATGCCACTACACTCCAGTCTAGATGACAGAGCGAGACTCTGTCTCAAAAAAAAAAAAAATTAAACTTTGGCAAGGAAATTAACCTGGTGATGTATCTAGAACCCAACAGATGTTCAAATCCCTTGACCTAGTATATCTACTTTGGAGGACCTATCCTAACATCTAGACAAACCTCAATGTTACATAGAATTACACTGAGGAATAACTCATGATAGTAAATAACCTTAACATTTGGGGAATGTTTATGCTGACAAGACTAATAATATTTTCCTCTGTGAGTTCATCTACAGCTTCTAATCTTAGAAATTTCAACTCCTCCAGAGGTTTAATAAATATCCACTTCCATTTCCTTCAAGCTTTTGTAAAAAGCTTTGTAAAAAAGTGGAACGTTTGTCTTTATCTGCTAAAACGCAAGCTGCTTCAGGGCAGGAATTTTATCTGTTTTGCTCAATGCTGTACACTTGGCACCTAGGAGAGTCCCCAGAACACTGAATGTATTTTGAACATATTTTTGTCAAACCTCACATTTTAATCAGGCAGAATTTACATTGGTGTAATGATGTGAGGTGATGATACCCACTGAGATTTTTCAGATTGCTCTCATATAGTCCCATTCCCATTCAGGTAATCAGCCTTCCTTTCCCCATGGCCTCACAGCACCTCCTCCATCTTCTGTTAAATGCTCACAGACTATGGAACCTGAAATCTGCCTCCCCCCTTCTGCCCCATGGATGGGTCTGTCAAATTTTGTCCCAGATTTGAAGCATTATGGTTTGACACTGGATAGAGCTAACCCCTTCACCACTCTTATGGTCCATGCCTAACCTATGTCCTACCACCTTATCTTTCAAGAAAAGCAACAGAAATTGGTCTCTCAAGTTTTAAAATACTTATCCAGATTTTGATGAAAACAAAGACCATTGATACTTGGAGAAGAACCAATGTATTTACAAGTTGCCCTCTCTCATCTAGGAGGGATGAGGAAGAGTCTCTACTGTGCAGCTGGTGGTCAGGAGTCAGCTCTGGACTCAGACTGCCTGGAGTCGATCCCATCTCTGCACTCAGGAGCTGCCTCACCTGCCTGTGCCTCTGTGTAACACTGTGGAAGTGGAACCTCTTTTGAGTGTTACTACAGGGATTCAATGAATTCACACATGTAAAATCTTAGTGCAGAACTGGCAATAGCAAGTGTGCGGTATTAGCTGTTATGATCATCTTCCCATAACATGTTTTTCCTTAGAGGTCTCAGTAAGAGTATTCCTGAATATTTGATATGTTTTGCTCTCAAAGGGGACTCATGGCTTGGCTGCCCTCTACCACATTCCTACATGCCAGCCACAGGTCCAAGTGCTGTACATTCACCACCTCACTTGACCCTGTTTGATGAACAGGACAAATGGAACAAGAGTGTCACAGAAATCTGTGTTAGCACCTTCGGTCTCCAGCTTGATTGCCTCTTTTCCAAGGAGGATCCCAGATCCTTCTTACCGGAGTCAGTCTTGCACATGGCATGGATCACTCTAACTTACCTGCAAGAAGCAGGGTGGCCTGCCAGTGAAGATAAGGGCATGCGCTGGCGACAAGTGGACTGAGGTTCAAACTCTGGCTCTACCAATTACTTGTTATGAGTCCTTGCATACATTATTTCATATCTCTAAGCCTCAATTTCCTCTTCTGTAAATGGAGAAAATCATAGAGCTCTTAAATATTAGTTAATAATAGTGTATTACTATTGTGAGGATGATATTTGGCCCATTTTATTCTGGGGCCCCAAGACCAAACTGGATGAACTACACAGACCAGCTGGCTCTGAATGAACAAGAGAAAGTGGCTCCTGCACTTTGTGACCTTCCCTGAGAAGATGTGAAGGCAGGTGAGAGGAGAGGAAGTCGGAGGCTGGATCTGCATGTGCCTATGGCTTCTGGAAGTCACAGCCACAAAAGGCAGTAGAATTGCGAAGAATGCTAAGGCCAGGTCCCTGACTCTCTCACATCCAAGAAAAGCTTTCACCAAAACAACCACCATCTGATTCTAAATATTTCTGACTTTTTGTTCTGAATGTACTCTTCCAAAACAATGGTCCTCAACTGGAAATGCAAATGCTCAAGCCTACCACAGACCTACTGAATTAGAGACTCTGGGGGTGAAACCCAGCAATCTGTTGTAACAAGCCCTCCAGAGAACTGAAGGGCAAAAAGGTTGAAGAACCACTTCTTCCAGACAGTCCCTTACACAAATACACCCCAAAGAAGGTTCTGTGTGTACATCCACTTAGACCTTCACACCTACAAGTAAAACAAGGCAAATACACGCTCAAGGAACACACAGTCAAAGAATAAACAGGTAGGTAAGGGAGCCTGGCTCTGTGGGTAGACAAGTGGGAAAAAATAAATAGGTGGAAGCAGAGAGCAGAGACGCCATCAAAGAAGGATGGTAGGAGAGGCCATGGAAGTCAGTGGCTGAAACCCACAAAACATAACAGCTGTCAGAATTACCAGGTTCTCTGTCAGGTTTCACCAGCAGAAGGAACATACTGGTTACTGAACTACTTTGGCAAGCAACAGGAAATGGGTCAGTTTCATCAGCTTTGCTTTAGGAAGCAATCATATGTATGAGACCAAGGTTGAGGAGGAAAAGGAGAGCAGAGGATGCAGAAATGCAACCACCAGCCATATAAACAGGAAACATTTCAAGTTGCCTTTGTTGCTTCAGTTTTTGAAGCAAGGTGTCCCCTTATCAGTACTGCCTTTAGGACAGGGCAACAAGGGCTCAAGCCCTGAACCTCATTGGGTCAAGGCCCAAGCTCACCCCTCCCAACATGGGCTGTGCCCATTCATAGGCTGAGCACCCACCCTCTTCTTCAAGACCAGGCTCTGGGTCCCTGGGGCCATGAGATTCCCTGCCCAAAAGGCTTCATGCCTGCTTCCAGGCCCTTTCCCAGGGCCTGTGGGTGTACATGTAGACCTGGAAGGTGGGCAAGAGGCACCCCAGTTCCAAGCGGAGGTGGGAGTGGTCGCAGCTTGGACACACAGACCAGGAGTAGAGAGAGAGAATTGGGTGGATGGCAGACTGGGGGCCTCGCTTCACACTCTTGACCCAAGACCCACAAATGTCAGGGCAAGCTCACTCCCTAGTTTGTGTCTTATAACCGTGAAAGTCTGAGTGTTCAACTAATTTCAAATGCTGCTCATCTGGACTGAAATGCTTCCCAGGCAGGTGGGGAGTAGCCCCAGACAGAGACTACAACAGGACCCTATCTGAGGTCAGACTGTCATGCCTGGAGACAAGAGGCAGGGCTCAAGTTTTGGTGATGTCAAAGAGATAAAATGACTTTAAACTGTACCTTGGGAAATCAGTTTTTTTTTTAAAGCTGCTTAATGACTTAAAAGTGCTTTGAGGTTCTGTGAAACTCATCATGATCGTACTGACTTCTCTCCTGTGATTTTTGTTGTTGTTGTTATTAAGTAGCTCATGGTGACAAGCTGTGAACTTTCTCAGGGAAACACAAGGAACCACTGAGGGCACTGTGGCCTTGCTTTCCTTGGGACAGAGGGAAACACTCCCTGCAGGAGGGGCTCAGTGTAGCACTGTGGGCTGCAAGGGGACCACGAGAACCAGAACTCAGGAGCTTCCGTATGCCTCTGGGGAAAAAGGAAGTGGCTCTGACAGCCTGGTAGGAACCACTATACCTGGAGCCCCACCTGGCAGTGCAGCCTAGCAAAGCTCCACTCGGCATTCTGGAGTGTTCTGGGGCTTCTGTGCACACTGCTACAGGGGAAGGGAGAGGAAGAGCCCTAGCTCTGCTCCCCCAGCACACATAACATTGGAACAGCCTCTTCATTGCTCTGGCCTCAGATTCTCATGTGTCAAAGACTGAATAATAACGCATGAAGACCCCACCAGGGTTATACTATGACCCAGTCAGATTCTGTGAAATGCGAGTGAGCCTACAAAAAGAGATTCTTTAGAAAAACAGAACATCATGGTATTGCCAATCCCAGCAAGTTTTCCTGATCCTAGATCACTGCCATAAGGTGTGGGGAGGAAAGCAAAAAGAAACCAACATTTATTGAACCTCTGGACCAGGCAAGCCGACAAGTGCTCGATGCGTGTTCTCCTGCACCACCCCAACAGCAGCCCTGCCCCAACTCCACGGCCGCAGTGCCTTCCACCGCACCACAAGGCCTCCCAGCATGGCCCACCTCCATCTCCACGGCCGCAGTGCCTTCCACCGCACCACAAGGCCTACCAGCATGGCCCACCCCTGGCTGTCTGGTTCCTTCTATTATACCCAGGCCAGTAAAAATTACCTTGTTCAAGTATCATTCTGATAATATCGGTCCCCTTCTCCACACCACAAAATGTCACTTGAATTAGAACCCCTTTTAAACCTTTTAACAACTGATCCCAAACACTTACCATTCTCATCTGCTAGTCTATTTTGTGCTTACCACTCCAGCCAAGCAAAAATTACTTTGCAAATGAATTCCATTATGCACTCTGCTTATTCACCTTGTTAAGCCAACACCAGAGCTTTGCCTATTGCTGTTGTCTCTTTCTATAGGAATACCTCATTTATCCGACATCCTTGGAAAGAAGCTATCCACAAAATTGATCTACATAAATTAATTTCCCTCTCTACCAGAAACTTAACCATTTAAGCAGCCTTAAATCCTCTTTGGAGTACATCACTGTAACAAGCAAATGAAAGAATTTCTTTAACCACTGACTAGTGGAAGCATTTCTGTAATACATTAGAGAACCTCCCAGGCTCAGTTAACAGAACATAATGAAACTGATGAATCTTTTCCTGATGGTACAGGTCACACTTAATGAATAATAGTAATGACACTGTGCTGGAGCTGCAGAGGTGAGTGGTTCAGGGGAAAAGGCCGAAAGCACGTGTGCATTCTCTCTTGGTGCTCCTTCTCCCTGTCACGAGTTCCCCTGACACTTACTATCCTCCAGAAGTCCCTGCTATCCGCTCAGATTCTGGTGAGTAGATGCCGTGACACAGAATTCAGGAAGGTGTAACTTGCTGTCTTTCTGTACAGTTTCAAAAACGTACATGCTGGTTTTTGTCAGAGCCCTATAAATCTTTCATTAGATACAAAATAAACAAATTTTAAAAGAACACATTTCCACAATCGGCAATAAGCTGGAGTTTTCCAAATCTCCCTGCCCTGTGACTTTTTAAAATTTTTTAATTTAATACTCACAACCTCGGCATTATAACCCTGTGACTTTTAACAGAAATCCAGGCACAAACACCATTAAAATTTGCTTCCTTAATGCTATGAAACTATAAGTTCTATATTGTATAGAGCTGGCTTCTTATCATAAGCCCTTGGACGAATGATTTTACTTGGGAATAACGATTCCATAGGTTGAATCAACAGGGAAATATTAGTGTGAAGGAAAATGGTAAAAATACACAAACAAACCCTTTGTTCTTCAAGATGCAAATCTGTGACTGTGTGAAGCCAGAAGTGCTTTCGTAGTCAATGTCATGGAAGGTTCTATGGTGATCTCTCACTGCGGATGGACAGAACCACCTGGAGGAAAAATACCCTTGTCCACTCACATATTAGGCTGCATTCTTTTTGTGACAAAGGTTTTTATAGAGTCGACAGCATTAACACATGCAGAAGAATTGATCAATCTTAATTCTGCTTAAACACAGTGGCATTTAATTGATCAGAACCTACTAAGGCAAAAGTACTTAGGCAAGAATTGTTAAAACAGACTACTGTCAAAAACATTACAAATTTGTTCAATGCTGTATTCAGAAATAAGTAGCTATAAAACCACAAAGATATTTTGGAGTTTCAAAGGTTTTCTGCCTTTTCTTTTTTGGCAATGATTTTACTAGCTTGCTTTCTAAGGGCAAAGATATCTGTCAGAAAAAACACAACCTGCAGTGATGTCGTTCATTACATCTTTTGCCTTTTCCATTGGCTTTAAACCAAAGAGAGGGAGGACTACCCTCTGAAAGTCTGACTTGTAACCACTCTCATAAACACCTAGCTCACTCACCTTGGAGAACCTAGTAAAACAGGTATGGCTTTAGCTGACTCAGAATCTATAACGAATTTGACAAACGGTCCCTTCTAAATGAGGATGACCTGACACTGCTCTGAATCATCAAGATTCTTCTGTGTGCTTGCTCTTCTTTCAAGTGTAGTTCAAGTTTTTATACTTATGGCCTCTGCATTCTGTTTGTCAGATCTACGGGAGATAATTAAGCAAGATTCTAAAGAGTTGGAAGTTGAGGGGTGAAATGCAAAGTGATCAGTGGAGTCAAGCAGAAGGTGGCTTTGTTGGGGTGAGGGATGCCAGATACAAGTACAAGAAAAATAAAGACGGCCGAAATGAATGCGAGCTACAGATGAGTCACCAATCCAGGGCTGCGTAAGTTATAACTTAGATGCATTAAAAGGAACAGTCAATTCCAGAAATATTTATGAAGCGCCTACTAGGTTTAAGGAACTGCACGGCTATTGTAGGGGACAAAGATGAATCAGACATGGTTCCTGCCCTCCAGGGGTTCACGATGATGCAAGAACCCTGAAGTCGTTTTTCTCTTATATGCGGTACTAATGAGAACATTATTAAAGAGCTGTATTCAGTTTTAACTGCCACCATTTTTTTAAATAGGGAGAAACTAGAGAGAGTTCAGAAGAGAGAAAGGAGATGCTTTCAGTGACACAAAACCGGCTCTGTGAGGAAAAAGCTAAAGAGACCCAGTTATTATCTTTAAGTATATGAAAGGTTTTAGAGAAAGGAATTGAGTAAAAGAAAACAAGTTTGAATGACAGCAGGCGAGATTTCAGCCAGGCCCAGGAATTTCTTGACAATCAGGTTAATAGAATACTGGAATTGGTCACTCAGGGAGTTCCAACTGCCCTTTCCTGGAAAAAATAATTAAATAAATAATGAACTGACAATTTCAAGTCACAGACATTCACCTTCCTGAAGACGGGGGTGAACTATATCTGTGTCAAGGTCTTCTGCTCTGGGGCTCTATGCCCCTGAAGCTAGGTCAGGCTTTTCTTTTTCCACAATTCCCTGAATGATCTGCTCTGGGTAAGTAGCCACTGAATGCTTCGGAGTGACAGCCCGATCTATATCCCCACCACCAAGTGCCACACAACTACCTGGAATACAAGGTCTCAGCCAGGCGAAAAGGCTGGGAATCAATTCTCCAACAGCCACATATGATGCAAGAGTCCACTCGCAACAAAGCCTACGACACACCAAATATCAGAAACGAAAGTCTCTGAGAACTTGTGCAAATAAGAAACGTATTTGCATTGGCAAGGATATAAAATTTAAGTAACAAATAGAAGAAGACAGGATCTTCTGCAAGTTACAGACAGTAATATTTATGGACATTTCTAAGAAAGCTTGTAATGAGTATTTTCTACACTCAGAAACACTTTTTTGAGTCTACGTAAAGAAAACACTTCAAGAGAGATAGGAAAATGGGGTCTTCCCACTCTTTATTTATTTATTGAGAAAGACTCTCGCTCCATTGCCCAGGCTGGAGTGCAATGGCACAATCTCAGCTGACTGCAACCTCCGCCTCCTGGGTTCAAGCAATTCTCCTGCCTCAGCCTCCCAAGTAGCTGGGATTACAGGCACCACCACCACGCCCAGCTATTTTTTTTTTTTTTTGTATTTTTAGTAGAGATGGGGTTTCGCCATGTTAGCCAGGTTGGTCTCGAACTCCTGATCCACCCGCCTCAGCCTTCCAAAGTGCTGGGATTACAGGTGTGAGCCACTGTGCCTACCCAAGTCTTCCCATTCTAGCTGAAGAAAGCATAGGCATGTTAGAAGTATGAACTGCCACTAAAAAAAAAAAGGAGAAGAAAAAATTCCATCTTGAATCAGACCCATGGTCTAGTGAGTCTATGCTTCTTTCACTTCCCCCACCCTGTAAAGTCAGGGACAGGGATTAAGATTTTGTCATTTCGACAAACCCAGAACCTGCCACAGGGCCTGACACACAGCAGGTCCTGCATAAATGTTTGCTGAATGAATGCGTTAAAGATGGGCCCTCGTCTGTCAAGAGGTGGAACATTTGAGTTCATGTGGGTGAAGGGCGCAGGGCGGTGCACAGCACAAAGTCAATATGGCCTAAGTCACAGTGATCACCGTGACCCTCAAGCATCTGGGTTTCTTTTATAGGAAAAATAAAGATCTGCCTATACTGTAGGTTTTTCTTTTCTTTTTTCCCCCAAAAGAGAATAGCTATATGAAATGGAACTCTTGCGAGTTTGGGCCTTTCAAGTTCACATCCCATCGGTGGTTATATAAAGTCTACTGCCATTATTCTGAAGCCCGTCTTTGACACCAACCCAAAGTCCTTGAATTGTCATCAATAAGACTACCAGAAAGCACAGGCGAATTACACGTTCAGAGAACAATAAGAAATGCTCACATATCACACCCTCTTGATCATCACTACTTTGCTCCACACAAACCTCAAAGGTGGTTCCCCAAGACTGGTCTCTATGGGAGGAAGGGAGAGAGAGAGAGATGAAGAAATATAAAACATAAAATACAAAGAATCTGAGCCCCTGTAACTTACAGAAAGCACCAAATTGTCTTTTGTAGGAAAATGATGTTTAATGCATGGTGAGGCAGACCCTGGCTTGTGGTGGGCGAGGAGCCTCCCCTTGGAGGAGGCTCTTGGTGAACCACCTCTGGGTGCTCCCTTGCCCAGCCTGCTGCCTTGTTTAGGAATGGATCTTGGTTAACGGCAAAGGTTATCTTTCATACTTGGGGATACTTTCCAAGAGGCACAGCTGCAGCCCCTGAAACTCTGCCCCAGCAGTTTATTTCCACATTTTTCAAGTAGCACAGAAAGTGCCACTATAGAAGAGAAATTCTCTACCTGAAACCAGCAGAAGCTCAATGCAAATAAAGAATCTGGAAAGGTCACAGAGGGAGTAAAAAGAAGGTTCTTTCTTCTATGGCTATAGGGGGTTTATTGTTGCTGGTGCCCAAACTGGAAAGGGAATCGCAGGAGATTAATAATTGAAATGTTGCTATTATTGGTTTTCGAAACTATTTGTGGGTTATTCTTTCCCTGGAGTCATCATGTCTGTAAGCATCTCAGAAGATAGAGGGATTTAACACACTCTGAGAAGATGCCTACTACAGCCAGGGACTTTACGTGCACTAGTTTCTAATGGAGTTCCTGCACAGTCCAATAAAGCCCAAAGTCGTATCACTAGATTCAAACTCAGGTTTCTCTGATTCAAGTATCATAGCACATTGTCTGAAATCAAGGATAAAATTAAGGCACCTTACTCACTACTCAAATGTGGCGAGAAGAAAAGCAACATTTATACTTACTCATTTTTAAAATATAAAACCTAAACACAGGAACAGATATTTTAGGGCATGTGTCATCAAACTCTGCTAACCCAAGATGATTCAGAATCTCATTTCTTGGTAGACAGCTTGGTAGATAGGCATCTTCAGGTCCATCTGATGATGAATTGCAGCAGACAGTTTTTGGAAGTCTGTGAAGTGTTCCTTTACATAAGCCAATAGTAATCAACACAGCATATCTCAGGGAGAGGAAAACATAAATAACTTGGAATTTAGGCTCCTCTCATTCAGAACCCATAATAGAGACCTTGGTGGTTGGCCTTTGCACTAGATATTGAAAAAGCCTCGCAAAGCAAGTTGATGGAGGAAATACAATCACAAGGCAAATGTTTAACCTTCTAAAGAAAATAAACCTTTTTATAAGAAGTTCAGTTCCAAACCACCAAAAACTAACATGCTATTTATAAACCTATCCTTCAAGCAAGCCCTGGAAGACTGATTCTCTTTGCCACCCATTAATTGGTATTATCAAATACCCCTTGTTTCAAAAACAGCATTTCTGTCTAAATCTCTGGCGGTTCAGAACGCTCCATTAATGTATCTGGGCCTTCACCTGGTATTCCAACTTGGTGCAGCAGCACCCCATTGAAACAATTCCCTCTCGTGTCGTTATACTTTTCCTGAGAAGAATCATGCACACTCTTTAGGAGCTCAAAACCCACAAGGAATCCCTCTTCTTATAGAAATCTACAGGAAAAGCTCTGCTCGTTTAGCATGCACACAGGGAGTCCATGTGCTCTGATTGAGACAGGGGAAAAATCAGGTTTCCTGAACCCAGAGGATGTCACCACGGCAGGAGAAAGGAGGTCATCAGAGTCTTGGCACACTCATCACAGTGAGTGAATGCGGGTCCTAGCAACCTAATCCTTGATTCTAGAAGTCACCTGTCTGTTTTAGAGCATGTCCAACAATCTCTTTCAAAAACACCCAGATCTGGGCTTTTGGCAGACTGATGTGGGCCAGTTGAGGTGGGATGGGGAGGAAGATTAGAAAAATAATTATAAAGGTGCACAGATAAACATCCGGAATAAAAGGGTGCACAGCGCAGGAACAATGAAGAGGGCACACGGACAAGATGGAGGGAAACTGAGGGCTGAAAGAGGCCACCGCGGAGGTCACCTGAGACAGGGAAGGAAGGCTGGCAAATAAAAACAGTTCATGAGACTTTTGAGATCCATGATTATTCTTAAACCGTAACACCCTACACACCTGCAGTTCTTTATCTGGCGTAAGGAACTGGAAGAACAATGTAGCAGGAACGGGGAGAGCCAAGTCTCAGCCTCGGGGGCATGGCCTACCTTCCATATGGATTTAAAATGAAAGGAGCAGGAGGAGAACAGTGCAGTTCCCAAGATGGCTTTCCACAAAGTTGACAAAATACACCCCAACTCACATACCCGGTCCCTAGTAACAGGGAAACCAGCCGTTTACTATAGTTCTGAATTCAATGCCAAGTTCCTTCTCTCAACTCACCGGGAGTGTCCAGCAGAGGGAGTCTCAAGGAGGTACTTAATAAAGAGAAAATTGTTTCATTTTAACACTCTAGACAGTGGGAGCATTGACTGTAGCCCCCTCCTGTAGACGCAGATGAACAATGAACGCCCGACATGGGTTCTCCCGCATGTTCACATGTCCACCGGCATGTTCTATTCTGCGTGGTGGAGTGATCAGAAATTTCGTTTTGTTTTGTCGAATGGTTAAATGGACCTTGTGTTCTTCAGAATCAAAGAGGAAAGCCCCTGGAATAACATCTCTCTGTTGCCTTCTAAACAGCCCCTTTGTTTCTAAGAGAGTCTGAAAAAAAAATATTTACAGTCTATAGGTTATTTACAGCCTCGTTATCCAGGGCCTGACTGGTAACTTTATTCCGGCCAGAAACCTAATTCATTTGGAGCCCTGAAACTAATAACAGATTTTCTTTTAAGTTTTTTTTTTTTTAATCAGCCTCTTATAACAGAGATAAAACTATTAATGCCTTCCCTGTCTCACTGGCCACAACTGTTCTCCGGATTTACAGGAGGATTACATTCCCCCCTCGTGCCCTCCTCTGTGCCACACAAACCCTGTCCCCTCTCATTTGCGATTTCATCCACAGAATATCTGAACAAAACCGAAAGAAAGCCGGGGGACCCACGCTAAAAGTATGTGAAGGCTGCGATTTCAATGATTTCATGAGACAAACATTTACACGATGAAACGACTGAAAAATCAGACACACTTGGGTTTAAAATTTCTCCTACTACAAGCACACAAAAACACATCGAAGTGTAAAAACTTAGTTGATTCTGGGTTGCTTTCTGGCTGGAAGCTGACAGAACGGACTGAAGAGAAACGAAAGACAGTGTGCGAGGCAGACCTACTGCTTTTCTGCCTTGCGTTCTTTTCTTTCTTGCTAAAGGCAGTCAAATGGGGAAAAATACCCCGATGCCAGGTGAAGGTGCACAACACAGATCGACCCAGACCGAGCCAGAAAAACGTCTCCGCCGCTCCCCCGGCTGGAAAACCCAAAGTCCACGTCCCCTTCCACACGCTAATGAGGGGAGATTTTCGCCTATTTCATTGTTCTGCCTGGCTCTGACATGGACTTTTCATCTCTCTCCTCTCTCCCCACCTAGCCCCGTGCATTCCGATTCCACAGCCCCCCCAAAATCGGAGGCTCGCGGAGAATAAAGGAGCGTGGGGTGGGCGCGGAAAGAAATGGGAAGGGGCGCGGGGCGGAGAGCGAAGTGGAAAGGAGGTGCTCCGAAAGGTAATGTGGGGGGGCGGTGGAAGCTAAGCCGCATCACCTTCATTTATCGCAAATAAATAAAAAGCACAGTCACCGGTCCGCCTTCCCCGGCGTCCCTGCCCTCCCCGGGCAGCCGCCCACCCTCGCACACGCCCCCTCCCCTCCTGCGCCCCCGGCCCCTCTCCCCGCCCTGGAAGCAAGACCCTGCCGGCGCCGGGTCCCGGTCATCTTCCGGGCGAGGGAGGGGGTCGCGGCCCCCTCGGGCCCCGGGTGGGGGCTGGGGCAGGCGCCGGGGGCTGCGGGCGCGGGGCCGCGGGCAGAACAAAGCTGCGGGGGCCGCGGAGGGCGGCGGGCGCGGGGTCGGCGGGGCCGGGCGCCCCTTACCTTCGTACACGGGGGCCATCGGGGCCGGGGTGTCCGCGGTTCATGGCAACGGGGACGGGAAAGCGGCGCGCGAGCTCGGCCCCCCCAGCCTCAGTCGGAATCTGCCATCTTGAGCCTGTGTCTCCGCTCTCGGCGCAGCCGAGGCCGCCCGCGCCCGCATCACCGCCTCCCGTGGCCGGCGCCGGGGGAGGGGGCCGGGCGCGCCGCCGCCGCCGCCGCCGCCGCTGCCGCCCGGGCCCGGCGCGGGGGGCTCGGGGCTCGGGGCTCGGGGCGGCCGGGCGGGCGGAGCGGCCGAGGCCGAGGCGCCGAGCGGCCGCGGCCCCCGAGCGGATCCGCGGAGGGGCGGGAGCCGGGGGCAGCGCGCGGCCAGGGCCGGCGGGGCTCAGCTCAGCATGGCTGGGCGCGGGGGCTCCGCAAAAGTTGCTGGCGGAGGGGGGCGGCGGGCGGGGGCGGGGGCGGGGCGCGGGGCCGGGAGAGCCACAGGGAGTCCGCGCGCAATCGAGCGCCGATGGCACGGATGCGAGGCGGGGAAGGCCGAACCGAAGGGCAGAGCCGCGCCGGCGGCCCGAGGGGACCGCGCTGGGAGGGGCTGCCGCGCAGCGCGGGGGGACTGGGCGCAGGGCGGGCCCCGGGTAGTGGGTGAGAGGGCCGGCCTGGACCCGGCGGGCGCACGGCTCCGAGCCCAGCGCAGCCGAGCCGGTCTGCAGAGGGGCCCCCAGAACTTTGTGTGTGTGTGTGCACGCGCGCGCGTGTGTGCCCAGGTGCGAGGGTTCGCGCGTGTGCTGGCGGGGAGGGAACCGACCCGAAAGAGAGCCCCACGCTGGCAAAGTGGCTCGCCCATCTCACAGCCGGTTGGCGCTCGCGGAGGTAGGAGTGGAATGAATGAATGAAGGAGTGGGCGCGCGCCGTGCTCCGGAGGAGGGCGGGTGAGTGGAGGAGCTTCGGAAAGCCACACGAGGTCAGAGGCACCGAAGCCCTGCCGTGCACGCCGCGGAAATGCAGCCCCCGGGGTGGTCGCTGGGTTCCTGCCGGAGTCTGGCTTCCACGCCACCCTGATCTTCTCCTCCTCGCGTCTACACTGTCCCGAGGGCCGCCACTCCATCACTTGAATGGGAGCTCACAACTCTCTGGGTCCTCGCTTTTCTCAGCGCTCTCTCCTATCAGGGCTTCCGCTAAACACTCTCCAGACTCTCCCCAGCCGGGAGCCTCTCCAGGTTTGCTTCTCCAGCTGCCTCCCGGATGCTTGGATAGGATGCCCTGCCATCCCCTCCAACTTAGGAAGACTTGTTGAGTCTCCTCTTAGGCACTGTTTTTAAAACTGTGGGTCGTGACACAGTAATAGATCATAAAATAAATGCAGCGGAAGGCAACCAGCTTTCAAAAAGAACGAAATGGAATCCAATAGAAAATATTAGAGTCCATTGCCCTTAGTAAGGGCAACTATTGTTTCATAAACCTTTTGTTTCGATTATAGGTACTGGACAAGTGTACTGGACCATGATGTCAATTTTATTTCCGTCTGTGAATCGTGGGTTTAAAAAAGTTGAAAAGCTATCTGTGTAAAATAATGATCTCTAACACTGTATAACTTTCTTAAAAACAACCTCGTGATTTTCTCACTACTTCTTATCCTTTCCGGTCTCCATCCTCCGTTCCCATCCTTCAGTCCTTCCCAAAAAAGGCAAGCTCTTTCACACTTTTTTAGTGGTACATCACGACACCTTCCTCTGTGTGATCTTGTACTCTGCGGTCTTCCTTGCCCCCATAATCAATGCTACACTTCCTATCCCTTCTCTTAACCTAATGCCATTCACGTTTGCAGAATCCTAGACTACTGTTGCTAAAAGGACCTCAGAGGTCATCTGGGCCAGCCCTGCCCTTTTAGAGTTGAAGAAATGGAGTCCAGAGAAGTAAAATCTGTTGCCCAATGTCACACAGTATTGAAGCTTAGGAATAGGTCTCGTGGCTCCCACTCTAGTGTTTTTTGCTCCACACCGGTCATTTATCTCCTTCCCTTCTATCCTCCCTGCAATCTTTAACTTTAGTCTTGGCCCAGGTCATCCTAAATATTGCCATCTTCATAATACGTGGTTCTGGCCATGCCACGCTCCTGGCTAACATCCTCTAAGGACTCAACCTCTGCAGGTGGGGCTGAGTGCCTTGGCTTTTCATCAAGGCAGGCGAGTCCTGACTTAGCTTTCTAAGGACATGAGTTCAGCAAGTCACTGCTTCTCTAGCCAAACTGGTTTACTTGTAGCCCAGTGCCAGCTTCACCCATCTCTGTCACTGTGCCTTTGCCCAAGCGGTCACTTTCCCACCCACTTTCCCAGAGGGGTACCTTCTCCATCTTCTCTCTTTAAGCAGATTCTACCTGTGCCTGGCTCACCTCCTCCACAAAACAGCCCGAGATAGCGTGGGAGTAAGTCAGACCTAGGTTCAAATCCTAGCTCTTCCACTTAACTATGTGATCTTGGTCAAAATGCTTAACCTCTCTGAGCCTCAGTGTCTGTATTTTGATTATGAGAAGGAGAACAATAGTAATGTTCTCCTTTTGCATCTGTAAATCTCTATCATAGCCTTCACCACACAGGTATGTAACTCCCTGTTAATACATACCCTACATGCATGTCTCTCTGCCCCTTTCTAGTGCTGGCCATTAGAACTTGCTGCCATAATGGCAGTGTAGCTACTTATGTCTGTGGAGCACATGAAATGTGGCTAGTATGACTGAGGAACTGAATTTTTAATTTTAATAACCATGGGTGGTTAGTGGCTACCATTTTGGACAAGGTGTCTCTAGACTGTAAGCTCAGTAAGGACAGAAACCATGTTTTTCTTGTTTTGGATTGTATGTCCAATAACTGCATTGCCTAACGCATGGTGAGTACTGCACACATATTTGTTGAATGGATGATAGCTGCAATTTGTTGCATGCTCCCTTGTGTCCAGCACAACACTACAAACTCGATAAAAGGCATTTCATATAGTCCTCATCACAGCCTCTGAGGCTGGGTTAGATTAGAGAGAGAGTTTTATATAGAGGGCAGACACATAGTAGGGGTTCAATAAAAGTTATTATTATTCTAACTCCTCCCTCTGACCAGCCCCACTGACTTTTGTCTCATCTTTCCTTAGGCTCACAGAACATTTCCTGCCTGTTGCTCACACTCTGTTGTCCACAGCATACCCGCACCCTAGATGGCTGACTCTTGTCTTCTGTGTAGGTACCCTGTGTTCATAACTGGATTGGCAGCGTCTTGGAGCAAGGCCCTGCTTTATAGGACTGCCCCTGAATTCAGCACTGACCAGTGTTCAGTAACTGCCTCTAAGTCCATCCCAGCTGCTGTCTAGCAGTGAGTGATTCTAGGCAGTCTTAAAATGAATATCACTTGTGTCAACCGAAAACATTTTACAGGTAGTCTCCTCCCCATAAGAAGGGAACAATCTTGGGCAAGGAAATAGAGTCCCATGGAAGGGGAACAAGATGGAGCCATACAGACAGAGGTCCACCTTCTCTTCAGACCACCATGACTGAAGCTGTATCCATGAGATGCAAAACATGCATTCAATTGAGCTAGCGAAGTTCGTATGATATAACGGAAAAATATTCTTGAAATGAGCTTAGATTTTCCTTCATGAATTGGCAGACTGAGTATACTAATTGTCTCCTTTCCTTCCGGTGACTGCAGTCAAGTGGCAGCAAGGTATAAACCTAACAGTGAAATGTCACTGAAGGAGAGCATGGGAGCTGGGAGGAGAGAGGATCTGTGACAGAACCTGGGGAGTACCAGTATTTGAGACATGGGAAGAGGAAAAAGAGCTCCCCATGGACAAGAGGGCAGAGAAGTTGGAGGACAGCCAGGACGGGGGATTCCTCAACATCCCAGCAAGGTCAACAGTGCTGCATGCTATTGAGAGGCCCACGTCAGATGAAAGCAGAAAAGCAGCTGGGTGCTGTGGCTCACGCCTGTAATCCCAGCACTTTGGGAGGCTGAGGCAGGCAGATCACCTGAGGTCAAGAGTTTGAGACCAGCCTGGCCAACATGATGAAACTCCATCTCTACTAAAAACACAAAAAAAATTAGCCAGACGTGGCGGTGGGCACCTGTAATCCCAGCTACTTGGGAGGCTGAGATAGGATAATCGCTTGAACCCAGGAGGCAGAGGTTGCAGTGAGCCGAGTTCTAGTGCCATTGCACTCTAGCCTAGGCAACAAGAGCTAAATTCCATCTCAAAAAAAAAAAAAAAAAAAAAAAGGCAGAAAGGCATCAATTGGATTTAGCAACAAGAGTTGCATTAGTGACTTTGGTGAAACTAGTTTGGAGGGAAATACAGGTTTCTTAAATTCTACCTGAATATGTGTCCTGTTTTATGGGTGGAGATAGTAGAAGGATGGGGAGGGCTAAGGAGGTACCAGAAAAGAGCACCAGAGATTGCTCCAAGCAGAGAGGGCCTTACCAGTCATGGGCCTGAGACAATGAGAGGGGTCTGGGAGCTGTCCCATTTGGCTAGAGATAGTGTGCATTGTATTTTATTTATTTAATAAGCACATTAGCAGTCAGTGTTCTAAGGAGTTTAATCAATCATTTAAAAAAATCACTTTTTTTTTTTTTTAACAGTACATGGAACTCTAGGTTGCCAAAATACCATTTAACTTCAGGGTGCATTGAAGAACAATAATAAAGGCAAGAAAACTGGAAAGGATTTAGTAACCATTTATACCAGTTACCTCTCCTTAATTTGCCTTTCTACAAAATGGTGCAAGTCATATCTTTCTCAGGAGTTGGTAGAGTGAACATGGGGGAGCTTTGACCTCATTTCAAGTTCATTTTGCTTACAGGACATGGAACAAAGGGTCTTTTTTTTTTCATGTATGCCTATAGTTGTGAAACTGCACAACATCACAATATCTTCAAGGCCACAGGATAGAGATAACCCTCTTTTTGGTGTATGCATTTAGGTGTGTATGTCTCTCTTACTCTCAGGGTATTCTTAGCATGATGTCTGTGTGGCTTGTATCTTATTCTCACTTGGTGTGTGTTGCTCTTATTTTCCTGACAGCTCTTTATTTTCCATGTGTGAGCCTGTGCCTGTGGTTTATCTCTGGAGGATGTGCCTGAGGGAGGTAGGTCACTATCTCAAGTTCTGTCTTTTGATATCACACCTCTCTTTTGGTCTCTTGCTGTATCTCTATTTTCCTCTCTTTCTGACTGTGTGTCTAATTTTCTTTTTCTCTGTATCTTTCTATCTTTTCCACACATTCTTTATTTCTTCTTCCTCTCCCTTTATTTTAATTCTGTTTCTTAACAAGTCATAATAGAGACCTATTTTTGTTTGGATTATTCTTAAGAAATTACCTTGTCTTTCTGCTTTAAACCTTTGATCGGTTTCAATGATACAGTTTGTAACAGAGTAGTATTTAATAACAAAACTCTTTAACTGAAAGCTTCAGTAACAAGACATTACACTCACAGAGAATTTAAAAGAGTAGACATTTCATTCAAATGAGGAACAATAGAGCTGTGGCTTTAAGGGCAAAGGGGAGAGCGAGGCTTGGCAGGGTGAAGGGAATCTGATTGTGGAAATGGCAGTCTTGGAGAAATTACACTGGCAAAATCAGGGGAATAGGGAAACATCATTCATTTTTCTGCTTTTGCTCCTAGAAGAAAAATGATCAGACACCTGAACAGGGGTGCAGGAAAAGCAAAGCGATGCCATAAGAGCATTGAGCAGAAAGGAAATATGGCAAAAAAAAAAAAAATGCAATCAGCCTATGAATGAAAAGAAGCTGTAATGTAGATGCACAGAAGGTAGGGCGATTTTGTTGGAGGTTGCGGGAATGGCAGATTAGGATGGATTTGCACATGAGAAGCAGTTCAGAGAAGCAACCCAACCCTGCAGAGAAATTTCTGTGATTATGGGAGGTAGGTAATAGCTTGGTTTTCCTGACCTGCAGTCCAGGCTGAACTTGGACAGACTAGGTAGAAATGGTGCAGAAAGAAGCTTGGGGTGGAGGCAGAAATAAAGGTAGACTGAGGAGAGCTCTTTTAAAAGCCTGCAGGTCCTGTTAAGCCTACCTCAGCCATGAATCAGTGGACCTGTGCATTTCTGTACAGTGTGAAGTTTCAATTGTAAGGTTTCCTCCCACTGACATGAAAGAGCTTGCTCCTATCTGGCAACCCCTGGAGGGGCTTGACTGTCACGGCAGAGGGCAGTTAGGACTGACTCTTTGCTCTGAGGTTGCCAGTGGCTTCTTAGATTGCAAATCGCATGCCCTTTCTTAGCCCCTCCCCTGCTTGATCTCTAAGCAAACATGAGTTAGTTAGACACTGTTAATCACCTCACTCTTCTTGAATCACTCCCCTCCCTTCACATCCTTCACATGCATGCTTGTTTAGTTTTTTTTGTTTTTTTTTTTTTTGTATTTTTTCCCAAAATTCCTAGTCCTTCCTCCTTTCACATGCTTGTTTAGGTTTTTGTTTTTGTTTTTGTTTTCAATACTCCTAGCCTGCCTTCCTGCCTTCCTGCCTGCCTGCCTGCCTGCCTTCCCCCTTCCCTCCCTCCCTCCCTTCTTTCTCTTTCTTTCTTTCCTTCTTTCGTTTGTTCTTTCTTTCATTCTTTCTCTCTCTCTCTCTCTTCCTTCCTTCCTTCCTTCCTTTCTTTCTTCCTTTCTTTTTTTCCTGAGAAAATCAATTCATCAAATGTTCAGCTACAGCTTACTATGTGCTAGATTCTGTAGCAGGACCTGGGAGTATAAAAGGGAATAAGCCATAGCCCTGGCTTTCAAGGAGCTCAAGTTCAAAGAAAAACCACCAAGCAAGGAGCATGATACAATATAATGAGTGCAGCAGTAAAAAGGATGCACATGGTCAAAAGATAGTACAGAGGGACAAATGGCAAGGAGTGTGTTTGGGGCAGGGGAGGTGGCACGTCTGTGCCTGGCACTGCGAGTTCTGGCAGGTGACAGCAAATAGGATAGAAAGATATGAATGTCTAGGATATGTAAGAAATTATAATATTGCTAAACATGCAAAGCAAGGCCGAGACAGTGGTCAGGAATGACGCTGGAGATTGTATGCCAAGCTGAAGAACTTATACTTTATTCTGAATGCACCAGATGTGGGGAAAAATGAATTCAATTTTGAACATGTTGAGTCTAAAGTACCTATGAGATATTCAGATAGGGATGCTCAGTTGCCAGGTGGGTGTACAGGACTGGAGCTCAGCCAAGGGTTTTTAATAGGAGATAGAGATTGTTTTGAGTCATCAGTAAGTGTATAATGCGTGGCTGATCCATAGGAGGTGAGATCACACAGGGAGAGGTTACATGGCAGCATTTCTCAAAGTGTGGTCCTTGGGCTGCCTGCATCGAAGGGGCTTTCTAAGGATGCAGACTCCTCAGGCAGAACCCCAAACCCACTGACTCAGGAATCTCTGGGGGTGGCACCTGGAAATCTGCATTTTGAATTTACTCCCTAGGGGATACATTTACACAAAGCAGTTCCATAACTACAGGTGTGGAGAGAGAGGCTAAGAGGCTAAAGGAGGGAACTAAGAAGAGAGAGACCTGATCATTTAGGGGCCGTGTCCTTCTCCCTTCACCCTGTTTCTTGATGGACTGGACCTAAGCTCTCTTCTGTTCCCTTTCTGCTTGTTCTCTTGGCAAGCTGATCTCTAGATCTCTGAGGCTGGTATTTGAATTGACATAGTCTCATTAGCTCTTGTCCCACATTTCCACCTGCTTTCCAGACACTGCTACCAAATGGAACTCATCTCCTCCCAAACCTCCTTCTGGTAAACAATAACCACCTCCTAGTCCTTCAGCTCCAGCCATTGCAGGTCAACTGCCAGGACCCATTGTTTCGTTGTTGTTGTTGTTGTTGTTTTTTGTGTGATAGCTTTTCACATTCTTCCATTCCTCTTCCTTTCTACTGCCAGTACCTGATTGAGCCTATCCCTACCTCCTCCTTGGACTGCTGCGCTATTTTTTTAACAGATGTCCCTGACTCCAGTCTCTCCCTCGTCTTTAATTCACATAACTGATTGTTGACAACATTGGCTTCCTGCGCACTGCATACCATTGCTCAGAGATGTTCGGAGTCACCATATTACTGCACAACAACCTTCATCACCTTAACCTGACACCTAAATCCCATCATGATCTGCCCAAAATCCCCTTCCCAATCTCATCTCCCACTCTTGCATCTCGTGCATCCTAAGCAATAGCTGCACAGCTTTGTCTTTGTACATGCCAGCCTCTGCCCAGAGTGTCCTGAACTCCACGTCTTCCCCATCCTTTAAGACCCAGTTCACATGCTATTTCCTTCATGAAGCCTTTCCTATTCCCCAGCCCACATCCCCAGAGGTCATTTATCCTTTATTCTCCCCAAAGCATATTTTAGGTCTGTTTCTGCTGCATTCATTTTTTCCTATCTAGTATTAGAGGGTTTTTTTTTTGTTTGTTTGTTTTTTGTTTTTTTAATGTCTCGCCTTTCCCTCTATGGGAGCAATGAAAGAGGGACTGACCATCAGGAACATTAGGTCCATCACTTTTAACTGGATGATGATAAGGGAAATGATTTCATTTCTCTGCACCTCAGTTTTCTCATCTATAGAGTGAGATAATAATGTCTGCCTCATCAGTAGAAATTATTCATGTGAAGGAAGGGGAAGATAAACTATACAAGGCAACAAAACACCGTAGTGTCAGGTATGAAGGAGACACTTAATAAATCTGTACTGAATCCATGAGAAAGGGTATACTTCTAGACAGCTTTGAACCGTTCTGGGAATATAATAATTAAGTGATAGAATGCAAGGAAGAATTTAGTTTTGGGATTACCTGTTTTTATTTTAGTGAAAAGTTTCACAGATAGACCTTTTACTTCCAACAACTTCAAGGCTTAATTTTATTTTTTAAGCCTAGGGTTCTTTTTTCTTTCTTTCTTTTTATTTTATTTTTTCATATAATCCTGAAGCTTTTCACTCTATGTGGAAGACACACGTGGTTGCCTGCTGCCTATCTCTGGTGCCTTCTTCCTCAGTTGTAGAACTCTGATTTTATTTAGGCAGTACTGTACCTGCCCAAGAAAGTAAATTATGATTGGTTTAAGTCAGTTGCAGCAAATCAGTCATGTTTCCAGTGGTGGTCATGTGGCCCAATGAGATAAAAGGTAAAACTTGGAGACTTCTGAGAAAGTGTCTCCTTTCTCATAAAGGTGTGTTCCATGGGAAGAGGTGGTCCATTTCCTTTCCCTCTTTTCAGCCATATCCTAGTAGGATGGGATGCTTTAGGTGGGATCAATTAGAGTGATGTCTTGCAAGTAAGGAAGTAAACTGGCTTTGGAACCACTGACCTCCAGCCTTATTGAGAGGAGAGCTGTCTTTATGAAGACACCTTTAGCAAGGATCCCATTACCTACAGCTAACAGCATCTTAGTCATTTTTAGGAAGAATTTAGTTTTGTGATTTCCTTATGTGTTTTATCACAGTCTGTGTATAGATCTTTTAAAAATAATTCAACAGCTTCAAAGTGTAAGTTAAGAAAAAAACAAATAATCTTTTGTCATAGAATTCTGAGGATTTTCGTTTGTATGTATGAGATGAATTTGAATTTTTAAAGAATTTCTTTTGGAATATGGCAATATCTTCAGCTTGCATTCCACTTGCCCTAGGTGGTACACTTCATCAACTTTCAGAAGCTGCTGATTGGTTTTGCTTATCTTTTCTTTAGGAGACATATACTGCCTGGACTGCCTGGCTGATGTGAGCTAGTTTGTCTGGTTGAGTTGGATGTTTAAATAGAAGGCAGAACAACAACAGGTAAGATTTTTAAAAATATCCTTTAATTTCTTTGGGCTCTATTGACATTATTACATTCATTACAAACTTCTGGATGTTAAGTCCTGTGTTTAATAGCCAGAGAGGGGAAGGTGGTGGGCAGCTGGGAGAGTGGTGACTAACAAGATGGCACCACCGGGTTCCTGAGTTTGAGGGTTGGGTAAAGCCAGGGCAACGACTGGGATGGCCAAGGAGAGCAAGCAGTAGAAACTCAGGTCCAAAGGGCATTAGGCGTGAAACCTAACCTGACCACCCTATTTCATATTGCAACTTGCCCCTCTACCCATGCTGTCCTCTACTGCACCCCATTTTCCCTTACCTGGTGTTCTTAACCTTTTTTCTTTTTCCTGTGGATTTCTTCTGCAGTCTGGTGAAGCCTGGGATTGCCCTCTCAGAATAATGTTTTTAAATGTATTGAATAAAAACACATAAGACTACAAAAGAAGCTAATTATATTGAGATACAGTTACTAAATGTGTATTTCTTTATTGATACAATTTTGAGAAACAGTTACTAAATGTGTGTTTCTTTATTGATACATTAAATAACAAGATTTAACCACAGGTCCAATAGCTACAAAATAGTGATGAATGTAAACAACAGTTCAAGAAATCTGCAACAATTGTCAATCTGATACAAAATGTCTGTGATTTCAATTGGTAACAAAGTTATAGGTATTGCTGTGGCTTCTGAGGTTGTTAGCCTACAGTCAGGTTTGAAGGTTTAAGATTAATGAAAATAAACGTGCCATTTTTCCCCCTATCCAAGTTCACAGATCCCCTGAATTCTATCCATGAAGATGCTATGAGTCTGGAACTCCAGGATAAGAATCCCTGCTCTTATCTTATTCTGCTATATCTGCATAGTATTTATTCTCTTCTAACATCATTTATTATTTACTTATTTTTAAAGTTCATTTTTATGGTCTGATTCTTTCTATTAGAATGTAAGTTTCACAAAGTCATTGTCTGTTTTGTTCACTGATACATTTCAAGTGTCTAGAACAGTGCCTTGTACTTACTTGTGGCTCAATAAATACTTGTTACATGAGTAAGTCCAGAATGCACCAGCATCTGAGTCTAGACAGAGGAGCCAGGCCCATGGTCCTTCTGAATGTGGGGCACCATGCAGCTGCACCCATCAAACTGCCCACCAGCCAATTCTCTTGTACTTTGGAGGGAGCCAGACTGCTATGTGGAGGTGGACTTGGAGACACTGAGTTCTGCCCATGGCACCATTGGGATTGGATGTGTGGAGGAGAAGAGGAAAGGCTTAGGGCTGGGAATGAAAAATGCACATGGCACATGGAATGGCCGTGCCCTAGGGTTGGCCTGCCCCAGACTGGGGCCAGGTGTTAGACAACAGTTAATACAAAATATGTTTAGACAAATAGATCGGGCCTGGACTGGGGAGGGCCTTTAGTGCCCAGCAGAAGTATTTACATCTATTTCCAAAAGCAATAGAGAAGCACTGAATATTTTTGAGCAGGAGTCCAAGTTGGTAGAATGAAAGAAGGGCTGGAAATAAGGGCTATAAGATTTTGAGTTTAAGTGCCCACCTTATAAATCATTAGCAAAAGCAGAATATAACCCTTTCTCCAATTCTGTATGGGTGACACCCACCAGTCTGGTAAATGGAGGTCGTTAGTGTGATGGGGTGTCATTCTCACTTTGTTTAGCACCCCCACTAGATATACATATTCACTTTTTGCCTTTTTTATAATAATTTGAGAAGTTATAGAAAATGCTTATACATTTAATATGTTTAATCTCTCTCTCTCTCTCTCTCTCTCTCTCTTTCTTTCTCCCTTTCTCCACAGGGTCTTGCTCTGTTGCCCAGGCTGGAGTGCACTTGCAGTAGCATAATCACAATTCACTGCAGCCTCAACCTCCCAGGCTCAATCATTCTTCCTGCCTCAGCCCCCAAAGTAGCTGGGACTACAGGCATGCACCACCATGGCTGGCTAAGTTTTAAAACTTTTTTGTAGAGACATGGTCTCTCTGTGTTGCCCAGGCTGGTCTAGGACTCCTGGGCTCAAGCAATCCTCCCACCTCAGCCTCCCAAAGTGCTGAGATTACAGGTGCAAACTATCTCACCCAGCCTTTAATCTTTTTATTAGTGAGATATCTGACCCAACGGCTAGGATCTGATGGTCTTTTTAGTATGGCCTCAAATCACTGTATCCTGTAAGCATTTTTTTTTTTTTTTGAGCTGGAGTCTCTGTTGCCCAGGCTGGAGTGCAATGGCACAATCTCAGCTCACTGCAACTTCTGCCTCCTGGATTCAAGTGATTCTCCTGCCTCAGCCTCCCGAGTAGCTGGGATCACAGGTGCCTGCCACCACACCCGGCTAATTTTTGCATTTTTACTAGGGATGCGGTTTTGCCATGTTGGCCAGGCTGGTCTTAAACTCCTGACCTCAAGTGATCTCCCCTCCTCGGCCTCCCAAAGTGCTGGGATTACAGGCGTGAGCCACCGCACCCGGCCTAAACATATTTTCTTCTAGAGTGTTTTTAGGTCTGCACACGGAGTCCTAGGTCAATGCCAACACCAACTCACACTGAGCCCTAACTATGGAATCGGAGCAACATCATTATTTAGGCCCATGGACAAAATACCAAAGTAATCTGTTTCTATGTTCCATTATTTCCTCCTCTCCATACATTATACATACAACAATTTCCCTTTATCACACGTACCTGTGACTACGTGGGAATCATTCTATCCCAAATTGCTGCAGCACAATCTGAGGCTTACTAAATATTTGCCTCAGCCATAAAGCTGATAGAGCATTAGTTTAAAATGCAAGTAGGGACCATGAGGATCTTTTGGGTTTCATGTTGAAACATTCAAGCTGCTCTTCCTACTACGGCTATTACTACTAAATGCATTATATGATTTTTGAAAACTAGAACAATCCAAGTCTGGCTAATTTTTTAAAATTCCCATTTCTTTCACTTTCCCAACTGTTGTCTATTCACCCTTTATTCTACCTTTAAAGCAAGAAAAACTGAAATAATTATTTGGAAAGTTTTTTCACTTCTGTCAAAACAACAAAACCTATATCGTTTGAGTGATTAGTCAAGGACAGTTGACAAAAGGACAGTAGTCAAAAAGAAAAATGGCTCCCTAAACTCTTAGAGAAAAGAAATCAAGCTTGCATTGTGATCAAACTAAATGAATGTACATAGTAATAAGCAAAAATTCAAATGGCAGACCATGTTTTTCTTGCACCTATGAATTCATTCTGATGGATAAGATAGATGGCTTAGGACTCCATATTACATTTGTATGAATTAATAGATATTAGGGGAATGTGTAATAAGTGACTGCATGATTGACTGATACAGGTTTTGGATTTTTACTTTTATTTTTCTGAGACAGGGTCTCACTGTGTCACCCAGGCTGGAGTGCAGTGGTGCAATCTTGGTTCACTGCAACCTCTGCCTCCCAGGCTTAAGCAATCCTGCCACCTCAGCCTCCTGAGTAGCTGGGACTACAGGCACCCACCACCACACCCAGCTAATTTTTGTATGTTTTTGTAGAGATGGAGTTTCACCATGTTGTCCATGCTGGTCTCGAACTCTTGAGCCCAAGCCATCCTCCTGCCTTGGCCTCCCAAAGTGCTGGGATTACAGGCATGAACCACTGTGCCTGGGCTTAGGTTTTGGATCTTATATCTGATTATCCACAAAAAAGAACCCAGAAACACTAATATAGTGGAAGCCATTGCCTCAGTTAGGTAACACTAGTTGTGGTGACAGATAAATGCTAACGGTAGCCTAACACAATGAAAGTTTATTTCTCGTTCTGACAACAGTCAGCATAGGGGTTTAGTGAGTGGCCTTCCACATAGTAATTCAGGGACTTAGGCGTCCCCTACCTGTGAGTGGGAGCCTCGGAGGCCTTCACTTCCAGCTGGCAGATAGAAGGAGAGAATGGAGGATACCCCCACGGGAGATTTTTACGGGCCAGGCCTAGGTGTGGAGTGCTGGTTCCCTTTGCACTCTATGGGCCACAACTCAGTGACATGGCTACCTCTAACCAAAGGCAGGCTGGGAAATGATCACATATGATGCAGCTACTAAAAATAATGTCTGAGTTATACCCATTGGCCAAGGGGAAGTGTCCGTGATATATTCGTGAGAGGATTAAGTTTCAGAGTATGTTGTATTGTGTAATATTTATAAAAAGAAATGTGAAAATCCCTAACTATAGTGCATGTCTTTGTATAATCCTAGTGAAAGGTGCAGGCGGCTGTATAACCCAGGCCCCGCACATCTATTACCACGGATTTGGGTATGGAGGCAGTGGCAGAGACATGAAATTATTAACTTTTTCTTTACATATCTTTGGAATGTTTTGTTTTTTTTTTTTTTTTCATTTCTTGCAGTGATCTCATACTTACTTTGGAATTAAATTTTTAGGTATAATTTTAAAGTATGGGTGGTAGTTTTTGTGAAATTTAGAAAAAAGAAGTGAAGAAGAATGTGTTTGTGCATCTCCACACTGTTATATTTTTTTCCTGTGGGAAGATATTTTTCGAAGTGGAGCAGAGCTTGTGTGTGTTCCAGGGTATGCTATATCCCATAGAAAGCACACCTCAAGACTGATTCCATGTTTAGCAAGTTATCTCCACATTAAAACTTTAATTTATCAGTTTCGTGCATATCATATCATGCACATAAGTGCCCTGAACCTGAATATTCCTGTCCTAAAAGGATATACTTCTCATTCTAAATCAATATATTGATATTCTGATTTGGGAAAGATAAAGCCAGTCTGGGGTTTTATAGGAATAGATCAGCTCATCAGATCCTGATAACTCTTGAGTAAACTGGTAAAATAGAGTTACCAAAACCACAAGGCTAAGACCTGGACTCCTGGCTTTACAGAGATTCATCCAATATCCACCCCTTCCAAGGAGAGCCAGCCAGCTTCACCCATGGTCGGCTTGGTGGTTTGTTTACTGGCCTGCATTATCACCTACCTACTTGTCTTTATTCTCTCTGCAGGTCCCAGAGGTTTGTCTTTTATGTCAAATTTTTCTGTAGAACTTCACCCAGCATCTAGATACAGTTTATTGACAATGAAAACAAAACAAACAGACATAGAACACAGTGATGGGAATACAGGTGGTTATTCTTGAGGGACTGCATGAAGCACAGTTGGACAAATAGCCAGTCCTCTTTATCTGCAGGGATGAGGGCAGGGACAGAAATCAGACTCCCTGTCTGCTTTTACTCATAGGAGACTGAGTTTGCTTTTCATTGGGTCCTAGACTTCCAAGTCAACCCTACTACATCCAAGTCATCAAAGGATGAATGAGGGAGGAGAGAAGGGTATACTTTCATCCCTGTCCTCCAAAAGAGATATCCTGGAAAATGCACTTTTAAAGTCATAACTATCATTTGAGGCCCAGGTAAGAGAACATCAATAGGAAACAAAGCAAGATGGTAAAGGAAAAGAAGAGCAATAAGAATGCTTGGTGCGAAGTAGGGTCATGTGGCTGTTTGTCTGCAGCCTGCCTGATTCATGGCTAACTAGACAAAATGTTCAGACCAGGTCACCAGTTTTTAGATATGTAATTGAATGGTTATCTACTATGGGAATGGTATAAACTAAAAATATTATAAAACATCTCTCTAGAAATCCTGTGTCATTAATACAATTTAAAAAGTACTAACTGGGCCAGGTGCAGTGGGTCACACCTGTAATCCCAGCACTTTGGGGAAGGCTGTGGCGGGCAGAGCACTTGAGGTCAGGAGTTCAAGACCAGCCTGGCCAACATAGTGAAACCTTGTCTCTACTAAAAGTACAAAAAAATTTAGCTGGACATGGTGGCGCACTCTTGTAGTCCCAGCTACTCAAGAGGCCAAGCCAGGAGAATCACTTGAAGCTGGGAGGTGGAGGTTGCAGTGAGCCAAGATCCACCACTGCACTCCAGCCTGGATGACAGAGCGAGAATCCATTAAAAAAAAAAAGTATTTATTGAACACCTACTCTGTGCCAAACACCGTTTTACTGAGTGGCAAACAACAGTGAACACCTTTGTAGTGAAAGGCAAGACAGAGACCCAGAAAAAACAAACAAGGGAGTGTAGTTTGTGATACTGGGGCCAAATGAAAGACTCTTGTTATAAATTTGATGGACTTTTAGGGGATGGGAAGATCACAATCTGCTGAAAGAGTCAAAGAAAGCTTACATGTTGAGCCAGGCATTTAGGGATGGATTTGATTTACAAAAGCAGAGAGGAAAAGGAAACATATTTCATATGAGATTGAATAGCATAATAATGAAAACATTTACAAAGTGCTTTACAGTTTGCAGAGCATTTTCGCATTCATGATTCAGAGTGAAAATAAGCCAAGCTTTTCAGAGCCAAGTGTTGAGACCAATCTGACTTAGTAGAAAGTAATCATTCCTTCTTACCTCTCTCTCCTGTCTTCCCTTTCCTGATCAGGGTTCACGGTTTCATATTGACTTCTTAATCCAAAGCCCTTTTATAGGGGATTTCTTCTACAAAGAAGTGGCAAAGAGAATGAGAAGGCTGCATTTCTTAAAGAAAATGCATCTTAATGCTTGTATGGGTGTGTGTATGGTGCACGTGCATGTATATGTGTTTGCTAACAGTTGGCACAAGACACTTTCTTTTTTTTTTTTGGTCTGTTTATTTGAGATGGAGTTTCACTCTGCTGCCCAGGCTGGAGTGCAGTGGCATGATCTCGGCTCGCTGCAACCTCTGCCTCCCGGGTTTAAGCAATTCTCCTACCTCAGCTCCCAAGTAGCTAGGATTACAGGCATGCACCACCATGCTGGCTAATTTTTGTATTTTCAGTAGAGATGAGGTTTCACCATGTTGGCCAGGCTGGTCTCAAACTCCTGACCTCAAGCAATCCATCTACCTTGGCCTCCCAAAGTGCTGGTATTACAGGCATCAGCCACCACACCCAGCCAACACTTTCTATATGGGATGAACAAGACATTTTGTGCTTTATAATCCCAGTGTAGATATCTTCTGGACTTTGAAGAACTTCCCTTTTCTAGCCAATCTTCTGTCTTCTCCCTTTCTTTTTTTTTTTTATTATACTTTAAGTTTTAAGGTACATGTGCACATTGTGCAGGTTAGTTACATATGTATACATGTGCCATGCTGATGCACTGCACCCACTAACTCGTCATCTAGCATTAGGTATGTCTCCCAATGCTATCCCTCCCCCCTCCCCCCACCCCACAACAGTCCCCAGAGTGTGATATTCCCCTTCCTGTGTCCATGTGATCTCATTGTTCAATTCCCACCTATGAGTGAGAATATGCGGTGTTTGGTTTTTTGTTCTTGTGATAGTTTACTGAGAATGATGTTTTCCAGTTTCATCCATGTCCCTACAAAGGACATGAACTCATCATTTTTTATGGCTGCATAGTATTCCATGGTGTATATGTGCCACATTTTCTTAATCCAGTCTATCATTGTTGGACATTTGTGTTGGTTCCAAGTCTTTGCTATTGTGAATAATGCCGCAATAAACATACGTGTGCATGTGTCTTTATAGCAGCATGATTTATAGTCCTTTGGGTATATACCCAGTAATGGGATGGCTGGGTCAAATGGTATTTCCAGTTCTAGATCCCTGAGGAATCGCCACACTGACTTCCACAATGGTTGAACTAGTTTACAGTCCCACCAACAGTGTAAAAGTGTTCCTATTTCTCCACATCCTCTCCAGCACCTGTTGTTTCCTGACTTTTTAATGATTGCCATTCTAACTGGTGTGAGATGGTATCTCATTGTGGTTTTGATTTGCATTTCTCTGATGGCCAGTGATGATGAGCATTTTTTCATGTGTTTTTTGGCTGCATAAATGTCTCCTTTTGAGAAGTGTCTGTTCATGTCCTTCGCCCACTTTTTGATGGGGTTGTTTGTTTTTTTCTTGTAAATTTGTTTGAGTTCATTGTAGATTCTGGATATTAGCCCTTTGTCAGATGAGTAGGTTGCGAAAATTTTCTCCCATTTTGTAGGTTGCCTGTTCACTCTGATGGTAGTTTCTTTTGCTGTGCAGAAGCTCTTTAGTTTAATTAGATCCCATTTGTCAATTTTGTCTTTTGTTGCCATTGCTTTTGGTGTTTTAGACATGAAGTCCTTGCCCATGCCTATGTCCTGAATGGTAATGCCTAGGTTTTCTTCTAGGGTTTTTATGGTTTTAGGTCTAACGTTTAAGTCTTTAATCCATCTTGAATTGATTTTTGTATAAGGTGTAAGGAAGGGATCCAGTTTCAGCTTTCCCTTTCTTAACTCAAAGTAGACCTGTTCCTCCTCACTGTTTCACCACCCCGCCTCCCTTTCACACCTCTCCTGGTTCTGTCCACTCCTCTGCCTACGTAACCAGGCCCTACTACCACCCTTCTGTTTTCAGGCCAAGCCCTACCTCCTTCACAAGCTCTTCTCCAGTTACAAATGCAACTGATTATCATTTGCACCCCTCTTCATCTCTGCAGTAGTTCTTAATTTCGTGGGGGGCATATTATATACCCTTAAGAATGTGATGAATGCCTTGGACCCTGGACACATATACACAAAAAATATGTGTCTAATCTCAGGGGATCATGTTCCCCTGAAAACATTGCTTTTCTAGATCACATTTGTTTAGAACAAACCATATACTTCACTGCCTTAAAATATACTTTTATATCATTTTGCCTAATATATATCTTCATAATTAGACTAACCTTGAGGAGAAAGCTGTTGTAGAATTTTTTGGTATCCTCATAGAACTTGGTTAAATGTAGAGCACATAGCGGTATTTAATGGAAAAGGAATGAATAAACCAACTAGGGTTCATCTATGCAATGGCATAGCATTCAGTGATAAAAATAAGCTATCAAGCCACAGAAAGACATGGAGGGGCCTTAAATGCATACTGCACTGTGAAACAAGCCAATCCAAAAAGGCTGCATACTGTGTGATTCCAACTATGATATTCTGGCATAGGCAAGACTATGGAGACATGAAGAAGACAGTGGTTTCCCAGGATCTGGGGGAGACAGAGGGGATGAACACGTGGAGCACAGATGATTTTCAGGCCAGTGAAACTATCCTGTCTGGTACTGCAATGGTGGATGCATGTCATTAAACATTTGTCAAAACTCATAAAATGTACAACACAAAGAGTGAACCTTGATGTAAACTATGGTCTTGAGTTAATGATAACATATCAATATTGGCTCATTGATTGTCATAAATGTACCACATTAATGTAAGATGTTAATGATAGAGGAAACTGGAAGGAGGGCCAGGTTTATATGGAAATGCTGTTTTCTGCTCATTTTTCTAAAAATGTAAAACAGCTCTTAAAAAATAAAGTCTATTAATCTAAAAAAAGAAGAGAAGTTTCCGATTTTGGCTGCAGCCTCTAATGACCATTGGGATAAAGAAGAGGCAATGCCTTAATACAATGCATGTATTTTAACTTTTTGAAAATTGTATCCGTCATTGTTAAGCTCAGTTAAACTTGCGCTTGACATGTCGACACAATGTCCATTTTTAAATGAACTAACAGAATTGGTAAGATATGCTCTCATGATAGAGACTCAGCCAATTCTAATGTCAATGAAAGGCTCCACATTTAATGTACACGTTTCAACATGAAGAAAATCCATTAAAATATAATTAGCGAGTTTTACACATAAATAGAAAGAAGGCCTACCTAGACCTTGCTGCCATTTAAAAGAGTTCTTTCTTCTTTGTCTGTTTTTGTATTTTTCACAGAAGCTTTGAGGAAGAGCCATAACTACCTGGAGCAGAATGATTATTTGGAGCCACAGAAAATCATTTTAGGGAGCAGTGGGTCCAGGTTCAGTGTTGTGTGTTCAACTCGGAAAGAACACAGTTGGGTGGCTGACCGGGTTACTTCTCCCCTGTGGCTCTGCTTGCATTGGTCATTGAGGTCAGGCAGGGGTTTGGCCACAGTGTTAGCCATTGGCCCTGCATTGATCCTCACATAGTAACATCTTGTTTGGTTATTAAAGTGACTGAATTGTTGGAATGAAGCATTGCAAAGTCTTGTTATTCCATCCATCTTCACAAAGACTATAAACTAACTTCACCATGTAGTGACTCAGCTGGTTGGCTAGAAAGTACCTTGTAAGATGGCCTATTCTGCCAACATTTCCTATCCCAAACAAATCTCCCAACTCTCACCAACTCTTTACATTCCTGTGTAGTCTTTAGGGTGAGGGGCTGGGAGTGGGATGGAGGAAAAGGTAGACGAATGAAGTAAAGGGTCAGTGCACAGGCAGTAAGTACTGCTGACCACTGTAATGTCCACTCACAGCTGAGATACAGTGTTCAAACTTCCCTCAAAAAAGCCACACTGCCCTCAGAGTGACTCCTTGGACCCCAGCCATGGATCTGGCCACAGCATTCATTTGATTCCATGCATTACCTCCTTGAATAATTATAAAAATTATGTTTTCCAAATAGAACAAAGAGATGCTTCCTGAAATTCTTCTCCTTGGAACACTCATGATATGCATTCAAAGTGCTTAGCCTGGGGGTCGCCATTGTGTACACACAATAAATCTTAGTGTATCAAGAATTCAGGCAGTCATGAAGCTCAAATGACAAGAATTTTTATTTTTATTTTTTTTAACAGACAGAAGTCAGGGAGGGCAGTCATTGCTTAGACAATGAGATTCAAGCAAGTGCTGTTCTAAATCTCTGAGCTCTGTAGGGGAGAAGATGGATGAAGCAGGCAGCTTGAAGAGGGAGACACGCCAGCCAGAAGGAAAAGAAAGAAGCCGGTGAAGCAGGAAGAGAAGAAAACACGAAAGGGTAGGAAGATGAGAAATGGATGCCAAGGAGAGGGAGAAAGAGATTGTCAGCAAGGGAGGCGAACCGAGGAGAAAACAGGGAGATTCCCGCATGGGTGGAGCCAAGTTTCCACTGTGCTGTGAGCAGAGGAAGCCAGGTGTATTGTTCCTGAAACTACGTTATTAACTGCCTAACATATGGCTCACAAGGTACACGTGGAAGCGAGAGCAGGAAACAAAATGCAAGTCAGCTGGGCTAACGCTGAAAAATAGTGATCTGTGTCAGTTTTGAGAAGTGTGAGAATAGAAACCTTCTATGCAGGAGATCAGCATCTTTGTCTGTTTCCTACACCGAGGCTCAAAGAGAACATTTGCTCCCAAACCATGGTAGTTCTGTTTCAGATAAAGTTGTCTCATACCAACCATAATTCATGTTCCTGATCGTGACCCTGAAGCACAAGAACCCAAGGAAGCTTCGGAATTTTCAAAGAAAAATGAATTACGTAGAGTGGTGTGACCAGCAAATGCAGTTTGAATTTTAAGTGTGTATTCTAATTTTTTAGAAGATTCTGATTCCGTGTGTGAAAGATTGAATTACCCTCCATTTTCTAGGATGTGGCCCATTTGCCAGCCAGTCTGGACCTCAGATCTTAGTTCTGGTTCTGTAACTTCAGTTGCCTGCCAGACATTTCCATCTGGGAGCCCTGTCCTCACTCTGAAACATTCTCAGAACCAGCCTCCTTCTCCACCTGCCGTCAGACATTAGCACCATTCCTCTCCCATTGTCACCTTTGATTGTCTCTTCTTTACTTCCATACACTGCTTTTTTTTTTTTTTTTTTCCGACAGTCTCACTCTGCCACCCAGAGTATAGTGGTGCAATCCCTGGTCACTGCAGCTTCCACTTCCTGGGCTCAAGCAGTCCTCTCACCTTAGCCTCCCGAGAAGCTGACACCACAGGTGCACGCCATCAAGCCCAGCTAATTTTTTTTTTTTTTGAGACAGTCTCACTTTGTTGCCCAGGCTGGAGTGTAGTGGCACAATCTCGGCTCACTGCAAACTCTGCTTCCCGGGTTCAAGCAATTCTCCTGCCTCAGCCTCCCCCAAGTAGCTGGGACTATAGGCGCACGCTGCCATGCTGGCTAATTTTTTGTATTCTAGTAGAGATGGGGTTTCAGCGTGTTGCCCAGGTTGGTCTTGAACTTCTGAGCTCAGGCAATCTGCCTGCCTCGGCCTCCCAAGTGCTAGGACTACACCATGCCTGGCCTAATTTTTAAATTTTTTTGTAGAGATGGGTTTTTGTCATGTTGCTCAGGCTAGTCTTGAACTTCTGAGCTCAAAAGATACACCCCCCTTTGGCTTCCCAAAGTGCTGGAATTACAGGCATGAGCCACCACGCCCAGCCCAATATGCTGCCAAATTTTTCTTCAAATGATTTCCTAGTTCCTTCCTTGCCATTCTTGCTGCCCTGAATTAAGCCCAGGTCCTCATTTATTGGCTTCCCACTTGACTCCTTCTATTTTAGCCAGCACACATGTTGTAGAACAACTTCCTTAATGTGGCTTTCACTTGGCTTCTGACTCAGAGTGTATGAGGTCTCCTAATTTCCTAGGGCAGTAGGCCTGGCCCTACCCCACAAGCCTCATTACCGTTTTATCTGCCCATATCCCATCACCCTCTATCCACATCTTGTTATCCAGTGGAGAGTTTCCACTTCTAGGTTCCAAGCCAGAAATGTGTGGATCATTCTGTCTTCCCTCACTTCCTTAAACAACCCGTCGGCAAGTCCCACAGACTGGATCTCCAGAGTTTCCCTGTAGCTCTTTTCTCCATGCTCACCACCCTAGTTTAGGGCAATGCCACCCTTTATTGAGACTCTGGAAGAACCTCCTGACAGTTCCTGCTCCCCTCTGGCCCCGTCAATCCATTTTCTACACAGTGGCCCAGAATGTTTAAAAATGCAAATCAGGTTGTATCATGCCTCCAGTGGCTTCTCATTGCACCTAGGGTAAAATCCAAGATCCTTATAGTAGCTTCCAAGGTCCTGCATGGCTTATCCTCTCCCTCCCTCCTCGAAGACCTCAATGCACCTGACTGAACTGATCTCAGCACGTTTCCACCTCTGGCCAGGCTCTCTACCTAATGACCCTCCTCCCTGCTTTTTGATCCATTCCACCTCTCATCTCCTAGGTCTTGGCTTAAATATCTTCAGAGAAGCCCTTCTGGACTTCCTTCAGTAGTGTCATTCCCACTTCCCGCCACTATTCTTATTACCTGTTTATTTCCTTCATACCTTTTTATCATTTGCAATGATTGTGTTTGTTTCCTCATCTTTTTTCTGCCTCCCCCAGACCTGAAGCTCCGAAAGACCCCGGAGTGTTTGTCTTGTTAACCATCGTTTCTCCAGCTGTCCACGCAATGGTCAATATGTTAGCTATTATAATTACTATTTTAATATTACTGTTTCTTGATGATTTCAGACTCTTTGGATAGAATATTCTCCCTTCTATCTGAGAGTGTTTGTGACCTTCTCATATTTCCTCATGTCCTCTGGAATCCTGACCTAAATTTTTAGTCTTTTCCTATCAGTTATCAATTGCTTACTTGTTGTTTTCATGTTTAAAAACTCATTCAACTCCATCCAAACTTTCTTCTTCTTCTTACAAAATAGTTTATAGCTAACTATATTTCCTTACTCTCATTTGTTCCTTCCCTGTATTCAGTGTCTCCCCATCAATATCTTTTATTACTCCAGAATAATTTCAGAAACAGTTTGAGACAGTTTTAAAAATAATGCCGCTGGCATTTTACTAGGGATGACATTAACCTTATCAGTTAGTTTGAGGGAAATCAGTATCTTTGCAATATCAAAACTCTTCCTAATCAAGGACAGACCACATTTTTCCATTTATGTGTTTTTAAATAAAATAATGTTTTCTTTGTATTGGCTTTTTAACATTATTGTTAAATTCCCCTTCAACATTTAACTGTTTCACTACAATATGTCTAAATCTAGGTCTGTTTTTTATTAATTTGGGCTAACATATGATGAGCTTTGATCTACAAATGCAGGTCTTGCTTCAACTTAAAAATATTTTCTTTTCTAATATCTTTAAATAGCTCTTCTGTTCTTTTTTTCTCTCTCCTTCAAAACTAGATTTCTATCACCTGTCTTTCTATGTCTAGACCTTGTTTCTGATAGTTTTGATCTCTTTGTCCTTTTTTTTTCTTTTTTGTGAGGCAGGTTCTTGCTCTGTCACCCAGGCTGGTGTGCAGTGGCACAACTCAGCTCACTGCAACCTCTGCCTCCCAGGCTCAAACAATCCTTCTACCTCAGCCTCCCAAGTAGCTGGGACCACAGGCACTTGCTACCATGCCCAGCTAATCTTTGTCCTTTTCTTTTGCATTACAGAATACAGTCCTATGCTTAGCTTTCTTTTCACTGATTGAATTATCTTCCATTGCCAGTTGTAACCACTGTGGTTGCTAAGTTTATTTACAATTCTTCCATGTCATTATTATTATTATTTGATACAGAGTCTCCTTTTGTCACCCAGGCTAGAGTGCAGTGGCCTGATATCTGCTCTCTGCAACCTCTGCCTCCCAGGTTCAAGCGATTCTTCTGCCTCAGCCTCCCAAGTAGGTGGGACTACAGATGCACGCCACTGTGTCTGGCTAATTTTTGTATTTTTAGTAGAGATGGGGTTTTACCACATTGGCCAGGTTGGTCTCAAACTCCTGACCTCAGATGATCCACCCACCTTGGCCTCCCAAAGTGCTGGGATTACAGGTGTGAGCCACCACGTCCAGTCACATTATTTTCTTAACTGTGTCAACTCTCTCATATCACTTTGTTGGCTTATCTCATTCTTACCTTTTATTTCATGGAGTCTGAGATTTTTATCTGTCCCTCCATCAAATGTAGTTTAAATATTGTTTTAAGTGTTGTTCAAATGTATTTCCATTTTCTACAGTAACATTTTTTCTTTAAAATATTCAATTTTAACACTTCTTGAGTGCTACGTGTATCCATTTTCTCGTTACAGAATAGTTGCATAGGTTACACGTGATATAGTTTGGCTGCATCCCTAACCAAATCTCATCTTGAACTGTAGCTCCCATAATCCCTACATGTTGTTGGAGGGACCCAGTGGGAGGTCATTGAATCATGGGGGTGTGTTTTTTCCATTCTGTTCTCGTGATAGTGAATAAGTCTCTAGAGATCTGATGGTTTTATAAAGGCCAGTTCCCGGCTGTTCGCAGTGGCTCATGCCTGTAATTCCAGCACTTTGGGAGGCTGAAGTGGGTAGATTACCTGAGGTTAGGAGTTCAAGACCAACCTGGCCAACATGGTGAAGCCCCATGTCTGCTGAAAATACAAAAATTAGCTGGGTGTGGTGGCGTGTGCCTGTAATCACAGCTACTCCAGAGGCTGAGGCAGGAGAATCACTTGAACCTAGGAGGTGGAGTTGCAGTGAGCTGAGATCACTCCACTGCACTCCAGTCTGGGTGACAGAGTGAGACTTGGTCTCAAAAGAAAAGAAGAAGAAGAAGAGGAAGAGGAAGAAGAAAGAAGAAAGAAGAAGGTGGTGGCAGTTCCCCTGCACATGCTCTCTTGCCTGCTGCCATGTAAGATGTGCTCCTCCTTTGCCCTCTGCCATGATTGTGATGCCTCCCCAGCCATGTGGAACTGTGAGTCCAATAAACCTCTTTTTCTTTACAAATTACCCAGTCTCTGGTATTTCTTCATAGCAGTATGAAAATGAACTAAACAGTAAATTGGTACTGGTAAAGTGGGGTACTGCTGTAAATATACCTGAAAATGTGGAAGTGACTTTGGAACTGGGTAACAGACAGAGGTTGGAACAGTTTGGAAGGCTCAGACGAAGACAGGAAAATATGAGAAAGTTTGGAACTTCCTAGAGACTTGTTGAATGGCTTTGACTAAAATGCTGATAGTGATATGGACAATAAAGTACAGGCTGAGGTGGTCTCAGACGGAGATGAGGAACTTGTTGGGAACTGGAGCAAAGGTGACTCTTGTTATGCTTTGGCAAATAGACTGGCAGCATTTTGCCCCTGCCCTAGAGATCTGTGGAACTTTGAACTTGAGAGAGACGATTTAGGGTATGTGGTGGAAGAAATTTCTAAGCAGAAAAGTATTCAAGAGGAAGCAGAGCATGAAAGTTTGGAAAATTTTCAGCCTGATGATGCAATAGAAAAGAAAAACCCATTTTCTGGAGAGAAATTCAAGCCTGCTGCAGAAATTTGCATAAGTAAGGAGCCCAATGTTAGTCACCAAGACAATGGGGAAAATGTCTCCAGGGTATGTCAGAGACCTTTGCAGCAGCCCCTCCCCTCACAGGCCCAGAGGTCTAGGGGGAAAAAATGGTTTCCTGGGCCAGGCCCAGGCCCCCACTGTGTGCAGCCTAGGAACTTGGTGCTGTGAGTCCCAGCCACTCCAGCTGTGGCTAAAAGGGGCCAAGGTACCACTTGGACTTGTGGCTTCAGAGGGTGCAAGTCCCAAATCTTAGCAGCTTTTACATGGTTTGAGCCTGCAGGTGCAAAAAAGTCAAGAATTGAGGTTGGGGAACCTCCACTTAGATTTCAGAGGATGAATGGAAATGTCTGGATGTCCAGGTGGAAGTTTGCTGCAGGAGCAGAGCTCTCATGGAGAACCTCTGCTAGGGCAGTGCAGAAAAGAAATGTGGGTTTGGAACCCCCACATGGAGTCCCCTCTAGGGCACTGCCTAGTGGAGCTGTGAGAAGAAGGCCACCATCCTCCAGACCCCAGAATGGTAGATCCACTGACAGCCTGCACCATACACCAGGAAAAGCTGCAGACACTCAACTGGGAAAGCAGCCAGAAGGGGGGCTATACCCAGCAAAGCCACAGAGGCAGAGCTGCCCAGGGCTGTGGGAGCCCAAGCTTGTGTCAGCATGCCCTGGATGTGAGACATGGAGTAAAAGGAGATCATTTTGTAACTTTAAGGTTTAATGATTGCCCTATTGGATTTCAGACTTGGATGGGGCCTGTAGCTCCTTTGTTTTATGGCCAATTTCTCCCATTTGAAATGGATGTATTTACCCAATGCCTGTATCCCCATTGTATCTAGGAAATAACTAACTTGCCTTTGATTTTACAGGCTCATAGGCAGAAGAGATTTGCCTTGTCTCAGATGAAACTTAGGACTTGGACTTTTGGGTTAATGCTGGAATAAGTTAAGACTTTGTGGGACTGTTGGGAAGGCATGATTGTGTTTTAAAATGTGAGGAAATGAGATGTGGGAGGGGCCAGGGGCAGAATTATATGGTTTGGCTGTGTCCCCACCCAAATCTCATCTTGAATTGTAGCTCCTGTGTGTCATGGGAGGGACACAGTGGGAGGTAATTGAAACATGGGGGTGGGTTTTTCCTGTGCTATTTTCATGATAGTAAGTCTCATGAGATATGATGGTTCTATAAACGGCAGTTCCCCTACATATACTCACTTGCCTGCCACCATGTAAGACATGCCTTTGCTCCTCCTTTGCTTTCCACCATAATTGTGAGGCCTCCCACCCATGTGAAACTGTGAGTCCATTAAACCTCTTTTTCTTTATAAGTTACTCAGTCTTGGTATTTCTTCATAGCAGTATGAAAATGGACTAATACAACATGTTTGTTTTTCCCTCTTAATATATTTTGGAATGAGGAAAGATCTCTCTTGACTATGCATTCCCCCAAAAGTAATGTGAATGGATTTCACAGCTTACCTGAAGTCAATTAGAATAATCCTTTTCCATCTTGAATTGGAGGATGGAATGAGATAAGTTCAGTGATCCATCAGGCAGATGGGTGTAGCAGGGATCCTGGTGGTGCTGGGGGTGTCCTAACAGCAATCCTGATCACAGCCATCAGTGGCGCTAGCCAGGTGCCAGGCCTGATTTGGAACATTGCATGTGTGTTTCCTTGTTTAATCCTCACAATCACTCTATGAGGTATATATATTATCATCATTCCCACTACATAGATGAGGAAACTGAGGGCTCAGTTAAGAAAGTTATCCAAGCTAATAATTAGCAGAATAAGCATTCAAACCCAGACTATCTGACTCCAGAATTCATGGTCTTAACTTTTATGTTATATTGCCTCACTTGCTCCTGGGCCTGGGGCTCCAGTGCCACAGCCCCCAAGGTAGGAGTGCTTCCTGTTCCTCAGTGGGCTCAACCTGAGGGTTCAGTGGGATGGACCTTCCACTTTCATCCCATGACACACAACTCTTTGAAGTGAGTTGAATTGTGAGTCTTCCTTCTAGTTCCTCCTTGTCTTAATATCTAGAATGAAAGTCTAGAACACATCCCTAGATTTTCTTTCTCTCTCTTTCCTTCCTTCTTTCCTTCCCTCCCTCCCTCCCTCCCTTCTTTTTCTCTTTCTTTCTTTCTTTCTTTCTTTCTTTCTTTCTTTCTTTCTTTCTTTCTTTCTCTCTCTCTCTCTCTCTTTCTTTCTTTCTTTCTTTCTTTCTTGTCTTTCTTTCTTTCTTCTTTTTTTTTTTTGAAACAGCCTGCTGCCCAGGCTGGAGTGCAGTGGCTCGATCTCAGCTCACTGCAACCTCTGCCTCTGGGTTCAAGCAATTCTCCTGCTTCAGCCTCCCGAGTAGCTGGGACTACAGGTGTGCACCACCATGCTTAGCAAATTTTTGCTTTTTTTTTTTTTTTTTTTGAGATGGAGTCTCGCTCTTTCACCCAGGCCAGACTGCAGTGGCGCTCTCTTGGCTCACTGCAAGCTCCGCCTCCTGGGTTCACACCATTCTCCTGCCTCAGCCTCCCAAGTAGCTGGGACTACAGGCGCCCGCCACCACGCCTGGCTAATTTTTTTTTGTATTTTTAGTAGAGACGGGGTTTCACCATGTTGACCAGACTGGTCTTGAACTCCTGACCTCAAGTGATCCACCTGCCTCAGCCTCCCAAAATGCTGGGATTACAGGCATGAGCCACTGTGCCTGGCCTATGTTATTTTATTTTATTTTATTTTATTTTATTTTATTTTAGAGACAGGGTCTCACTCTGTCACTCAGTCTGGAGTGCAGTGGCACAATCTTGGCTCACTGCAATCTCCACTTCCTGGATTCAAGTGATTCTCATGCCTCAGCCTCTCGAGTAACTGGGATTACAGGCGCGCTCTACCATACCCAGCTAATTTTTGTATTTTTAGTAGAGACAGGGTTTTGCCATGTTGCCCAGGCTGGTCTTGAACTCCTGACCTCAAGTGACCCAGCCGTCTTGGCCTCCCAAAGTGCTGGGATTGCAGGCATGAGCCACCGTGCCTGGCCTGTTTTTATTTTGGTATTTTTAGGAGTTTCTAGGAGCTGGGGATTGAACACCTATGCTCTGTTCCCCTTTTTCCAGGTCTCTCCCTCTGCCCTGTCTCCCTCTCTGTCTCCTGCTTCCTGAAACACTCTTCTGCCTTGCCTGCCATTCTGCTTCATTATCTCCAGGGTCTCTGGCTGTGCCCTCCCCATCCTCCCTCTCATCTGTCTGCACCTTGATTCCCCCTTGGCTCCATTCTCAGTTGTTCTTTTCTGTCTCCGCCCTCCTTGGTGACCTCACACACTCTAAAGCTTTCACCGCCATCCACACTGGTGTGTGGTCCCTGGCCTCAGCCCAGATGTCTCCCAAACTTCCTTTGAACAGTGATTGTCTGCCGAATGCTTCTACCTAGGGGGTTCACAAACTGGACAGCACACACTCCCATATGGAACACTGCACTGGTCACCTTTTCTCATTGAATGTGCCTTCCACTTGCTGGGGAGTCATCCTGGATTCCTGCCTCTGGTCTGGCCACTCTGCAGTCCAACTGCCCTCCCTGCTGTGGGCAGATGATCTCTCCCTTCCTCGAGTCCTCCAAAGCCTCCAGCGCCAGCTCTTCCATGTGGTCTCAGAGGTCATCAGGGATTTGATCACTTTTCACCTCATTGAACTTTGCTCTTTGCTGGATTCTGTTTCCTGCTCTGCCACCCAGGCTGGAGTGCAGTGGCACGATCATAGCTCACTGTATCCTTGAATTCCTGGGCTCAAGTGATCCTCCAGCCTCAGCCTCCTCCAGCCTCAGCCTCCTGAGCAGCTGTGATTACAGAGGTGTCCCACCACACCTAGTTAATTTTTTTTTTTTTTAGATGGAGTCTCGCTCTGTCACCAGGCTGGAGTGTAGTGGCGCAATCTCGGCTCACTGCAACCTCCGCCTCCCGGGTTCAAGTGATTCTCCTGCCTCAGCCTCCCAAGTAGCTGGGACTACAGGTGCCCACCATCATGCCCTGCTAATTTTTTGTATTTTTAGTAGAGACAGGGTTTCACCATGTTGGCCAGGATGGTCTCGATCTCTTGACTTCGTGATCCACCCACCTCAGCCTCCCAAAGTGCTGGGATTACAGGCGTGAGCCACCGCGCTCAGCCAATTTTTTTCTTTTTTTTAAAGACAGGGTCTTGTTGTGTTGCCCAGGCTGGTCTCAAACTCTTGGCCTCAAGCGATCCTCGTGCCTAAACCTCCCATGTATTTTCCCAGCTTTCTGCACAGCTTGGAGTTCCCTGTGTTTATTTTCCATGGCCTTGCCCCTGTCTGCTGGTAAATGGCCTTCTGGGGAGGGGAATAATCTCTGCTCTTTAGCATTTGCTGACATCTGTGGTGTAAATATTCCCATCACCGCCAATCTCAAACTACTAACATGACTTCATTGAATGTGGAGTTGGGTAGAGATGTTCAATAGCCACCATTAGACAGTATTTCCACCTTACAGATACAATAGACCTAAAACAAACCCTCAGCCAGGTGTGGTAGCTTATACCTGTAATCCCAGTATTTTGGGAGGCTGAGGCAGGTGGATTGCTTGAGCCCAGGAGATTGAGACCAGCCTAGGCAACATGGCAAAATCCCATCTCTACAAAAAAAAAAAATGCAAAAATTAGCCAGATGTGGTGGTGCATGCCTGTAGTCCCAGATACTTGGGAGGCTGAGGTAGGAGAATCACTTGAGCCTGGGAGGCAGAGATTGTGGTGAGCTGAGATCACACCACTGCCCTCCAGCTTGGGTGACAGAGTGAGACCCTGTCTCAAAAAAACAAAAACAAAACCCTCAAGGGCATAGATAATAGTAAATAGTAGTAAAATAATTAGGGAGTGATATATTTTTAGCATTTATTATCTTTAGTATTTTGTATTTTAGTATTTATAACCTTTATTTTTAATATAATTTATTTAATTGTAAACTTACATAATTTAATTATTAATAATGACCACATGTAACAGCTTGCTGGCAAAATTCCTGAACACTTAGCGAGCAGCCCTCCTGAGCTGGTTTGAGCTAGCTCCAGCGTGCTCCTGGCTCCCCTTCCTAGAGATCCCTCATCTCCACCGACATCTGGTCAATACTTATCCTTCCCTTAAGTCAGCTCTGCTCACAGTGGGAGTGTGTCCCTCTGCCACTCCATCACTGCTCTCCCCACATTGCAATGATCTATTTACACACCTGTCTCACCTCCTATTCCATGAACTTCTTGAGGGCAGAGGCTGTGTCTCATTTATCTTTGTAATCCCAGTATAGTGCCTGGAACATAGTACACATTTGGTGAATTATGATTTAAAGAATTGATGGTGCCTTTTCTGTTAGCACTATTCTTTTCTCATCTATCTCTATTTCTAATCACTTTGGGAAATGCTCTTGGCTGCATGATGAAACAGAGTGCCAGGTCTTCATAAAAAAAAAAAAAAAAAAGCTTGTTGATTGGGTAAACTCACCAAGCTGACTAGAGCAGTTTTAAGTATAAATTGTTTACTCATATACTGCCTGTGGCTATAGAATGCAAATTAATCACTTTGGCAAAGTGTTGTATTAGAGTTCTCCAGAGAGACAGGACCAATAGGAGATAGGTAGATAGATAGATAGATAGATAGATAGAACCAATAGGAGATAGATGATAGATAGATAGATAGATAGATAGATAGATAGATGATAGATAGATAGATAGATAGATAGATAGATAGATAGAACCAATAGGAAATAGATAGGTAGATAGATAGACACAACCAATAGGAGATTAGATAGATAGATAGATAGATAGATAGATAGATAGATAGATAGATAGACAGACAGAACCAACAGGAGATAGATACATAGGTAAATAGATGATAGGTAGATAGAGATAGAGAGTTATAGATATATGAGAAGGGATTTATTTGGGGAATTGGCTCACAAACTATGGAGGCTGAGAAGTCCCATGATAGGTTATCTACAAGCTGGAGACTCAGTGATGCTGACAGCATGGCTCAGTCCCCGTCTAAAGGCCTCGGAACCTCAGAACCAGGGGAGCTCATGCTGTAACTCTCAGTCCGAGGCTGAAGGCTTGAGAACTTGAGGGGGTCTGCTGGTACAAGTTCCAGAGTCCAAAGGCCAGAGATCTTGGAATTCTGATGTCCAAGAGCAGGAGAAAAAGGGTGTCCCAGCTCCGAGAGTGAGTGTGGATTCACCTGCCTTTTTGTTCTATCCAGGTCCAAAGCTGAATGGGTGGTGCCCGTCCATGTTGAGGGTGAATCTTCTCCACTCAGTCCACCAACTCACATGCCAGTCTCTTCTGAAAACACCCTCACAGACACACCCAGAAAGAATGCTTCACCAGCTATCTAGGCATCCCTTGAGCCAATCAAGGTGACACCTAAAATTAACCATCATAGTGATAATTTAAGGCATTAAGGACATCATTTCATGTCCTGCAGCTCTTTAAGCCCAGGCTTGGTCATTTTCAATAAGTGGAAATTAACTTTTTTTTTTTTTTGAGACAGGGTCTCGCTCTGTCACCCAGGCTGGAGTACAGTGGTGTGATCTCGGCTCACTGCAACCTCTGTTTCACGGGCTCAATCAATTCTCCAACCTCAGCCTCCCAAATAGCTAGGATTACAGGCATGAGCCACCAATGCCTGACTTTTTTTTTCTTTTTGGTAGAGATGGGGTTTTGCCATGTTGCCCAGGCTGGTCTCAAACTTGTGAGCTCAAAACAATCCTCCCACTTTGGCCTTCCAAAAGGGATTACAGAGGTGAGCCACTGTGCCCGGCCTGGAAATTACCATTCTAAGTCATCTTTGTGACTGCTGTGACTGCCAGGAAATCAGAGTAGTCCACCAGGAAGAGTTATCTCTTGGGCTGAACAGAACAGTGGTTGAGTGTCTCTGGTGTGACAGGTGCTATATTCGCCATGGGGATAGATGAATGGAAAGGAATTTGTAAAGGTATTGACAATGTTTTTTGAGTTTTTAAACAGGATGCTTGTCATTTTAATGACACAGACTCTAATTTCTAAGCATTTTTAGAGGGATGCATATTTTTGTATACTATTAACTGCATAGTCTTCTTTCTTAGAATGCCTAATTTACCAGACATTGACAGAACTTTAGCTCAAGCCTCACTAAGAAGACGTAGCAGTGCACGCTCTGGGATTATTTTATACTTCACTAGGATGACTTATTTATAGAACAGAATCTTTTTGCTTTCCTACAAGATTCAACAGTTCTATTAAGCAACAGCAAAAGAAACAGCTACTTCTCCAGAGCAGACTTCAATCTTAAGCAAGATTTATATTTCAAAAATAAATATTTAAAAGCAAATCATAACAGAGCTAAAACCAACAATACCACATATACCCAAACTATGCCAGTGAGTCTGGGTCCATATCTTGTAGGAATTATATGTTTCTGAAAACCTAGAGAGATTTTATTCTCTCCCTAAAGAAAAGTTTAAGGTCTTATTCTATCCATACACACACACATCAGACTGAAAAGCAAAATCAGAAGACTGAGTTCACCTGAATTTAATTCAAATTCGAGGAAGTAGCATTTGAAATAGCTTATTTTTTGACTGGATTCAACCTGAAGTATATTGTGATTTCTCAATATCTCCTTCCACAGGGAAACATTATTTCTTGCCTATGATGGGTACAAATCTATATATACTCTGCACATACAGTCACTCTTTGTCACACTTGATAATGGGTCACATTTGTGGTGAACAGATGTTTCCTGAGAGTCTGAGACTCATGAGCAAAGCCGTGGTGTGGGTAAGAGGGATGAGCTGTTCTCACTGGATGCTTCAAAAGGGGCTGTGCTTACAATTAGTCTGAAAGCCAAATTATCCTTATTGAAGAAGGACAAAATGGCATGGGCAAGCTCTTATCTCCTGTCTTAGGACAGATGCTGCTTATGAAAATTGTCTGTACCTGTCTTTGATGATTCTGGACTAGAAATGGTTCCCTGGCATGACTGGGTGTCTTAGAAAGGACACTGTGGAGTTAACTTCTGGAAGGAAAGTCTAACATGATCTGCAGGCTCAATAACAGATAAAGGGAAAAAAGAAGGGAAAGAAGACAAAAGGAAAGGAGTTTTTCACTCTGACAAGAACCACATGAGTGACTAACCCTAAAGATGGAAATAGAAAATGACCTTTGGTGAGGGATATTTTCTGAACATTCAAAGCTGGATTTGACTGCTTTATAACATTTCAAATGGCATGGAATGTACTCTGTTGTGAATGAGAAATGCCCCCTTTAAAATGAGCAAAGCCTTAAGTTAGTCTACATGACAGTGACTCTGGCCAGGTAGAATATTTCAACCCTGCACTTCCTGGCCTGTACCCTTTCGAGCAATTGCATTTCATAAATTTCAGGAGCATGCCTGAAGCAGATGGTTGAGACATGGGAAGGATCATAAATCCGGGCCTCAATGTCTTCCAGCTCCCAAATTCAAGGCTCTGAAATGCTGGCCTTGGCACAACTTGGCATCCATGCCATGGAACAGTCTTCCACAGGTGGTAGTTCAGTATCTTATGTTTAGTTCTTATTGCCGTCCTTGAAAAGCAGCAGTATATAGGAATGGTAAAAGACCTCTCTTTTTCTTGTGTGCCATAAAAATAGCTAGATAGAAACTCTTTCCAGAGCAAAGAAAAGTAGGTTGAAATGTTCTACACTTTGTGGTTGAGGCTGAATTCCGACTGAGCAAATACACACAAATGAGGGGAGACAATATCAACCCCACAATGTTGGGGTGAACTCCTCGGTGACAGATGAAGAAACAAACACTCTCAGTGCAGTTATCCTCATATCAGATGCTTTACCCTGAACCAAACGTTTTTCCAGAAATTTTTTTCTCTGTTACCAAAGTAATACACATTCATTCTAGATTTTTGGAAGTTCAGACAAACATAAGGAAGAAAATCTCCTTTGCTTTTCCTGTACATGTACACGTGGAAAAACGTCCTTTGCCTTGGGTCGTGTTTTGTGGATTATGCCTAATTAAAGACAGTACTCTTCTTAGAGACCAGTATCAAAATGAGTTGAGGGGACTTGCAAGAAGGAATGAATGGAATGTATTCATTTCTCCACATTCCTATCCCCAGTTTTTGGGGAAAGGTGGTGAGCCCCTGTGTCTTGCATTGATAACACGAGAAGTACCTGAGAGTTTCCTGCGAGAAATGAGCAGTCACTGTACCTCATCTAAAGTGCTTTGAAGCCAAGCACGGTGACTCACGCCTGTAATCCCAGCACTTTGGGAGGCTGAGGCAGGTGTATCACTTGAGGTCAGGAGTTCAAGGCCAGCCTGGCCATCATGGCAAAACCCGGTCTCTACTAAAAATACAAAAATTAGCCAGGTGTGGTGGTGGGTGCCTGTAATCCCAGCTACTCAGGAGACTGAGGCAGGAGAATCGCTTGAACCGGGGTGGCGGAGGTTGCAGTGAGCCAAGACCATGCCACTGCACTCCAGCCTGGACAACAGAGCAAAACTCGGTCTCAAATAAATAAAATAAAATAAATAAAATAAAATAAAATAAAATAAAATAAAATAAAATAAAATAAAATAAAATAGTGCTTTGAATGCTTGAGAAGAACCTGGTGGGTCACTCAGTTCATCCTCTGAGGAGGCGCTCATTCCTGTTTGAGGATAAGAGTGGAGAAGAACATTTTGGGGAAGCCCTGGACCTTTCGTATTCGGCCTTTCAGAGACCTTCCAGTACTGGGTCACTGATGTCCCTTCAGGATGTGAGTAACCTCCACTGACTACTGCAGACCTCTGATCACTTCCTTTAGTGTAACTCGCTCTGCACAGCCACAAAAGATGGGCTGCTGCCTGGCTGAGGAAACACCCTTCTGGTCAAGGGGCTGAAGAAAATCTGTTGTCCGCTTGACTGAGGACGACTTCCTGACAAATGTTTCACATGGAAGAATAGGTCCAGGTTTCCATAGGTTTGTCCAAAGGTTTGGTTATGTTATATCCTGCTTCTTTTGAATGATAACATCCATCATAGAGTTATAGGCTGTGGTCACCTGTTCTCGGACCTTTGGTTGGGTCCCTGAATCACATGTAACTGTTTTTCTGTAATCATCATCAAATCCACCTTACCTGTGGCTCTAGAACTCAGCAACTCTAGAACACAGGGCTGTTAGTTTTCCAGATCTTCTTTGTAACTATGTTAAGCATTAAGAAATACTAGGTTCAGGGATGACAGGCATACAATGTGTATGTATCTTTTTCTGCCAAAATGAGGTGTGAATCAGTTAGCACATTTGAGACCTGGTACCCAAAACAGCCAGGATGAATGAGGTGAAGAAGGCACAGTGGGAGCCCTCAGGTGCCACTTCCTCTCCACTCTACAAAATCAGAAGTCTCTGTTGCTTGCATGTTATGTGGATGTGGTTTTCATTTTTCTGGCCCTTTTGGATTGGCTTTCTTTTGGACCGTTTGTGTGGCATTGATGCTGCCTTCCCCCAGCACGGCCTTTGCTTCTGCCTCTCCTAAATGAAGCACCCCACTGTCCAGATGGTACCATCTCTTCATTACAGAAAAATCATCTAAGTAGAAAGAAGTAGCGTTTGAGCCACATTGCTATGTAGTGTTGGGAGGAACAGTCTCTATCGACCCTCAGCTCACTTCCTGATCAACTCAGCCTATGGCTCAGACAATTGGTTTGTTTTCCACGAAGGTTTAAAGTGTGGAGTACATGGTTCCAACCCTCACCCTCTCACTCAGTTTTTCTGGGAAAATTAGCTGGCATGATACATTTCAGATTCAAAAAGCTGGACTCTGGGATGCCCTCCCCAAGATGGCAGAGCTTTGGGATGAAAACAGTGTCAGGTAAGGAGTTAAGTAGCCTTATCTTGGCCTAAGTTCACTGAACTGACCAAGCTTGATTGTATCCAGTTGGTCAAGTGGACACTCAACATGACTTTGCTGGAATCACAAGGTGGTTGTTGCCATTGGAGGAAAGAACAGATGTGGAAGGCCTCATACAAGGTGGGAAAATATAGTTCTCTGGAGTTCCAATGAGAGAGTTCCAAGGCCTCACTGAATTAGGGCCTTGGGGAAATATGACACAGATTCTAGAGCTGAGCAACAAGACAAAGCATGTCTAATGAGAAAGTGAGCTCCCCAGAATTGGAGGATTTCAAGCAGAGACCAGGTACCTAGGTGCCAGGGGTGCTATGAAGGTAGAAGACTGGACTAGGTGCCCAGAGTCTCTGTGTGGTGATCAAACTTTTCCAAAGATTGTAGTTCTTGGCACTGACCTGGAGTCCTCAACAGCTTCTGCATCCTTGGTCTCAACTTGGGTCTGGTGTCCTGGTCCCTAGGTGGTGAGCTCCCTGAGCACAGGGCACTGGTCTTGTCCATCATCCTCCCCTAGCACCTGTCTCTGTGCCTTTCACCTTAAGGGTGTTCTACAAGTGTTTCCTAAAGGGGTGGTGGCATGCTGGCTCCTCCAACCCCAGCTGTGAGCTGAAATACTGTCTCAAATCCAAACTGTCTACATGATACTGATAAGAAACAGGATTCGAATCTCAATTTTGCTACCCAAGGATTTTGATGTAAGAGAATGTAAATTTAAAACCAACATTAGGACTGTGAGTTTGAGACTAAAACTCTGGCCTTGCTGTTCCATGGCCTTAGGAGAAGCACAGGCATCAGGACAGATGGAAAGAGAGAGAGCGAGACAGACAGACAGACAAACAGGGTGCTCTGCAAAGCAGCCAGTGGGCAGAGGAGCCTCCATGGAGCTCCTAGAACTTATCTTAGCAATTTTCCAAGTTTCTAGGCAGCCTGACCAAGTAGGAAGAATAATTTGGTCAATTCCATGAAGAGGTTCCCTCTTTTGAAATGTATGATTCTAATCCGCAGCTCTTTCATCAAAGCAAAGGCAGTGAATAACACAGCCCAAACTGATTTTGTTGGTAAACACCACCCAACTGTTTTCTTATTAGTTTACCTTGGCAATACCTCTCTATGATGTAATTATGTGAGGTTTCAGAGCCATATTTACTTCCATCCCACACACACCTTATGTTACCTCATCTTCCACTGCCATATTGAGAGAAAGGAACACTTCTCAGTTCCTGCAGAAACTTGAAGAATCCTATTGGGAGATAAGGCAGACATTGACTCCAAATAGTTGGGTGGTGGTGAAGTGCAAGTATGAGACCAGGGCTTCCGTAGGAGGAGGTCACTTCAGAGGAGGAGGAGAGGGGAAGAGGAAACCCCCAGGCAGCCAGTGACCAGGAAAGCAGTAAAGTGATGGCTAATTATTGTGAAAGAACCAAGTTGGAAACAGTTCACATCAATCCTCAGAGAGGGTTGGACAATTCTGGCCAATTTGGTACACCTGTCAAGGAAAGATGGTGATATGGTTTGGCTCTGTGTCCCCACCCAAATCTCATCTCGAATTGTAATCCCCACTTGTCAAGGGAGGGATCTGGTGGGAGGTGATTGCATCGTGGGAGCAGTTTCTCCCATGTTGCTGTCATGATAGTGAGTGAGTTCTCATGAGATCTGATGGTTTTATAAGGGGCTCTTCCCACTTTACATGCTCTTTTTCTCTCTCCTGCCGCCTTGTGAAGAAGGCGCCTGTTTTCCCTTCTGCCATGATTGTAAGTTTCCTGAGGCTACCCCAGCCATGCAGAACTGTGAATTAATTGAATTGCCTTTGTTTATAAATTACCCAGTCTCAAGTAGTATCTCTAGAGCCGTGTGAAAATCGGCTAATACAGATGGGAAGTCAGGGTCTCTCCTGGGGGACAGAGGAGCGTGCTTGAGACAGAATAGGAAGAAATTCATACAGAATCGAAAGAGTTGCTGACATGCTGCTGCCCAAATACAGCAGCTTCTTCAGACCTCAGGTGTCCCCCAGAGGTGCCATCTTTGAATCTAATGTGTAGATTCTTATTCAGTTGGTCTGGGTAGGGTGTGGGCTTTAGAATTTTAAAGGATCTCCCTGGTGCTTCTAATGCACAGGTAGGGTTGAGAAGCACACTGTTCTCAAAGAGTGGTCCCAGACCAGCAGCATCAGCATCACCTGGGAAATTGGAAGAAATGCAAATTCTAGGGCCCCAACCCAGAATTACTGAATCAGAAACTCTGGCAATGGTGCCCATCAAACTGTGTTGTATTTAACGAGTTCTGCAGGTGATTCCGATATTTGCTGAAGTTGAACTACTGCAATAGAGATGTTTGAATCTCAGGATGCTCCCATCCCTGCCCCTGCTCCCTGCCTTCCTTAGTTCTCCAAGAAATCCTGTCTCTGACTCCCCCATCCAGGCTTGGAACCCTGGAGGCTTCCTCGTAGGGCTGCGTAGAGCAGGTGGGGAGGGCAACTCCACAGCCCTAGTCACCTGTGAGCTGCGTAGACAAGAGAATTTTCCAGCAAGTAGAAGTCAAGTGTCCTGGGGAAGGTCTGATTTGCAGAGTCAGGGTTTAGTTCAATGATTGGGCTTCCTGGACTCCCTCCTCTCCTTGTCCTTCCCAATCAGTTGCCAAGCCCCCAGCTGTTTCATTAAGAAATATCTGAATCCTCCTCCACCGATCACTGTCCATTTTCTCACTAGTCTCATGCTTCAGCCCTACTTCCTAGATTCTGGTAGGGATCTCCCAGTGGGTCTCCCTTGCTGCTGTCTCCCCCCGTCCCAGCCCCCCATCAGCTGTCTTTCTCGACAGCACTTGGCGCCCATCCCTTCCTCTTCCACCCTGCTTCCCATGTGAGCTTGACACATGCACGCTGCCCACCTGTACATGCATGCACACGTGCCTGCTCCACAAGACGCCGCCAGCAAGTCCTGTGGCCTGTCCTGTGGGCAAAGTCCATGATCCTCAGCCTGGTATCCAGAGACCCCCCTGCCGGCCCCTCCCTACCACTTCAACCTTATCTCTCACCATCCTGCTTCATGAATCTTGTGCTCCAGCCAAACTGGTATACTGGTAAAACCCCGATAAGATAAGCAAGTAAAATTAGAGCCCATAAACCCGGAACAGGTACAGGCAGCCACGGGGTGTCCAGAGGACGCAGCTTTAGTAACTTCAAGTGCTCAGGGGTGGGAATGGGTACACTCCAGTCTTTGAGTTAAATAGCATGAAAGTGAGATGATGTGGAGAACTGAACTAATTACTCAAGGACTCAAGAACTCACTGCTCTCTCTGCACCTCTTCTTTTCTTTATGGTATTTCACTCATTATATCCTTCTTAGAAAATCTAGGTTGAGAAATGATTTTATGGTTATTTCAATAAACTGATATATTTTATAGAAAATGAGCCAGGTTCTTGGATTATGGAAACAAACCTTAATTTATGTCAAGTGTTCTTGCAGAAAGAGTGGTGCCACCTACCTTCATAACCTGAAGAGCACCATTGTTACCTGATGGCAGCTACCTAAAACACAGGCAGTAGTACATTCATTCATTTCAGAAACATTTCGTGATCACCTACTGAGTGACAAGCAGGCATTCTCCCAGTCACTGGGGATACATTGTTGAACCAGATATAACTCTTCTTCTCAAAAAGCTTACATCTAGAGTGTTGGTAGAGGCAAGCTCACTGAGTAGGATTGGGGTGCTGTGGCAGGACACGGATCGACAATGGATCATCTCTGGGAGGCCCTGGAGGGTTCCTTGAGGAGGTGGTGGCTACTCTAAGTCCTGAAAATGCACAGAAAGGAGCCTGCCTTGTTAGGAGAGGGTGAAGGTATAGGATGGCACAGGGCCTGTTGTAACTCAGGTGGGTGCAGGTACAAGTCAGACTGGGGTTCAGTACAGAGACCACCAGTACAGACAGGGATGGAACTAGGATCAGTAAAGACAGGGACTTGGCTAAATGTTCAAGGTACGAAGGTGTTGGCCAGGCTGTTCTCTAACTCCTGACCTCAAGTGATCCACCTGCTTTGGCCTCCCAAAGTGCTAGGATTATAGGTATGAGCCACCACGCCCAGCCTCCCTCACTCAGTTCTTATTTCTATACTGCCATTCTAGGTGGAGACTGGTACCATACCACCTGCTGACATATTCCCTTGGAGGCAGCTGCTGCCAAAACTTAGGATTATCTTCTACTTGAGGGTTTACCATTATTGGGCCTGTGCCTGGGTCGCAGTGCCCCCTTTGCAGACAGAGTGAATATTTCTGATTTACATTGTTCATTGGAGTGTGGAGAATTGAGCCTTGATTCAAGTAGAAACCACGTTCTCAGAGGGTCCAGCTGGGCTGGTGAGATGAATACCACACATAGACGGCTCCAATGGCTTCATGGAGCTGGGGGAAGGCTCCTGGTGGCACATGTAGAGCAGACCCCTGGTAGCAACTCAGCCTCCTGGAGAGAGAGTTGGGAATACTGGGTCAGATGCCATCATACCAGCATCTCAGAGGCTAGTCCCTCTCCATCCCTGATCCCTGAACTAGCTACTGGGCCTTGGCTTTTTAGCAGAGGGCTGCAATTGCCACCCTCCAGCCTGTTCTAGTGGCTTGTTTCCTATACAGGAATTGGTGAATTGAGGACATACCCAGAATGGGACCCCACCTGTGGCAGGAATGCTATATGCTTTCCAAACCTCTTTCCTTTTCCTCCTGGGCTGGCTCCATTTCTCAGCCTCCTTTGCAATTAGGGGTGGTCATGTTTCCAAAGAGTGTGTACACCACCTCCAGGCCTGGCCTGTAAAATTCTTCCTCATATCATCTTCTCTGTTTTCCACTTGCCAGCTGGTTGTGGATGATCCAGCAGAGGCATCTGAGGTTCCAGTGGACGACAGGGTTACAAGATGGAAAAAGCCTGAATTCCTGAGTCACTGCATGGAAGGCTGCCTACTGAACACACACATTTGGGCTGTTACATGAGTGACAGACACACTTCTGTAGTGTGAAGCTCTTGAGATTTGGGGGCCCCTCATTACAACACTTATGCTATTCATTCTTTCCCCCAACTCTCTTCTTTTGTTTGTTTGTTTTTTGTTTGAGATGCAGTCTCACTCTGTCGCCCAGGCTGGAGTGCAGTGGCACTATCTTGGCTCACTGCAACCTCCGCCTCCCAGGTTCAAGCGATTCTCCTGCCTCAGCCTCCCTAGTAACTGGGATTACAGGTGCACGCCACCATGCCCGGCTAATTTTTGTATTTTTAGTAGAGATGGGTTTTCACCATGTTGGCCAGGCTGGTCTGAAACTCCTGACCTCAAGTGATCCACCTGCCTTGGCCTCCTAAAGTGCTGGAATTGCAGGTATGAGCCACCACTCTCAGCCTCCCCAACTCAGCTCTTATTTCTATATTGCCATACTAGGTGGAGATTGGGGCCCTACCACCTGCTGACATATTTCCTTGGAGGCATCTGCTGCCAGAACTTCGAATTATCTTCTGCTTGAGAGTTTCTATTATTGGGCCTGTGCCTGGGTCACAGTGCCCCCTTTGCTCTGTAGTGGGACTTCCTGGTCCTGACAACTTGCCTGAAATGCCATTTGTGATCTTGCTGTCAAACTCTGGATTCTAACTTTTGCTTTCTGAGCATGCTGTCTGTCTCCTTATGCCTGCTCCCACTCTCACTCCCAGTGACTAGGAGGTGAAAAATGACTGTTCCAGGCACCAACTTGCCTGAAAGCTCTAAGACTTGCCTTAAGGCAGTCAAGCCGTCTGCTGACTCTCCACTTTTGCAAGGAGAACTACGTCTAGTCATCAACATGTAGCCGCATCCAGCCATGAGGAGGGGCGGGAGAGATTTGACAACATCTCAGGAAGTGCTAACATCTGACAAGCTGAGATCATGGGTGTCATAAATTGATAGAGAGGCTGAAATGAGAAGGAGATAGGATGGGCCATGTGTGGTTAGCAACATCAAGAGCAACTTGTAGTTGACAACCTCATTGCTCATCTTCTGCTGACACATACAGCCAAAGTCTGAATGGTGGCATTGCTTCAACTCCCCTGCTGTGTGATGGGGGCACCTGATTGATGTTGACACGCCAATGTTGGGCTATCATCGGAGGAGGTCTGTATTAATTTTAACAATGAAAATAGACGGGTTACAGTTACCCTAAATAGCATCAAGTCACCCCACTTCATAAAGCCCTTCAATGGCTTTCCTTTCCTTTTGGAAGGAAGTAGTGCATTTTTCACATGGTCCACTGGGTCTTAGATGTCCTGACCCTACCTTATCTCTCCTGTGTAGGCCAGTCCTACCCTTTCTTCTGCTTAATGCCTCCCAGCCATGCTGGTGTTTTCTACATTCTTCATGCGCACCCAGCACAGTGCCAGGCACCCTGTACAAATTCAATAAATAATTCTTGGATTAATGAATAAGAGGTCAATCAGGAGATGGCTGCAATCTAATGAGAAACCATGGAGCTGATATTTGGGTGGGTGTCTCTAAATCTAAGCCCTAAGAAACCTTGCTCGTTCACTGTTCTAGTGTCTTCCCATTGCCTAGAACAGTCTCCCATGCCCAGTAGATGCCAAGGCATTTGTTGAATCAACGAAATGAAGTAGAATGAATGGATAAAAGGAGTAGTGACCAGAATGAGGGAGACTTCATAGGCAGGACCAGCAGGGCTTGCTGACTAACTGGATTTTGAGATGAGGGGGCTGAGAGAAGTCAAGGATGATCCCAAGTTTCTGGCTTGGGGCTGAAGGGAGGAAGGTACAATTTACTGAGACGGGGGAGATGGGATGAGGTTAATGGAGAAAGGAGGCTGCGGCAATGAGTCTAGCTTTAGATTTTTCGAGTCTGTAGCATCTGTAGGCTGGTTGTCAGAGGATGTCCAGTGGGCAGCTGGATATATTGGTCTGAAACTCAGGAATGACAATTGGGCTGGAGAGAATAGATTTGGGAGTGAACAGCCTGTGATGTTAACAAAAGCCAAGTGAGTGGATGAGATTGCAATGTGATAGGTGGTGTGGTTGTACAATGATGTATAAAATATGGTCCCTGCCCTCAAGACTAATACAAAATCAAGATATGACATAGACCTTAAAACTGTTTATGAGCCCATCCATATCTCCATAGCAACCTTGAAGCAGAGCGATAGCTCTGCCCTTATCACAGGCAGGGGAAACACACAGATGGCTGCTGTCTCCCACAAGTCTCCCACTGCAGGAGATGTTTCCTCTTCCCCGTGGGACCCACAATGAGTGGCACCTGCAAATTCCACTCTTCTAGCCAGTCCAAACCCGAGTCTTCTTCCACGTCTCAGCCATGGGGCCGAAGAGAGGGAGGGGGACGTCAGAATCAGCCCTTTCTGTCCAAACCCCCTTTTCTCTAGGTCTTGTCTCTCTACACCCTCCACTTTGCCAAAGCCAGGAAGGAGGTGGCCGTAATGACCACATTGCCACTTTCCCTTGGTCTTTCTGTGGCACGAATGCTGTACGTCGTTTCCTGCTTCCTGCAACTGTCCGCCAGTGGCTTCAGTGGAAACAATCACAGACCTCGTGTATTGAGTGCTCCCTGTGAGCCAGAGCTCCACTAATCAGGCCACACGAGGAATTCATTTTCCTCTCAACCATCCTAGGCAGTGTGGACAGTTATCACCACTTCACAAATGAGAAACCGAGGCTCAGAGAGATCATTTTGGGTTCTAAGATTGTCTAAGCTAGAGTATGGAAGGGGTAGGATTTGAACACAGGTCATTTGAAAACAAAAAGCTGCATCCTTAAGCAGTAAAATAAGGTTCCTCAGCTAATGGTCCTGTTGTCTGCTTGCTCTCTCTTATACTCTTTCTCTCTCTCTCTCTCTGGTTATATCTGTTGAATCTTTTTCCAGGCATCTCTTTGGTATTGCCCTGTAAGGCTGCTCTTCTTGGTGTTGGTTCCCCCACCCTCAACTCCGTGCTTCCCTTCTCAGCACTCTACCTGTTCTCTGTAGCCCACTTTTATCCCTATGGCTTTGCCCCATCCACAAGCAAATGGCTCTCAAAATGAAAATTATTTCCCTACTTCAGATTTTTCTCCTGACCTCTACAGATCTGGCCATCTCCCGAGCATCTTAATCTGTGGGGCCGCAAGAGGCCTCGTGCTCAGCGTGCAGAACACTGAAGCCACGATAGCTTCCTAACACTTGCTTCCTTCCCCGAGTCCCTGTCGTACTGTATGGCACTATCATGGGCTCACTCAACAGAGCCGGACATTCAGGGGTGATCCTTGACGTCCCCCTCTTCTTCATCCCCACACTCAATCAGCAACCAAATACTATGGATTCTGCCTTCCTAGTGGTCTTAAAAACCAGCCCTCTCTTGCTCATTTCCACATCCACTGCCTTATTCAGGCTGTCATCCCCCACCTAGCTGACCCGCAGCCTCCTGGCTGGTCCTCATGTCAGGTAGAAAGCATCCAATCTGCCTCCTGAGTGATATTTCTAGAAGCCAATCTGATCACGTTGCTGCTCAATTTTACCTCCTGCTCTGGCTTTCCCTGACCCTAGCATGAAAGATGAACTTCTTGGTATGGCCCGCAGTGCCTTGCATATCTCCCCGTCCTCCCCACTCACCCCAGTTTCCCATGCCTTTGAGCAAGCGTCAGCCATGCTCCCTCCGACAAGCACATCTATCCTACTCTCTTCTGCTTGGTGAATTCATCTGCACAGTCTAAGCTCAAATGTCATTAGATTCAAACCTTTTGCCGATCTCCTGTCCTCCTGTTTGTGTCCGCTCTGTGCCCTGCATGTATTTGTGTGCCATCATAACTATAAGACGGACGGAACTTAGGTGATTATATGTCTATTTCCTTATCCTGGAAGGTGAGCTCCTTGTTGGAGAGATGTGGGGCTTATACACTGGGATTCTCATCTACTGCCAGGTCCCCAGTGATTATTCAATAAGTGTTTTCTAGAAGAAGGACTGAAGGAACAGAGGAGTCCTCCTAACCTGATCTCCCGCTCTCAGAAATGGAACAGAGTCCCTAAAAGGATCATATTGAAGAGACTGGACTGCATTGGGGGTAGCCAAGGTTTTCATGCTTCCAAAGGGCCCCTAATATCTTTTGTAAGGAGGTGAAGCAGACCCCAAGCTCATACCACCCGTCCTCTTTCTTCCCTCTAGCCACTCTGCACCCTGGAGGTAAACATCAGAATAAACGATATCATAACCGTGGGCTGGCTCGGTGAACTATGAGTATTCTAAACCAAGATGTGATCTTAGATTTAGTGGGAAAAAAACACTGCATGTAAAGCCAAAAGATTCGGGCTTGAGCCTGGCCTCTAGGTTGTGTTACATGTATGACCTCAGGTGGTCGTGGGACATCTCTGAGCTCCGGTTTTATCAACCTGGGAATGAAAAGTATTGGTCACTTACTTCCTGGGGTTGCTCTGAGGCTGAGTAAAGTTAGAGAATTTCTTGGTACTTGTATGGTGCTGAGGAAGCTCCATTGTCCCTTTACCCAGCATCCTTCATGGCAAAGAGAATGTGCCTGCTGACACCTCTTTCAGCCTCTGTTTCAGCCTCTGCCTCAGTCCTTGCCAGAGACGTCAGGCTTAGCACAGAGCAGCTGGGAGCCTTCAGCAGAGAAGGAAGGCACCACTTAGACATCTGCACGGGCAGTTTTTAAACATAGGGAACATGAAGGAAATACCACAGAATTTATGGAGTGAAAGCTTTAAAAAGAAACACAAGTCTGAAGTCAAAACAGTTGACTCAATTCTAGGGGAGATGTCTGCCTGGAAGTAGGAGTGGGGGAAAAAGACTTGGAGTGAGTGGAGACAGGGTAAGCAAAGCTCTGTGGGGAGCCCTACAAAGTGGGGCAAGTGGGCACCTCCCCGCATGGCTCGAGACGGAAAGTCGGTCCTGCCTGTACACAGGGTAGCACTTACCAGCATTTTGGAAACACACATCTTTGGGCCCAGCTGTTCCACTTTTAAGAATGTCGCTTGAGATAGCCTCATGCAAGGGCACAATAATATATACAAGGATGTCCACTGAAGCCTCATTAGAAGTTGAGAAAACTTGGAAACAACTCGAATGCTGTTTAGCAGAGGATAGGCTAAACAAATTACAACACGTCTGTACAGTGGACTGAAGCAGCAAACGGCGTTATGTCTCTAAATATGAACAGGAAACATATTCATTATACAATAAGTGAGAAAGACCAGTTGCAGGATGGCACAGGTATGATGATCTTGTTTCCATAAAAACTAAAAATATACATATGCCTGTGCATGCATGGAAAAATACAAGAGGATAGGAATTAATTTGTGACCAGAGTTTGTCAGTGGGAGTTGGGATTATAGGATATTTTCTGTACAGTTGTGTAGAGTTGATTTTTTCTTTTCTTTCTTTTTCTTTTCCTTTTCTTTTTTTTTTTTTTTTTTGAGACAGAGTCTTGCCGTATCATCCAGGCTGAAGTGCAATGGCGTGATCTTGGCTCACTGCACCCTCTGCCTCCTGGGTTCAAATGATTCTCCTGCCTCAGCCTCCAAAGTAGCTGGGATTACAGGCACCTGCCATCATGCCTGGCAAATTTTTGTATTTTTAGTAGAGACAGGGTTTTGCCATGTTGGTCAGCTGGTCTTGAACTCCTAACCTCTGGTGATCCACCTGCCTCGGCCTCCCAAAATGCTGCGATTACAGACATGAGCCACTGCGCCCAGCCTGAGTTGATTTTTTTTTAATAGACATATTAGTAAAAGAAAAATATACAGAAAATAGTGAAATTACGGGAAATATGGCAACTGTCTGACCTTCATCCTAGAAAAACCCTGATCAGTGTCCCTGTATTGCATCACAGGTACCAAAATTGTAATACATCCTTCATCATGCTACTGTCCCAGTAAAAACCCCGAGCATCTCTCATTTCTTCCCTTCCACTCCATCCTGGCTAATTTACTGTCCACAATTCACAGAGTATTGTCTCCACTCTGCGCAGCCACAGAATGGGTGTGGTAACGTCTCCATGGCATTTATGGTTTCTACAAATCACAAATCACATATGAAGGGCTCCAAGAATATTAGAGGAATGAGCCAGTTAACTCAGCGCCCATGGGGGAGCTGGCAACTCCCCAAGAAAGCTGGACATCTCCAAGCTGGCCACCAACATTCTATAGCCTCTCCATGAGCAGGGTGGGAGCTGTGCTGGGTGCACAGTGCCATGTCCACAGGTTGATGTGAGGGGCACGTTCTAAATCAAGTGCCTGAGAAGGGCTTCGGAGACCTAGATCCTATCCCTAAACAACTATGGGACAGTGTACCGGTCACTTTCCCTTTCTGGGTTTCTGTTTTCACCTCTGTAAAAAAGAGTAAGGCTTGGTCAGTGTTTCTCAAAGCACTCTCCTTGGAAAACTACATCTGGGATATGTTATAAATGTCCCTGAAGAGGCCTTTGTGGTAAAATACACTTGAGAAATGCAGCTCTCTGCATCGTGCTCTTGGAGATTTCCAATGCATATTAGCAGGTTAGAGTCTCTGAGGTCTGGCAGTAAATAAACTTACTTATCAATGCTTATACCAGCAATTCTCATGTTTATTTCACCTTGGCATCCTTTAAGATATTTTTTTTCTGAGCATCTTGGTTATACATACACTGAGTTAAGTGTTATCCACAGTCACTGCTCGCTCCCTGAATCCGTGACCACGATGAGTCACCCTCCATGCCACCCCCTCCATGCTGCCGGGCCATCATCCTGCAGTGTTCCTGTGGCTGAACATGGATTATTTCAGGTGACCCCTGGAAAAAACGAAGCTCTGTTTTGTGAGAGAGAATGGGTTAGCCTCTCAGTACAGATCCCGATGGAATGGGATGAAGGAGAGGTAGCCTACTGAAAAAGGAGAGGGGTGGGGAGTCTAAAAGGGCTTGAAATGCAGCCAGGAGCAGCCAGATGGGGTGGTGCAGTTGGGGGACACTAAGTAGGAGTGACATGGAGGGACACTAATAAGCAGGGAACTACAGAGGAATAATTTTCATAATACGTCTGTTAAAAACAGGGAGGCAGGGCAAATGGTCAGAAGGAAAGGAAGGTTCTTGGCACCTGTGCGGTTCACTATCTTATTTGTGGCTGTAACTCATCTCTTCCCCTGGATTTAAATACCAAATTTATGTTGATGGCTTCCACGTTTGAATATAATCTTTCGAGGAAGAGCATGGGCTTTAGAGTCATACAGCCCATGCCTCAGTTTCTTCCTCTGTAACTTGGGGCTAACCATAAGATTTACCCGCTAGGTGTGTGTATGAGGATTAAATGAGTTGACACATAGGAAAGCTCCTAGAATAACTAGTGTGTAGTAAGCACTCAAATGACATGATCATGATCAATTGTTATTATTCATATTTTCAGCCATCAGTGCTCTCTGGCTCGACACCTCCACTCAGATGTCTCCAGGGCATCTCAGGCTTAACAAAACTGAATCAGAATTCTTGATTTTCCCAACAATACCTCACCTTTCCCAGACTCCCTGTTTCAATGAATGGCACCTGATATACCTGTAGCTCAAGTTTGGAACCTGAGGGTCAGGTGTGGTCCTCCTTTCCCCTTCCCTTTCATATGCACCCCACCAGGAACTTCTGCAGAGCATGAACCCACCCCCAAAATATATTTCAAGTCCATCTACTTCTTCCCACCTCCCTCTCTCCTCTAGCCAAGCATCCCTTCTCTCTGGGTGAAGGCAGCAGCCTTCTGTGTGCCCTCCCTGTCTTTTCTCTCACTCCTTTCCAGGGAATCTGCACCTGTGACCACAGCCTTCTGTAACAAATGTACCTGTGACCATCCTAAGACCTGTGGGGGCACAGAAAAGGAAGCCCATAGCTACCCCTGCTGGCTTTTGGTGTCCATTTGCATGAAGTGTCTTTTTCCACCCCTTTACTTTAAGTTTACATGAGTCCTTATGTGTCAGGTGAGTCTCCTGAAGGCAGCAGATAGTTAGTTGGTGAGTTCTTATCCATTCTGCAGTTCTGTATCTTTTAAGTGCAGCATTTAGGCCATTTACATTCAGTGTTAATATTGAAATGTGAGGTACCATTGCATTCATCGGGCTCTTTGTTGCCTGTGTACTTCTTTGTTTGTTTTTTGCTTTTGTTTTTTAACTTGTATTTTTGTTTTATAGGTCCTGTGTGATTTATGCTTTAAAGAGGTTCTGTTTTGATGTGTTTCCAGGATTTGTTTCAAGATTTAGAACTCCTTTTACCAGTTCTTGTAGTGGTGGCTTGGTAATGACGAATTCTCTCAGGATTTGTTTGTCTGAAAATGACTGTATCTTTCCTTCATATATGGTGCTTAGTTTCACTGGATACAAAATTCTTGGCTGATAATTGGTTTGTTGAGGAGCCGGAAGACAGGGCCCCAATCCCTTCCAGCTTGTAGGTTTTCTGCTGAGAAATCTGCTGTTCATCTGATTGGTTTTCCTTTACAGGTTACCTGGTTCTTCTGTCTCACAGCTCTTAAGATTCTTTCCTTTGTCTCAACTCTGGATAACCTGATGACAATGTGCTGAGGCAAAGATCTTTTTACAATGAATTTCCCATGTGTTCTTTGTACTTCTTGTATTTGGATGTCTAGGTCTCTAGATGGCTGCAGAAGTTTTCCTTGATTCTTCCCCCAAATATGTTTTCCAAGCTTTTAGAATTCTCTTCTTCCTCAGGAACACCAATTATTCTTAGGTTTGGTCATTTAACATAATCCCAGACTTCTTGGAGGCTTTGTTCATATTTTCTTATTCTTTTTTCTTTGTCTTTGTTGAATTGGGTTAATTTGAAGACCTTGTCTTTGAGCTCTGATTTTCTTTCTTCTACTTGTTCAATTCTATTGCTGAGACTTTCCAGAGCATTTCACATTTCTAAAAGTGTGTCCAAAGTTTCCTGAATTTTCAATTATTTTTTCTTTAAGCTATTTCATTGAATATTTCTCCCATTCAATATTGGGGGATTGTGTTGGGAGAGGAGGGTCTCCCTTTCCCACTTCCGCAAATGGGGCACTCACAGTATTTGGAGTGTCTTCTGGGTCCTGCAGGAGCAGTCTGGTTCCTTCAGAGAGTCTGTGGGTCCTTTTGGGATTGCTGGTTTTTTCTTGCAGTTGATCTGGAGCTAAAATTCACCATGGAAGCCTCCAGATGCTGCTCTGTCTGAAGCTGCAATCTAGTCCTGCCACCCAGCCACTATGATCCCCTCCATCTCTCTGTCCACTTTAGTCAGATAAGCTCAAAGCTAGAACAAAGGACCCATATATGAGCCTACGGATCTGCCTTCAAACACTTGAGAAGCCCTCCAACTCACCATGAGAACACTGACCCCAATCGGGATCTTTGCTTTGCTCCAACAGCCAGACACTCAGACAGGTCCTCAGACCCAGCAACTAATGGACTTGGTGGGATGGTTGTCCTCAAAGCAGCCAGCATTTTGATCAGGCTGGCGTCTGGTCCTGTATTTTTCTGGGATATTCAGAATCTCTTGACATGTATCTTCACTTAATTGTGAATTTAAAAAATTATAGATGGATGTAGATATAGATATAGATATAGACATAGAGATAGATATAGATAGACATTTTGGAGAAGAGTCTCTCTTTGAAGACTTCCTCTCAGAGTACAAGTCCGTGGTTACAACCATTTTGTTTCTCAGCAAACATGGGGAAGTTTGCTTTTCTTCTCTGAGGAAGTTAATATAAATGTTTATTGACAGTGCAGTCATCAAGGAATAAAGTTGCTGATTCATTCCTTTACACTGAAACCCTTTGTTGTGCCCTCCTCTTCCTTCCTCTTTATAGGGAGACACTCTGAGAAAGAGCACATTGTGGGGGCCCACTCCATGTGATGTTTGCTTGGTTGCCTGTTCCCTTTTCTACCTGCAGAGCACGGTTCCCATAAGGGCGGCGAGATCAGCCTCCTGTCTCATCTGGAAGACCACCACTCTGGGGTCTCAGAGGAATGATGGAAGCCTTGGGGTTTCTAAAATTGGAAGTGAATGGCCCCATGGTGACGGTGGCCCTGTCAGTGGCTCTCTTGGCCCTCCTGAAATGGTAAGTGCAGCCAGCCCTAGGGACTGTGACAGCGTCAGCCGTCTCACCCTGGAGCCTTGCTGGTGCCATGGCGGGGTATGTGGGAGTGTGTTTTTCTTCTTTTCTAATCTAGCGGGAGTGAGTATTAACACAGCTTCAGAATTAAAAGCAAACAGCCAGGTTAATCTTTTGCTAAAATGCATGAGATTGAAGTGTCAGGAAAGGCTGGTGATTCAGTGACTGAGAACGCTACACATAATTAAGTTTGAAAGAGATGGAAAAAGAAACAAATTGGAAAGGCATTAGGTTTGGGTAGAAGCATTTCCTTGAACCCCGTCATATCTCCTCACCTCATTTTTCTAAAATCCTCTGTCCTTGTTGGATTTACAGTGAATTCAGCCTCTTGGTTCATATTACATTCAAAACAAAACAAGACGTAGGAGCTGTTTGGCAAATGTGGGCCTCTTTGCAGGAAGTCATTGAGGGGGATTTCTGTAGGGTTAAGGACAAAGTGGTAGATCTAATTTCTCATAGTTGATAGAGGGAGATGGATTCTGATGAACATAGTGTGTGCAGCTCCTACAAAATTTGAGACCCTGAAAGGATCTCAAACTTGAACTCCGAGTTGCTCCCCTGTGGTTTTGTTAATTCAACAGCAAATTTTCCTAAGGCTGACTCTGGTGTCTGTAGGTCGAAGGCCTCATAATATGCTACATTTATGCATATTCGCCCTGTCAGTTAAACTTATTAGAGTTACCCATTCAATCAAAAGCACCTGGATTTAGATGGCTCTGGCTTTTGAGGGCAAAGTGAGTGGAAAAAATAATGGAGGACTGGAGTCCGAACAGAATTTTAATTTATGTTTTCAGTAGTAATAAAGCCTTCTCTAGATTAATAACTGGGAAAGCACTTTGAAAAGCATCAAGCATTATGCAAATGTGAGGTATTATTCTTTTGGAATTTGCATAGCTGAGAGTGGAATTCACGTTTGATGTTCTATGATGATGAAATTACTTCTTGGAAATTGGCTCTGAAACCCAGCCTCAGTCCCAGTGCTGTTTTTCTTTTTAACTGGTTTAATTTTTTTTTTGAACTTTTTTATCTCATTGTAGCTTACCTTGGATTGAAACTGGCCACATGTAAAACCAAGAGCAAATGGTAGCTCCTTCCCTACCCCCAGCCCCCAATAATCCATCTCAATGTGTTTTTATGCTCCGGGAAGCCCGAAGCACAGTGTCTGACATGCAGAAAGTGCTTAGTCGATGTCAGCCACTATAATTAACCATCTATCATCTATGTAACCTAAAAGAAAATAAGTCTTTAGTGGTTTAGGTTTATTTTTAATTTCTTACTAATGTGCTTATTCATATTAATCTCATCAATAGCTATGCTCTGACTGTGGTTCTCAAAGCGGACACTTTTTTACACTTTTGTTTCAGTCTTTGTTGTGTCTGAGCCTCCAGCTCAGTGCCTGCCATGTAGGAACACCACACCATTCAGCAGGGCAGCTATGTGTTTGCTGTCTATTCTTGGGCCATATTAATAACCTGGTTCAAAGATGCAGAGATTAAGATAAATGTACCAAGCAGAAGTGGTAAACAGGAAGTGAGAGCTGACTTCTATTTGTTATTGCAAAAATATTTATTAACCTGTTAATGTGTGCCCAGTCTGGAGGAGGCCCTGGTACAAGGTCAGGAAGCAGGAGATCTGGAGAAGGTGCCCAAGGCAGGGGAGACACAGAGGTTCTGGGGGTGAGCTGGATGTCTAGAGAGGATACTGCAGGAGGAGCAGAGGCAGCAGGAGAGAGGTCACGGCCCTGGCTCTGGTGCTTTTGGGTCCATCCCTTGATTCAGTGCAAGGGGAACCACCCTTGGGCTTTCAACCCTTCTGTTCCGGGTGAGACTCTAGTCAGCCACTAAGCAACAGCCACCAGCTTGAATGAGGCAAGGCCCCCTTCCTGCTTCATTGTCTTGAAAGGATATGTGTGGAAGAGACAGGGGTGCTTTTCCTCCAGTGAGAGGATTCACAGGCAAGGAAAGATGGAGGTGTAGAGACACTTGCAGGAGAAACTGGCAGGGGGAGTGGATTAAACATTGCAGCACATTAGTCTTTGCTTTAAGTGTTACATGTGCCATCCAGCCAGGTGAGATGGCAGCAGAGAACCTAAACCCTGAGAAGGTGAAATCAAATGGGCTGGGCGCGGTGGCTCATGCCTATAATCCCAGCACTTTGGGAGGCCAAGGCAGACAGATCACTTGAGGTCAGAAGTTCGAGACCAGCCTGGCCAACATGGTGAAACTCCATCTCTACTAAAAATACAAAAATTAGCTGGGCATGGCAGCAGGTGTCTGTAATCCCAGCTACTTGGGAGGCTGAGGCAGGAGAATCGCTTCAACCTGGGAGGCACAGGCTGCAGTGATCTGAGATCATGCCACTTCCCTCCAGCCTGGGTGACAAAGAAAGACTCTGTTTCAAACAAAACAAAACAAAACAAAACAGAAGGATGGGAGGATGGAGGGAATCATGGTGGACAGGAGGCAGGACTAGACTGCAGCTCCAGACAAAGCAGCATCTGGAAGCTTCCATGGTGAATTTTAGCTCCAGATCAACTGCAAGAATAAATCAGCAATTCTGAGGGGACCCACAGACCCTCTGAAGGAAGCGGATTGCTCCTGTAGGGCCCAGAAGACACCCCAAATACTGTGAGTGCCCCAACTGCGGAAGTGGGAAAGGGAGACCCTCCTCTCCCAACACACTCCCCCAATTTGAGTGGGAGAAATATTCAATGAAATAGATAGCTTAAAGAAAAAACAATAGAAAATTCAGGAAACTTTGGACACACTTTTAGAAATGTGAAATGCTCTGGAAAGTCTCAGCAATAGAACAAGTAGAAGAAGGAAATTCAGAGCTCAAAGACAAGGTCTTTGAATTAACTGAATCCAACAAAGACAAAGAAAAAAAATAAAAAAATATGAACAAAGCCTCCAAGAAGTCTGGGATTATGTTAAATGACCAAACCTAAGAATAATTGGTGTTCCTGAGGAAGAAGAGAATTCTAAAAGCTTGCAAAACATATTTGGGGGAATAATCAAGGAAAAGTTCCCCAGTCTAGCTAGAGACCTAGACATCCAAATACAAGAAGCACAAAGAACACGTGGGAAATTCATCGCAAAAAGATCTTTGCCTAGGCACATTGTCATCAGGTTATCCAGAGTTGAGACAAAGGAAAGAATCTTAAGAGTTGTGAGACAGAAGAACCAGGTAACCTATAAAGGAAAACCTATCAGATGAACTGAAGATTTCTCAGCTGAAACCCTACAAGCTAGAAGGGATTGGGGCCCTGTCTTCCAGCTTCTCAAACAAATCAATTATCAGCCAAGAATGTTGTATCCAGTGAAACTAAGCATCATGTATGAAGGAAAGATACAGTCGTTTTCAGACAAACAAATGCTGAGAGAATTGCCATTACTAGGCCACCACTACAAGAACTGGTAAAAGGAGCTCCAAATCTTGAAACAAATCCTGGAAACACATCAAAACAGAACCTCTTTAAAGCATAAATCACACAGGACCCATAAAACAAAAATACGAGCTAAAAAGCAAAAGCAAAAAACAACAACAACAAAAAAAACCAAAGTACAGAGGCAACAAAGAGCCCAATGAATGCAATGGTACCTCACATTTCAATACTAACACTGAATGTAAATGGCCTAAATGCTCCACTTAAAAGATACAGAACTGCAGAATGGATAAGAACTCACCAACCAACTATCTGCTGCCTTCAGGAGACTCACCTAACACATAAGGACTCACATAAACTTAAAGGGGTAGAAAAAGGCATTTCATGCAAATGGACACCAAAAGCGAGTAGAGCAACGGTAGCTATTCTCATATCAGACAAAACAAATCGTAAAGCAACAGCAGTTAAAAGAGACAAAGAGGGGCCGGGCGTGGTGGCTCATGCCTGTAATCTCAGCACTTTGGATCACAAGGTCAGGAGTTCGTGACCAGTGTGGCCAACACAGTGAAACCCCGTCTCTACTAAAAATACAAAAAAAAAAAAAAAAAAAAAAAAAATTAGAGGGGTGTGGTGGTAGGTGCCTGTAGTCCCAGCTACTTGGGAGGCTGAGGCAGGCGAATCACTTAAATCTGGGAGGTGGAGGTTGCAGTGAGCTGAGATTGCACCACTGCACTCTAGCCTGTGTGACACAGCAAGACTCTTTCTCAAAAAAATAAAAAAAAGAGAGAGACAAAGAGGGACATTATAGAATGGTAAAAGGCCTTGTCCAACAGTAAAATATCACAGTCTTAAACATATATGCACCTAAAACTGGAGCTTCCAAATTTACAAAACAATTAAAATAGGCCTAAGAAATGTGGTAGACAGCAACACAATAATAGTGGCAGATTTCAATATTCCACCGACAGCACCAGACAGGTTAGCAAGACAGAAAGTCAGCAAAGAAACAATGGATTTAAACTATACCTTGGAACAAATGGACCTAACAGATATATACAGAACATTTCATCCAATAACCGCAGAATACACATTCTATTCAACATCATATGGAACTTTCTCCAAGATCGACCATATGATAGGCCATAAAACAAGCCTCAATAAATTTAAGAAAATTGAAATTGTATCAAGCACTCTCTCAGACCACAACAGAATAAAACTGGAAATCATCTCCAAAAGGAACTTTCAAAACCATGCAAACACATGGAAATTGTTAAATAACCTGCTTCTGAATGAGCATTGGGTAAAAAACAAAATCAAGATGGAAATTAAAAAATTCTTCTAACTGAATGACAATAATGACAAAACCTATCAAAACCTCTGGGATATAGCTAAGGCAGTGCTAAGAGGAAAGTTCATAGCCCTAAACACCTACATCAAAAAGTCTGAAAGAGCACAAACGGACAATCTAAGGTCACACCTCAAGGAACTAGAGAAATAGAAACAAACTGAACCCAAACCCAGTAGAAGAAAGGAAATAACCAAGATCAGAGCAGAACTAAATGAAATTGAAACACATACACACACACAAAATAAAAGATAAATTAAACAAAAAACTGGTTCTTTGAAAAGATAAATAAAATTGATAGACCATTAGCAAGATTAACCAAGAAAGGAAGAGAGAAAACCCAAATAACGTCACTGAGAAATGCAACAGGAGGTATTACAACTGACACCACTAAAATACAAAAGATCATTCAAGGCTACTATGAACACCTTTACGCACATAAACTAAAAAACCTAGTTGAGATGGATAAATTCCTGGAAAAATACAATCCTCCTAGCTTAAATCAGGAAGCATTAGATACCCTGAACAGACCAATACAAGCAGTGAGATTGAAATGGTAATTAAAAAATTACCAACAAAAAAAAGTCCAGGACCATAAGGATTCACAGCAGAATTTACCAGACATTCAAAGAAGAATTGGTACCAATACTTTTGACACTATTCCACAAGACAGAGAAAGAAGGAACCCTCCCTAACTCATTCTATGAAGCCAGTATCACCCCAATACCAAAACTAGGAAAGGACACAACCAAAAAAGAAAACTACAGACCAATATCCTTGATGAACATAGATACTAAAATTCTTTTTTTTTTTTTTTTTCTGAGACAGAGTCTTGCTCTGTCGCCCAGGCTGGAGTGCAGTGGCGCGATCTCGGCTCACTGCAAGCTCTGCCTCCCGGGTTCATGCCATTCTCCTGCCTCAGCCTCCGGAGTAGCTGGCACTACAGGTGCCCGCCACCACGCTGGCTAATTTTTTGTATTTTTTTTAGTAGAGATGGGGTTTCACCATGTTAGCCAGGATTATCTTGATCTCCTGACCTCGTGGTCCACCCACCTCGGCCTCCCAAAGTGCTGGGATTTCAGGCGTGAGCCAACACGCCTGGCCAATACTAAAATTCTTAATGAAATACTAGCTAACCAAATCCAACAACATATCAAAAAGATAATCCACCATGATCAAGTTGGTTTCATAACAGAGATGAAGGGATGGTTTAACATACAAAAGTCAATAAATGTGATACGCCACATAAACAAAATTAAAAGCAAAAATCATGTGATAATAGATGCAGAAAAAGCATTTGACAAAATCTGGCATCCCTTTATGATTAAAATTCTTAGCAAAGTCAGCATACAAGGGACATACCTTAATGTAATAAAAGCCATCTATCACAAACCCACAGCCAACCTAATACTGAATGGGGAAAAGTTGAAAGCATTCCCTCTGAGAATTGGAACAAGACAAGGATGTCCACTCTCACCACTCCTCTTCAACATAGTACTGGAAGTCCTAGCCAGAGCAATCAGACAAGAGAAAGAAATAAAGGGCATCTGAATTGCTAAAGAGGAAGTCAAACTGTCACTGTTTGCTGACAATACAATCGTTTACCTTGAAAACCCTCAGGCCTCCTCCAGAAAGCTCCTAGAACTGATAAAAGAATTCAGTAGTTTCCAGATGCAAGATTAACATCCACACATCAGTAGCTCTCCTATACACCAACAGTGACCAAGCAGAGAATCAAATCAAGAAGTCAACCCCTTTTACAATAGCTGCAAAAATAAATAAATAAATAAATAAATAAATAAATAAATAAATAAATAAATAAAATACTTAGGAACATACCTAACCAAAGAGTTGAAAAGCCTCTACAGGGAAAACTACAAAATGCTGCTGAAAGAAATCATAGATGACACAAACAAATGGAAACACATTCCATGTTCATGGATGAGTAGAATCAGTATTGTGAAAATGATCATACTGCCAAAAGCAATCTACAAATTCAATGCAGTCTGCATCAAAATACCACCATCATTCTTCACAGAATTAGAAAAAACAATTCTAAAATTCATACAGAACTGAAAAAGAGCCTGCATAGCTAAAGCAAGACTAAGCAAAAAGAACAAATCTGGAGGCCTCACATTACCTTATTTCAAACTATACTATAAGCCCATCATCACCCAAACAGCATGGTACTGGTATAAAAATAGGCACATAGACCAATGGAACCAAATAGAGAACCACAAATAAACCCAAATACTTAGTCAACTGATCTTCAACAAAGCAAACAAAAACATAAAGTGAGGAAAGGACACCTTTATCAACAAATGGTACTGGGATAATTGGCTAGCCACATGTAGGAGAATGAAACTGGATTCTCATTTCTCACTTTATTCAAAAATCAACCCAAGATGAGTTAAAGACTTAAACCTAAGACCTGAAACTATACAAATTCTAGGTATAACACTGTAACAACCCTTCTAGACATTGGCTTAGGCAAGGATTTCATGACCAAAAACCCGAAAGCAAATGCAATAAAAACAAAGATAAAGAGCCGGGACCTAATTAAACTAAAGAGCTTCTGCATAGCAAAAGGAACAGTCAGCAGAGTAAACAGACAACCCAGAGTGGGAAGAAATCTTCACAATCTATACATCTGACCAAGGACTCACATTCAGACTCTACAATGAACTCAAACAAATCAGTAAGAAAAAAACAATCCCATCAAAAAGTGGGCTAAGAACATGAATAGACAGTTCTCAAAAGAAGATATATAAATGACCAACAAACATGAAAAAATGCTCAACAACACTAACGACCAGGGAAATGCAAATCAAAACCACAATGCAATACCACATTACTTCTGCAAGAATGGCCATAATCAAAAAATAAGAAAACAGTAGATGTTGGCGAGGATGTGGTGATCAGGGAACACTTCCACCCTGCTGGTGGGGATGTAAACTAGTACAGCCACTATGGAAAACAGTGTAGGGATTCCCTAAAGAACCAAAAGTAGAACTACCTACCATTTGATCCAGCAATTCCGCTACTGGGTATCTACCCAAAGGAAAAGAAGTCTTTATTTGAAAAAGATACTTGAATATGCATGTTCATAGCAGCACAATCCACAATTGCAAAATCATGGAACCAACCCAAATGCCCATCAATCAACAAGTGGATAAAGAAACTGTGGTATATGTATATGATGGAATACTATGCAGCCATAAAAAGGAACGACTTAACAGCATTTGCAGTGACCTGGATGAGATTGGAGACTATTATTCTAAGTGAAATAACTCAGGAATGGAAAACCAAACACCGTATGTTCTCACTGATACGTGGGATCTAAGCTATGAGGATCCAAAGGCATAAGAATGATACAATGGACTTTGGGGACTTGGAGGGAAGTATGAGAGGTAGGCAAGGGATAAAAGATTGCAAATATGGTGCAGTGTGTACTATTTGGGTGATGGGTGCACCAAAATCTCAGAAATCACCACTAAAGAACTTACTCATGTAACCAAATGCCACCTGTGCCCCAACAACTTATGGAAAAATAAAAAAACAAAAACAAAACAAAACAAAAAAGCAAAAGGCACACCAAGGTTGCTTCTTGTGCTCTCAACCAGCCTGTGAGTTCTCTAAGGGTGAGGGCCAGGTCTCCTATCTCATTACAGTTCTGGAATCTTCTGCCAATGGCAGGGATGCTCTGCTAGCATGTGGTTGAAGGTGGTAAAGTCAAGAAGTCCACAACCATCAGCCCCGCCCCAGGACTCACTGTGGGTCTCCTGCTCCTTCAGCGGGCCCCCTGTCGCTCTCTCCCCCACAAACCCTAAGGCCTCCTCCAGAAAGCTCCTAGAACTGATAAAAGAATTCAGCAGTTTCTTTTATCCTGGGCTGGGGTCAGAGCGACGCTGTCTGGGTGCTGTGAATGGTCCTTTGTTGCTGCATGAGGCCTCCTCTTTCCTTCAACTCCAAGCTCAGGGGTGCTTCCTCAGGGAAGTGTTTTCTGTTTCCAAAGGCACTGAGGAGCCCCCTCTCAGCATTGCTTTTATCCCATCTCTGTCCCTCACAATGCCTGGCACATAGTTGGTGCCTAACAAATGCTGACTGAAGGCTAATTCCAACCTCTAAGCTCTGCCTGGTGCTTTCTTCCTGTGGTTCTTCTCTTGGCCTTCACAGTTCCATACAGATCTAAATTCTCTTGCCCATGTGACCCACTCCCTTTCCTGAAAGCTTGCTGTGTTTTCAGTTTGTGTCAATTTGCCATGCACTGTTCCAGTTGTTGAAGATGGACTGTTTTTGTATCCTTTCTTATCCTGTAGAGCAGACACCATGCCATGTACTTAATGCACACTTATTAATTATTAGGTGTATGCGTGAATTTGGAAAAAAGACAAAAAAAATCTTTCATTTAAAAAGACACTGTTTTAAACTAGGCACAGTACACTTTGATCGTTTTCCCGAAACCGCGTTGGACACCATTTTTCCATGATGATCATTTGATTTAAACCGACCAGTGTGTGGCTGAGCTCTGTGAACTGGGGCATCAGGGGATCAGGGCTGCACCACCAGGGCTGGAGATGGAGCTGGGGATAGAGACTGTATTAGCTGGAAGTACATGGAGCACATGCTAAGACGATTAACACACAAGATAACACATTTTAAAAACTAATTTTTTCCCATATAAAATGGTTTAAAATTCTTACTTCTGGAGGAGATTTGATGGACAAGAAATGAGTTGTACGAGTTGAACGTTGCTCGAGGCAACCGTAAGTCCTAGCGTATTTAATCTTTCAAGCAACACCTAAGGACTGGCAGCTGGGTTCCTGTGGGGAGGATAAAGATTGCTTTATTCTTTAAGATCCAGTGTAAAGAAATAGCCCAGATAGCAATAGTGGATTTCTTTCTGGGATGGGGTTGTGGGTGATTTCTTTTCCCTTCTTTTAGTCTTTCTGCATCTTTTGTATTTCTTTAATGAGTGTGAATATTTAGCAAAAAAGAGAAATTTTACTAAAAAGAGTGGGAAACTGCTCCCTTCTAGTGGTGAAGGGGAAAGCAGTTTCATGCTTTAGGCGTGAGGTTTCAGGACTGTAGTCTAATTATTTCTTCCAGTGGAGTAGAATGTCTGAAAGGATTTGGAGTAACAGGGCTGATGAAGCGGCAAGGAAGGTGAGTAGCTATCTAGGCAAGTATGTGAACACAGCCTGGAAGGGCTTGTAGTACCAAGCTGCTCTTAAAGCTCAGGTACCAAGACCCAGAGGTACATAATCAATTCGACATCAAAAATAGGAATTCAGGCTGGGTGTGGTGGCTTATGCCCAAAATCCCAGGGCTTTGGGAGGGCAAAGTGGGAGGATCACTTGAGCCCAGGAGTTTGAGACCAGCCTGGGCAACAAAGAGAGACCCTGCTTCTACCAAAAAAAAAAAAAAAAAAACAAATCAAAAATTAGCCAGGTGTGGTGGTGCGAGTCTGTAATCTCAGCTACTTGGGAGGCTGAGGTCGGAGGATCTCTTGAGCCCAGGAGGTTGAGGATACAATGAGCTGTGATTGCACCACTACACTCGCACTCCAGCCTGGGTGACAGGGCAAGATCCTGTCTGTAGTCCCAGCTACTTGGGAGGCTGAGGCAGGAGAATCACTTGAACCCGGGAGGCAGAGGTTGCAATGAGCCGAGATCACACCACTGCACTCCAGCCTGGGCAACAAGAGTGAAACTCTGTCTCAAAAAAAAAAAAAAAAAAGAGATTTCAGATAGAGAGTGAGTTAGTGTTCTGATCAAGTCTCATTCTAAGACCAGTTTAAATTGAAATGTGATTGGTGATTATTAAGATTTAAGACTATCACAGATTATTAAGACTTAAGTTTACCACTATGCCTGGAAGTTCCTTTCCCAGAGAGTTTCTTCTACATGTAAGAACTGGACTCTAATTCTAGACCCACATCTACTCCAGACTATATTTAGAAGGCACCATTGGGATGGAATATGGGAGCCAAGATGAGAAATCTGAAGAGGAAGAAGCCATGTAGGTATTCCCTGGCACAATGGGAGGTGAGCTCCGGAAAAGGCATCCCGCCTCCAGCATGTGGGGACTGAAGATCAATTTGCCCACCATTTCCCAACTTCGGTTCCTAAAAGTGTTTAGGAAATTAAGTCTAAATCAAGCCCTTCTTGGAGATTCATAGAATATCAAAGGCCCTGAAAGGTTCTTTAATAAAGAAACCTGTTCAGCTTTATTTAACCCAGTGTTTTCGCAGCGTCTTTGCTAAAGTACTGCTGCATATGGCCGTGGTGGGTTGGGCAACTAGACCCGCTGAGATGGTCCCTTGAAAACGGCGGTCGGATGCATTGGTAGCTGCACAACCAGTGGAAATGGAGGGGCCACAAAACGGAGGAATAAGACATTCAAATTGCCCCTTTGCAAGCTCTGAGGTTCCAGGGTTGACGTATTGTTTCCTTCAGGGCACAGAAAATATGGAGTCTAGCGAACAGAAGCAGGGCCCATGCGTAGGGGTGGTCCAGGTTTACACCAAAGAAAATGAGTACTACTCACAGCTGTCTGGCAAGGTGGCAAGAGAGCGCCTCGGAGGTCGTGAGTGTCCCTCACCATCCATAGGAATGCCACAAAAGCCCTTGCTGCCAGGCATGAGCAGCTGGTACAGAAGGCCACCGAGTGCCTTCCCGATCTGGACTCCGTGACTTCTATGCCCACTGGCGCTCTTGCATGGGTCAGTCTGTGCTGCCGCTCAGGAAAAGCAAGTCAGGTGCCATACCAGCGACCCAATGGCGGCTGCTGCTTCTTCTGCCTGGGCACCTCATCATCCCCAGCAGTAGTTCCTAGGTGTGAGCGTGGCAAGGAGCCCAGAAATACAGAAGCAGCGTTTAGGGGCCTCACGGTAGCTTCATGCCTGACTCTTTTCTCTCCTCTTCCGGCCTGGCCTCTAGGCCTTTCTGGATCGCCAGCCAGTCAGACTCTACTTCGAGAAGCAGAAGGTCTTGGGCTGGGTCTTGAAATGCAGGGAAGAATTGACTTGGCAGAGGAGAGGAAAGAGAAAATTTCAGGTGGGGAAGTACCCCAGGCAAAGACAACATTAGTGTTTGTAACATTTGCTGGAACAAAACATTAGGAGTGTGAATAATGGACACAGTTTAGAAATACATTTTAAAGGCATGGATAATTTTCAGTGCCTCCAAGCATCTAGAGAGGGATACATCTATTTCCCTTTTTTTTTTTTTTATCTTTTTGTATTTTTGTCTAGGATATGATGGGTACTTCGATTTAATAACTCAGTGATGAGCTTGGAGATAAAATTGAGCCTGCTGTGAAAACTAGGTCTGTGGCTTCCTTGAGGACCATTTCTACAGAATATTATTTTTTTTGTTTTCTCTCTCTTAAATGGTTATACACAATATCCCTATCCTTCTCCTCACTTTATTGATTTTCCAGAATGAGAGTACGAGGTATGACTATAAAGTAACGTGACTGATTATTTTAGCATACACTCCAATACTTATACAGCCAAATGAATTTTATGACCTTCGGAGGCATTTTCCTGATAGGCTAAACCCTTACTGCAGATATGCCACTATCAGAAAACACATTCTTAGCACTTTTTGTGGGAATGGCACTTGGTGCTTAGATGTGGTCCTTTGAAAGCCCTCAACGCAACACATCTTTGTGGAGAATAGATTGATTTTTTTTAAAAAACAGTCCATATTTTGGCAAATAGATGATTAAACAGAGTAATATTATTTGCAATTTTAAAAATGTGATTATAAAACAATACACAGCTTGCAGAAGAGGTGTATGAACCAGTTCTGGAAGCCTGGGAATTTTGCTGAGGGGCCACGCTCACTGGCATACGAGTTGGTTTTTGGTTTTGGTTTTGTTTTTTAAAGAAAACAATAGCAACAGTCTTAATATTTATGGTCATACCTTCTCTCGTCTAGTAAGGAATTCAGGCTTCTGGTAGCATCTGTTTTGGGGGCAGAGATGAAAGAAGAATCTTATTTGTTGTATAAACAAAGCAAAACATCAGATTGATGTGTGTCCATTACTGAGCTGCGTGAGTGGGTGCTCAGCGATGCCTTCCCGGGAAGGAAGTGACTCTCCCAGAAATAAAATGATTGAATGAACTCTTCCCCTAACCCTAGTGCCATAATAACAACAAACCTAACAACTATCGCTTGCCACTGAAGGGAAGTACGCGGTCTATGGGAACCCTGGTAGCCTTATATGGACTTGTTTTTTGGTTGCCGGAATAACATGCATCTGGACATGGGAATGAGACTGGCGAGAAAGGGAGGGGGCAGATGTTCACACTGGTATTCATTGGTGCTTCAATTACTAAGAGCCACATCTTTCCTGGTTTACCAGAAATAGGTGCTGTTGCACAACTTCCTGGTGGATAGGGTAGGGGGGTGTTAGCTGATAGGGGAGTTCCCTGGAGCCCTCGACTCTCTCTGTTGCTTTCAGCCTCAGCCCTCAGTGCAGAGTTTGGCCCTGGCCCGCGCTGTGGGGCCCTCCTAAACCTCCCCTATGTCCTTGCAAAGGTGTGCTTCTTAGGTTTCGCTTGAGCAGTCAGCCAGTTCCTCAACACAATCTCAGAAAGAGGCCGGCCCCTTTTTTCCCCTCGAAGATATCTAGAAAAAACTGTGTCAGAGATGATCTGAAAGCAAAGCCAAGCTCTACCAATAGTGGCTTCCACCAATGCCTTGTTTCCCTGAGCACTGCACACAGACCCCCTGGGAGAGCCAGCGCCATACCCCGAAACCAGCAGCTGCCTCCACATTCTGATCTGAAAGGTGCCCTAAAGTCCTCGCATGTGCTTCCCTCCTTCCTGCACTGACATGCCTGTTCCCTCCAAGCTGCACAGCGCAGTCCCTGTTGCCTGAATGCTCTCCCTTCTTGGTTTAACTGAACTCCTGCCTAACCTTCAAAATCTTGTCTAAATGTCACTCTTCCATAAAGGTCTCCTCCATCAGGCCAGCCCTCAACCAGCCCTGCCTCCTGTGGACTTGCTTCCTATCTCTCTGGCTATCTCGGCACTTACTACTTTACTTTATTTATTTATTTATTTATTTATTTATTTATTTATTTAGAGATGGAGTCTCACTCTGTCATCCAGGCTGGAGTGCAGTGGCATAGTCTCAGCTCACTGCAACCTCCGCCTCCCGGGTTCAAGTGATTCTCCTGCCTCAGCCTCCTGAGTAGCTGGGGCTACAGGTGCGTGCCACCATACCCAGCTAATTTTTGTATCTTTAGTAGAGGTGGGGTTTCATCATGTTGGCCAGTCTGGTCTCGAACTCCTGACCTCAGGTGATCCGCCCACCTCGGCCTCACAAAGTGCTGGGATTACAGGCATGAGCCACAGTGCCCGGCCCACTTTATTTTATAGCTTATGCATGTGACCTATCTTCTTGGCTTGACTGTAAGTCCCTAAGAGGAGGGCCCACATCTTAAGCCAGTGAGTGCCCTCTACATAGTAGCTGCTCAGTAAATGCTAATGATCATGATTATGCCTCTGGTAACCGAGATAGCAGCACTGTTTCCAAATGATTACTGTGACAATGTGTGTGTGTGTGTGCATGCCTGTGTATGGAAGAGGGTAGAATCAGTCTCCCCCTAATTGCACACTAGTGGTAGTGTGTTCTTAGCACCTGGCAGAATGCCTTGCACAAGGCTTATTGAAAAGGGAAATAAATCTTGATTCATGCAATCGTCGAATGCTGAAGGTTTTCTAGGCTGTGAGCTGGTTCTACCTCATTGGTGTGCTATGGATAACATTCCCATGAATTCAGATAGATAGAGGAATTGCCCCATTTGAAATTGAAGAGCAAGACTGTAAAAGGAGGGGATGATGGAATGCAGGACCCAGCCACTTAGAATACGTGGTACATGGGGGTATATAGAGCACTCAAAGTCTGAGTGGGGTATCCTGACACCAGACTAGGGGACAGGAGGCATCCAACCCCCAGCAGAGGCATTGAAGAACAGACACTTTCTCCTTCACTGTTCTATTGAGCACAAATCCCCACAGTTTGAAGCAATGGTATCTCAACTCTTCCCTACCATCCACTGTTGATGTGATTTTTCCCCATAGATCCTATGTTCTGTTGTCCCAGCAACAATGTATATTTAAGTAATGATTGATTAATTTTCCCATTTTAATTATTCAAAGGCAAGCTAATTGGAAAACTCTGCCAGTTGAGAATAGCTGATCAATGAGATAACCAGCATTAGTGTACCAAATTATAATTCCACTCCAAAGCAAAGAAACTCGACATTTTCCTTAACCTGCACCACCATCGCGTTGTCAATAAATGCACGATTTACATTAGGCTCTTTGAAATATTGAAAATATCTCATGTACCCTCTTCCTACCTTCACAAATCAGTAGGCACCTGGGAACCCCAGGCTGTAAAGCAGTGAAGAGGGAGTGTAGTCAGTTGTACATTTAAGGATTTTAACTCCATCCGTACACAGAGAGTGAGCAAAATTGGTAGCATCATCTCATGATCTAAGAGCGTACCTAAGGAGATAATTGGGAGGTTCTCAGGAGAAGTGTGGCATTGTGGAAATCAGCCAGGCCTTTACAGTGTAGGGACAGACACACCTCTTTCCCTGGGTGTCCTTGGGCCAGCCACTCCCTCCTTGCTCATTTCCTCATTGGTGAGAGAGGGCTGGGACACCTGCCTCTCAGCATTGGCACATTTTCCCCCAGCCCCCCAGGCTATGCTGGGAATCAGCCTCACATCTTTCTTGGCTCTCACCCTAATGTTAACCCTCCACAGTCTGGCCAGTCTTGACTCCCAAGTGTTCCTCTCTCTATCTGCTTTGCTTCTGCTGCAGTTGAGGACTTCAAAATCACTCCTTGGCTGGAAATAGCCTTCCCACGGGTCTCCCTGCCTTCTATCTTGTGCTCCCCTAATTTGTCCTGCAACTGCAGCCACCGGCTCACTGCTCCTCTGCATAAAACCCTTTCCTGGTCCTCCTGTCTAAGGAAGTGAGTGTTCCTGGCCTGGCTCCTGAAGCCCCCTCTGACCTGGTCCCCTGCCCCTCTGCAGGTTTAACTCCCCTCGCTTCTCACCTGGTGCCTGGCTCCCAGGTGCTCACAGCTCCTCCCACACACCATGCAGTTCAGTGCCAATTTCTTTCCTTCTACTTGCATGTCCTTCCCCCTTCATTTGGGTGAGAACTTCTCCAGGAGCCTCTTCTGCATCTCCTAGGTTCTTGCCCCAATGTACCTGGTACCTTCCCTCTCTCTCATCACTTACCTGGCTCCCCAAGGGCAGGATTGGTCCTTCCTCATCTTTAGCTGAGCACTCAGCATTGTGCCAGGGGCACTCAACACACTTCTGTTGAGTAATAGGCACGCAGTTACTTGTTGAACCAAACTGCGTTAGAAGAGATGATCTATAGGATTTTGTGTGGCATATGCATTGTTCTTTGCCGCTATGGGTATCATCATAGAGAATTTCCATTAATTTCTGGCCGTGTGCCACTGCAACCAGCTTTCACCCTGACTTGTCATATAACAAAATATCATTAAATTGAACTCTAGTTTTTTTTTTTTTTTTTTTAGACAGGGTCTTACTCTGTTGCCCAGGCTGGAGTACAGTGGCACAATCACAGCTCACTGCAGCCTCAACCTCCCCAGGCTCGGGGAATTCTCCCACCCCAGCCCCATGAGTAGCTGGGACTACAAGCGAGCACTACCACCCCAGGCTATTTTTTGTATTTTTTTGTAGAGACGGGGTTTCTCCATGTTGCCCAGGCTGGGAACTCTGGATCTTAATAAAATATTTTTTTCTTTAGAAGTCAGGCTAGGCTGGGCTGTGGGTTGAAGTTCATCTCTGTGCTATTTATGAAGGAAGGGATTGCTAACCAAAATCATTGTGCAAAGGTGACAGCTCAACCAATTTAGGAAAATAAACTACTCCCGAGCACTTCGGCAGCTTGCTAGTTTATCAACGATCCCTTGAAAACGCACTAAAAACACTTCACTCTTTCTGCCTTTCCACACTTTCTATAATGGCCCAGGGCTTAGGCTTTGGAATCAGATCTCCTGGATTCAAACTCTGGCTAGCCTTGTGACCTTAAGCAATAGATGTCAGGTCTCCGTGTCTCAGTTTCCCCATGTGTAAAATAGGGATACTAATAGTACCTACCTCTTAGCATGTTGGGAGGATTACATGAGTAAGAACATAAGGTGGACTTAGAGCAGTGCATGGCACAGCTCAGGGTCAATAAACATTAGCTCTTAGTGTTATCTGATAACTGCACGCTTATATTCAACAAAAACTGCATAGACGCTGGGCAGCTAGATCTTGGTTTTTATTTTGTTTATCTAGTTATTTTGTAAACCTCATTCTGAATTCTCACCTGATCCCCAGGAATGCACTGCAGTGAAAAGTGAGGAGAGGCGTACTTCAAACAAGTGACCTCATTTTGAATAATCCTGGACTTATACCACTAGGTAGCTTTTGACCTTGAACAAGTAAAATTAGGTTTTAAAAATGCGTATCAGACTTAGTAAGCTGAAGTGTCTTCGGGGGTGTTGGGGATGGTCACCAATGGTGTGGTGGGGACAGAGCCATAGTGCGGCAGGTTTAGAAATGATGGGGTGGGAGGGCAGATGAAAAGAAGACTGTGGGCTTTTCTTTGAAGAAGGTCAGAGATGTCAGCCACCTCTCTGGGCTTGATCACTTTTCCATACGGTCAAGCGGAGATAGTCATTCTCTCCCTGTCTCCTTGAAAGGGAGTATGAGGGTTTGTGAGCAATAAACCTTACACCAACATATATTGCTATTAGTCCATTGATGGCATCTGTTTACCTCTCAGTTGTAGGTGCTTCAAAATTAAAGAAAATCTATTTCTTGAAAAGTGCACAATAAATCAAGCTTTAAACTCAATTTGTTTTCCAGAAATTTTTCAAATTTTCCCATGACAAAATTTACATTTATTTTCTGATTTTAACAGTAAGAGTACCATTCTAATTTTCATCTGGTCTTTGCTTCATTGGTTGACATTTGCCTTGCCCTTGGACTTGAGAACTTGAAGTATCAATGAGGCATAGCACATCAGTAAATAAGCCCCGCTAAGCCATACTCTATTCTCGCCTGTTGACCAGATCTTTTGTTTCCTGCTCACTCTCATCCAAGCCCTTACCCACATCATTTTCAATGATGGTGTCACTGCAAATGTTTCTTTGCAGGTTCAATTCTCTCCTATCATAAAACAAACAACTGAGCCAGCCAACTAACCAACCAACCAACCAACCAACCAATCAACCAACCAACTCACTAACCGCCTCTTCTTTGACTCCACCCCAGGCACCACTCCACTTATCCTTCTCTTCCCAGCCTAGTGACTTGAAAGAGGACTTTGTATTTGCTCACTTTCTCACCTCCTATTTACCCCCGACCCCTGCAATAAGGTCTCTGTTCCATTCTCTACTGAAACGGCTTTCTTCAAGGCCACCATTAAGTCTCTAGTACCTAAACTGAATTAACAGTTTCTAATCCTTCTCTTTCTTTGGCACTTTGCAATATTTGTTGTTTGTTTGTTTGTTTGTTTTGAAATAGGATCTTGCTCTGTCACCCATGCTGAAGTGCAGTGGTGCAATCATAGCTCACTGCAGCCTCAAACTTCTGACCTCAAGTGATCCTTTCACCTCAGCCTCTCAAGTAGCTAGAACTATAGACATGTGCCACCATGCCCAGTTAATTTTTAAATTTTTTGTAGAGTGAGGTCTTGCTATATTTCCCAGGCTGGTCTCAAGCTCTTGGCCTCAAGTGACCCTCCTACCTCAGCCTCCCAAGTAGCTGGGACTATAGGTGCATGCAACCATCCCTGGCTAATTTTATGTTTTACTTATTTATTTATTTATTTATTTATTTATTTGTAAAGACAGGATTTTGCTATGTTGCCCAGGCTGGTCTTAAACGCCTGAGGTCAAATGATCCTCCCACCTCGGCCTTCCAAAGTACTGGGATTACAGGCATGAGCCACCATGCCTGGCCGCTTTGCAACATTTGATTCTGTTAATTTTGGGTATATGTCAAAGCTGTCAGTTACGTAGGGGTAGAAAAAAAGTTGTGCATCATTGATTATAATGCCAGGGCCCCATTTTACAGATGTGAATATGGAGGTCCAGAGAAGTTATGTGATCTGATGTGTATTAGTCAGCTACTGTTGCAATAATGCTGTGTAACAAACCACCCCAAGCTCATTGGCAAATGACAATGTTTATTTTTCTCATGGTCTGTATGTTCACTGGAGTAGCTCTGTTCCAGTCTGACAGTGGGGTTTAGATCTGCTCCACATGTTTGTAATGGGACCCAGGCTGAAGAGAATATTAGGGAAGTGCTGCTCCTGACAGGTCACAGGGATGCAAGAAATGTAAAATGAAACAGTAATATCTCTTGAGGCCTCAACCTGGAAGCTGCTAAGATAATTTCTGCCCACATTCTATTGGCTAAGCAATCCACATGCCCAAGGTTAACATTAATGGGGCAGGGAAGAAGACTCTGTCCACTGTAGCGGGAGGCACTGCACAGTCATGGAGCAAGGGGCATTGATGTAGAATTTTGATACAGATGGGGCATGAAGCATCAGGAGCAGTGATTCACTCTACCTCATGCTCCAAGATTACACAGCTGGATTCTGATCTTTGGCAAAATAGAATCTAGGGGCCACAAGTCACAAGACAAAATAAAACCATAACAAAAAAATAAATAAATGAACAAAAACTTAACGTGAATGGACATATTAACTTTTATTGTAAGTGAAAACAGTGACTCTCTGGGGGAAAAAAAACAACAGGCCAGGCATGATGGCTTACACCTATAATTCTTTTGGGAGGCTCACTTTGGGAGGCTGAGGTAGGAGGATCACTTGAGCACAGGAATTCTCGAGACCAGCCTGGGCAATATAGGAAGTCTCCGTCTCTACAGAAAATACAACAATTAGCCAGGTGCGGTGACATGCATCTGTGGTCCCAGCTACTCAAGAGGCTGGGGTGAGAGGATCAGTTGAGCCCAGGATGTGGATGTTGTAGTGAGCCAAGATCGCACCACTGCACTTCCAACAGCAAAGACCCTGTTCCCCCAAAAAAAACACAAAAAACAAAAAACAACAAAAAAAAAACAACCCACCAAAAAACAGAAACAACAGATAGTGATGCAGAATTTTCCCACTGAGACACTGACATGGTGGGTCATGGTGATCTTGCTTATGAAGTGATAACCTAGCTTCAAGAGTGTTGAAGCAGGGTCCAGAGCTCAGTGTAGGGGCCAGGTTGGTCCTGGGCCGAACCTGGGGACGTACCTAGGAATTTCTAGCCAAATAAGCAATAGAGGGAAGGGTCTGACTGATGACGGAGCATGAGCACACTCTAGGAAGGGCAAAGAATTGATCTGGGGGATGGGATGGGGCGGGGCCCTAAGATTTCAACTCCACCCTGGAAAAGCAGGACTTAGGGGAGGCATGTCTGAAGTTCAGAAGACCAGGGGAAACCTGAATGCAGAAAGCGCAGCTTGTTCACCATGTCCTGAAATACAGCAACCAGGGGACACTCTTGTAGATTGTGAGCTGTATTGCTTAGGACAAATTCATTGTTCTATGCTGGGCAGTAAATTTATGGATGTTGTTATGCCAAGAAAGGAATATGGCTGAAAACATAAATTGCTCCAGAATTGTTTTAAATATTCTCATGGGTGCTGGAAGTCCTCTGGGTTATTAAGGAAAAAATTTGTTTATTTCTTGCCCTTCCGGAAACCACCCTTTGGTGCTGGCTAGTGGCTGTCAGAAGAAAGGGTGTATCCATGTATCACAAGGGCTATTACACATCGTGAATTTAACTTGAGTTCTCAAAGATAAAAAGAGACACTTGTCTTGCCTCCACGCTCCTTCTCGTCCTGCACATTTGTCCACTCACCTCCAGTAAGTTGCTCTGGAATCTGAACAGGGAGGTTTCTTGCAATCCAGAATCAGCCACAAAATCCCATTTCCTTTTTTCCTATAAAAAAGATGTGCTGACTGAAACAACTAAAATATAGACTAGTTAGTGTAATAACAATAAGTAGCAAAAACAAAATAGAAAAACAAAGCACAACATGAAAAAAGAAGTTTTTGAATTAGTGTCTTCTTTCATCAAGGTCAGTTTCTCTCCATCTCACATCCTCTGTGACCCTAGGGTGGTGTGGAAGATCCTTCCCCACCCACACCCACACATGGGGTATTATTTGGGCCTTTTCCAGGGACTTCTGTCAGTTCTGATGGTCTTTGCACTGGGCTGAGTAGTGTCCCCTCGCCCCCAAATTCATGTCCATTAAAACCTCTGAATGTGACCTGATTTGGAAATAGGGTCTTTACAGCGGTAATCAAGTTAAGATGAGGTCCTACTGGATGACGGTGGTCCCTAATCCAGTGACTGGCATCCTTATAAGAAGAGTGAAATTTGGATGCTGAGATGGACAGAGGGAGGACGACATGTAGATATAGTCACACAGGCGAGAACACTGTGATGACCAAGGCGGAGATTAGAGGGATGCATCTACAAGCCAAAGACCATGGATTGCCAGCAACTACCAGGAGATGGACAGAGGCAAGGAAGGAGCTCCCTTCGTGTCTTCAGAGGGAGCATGGCCCTGCTGATGTCTTGACCTCAGAATTCTGAACTCCAGAATGATGAGAGGATAATTTCTGTTGTTTTAAGCCACCCGGTTTGTGGCAATTTGTTAGAGAAGCCCTGGGTAACTAGTCTGGTCTCCTTGCTCCCGTTGGTCTTACTGAGCCAAAGCATCCCATTGGCCTTACTGAGCCAAAGCATCCCATTGCATCATGTTTGTTACTGTAACCCTCAAATCTTTTTCTTGACCTAACTCTTAGCAAGTTTAGCCACTGGCCTTTGATCATCTCTTAGCTGCAATAATCTTCACTTGACAGACAAGCCAGAGGCCTGGCTGGAGGCTCAGGCCCTTCATTCAGACAGCTCAGGAGGCCTGGACTGTGGCTGGGCCAGTTCCTGTGGCCGGGCTCTAAGTCTCAGTTTCCCCATCTGTATAATGCACACAACAGGGATGTTGGTAGAGATTACAGGACATGATGTTTATAAAGTGTGTTTATAATTTTATTTTGTGGGTCAGTACAATGCCTGACCCATAGCAAGTGCTTAATAATAAATGTTAGCTATTATTAAACATACAGTTTTCTGAAATCTTTAAATCCATTTTTATCCACCCCAGGGTGAAGTTTCCCTGATTTTTCTTTTCCAGTAAAAGCATGGCAGATCCTATCTACTCTCTTAGTGATGCACAATGACATCTGGGCTAGTGCCTGACACAGAGTAGGCACTAAATATATTTTTATGGAATAAAGAATGGAACAACTACATTGTTTCAATATCTAATCAAAGGAGGAAATAGCTTACAGATTTTATGAGGCTTAGTAACCAGCTTGATACACTCAAGGTGAAACTTTGGAAAAGGATGTAATTTCACCACATTTGTTCACAATAGGGCACAGGTGATGTGGTAGACAGCCTCCAAGAGGGCCCTCTGGATCCTTGCCCTGGAATTCACACCCTTGCATAGCTCCCTCCCCCATTGTACCAGGGTCAGTTAGCATGACCAGTGGAATACAGCAGAGGTGATGGTGTTATCACTTCCAAGATTAGATTATTGGAGACTGGGGTTTCCATCTTGGGCTCGCTCTCTCCCTTGGATTGCTTACTTTGGGGAAGTCAGCAGCCATGTTGAGCAGCCCTATAGGGAGAGGCTCATATGGCAAAGCCAGCTACAGCTCCATAAGCAAGCATGGACACCATTCTCCAGCTTGACCCTGAACCCAAAGCACCTAGCTGATCTGCTCGCAGACTCCTGACCCTCAGAATCTGTGAGATAATGAATGTTTGTTGTCTTCAGTCACTTAGGTCTGGGGGCAATTTGTGACACAGCAGTAGATAACTAATATAGGTGCTGAGATAGGAATGGCTGGGACCAGGCAGGGTCAGGACTGAGGACTCTAATAATGGAAGGGATTATAAGTTGCAGGGAGCAGGCAAGAGGCCAAACCCAGAAAAGTGGTCTGTTCGGAAGGTCAGGCAGGTTCTGTGGGTCTCCACCTGTGGCTGTGTTCCAGAACCCAGAGAGGTGAGAGCCAGAAGCAAACACACTGAGGAACAACGGGCACTGAGATTCAGGGCTCTTGGACTAGAACTCTTGCCTTTTGACTTTGTCCTGTACAATTTCCAGCTAGACCCACAATTGATCATTATAGCTAAGAGATGATCAAAGGTCAGTGGCTAAACTTGCTAAGAATTAGGTCAAGACAAAGATCTGGGGGATTACAGGAACAAACATGATGCAAGGGGATTATAAATATTTTTTTGAAACTCTTAACAATATTCTTTTGTTACTTTGAGTTACCCAAGCTCTTTAAACTGTCTGCCAAGCTCAAAGGCAAAATTGGTATTTCCCAGGCCTTTTGGACGGGTCATAGTGCAATAGAAAGGTGGAAATATTGGCTGGGTTTATGAAGACATAACTTCTTATCCAATTGGCAAACATTTTTTAAATGCCTACTCGGCTGGGTACAAAAGAACCTAGAATTATTCTGAGCACCCACTACCAGTACTCAATGCCCCTGTGTACCAACCTTGGCTACTCCAATACACACACACACACACACACACACACACACACACACACACACACACACACACACAGTTGGCCAAAGAAGCAACCTGTCTGCTCTGCACAAGCCAGGTCTTCACTTTACTGAAGCCCCAGCTGACCCCTCTGGGCTCAAACTTTACTGAAGTGAAGACCTGGTCTGTGCAGAGGAGATAATGACAGATTTATCTGTCCTTATTTCAAGTCTTGAAGCCCTGTTGACTTAGTGGCTAATCTGATCAACTGATTTGAACCCTGGGGATAGCGTCCTGTAAGATGGCATCTGCCTTTTCACAGGGGACTCAGAGCCCTCAACCCACAGACTTGAACAAACAGGGGCTTTTCGCATCCCCCGTCTTACAGATAGGTTGGATTCTGGGCAACTGGCTGCTCTGCAAATGTAAAGTGAGAAACAGTAGGGCCTGGTAATGGTGAGCACAGACTCCAGAGCCAGACAGCCTGGGTTCGAATCTCAGCTGTGCTACTCACTAGCAGTGTGACCTTGGGCCAGTTACTTAATCTCTCTGAGCCTCAGTGTTCCCATCTGCAAAACGGAGATAATAATAACAGCATGTTCCACACAGAATTTGGGGAGGAGTAAATGAGCTCATGTGTGGGAAGCACTCAGCCGGGCTCCTGGCTCACAGGAAGCATCCTGTAACTGTTTCCTTTTATTACGCAGGATCCAGAGGCAGGGGCAGCCCCAGCTGACCCCTCTGGGCTCTAATTTAACTATCTGTTGGGGTTCACCGGAGGCAGATGTCCCTCTTTCACCACAAGTCTCAGGGGTTCTTTAAGGACTTCATAAAAACAAAGGATTAACTGCAGATGACTAAGCCCACATGATGGAAACAGAATCAGGTACAGTAAATAATGAACGTAGACAGGATTAGATTCCTACAAATAATACATTGTGTTCTCCTGCTCTTCATTGGCAATCATCCCCAGTAGGGAATCAGTGGAACTCTTTGAGTGGCCAAGGAAAACATCTCCATGTGCCCAGGATAGCCTGGGTGGGCTCCTGGAGGAGGCAACCCTTGAGCAGAAAGCCGAAGAGCAATCTGGCCTTTGCAAATGGAGAAAGAGTGGATGCATCAGCAGAGAGGAGAGTGGGCTGGGACAAGGGTGAGAGAAGGAAGCAAGCACCTAGGCCCAAAATTTAAGAAGGCCCTCACTCTCAGGGTTGTACAAGAGCAGGGGTGGCACTTGTACAGCCCTGAGAGTGAGGACCTCCTTAAATTTTGTACCCTAGGTTTGTTCTTGCCTCTCCTTTGTCTTGGCCCTAGAGAAAAGCCTGGGAAAAAGCCCAGAACGGTGAAACGACATGGCGTAACTAGGAACGTGTGAGTCATGCAAGATTGCCCAAGCCTAATTTAGGGACAGAGATGACTTACAGTGAGGCTAGCAGTCAAGCTGTGGCCGGATCACCAAAGACCCTAGGTGCCAAATAAAGGAGGTTAGTGCTTGAACTGAAAGTGACAGGGAGCCAAGGAAGAATTCTGAGCAGGGCTGCAACATGATGAGATTTGCATATGAGCAAGCTTCTTCTGGCATTGGTGTGGAGGACTGATTGGAGGATGATAGGAGAAGCTAGAGGCTGGGAGGCCAGTTCAGGACCCTACTGAAAACTCTATGCCCAAGGGAGAGACGACGACCTGATATAGGGCAGTGCCAGTTAGGAGTAAGAATGAAGAACTCACTCAAGACATGTGTTGAAGGCAGAGTTGACAGAACTTGGTGATTGACTGCAGATGAGGATCAAAGGAAAGACCCAAAGATAGCATGAAGTTTCAAAGATGGTCATCAATTTAGAAGCCAAGGGGGTTTATTAGACAAGATAACAAGCATGTGAAGGCAGTGATTTCAGCTTCCCCAAGTCCAAGGTAAACCCTTAGTTCTCCTGTTTTCTGTAGGATAAGCTCTCTGGAGGCTAGGATGTATCTTATTCATTTTTGTATGATATCTACTCTGTAAGTATCTTTGAACTGCATTAAGTGGCTTTCACACCTCCGCATCCTGCTCATTGGCTTTCAAGTGGCCTTAGGGGTGTTACTATTGTTTGAATGTTTGTCTCCTCCAAAAATCATGTTGAAATTTAATCCCCGATGTGGTAGTGTTGAGAGGTGAGGCCTGTAAGAGGTGACTGGGTCATGAGGGCAAAGCTATCATAAATGGACTCTGTGCAGAGTCCCCACCAGCAAGAAGGCCCTCACCAGATGCAACTCCTTAACCTTGGACTTCTCAGCTTCCATAACTGTAAGAAATAAATTCTTTTTCTTTATAAATTATCTAGGTTCAGGTATTGTGTTATAAGCAACAGAAAACAAACTAAGACAGGTATCAAAGTCCTTTTAAAGATGGCTGTGTAGCTGGGATCAGACCAACACAGCAATGTGTTCAAACTCCCATTCTAAACACACAGAACCTGGGGCTCTGACTTGGCCCCACGGTCTTGAGTTGAAGCCTGAAGTGTGACTGGATGTCAGGCGTGGGCTGCCCTGGGGCTTTGGGAAGTAGTGAAAGGGATAAGGTGAAGGTCAAGCAGAGTGGGGGATGTCAGGAGGCTGGGGAGGCTTGGGCTGCCAGGTGAAGTGGGCCTCATGAAAGACAATTTGAGATCAGAATGTCAGACAGAGAGCAGGCTAGAAGGCAGCTGGCTTCTGAGCTGCAGCCTAGAAAGGCTGATTCAGCAGTGCTAGGAGGAAGTGGGAGGTTTTGTCGTCCCAGAAGCCATATCTGGAGCAAGGGGAAGTACTAAGACCACAGGGTAGCATTTGGAGCCATACACTGGGACTAACTTCCTCTGACCTAGGCAACGACAGACTGCCCCTGTGGTCAACCAGAGCCCCCAGATCCTTTTCTGTGAGCTACAATGAAGCCAGGCCTCATTCTTCTTGAACTTGAGAAGTTTAGAAAATATCTGCTTTGCCTTCACTAGCCTCCATTTTCATAAAAATAAAGCGAGTGAAAAAAGCAAGTCTGAGCGCTTTGAAACATTAATTAAAGACACCACAGTTTCCTTATTTAACTGAGGGTTGCTACCTCATCTGGGATTATTAGCAAAGCAGAGAGCCTTTGTTGTGCTCGACAAAGTGATTAATTCAGACTCGAGGTGAATTTTGGCTTTCTCAACTTCTTTTGATGTGCTAAGATCCCCCAATGAGGACAACGTCATCAATTACTTAAGCCATTACCTTGAGATCACAATTATCGGGGAGGCCCAGTCTACTAATTGGCAGACAGAGAGACAGAAATGGACTACAGGGTTGTGGCTTCAACCCTTAATTGTTCTAGGGGGAGCGAGAGTCCTTTAAAATGTTTTGTGGCAATGCTCCTGCTAATCTGGGGTGATCGAGTTGTTTTTCCACCAGGCAAAATGCAGCCTGGGTGACCTGCGTCTCTAGAACCAAGAAACTGCCTGTGATTCCACTGACTTGGCGTTCTCATGGGCCAGGACACAGAACTCAGAACTGAGGGATGAGTGTGTCAATGGAAGAGGGATGAGGTTCATAAAATTGGAAAGGAGAGCTTTATTTCTCATAAAGGGTTGCGGCCTTCGGGTGGCCATTCCGACAGGCTAGGAAGATATTTTGATGGAGGGGAAAAGGGAATGGGAATTTATGCAGAGCAGGGAGGCCAAATATACATATTCAATAAGCTATGGGAGGAGTCATGAATATTTATGAAAGGAGAAACATGTGCATGCGCAATTGAGCGTCATGCGCCTTCATGGGTCCCATGTAGAAAAAATGGCAGCCTTAGCATAATCTGAGGGTGGAGTTTTCGAGCCTCTGACTTCAAAAAGTGAAGCAAAGGACAGGAAAACCCTCACTGAGCATCCTCCATACAATGGCCAGAATCACTCCATAATCGGTGGTCTCGTATCAGGCAAAAGAAAGGGGCAGCATCAGGTGGCAGGTTGATGTCAGCGGTGGAGGCTTTTAACATCAGACGCTTTCAGGGCGTTATGGCGTCAACACCAATGGAGGCTTTGAAAAGGCCGCTTTCTATTTAGCCCTTAGGGGAGAAAGCATAATCATGGCTAGTGAGGGAGGGGTAGAAGGAGTGTGTCTGACTCCCCATCCCATCATGGCCAAGAACTCAGTTTTCAAGTTTACTCTGGGGACCCCTTGGCCAAGAGATGGTCCATTCAGTCAGTTGGGGGCTTAGGATTTTATTTTTAGTTTACAAGTTCTAGAAGCAAACATCCTACTCAAGAGGCAAATTCTCCAGCCCCTGGAAGCTGTCTTTGGGCTTCCGTGGGATGCTACATCTGGGCTTACTGTCCCCTGACACATAAGGAATTCAAGGACCAGATACAAGAGGCTGCTTTTTACATTTTAAAATATATAATCATATAATATTCTGTTTAAATAGATTTATCTTTGTTCATTTAACTAAGCCATTACTCTTTTTTTTTCTCTCCATCCTATAAAAGAGTTTTTGGGGGAAGGTTTTATGCTGCATGGATATATGTCATTGGTTTTTCTGGTGAAAGGTGGAGGAACTTTGTCTGGTTAAATTTAGTCAAATAACCAATACTTAAACAAACAAAAGCCACCCCTGAAGTGTTTCATAAATATCAGTCACTTCAAGAGTTTTATGATGTACGTCAGTTGCTTTGTTCTGTTTTCACAATAGAAACACACGTTGTGTGTGTTTTCGGATGGTGGCACTACTGTTTGCTGTACCTTCATCATTCTTCTTTAATTCTCACTGGGACAGAAGGGCAAGACACTTTCCCAGGGTCAGAATCCTGGGATTGGCTGGCTGGATTTTCTTTTCTTCTTAATTTTTTTTTTTTTTTTTAAGAGACAGGGTCTCTCTCTGTCACCCAAGCTGGAGTGCAGTGGCTTGATCATAGCTTACTGCAGCCTCTAATTCCTGGGCTCAAGTGATCCTCCTGCCTCAGCCTCCCAAGTAGGTGGGTCTACAGGCACACACCACCACACCTGGCAATTTTTAAAAATTTTTTTTGTAGAGGTGGGGTCTTGCTATGTTGCCCAGGCTGGTCTCGAACTCTTGGCCTCAAGCAATTCTCCTGCCTTGGCCCCCCAAAACACTGGGATTATGGGTGTGAGCTACCACGCCTGGCCTTGGGCTGAATTTTCTTGGGGGTGGGATGGGCATTTTAAAGCACTCTTGAGAAAGTAGAACACACTCCATTTTAAGGCAGTTTCTTTGCAGTGCTTCTTCGTACACATCAACCCCATGCTCACTCTGCCCCATGGCCTCCAGGTGACCCATCTGTTCCAAGGCAGCAGCCTTTCCAGTGCCTTCACCTGCTATGGTGCCACAACATGGCTCTCGTTTATTGTGCCAGCTTTGACACCTCTGTTCTCAGTTTAATGATTTTTCTGGGGATGGGTCCTTCTTGGAGGGTCCTGCTTTGTTTTTGTTTTTTTCCAGATTAACTTTGGGGGACATAATAAGTGGAGACCATTTATCGTTTTTTAAGGCTCAACAAATATCCAATAGTCAGACAGAAGAGTGATCAAAATAGAAAGCATGTATTTAAACTGGGACTGACAGGTGACAGGGGATGCCTCTTAGCCACAATGATCATAATGTAAATGCTTAATTAACTGTTTGTCAGTAGCCATTGAATGTCTGTCTGGTCCACTAGGCTGTAAGTGCCACAGAGCAAGGGCATGTAGGCATGGTCCCTGCAGCATCCTGGTACCCGGAACTCAGCACTCCCCCAGCACCATGCTTGGTATCTGCTCTCTGGCCATGGTTTTGAACTATCAGCTGAGCCCAAGCAACCTTGCAGACCACATTTTGATTATGTCTTCCTCGGACCATCCTTGAGAGTCACGTCTTCTTGGCAGTGTCCCATAGACTGTGAATGGTGAGTGAGATCACTTTAGAAGGTACACGGACTTTAAAAATCTTTCATTATAAAGCATTTATTTATTTTTTAATTTTTAATTTTAATTTTTTATTTTGAGAAGGAGTTTTGCTCTCGTTGCCCAGGCTGGAGTGCAATGGCGTGATCTTGGCTCACCACAACCTCCCCCTCCTGGGTTCAAGTGACTCACCTGCCTCAGCCTCCTGAGTAGCTGGGATTACAGGCATGCGCCAGAATTAACCATGCCCGGTTAATTTTGTATTTTTAATAGAGGTGGAGTTTCTCCATGTTGGTCAGGCTGGTCTCAAACTCCCAACCTCAGGTGATCCGCCTGCCTCTGCCTCCCAAAGTGCTGGGATTACAGGCGTGAGCCACCGTGCCCGGCCCAAAGCATTCATTTTTTATCGTTAGTTTTTTTTTTTTTTTTTTTTGAGACGGAGTCTCACTCTGTCACCCCAGGCTGGCTGGAGTGCAGTGGCATGATCTCTGTTCACTGCAAGCTCCGCCTCCCGGGTTCACACCATTCTTCTGCCTTAGCCTCCCAAGTAGCTGGGACTACAGGCGCCCACCAACACACCTGGCTAATTTTTTGTATTTTTAGTAGAGACAGGGTTTCACTGTGTTAGCCAGGATGGTCTCAATCTTCTTACCTCGTGATCCGCCCACCTCAGCCTCCTAAAGTGCTGGGATTACAGGCATAAGCCACCGTGCCTGGCCTATCATTAGTTTTTAATTTATGTAAGTGATACTGATTTTCACTTATGATCACGACATAAAATTTCCTTTTAAAATGAATTCATTTCAATTTATCTAAAAGAAATTGGGAAATAAGTAAATGTACAGGCAACTTGCAGATATGGCCAAAATTATAAAGGGGCTATACAAATAACTGAATTTAGAAGATTAAGGCCTTAATACTCGTTGAGACTTACTGACTCAACTGGCTTTCTTGCCCTGAAAAGTTAGGATAAAAATGGAGAAGTTAGTTAACTCTCTGAATTACAATAACCATCAACTAGATACCTTTTTAAAAGAATTGTAATACTTTCTTTATAAAACGTTATCTTTGGCCAGGCATGGTGGCTGACACCTGTAATCCCAGCACTTTGGGAGGCCGAGGTGGGTGGATCACTTGAGGTTAGGAGTTCGAGACCAGCCTGGCCAACATGGTAAAACCCTACCTCTACTAAAAATACAAAAATTAGCTGAGCACAATAGTGCACGCCTGTAGTCCTAGCTATCCGGGAGGCTGAGGCATGAGGCTTGAACCTGGGAGGTGGAGGTTGCAGTGAACTGAGATTGTGCCACTGCACTCCAGCCTGGACAACAGAGGAAGACTCTGTCTCAAAAACAACAACAACAAAACTAAAGAATATGTATTCTTGGCTGTTTCAGTGGTAGGGCTACCAAAGCCTGGTTCAGTGCTGCCCAAGGCAGAGGCTGGGTACTGGGTGAGCTCTCGGCTGGCCTTCCCCCACCCCACCCCCTGCAACTGTACCATGTACTGTTCAGTTCTGTAGAAACAGGAAGCTCAGGGTAACTCACAGTCCCCACCCCAGACACTTCTTCTTTTCAGGCACACTTCAAAATAAAATCAGGATCTACATACACTATAAGTTGGCGTGGTAGCTGAATATTGGCCCCCTAAAATGTCGATGTCCTAGCCTCTGGAACTTGTGAATGCAACCTTAGATGGCAGAACTGATTTTGAAGATGTGATTAAGTTGAAGATCATGAAAGGGGTTAAGTATTCTGGATTGTTTGGGTGGGCCCTAAATGTAATCATGAGGTCCTTATAAAAAGGACACAGGAGTTGTCAGAGCGAGAGAAGGCAGTGTGAGGACTGGAAGCAGAACTGGAAGGTTATGACCATGACCCAGGGAGACAAGAAGGGGACACCCCCTGCCATCTCCAGAAGGAACCAGCCCTGTGGACACCCTGCCTGTAAACCAGTGAGGTTGATTTTGGACTTCTGGCCTCCAGAGCTGTCAGAGAATAAATTTGTGTTGTTTTAAATCCCTCAGCTTGTGGCTACTTGTTATAACAAAAATAGAAAATTAATACAGTTGGGAAATATAAGTTTACCTAAAAATATTCCTTCGCAGCCGGGGGCGGTGGCTCATGCCTGTAATCCCGGCACTTTGGGAGGCTGAGGTGGGCGGATCACCTGAGGTCAGGAGTTCGAGACCAGCCTGGTTAATATGGTGAAACCCCGTCTCTACTAAAAACACAAAAAATAGCTGGGCGTGGTGGCACATGCCTGTAATCCCAGCTACTTGGGAGGCTGAGGCAGGAGAATTGCTTGAGCCCGGGAGGCGAAGGTTGCAGTGAGCTGAGATCATGCCATTGTACTCCAGCCTGGGCAACAAGAGTGAAACTCTGTCTCAAAAAAAAAAAAAAAAATTCTTCACTTCTGACAGGATTCTGCATTTGATCTATTATGTAAGACACTTACTATACATATAGACAGGGTCTCGCTCTGTTGCCCAGGCTGGAGTGCAGTGGTGCGATCATAGCTCACTGTAACCTTGAACTCCAGGGCTCAAGCAGTCCTCCTGCCTCAGTCTCCCAAGTAGTTAGTACTACAGGCATGCACCACCACACCTGGCTAATTTTTTTTTCTTTTTAGAATTTTTTTTTTTTTTTTTTGGATCTCACTTTGTTGCCCAGGCTGGTCTGAACTCCTGACCTCAAGTGATCCTTGACCTCCTTTGCCTTGGCCTCCCAAAGTGCTAGGATTACAGGAGCGAGCCACTGTGCCTGGCCTGTTTAAAATAATTCTAATGGCAAAGGATTCAATTAACAAGTCTCAAAATGGATGTAAGTTTTGCACAGGTATTCACATGGCTGAAGTACCAAACATGGTATCATGAATTAAGTGCGTAACATCTGACAACGGTAACACATGCTATTTTTGTATTATTGTGAACTCATGGATTCAAAATATATTTGATGTGTTTTGGTCCATTGCAATTATTATTTTATGGAGCAAATTGTCCATGTATCAGTCTTGCTGGCCTGAAGTCAAGGTGTCAGGCAGGCTGGTTCCTTCTGGGGGATCCAGGGGAATATTGGTTTCTTGCCTCCTTGGTTCACGGTTGCTTTACTTTAATCTCTGCTTCCAGGCATCACGTTGCCCAAAGTAAATGAGGTGGGGATGTATAATCCTCCAACTGGGAGGGACAGTCATGTCTTAACCCATTATGCAATCTACTGTGTCTCAAGTGTTTCTGACTTGAGAAGTTGGTGGATTGTGGTTGCAATGGTGATGTAGAGATGATTGGGAGACAACAGATTTAGTGGGTAAATTAAAATCAGATTTAGATTAACTGTAAAATGCCTAACAGACATTCAAAGCATCCATCAAGTTGGAAGTTGGGTAAGGAGGACTGGAGCTCAGTGGAGAAAATGGAACTAGAGTTAAAGATGTGGAATTATTGACTTTTAGATGGTATTGAAGTGATGGGACTCAACATAAGGAAAGGAGCCAGCAAAGACAGTGAGGAGCAATCTTTGAGGCAGGAGGAGTGGTATCATGGAAAGAGGGAAGAGAGTGCTTCAGGAAGGAGGAATGTTCATCTCTATCAAAATCCTACTGAAGGATCAGTAAAGAAATAATGGGATTGATAAGATCAAAGTCATCAATGATCTTGACAAGGGCAGCCCCAAGGAAGCTGTGGGTACAGAAGCTTAGTTGGAGTGGGGGGAGGAGAGACTAAGGGCACAGAAGGGGAGGAAGCCATCTAGACAATGCTTTCAAGGAAACTTACTGGGAAGGAATGAAGAAAAATAAGGCAATGGCCAAATCCAAGGAGTTTGCCTTTTTTCCTTTAAGATGGAAGACACTGGAATATGTATGCTGATAGGAATGATCCAGTAGAAATGGAGAAATCAATGCAACAGGAAGGAACAATAATTGAGAATAATGAGTAAGGACAAGGAGCAAAACTAACAAGATTGGCTTTAGATAGGTAAAGAATCCCTCTGTCTCTCTCTTTCTCATCACAATCATCAGTTCATTAGTATATGTTATTAATACACTTTTGGTTTCTAAGCAGCCTGCCTTTGTTCTCAGCATATTGTCTACATGTTCTCATGTTGTGCTTTATCCACAAAGTCTTAGCCTAGGGGACAGAAAGGGACAGTAAGTAGGGTTAGTGAATAACGGCACTTGTCTGAAATGTAGCTGACCTGGTTTTAACTCTGACTCAATTGCTTAGCAGCACCTTGGGTACATTATTTACCTCTCTAAGCTTTTATTTCCTAATCAGTAATATAAGAATGGTATTTATTTCTATCCTTATGTGATTGTTGGAGGGCTTGTACAAGACAGTATATAAAAAGTACTAAGCATAGTGCCTGAGACACAGGAAACTAAAAACTATTGTAAATTATAATAATAGTAATGATTGTGTAACTCTTGTATGTCAATATACATGTATAATATATTTTTCTTGTGCAGTGACAAAGTTATTGTCAGGCTAATGACTGCAATGACTATGTCTTTGTGGTACCTACATTATTGGTGAAAGAACTGAACACCAGCCAGATATTTATGTATTTATTGAGTAGTCTTCTATTTTTTTTCCAGAGGGGTAAAGATTATAAGCGGTTCCTTAGGCAACAAATTATAATGGCTGTCATTCACTAAATCTTGTATATAGGGTGGGACAGAATTGAAAAAACAATAGGAAGGTCTTGTAACTCCAACATATCTGTTCTCCTGAGGTTTGCATGTGTACATCTTATAGCACATTGATATTCAGAAGTTTCCTATTGGAATGCAACTATCAGACAATAAAACCACTACATTAAAAATGTACAGAATGCAGATAAAGAACTACTTAGAGGAAGATTTATAGCTTTAAATGCGTTCATTGAAAACATGTGAACTAAACTAATAACTTAAGAAGTTAAAAGAAAACAACAAGGAACAAAGTCTCAACCCAAAGAAAATAGAAGGAAGTCCATAATCAAAATATGAGCATAAATCAATGAACTAGAAAACAACAAAAATCAGAAATGATCAACAAAGAAAAAGTTGGTGCTTTCAAAAGATAAATAAAATAGATAAACCCATAGCACGACTAATCAAGAACAACTTTTCCAGGCAAGCTAGGAGTAGAAGGAAATATCTTCAACCCAATAAAGGATATCTATGAAAACTCTAAAGCAAAACCTCACACTTAATTTTGAAACATTAGCTGCATTCCTGCAGAATCAAGAACAAGAAAAGGATGCTTACTCTTTCTGCTTCCTTTTTGTACTAGAGATTTTAGCCAATGTAATAAGAAAAGAAAATGAGAAGTCAGACAAAAGGATTAAAAAGAAAGAGAATGGACTGATATTATTTGCATAAAACATAATTATCAGCATAGGAAATCAAAGAAATTCCACATGTAAACCAATAAAACTAATTAGAAAGTCCAGAAGGATCATTGATTACAACGCTGGCATTAAAAAAAAAAAAAGGTGCTCCTATACATGAGCAACACCAAAACAAATGTACGTAAATAGCAAAAAGATACTCTTCTCTGCACAAAATCATAAAATGTTACTGAAGGACAGAGAAAATAAAATCAACAGAGAGATACAACACATTCATATATGAGACAAATTGATGTTGTAATAATGTTGGTATGTTCTAAATTAATGTATACATTTAATGCAATTCCAGAAAAATCCAAATAGCATTTTCTCATCAAATCAGACTAATTCTAAAATTAATATGAAAAAGTAAGTTATAAAAATGTATTATATGGTAAAAGGAATTTGAGTAAGAAAAAAAGACAAAAAAGAGAATAAAAAGAAGTAATATATAAAAAAGAGAAAAAAACAAAGAGTGTGATTTAGAGTTATAATAATTAAAATAGTGAAGCATAAGCTAGACAAATGGATCAGAATAGATCCAAGCACCTATACTACTGAGGAGCATGATAGAAGTGACATTATGAATCAGTGGGAAAAAGGGAGCAGTGCAGCAGGCACAACATCCCTTTGCTAACCCCTTGGAGGGATGTAATCAGCTGTGGGACAGGATTATTTTACCAGGGTCCCACTGAGATACCGATTCTGTTGAGCCACCTCTCATTGTAGAATCTGGCTCAACACACCCTCTGATGATTGATTTGGCTTCTCAAGTACCTGGAAAGGAGGTACTCTAGGAAGGAGATGTCCGATTCTTATTGCTTGGAAAAAAAATACTCACTATTATAAATTTGTAAATGAACAGTCTCGTTTGCAGGTTGTATTTTAGGGCATAGCCTAGTTACTACTGATACGTGAGTGAGTGTGCATCAGATGATTTCCAGCCCTGAGGGCAAACTGAGATTGAGGTCTTAAGGGAATGGAGAGGGGGCTGAACATGAGGATGAGGATGCCAGGGTGGACACTAGGTGCTAAAAGGGAAACCGAGAAGATCTCACGTGTAAAATCTGTATTGCACCATTTCCCCACCAACCCTTCAGGAACATCTGCCTTGAGGCGTGATTTAAGCAGTTTCAATCCTTACAGTTTCTCTTGTGGGTGTGGGTGAGAAATGGGACAAGGATAAAGGGAATGGAATTTACAGTCAACTAACAAGGCTGTGGTTAGTTATTAGCTAAGTCAATGAAAACTATTCAGATTTATCTGCTTATCTTCCTCTTCACACCCAGATATGTGCGTGGAGTCAGCTTGCAGTACCTATCAATGACTGCTCATTTTCCAACTAATTTTTAAATCAGTTAGTGGAGCACAATTCTGCCTGCCACCTAGATAAACCATACTGTGGGAATGAGGGGGAGGGAGGAAGAAGAAGGAGGAGGAGGAGGAGGAAGAGGAGGAGGAGGAAGAGGAGGAGGAGGAAGAGGAGGAGGAGGAAGAGGAGGAGGAGGAAGAGGAGGAGGAGGAAGAGGAGGAGGAGGAAGAGGAGGAGGAGGAGGAAGAGGAGGAGGAGGAGGAAGAGGAGGAGGAGGAAGAGGAGGAGGAAGGGAGGGAGGGAAGGAAGAAGGAAGGGAGGAAGGAAGGAAGGAAAGAAGGAAGGAAGGGAGGGAGGGAGGGAGGGGGGAAAGGAAGAAGGAAGGAGGGAGGGAGGAAGGAAGGAGGGAGGGAGGGAAGGAGGAAGGAGGGAGGGAGGAAGGAAGGAAAGAGGGAGGGAAGGAAGGGAAGAAGGGAAGAAAGTTAGTTAATAATGTCAAAAATTGGGAAATATTTTTGAGAATGAAGAAGAAATGATAGGAAAATGTGTTTTCTCTCTCTAGTAAGAAAATAGATGCAGACATCAAAATACATTGATGTAGCTTACAAATTAGAAAAAAGTTTTATGAGAGCATTTGGTGCAAAGGATATACCAACGGTAGGACTAGCTGGGACAAACTTTATGGAAAGCAATTAGATATTACATACCAGTGTTTAAAACCAGTGACTCATGGATCTCAGGTTAAGAAAATCTTCATGCACAAAGTGTGGGAAAACCTCTGCGCAGAAATGCTAACTGTAGCAGCATAACTCAAAGTAGCTAAAATATAGAAAACACGCTAAGTATTTGACAATAAGAATGGTTTAGTAAATTATAATATGTATATAAGAGCACTATTAAGCAGCCATAAAAATGATATTTATAAAGGATTAATAACATGGAGATGTTTTTCCTTATGTTAAATGAAAAAAGTAGAAATCTGGATAAATAGAAGTAGAGAAATAAGCCAGGCACAGTGGCTCTTGCCTGTAATCATGGCACTTTGGGAGGCTGAGGCAGGCAGATCGCTTGAGCCCAGGAGTTTGAGACCAGCCTGGGCAACATAGTGAGACCCTGTTTCTAAAAAAAAAAAAAAAAAAAATTAGCCACCTGTGGTTGCGCACACCTGTAGTCCCAGCTACTTCGGAGGCTGAGGTGAGAGGATCACTTGAGCCTGAGAGGTAGAGGCTACGGTGAGCTGAAATCACACCACTGCACTCCAGCTTGGGCAACAGAGTGAGAATGCTAAAAAAAAGAAAAAGAAGAAAAAGTAGAGACATAGGAAAAATATAGAGAGAGAATGTAATAGCAAACATATAAAAAATACACAGTGAAAAAAACCAAGAGAATGACAATATAAAGAGAGTAGGCTTTCTCCCTGATAGTTCTAGCTTTTGTGCCCAAATTTCTGTGAAGCACTTCAAAATGTGTCTTGGAAAGCCAGCAAACCTCACACCCTGCTTCCATTTCTTAACAAAACGTTTTGAAAAGGCAATTATTTAAGGATCTGTTTCTAATAAAGCTTCCGATGTGGCCATGATGTTTAATGGAATTGCTGGCAAAGCCCATGAGGGCATGCGTGTTGAAACCATAGAGTAACCATGGCAAAGGGCCTCTCTTCTCCAATGTGCAGGACACTGGGTTACCTGGCACCGCTGGGCTTCACCTGTTCTTGGAGCATCACAAGTTTTTACCCCTGGAGAAGCGCTATTTGCCAAGGGAATCTTTCACCATTTCAAATACATCCACTGAAGTTTTTGAAAGCAGTGCACCAAGTAGGAATTCTTTGGTAGTGACAGTGAGGATGTAATGACCGAGCGGAGGGGCCGGCTGGACCCTTCTCCTGCACACCACAGGAGAAGCCAATTCCTGGAGGTAGATAATTTCTGTTTTCTTTTGTTCCAAACCTCAGTCAGTTTGACCATCTCCTTAATATGTGATTCATCAAAATACCAATTTATCAGAAGTGGCTTCTTTGGCTAAACAATGGGCTAAGCACCCATGTTGAATCCATCAAGAGAAGGTTTTAGGCTGGGCACGGTGGTTCACACACTTTGGAATCCCCACACTTTGGAAGGCCAAGGCAGGCGGATCGCCTGAGGTCAGGAGTTCAAGACCAGCCTGGCCAACAGGGTGAAACCCCGTCTCTACTAAAATACAAAAATTAGCCTGGCGTGGTGGGCGCCTGTAATCCTGGCTACTCAGGAGGCTGAGGCAGGAGAATCGCTTGAGCCCAGGAAGAGGAGGTTGCAGTGAACTGAGATTGTGCCACTGCACTCCAGCCTGGGTGACAGAGTGAGACTCTGCCTCGAAAATAAATAATAAATAAATAAATAAATAAATAAATAAATAAAGAGAAAGCCTTGAGGAAGATAAAATACAGGAAATTTTCCAGCCTTTACAAATTGAACCTGATTTTGAGAATGATCCAGTGGCCCGATTTATTTTGAGAATGGACAGTAAATTGTACCGCTGGCACAGCAGTATTTGTGTCCTGTAGCGTTTAATGACCTCGTTGGTTGTGAAAATAAAACCGAAAGATGCTGTCTAAAGCTATATATACTTTCTGTTGTCGTTTTCCAACTTAAGTATCCTTGATGTAAACAATGACAGGTGTCCATAACCATAATTGTGGGAAACATTTGCATTAATTCACATCAAAGGAAACCCATTGTAAACATCAGAACATGGTGATCGTCTGATCATTGCGTATTACCTGCTTTACACAGTAGCATCCCTGGCCTCCTGCACTTTTTTAAATGGCACAGGACTTAATAACACAATTTGACATAAAAGGATTTTTTTTACAATGACAATTTTTAAAGTTACAGCAAGATATTTAAAAACAACTTTTCATTGACCCTGTAAGACTCACTCATAAGTATCCCTAGTGTACCACTTAACCTAGGGCTGCCATATCAAAGTACTACAAACTTGAGTGGCTGGAAACTCCAGAATTTATTTATTTATTTATTTATTTATTTATTCATTTTTTGAGACGGGGTTTTGCTCTGTTGCCCAGGCTGGAGTGTACTGGTACAAAAGTAGCTCATTGTAGCCTCAAACTCCTGAGCTCAAGTGATCCTCCCATCCCAGCCTTCCAAGTAGCTGGGACTATAGGTGTGTGCCACCACACCTGGCTAATATTTTTTTTTTTTTTTTTTTTTTGAGACAGGGTCTTGCTTCATCATCCCAGCTGGAGCGCAGTGGCACAATCTTGGCTCACTGCAACTTCCACCTCCTGGGTTCAAGCGATTCTCGTGCCTTAGCCTCCCGAGTAGTTGGGATTACAAGCCTGCCTGGTTACCTTTTGTATTTTTTTTTTTAGTAGAGATGAGGTTTTGCCATGTTGGCCAGGCTGATCTCAAACTCCTGACCTCAAGTGATCTGCCTGCCTTGGCTCCCCGAAGTGCTGGGATTACAGGCACGAGCCACCACGACCAGGCTCACCCGGCTAATTTTTTTACACTTTGTAGAGGTGAGGGTCTTGCTGTGTTGCCCAGGCTGGTCTCAAACTCCTGGGCTCAAATAATTGTCCTACCTTGGCCTTCCAAAGTGCTAGGTTTATAGGCATGAGCCACCACACCCAGACCACCAGAAATTTATTGTGTCACAGTTCTGGGCCAGGAGCCTGAAATTGAGGTGTCTGCAGGGCTATGTTCCCTATGAAATCTGTAGGGGAGAATCCTTCCTTGCCTCTTCCTAGCTTCTAGTGGTTGGCTGACTATCTTTGACATACCTTGGCTTGCAGTGGCCTGACACCAATCTCTGCTTTCATAGTCACTCGGCACTTTCCTGTGAATCTCTGTCTTCACATGGCCATCTTCTCATAAGGACACCAGTCATATTGGATTGAGGGGCCCCTGTACTTCAGTATGACTTTATTTATTTATTTTTTTGAGACAGAGTCTCACTCTGTCACCCAGGCTGGAGTGCAGTGGTACAATCTTGGCTCACTGCAACCTCCTCCTCCCAGGTTCAAGAGATTCTCTTATCTTAGCCTCCCGATTTGCTAGGATTACAGGCATGCAACACTACCCCTGGCTATTTTTTTGCATTTTTAGTAGAGATGGGGTTTCACCATATGGGCTAGGCTGGTCTTGAGCTCCTGGCCTCAAGTGATCTGCCTGCCTCAGCCTCCCAAAGTGCTGGGATTACAGGCATCAGCAGCCGTGCCTGGCCTATATGACTTCATCTTAACTAATTACATTTGCAGTGACCCTATTTCCAAGTCACATTCTGAGATTAGGACTTCTGGAGGTTAGGACTTCAACTTATCTTTTTGGTGGTGATACAATTCAACCCATTACAACTGGGGTTCATTGATTTTGGGTTAAGAACGTGTTGAGACAGTCAGAGGGCAGCAAGGGGACCCTGAGACCAGAGGGTATGAAACAAGAGTGCAGAGAAGGAAGTGGTAGGGAGACAAATGGAACCCATGTTGCTATTTTGCCCATAAATTTGGTGGCAATGATCTCTCCCTGCAGATTTGGGTGCAGGAACTTGAGTTACTGATGGCAATATTTGGCCAGTTTCCAGCTGAAGATGCTCAAGTTCCAGATTTGAGTCGAGGCTACAAATGCTCAAGTTCCAGATTTGAGTCGAGGCTGCAAAGGGAAGTTTGTGGTGGTGTCCAGGACACTCTGCTGATGCCATGTGTTTGAAAATGTCTGAATTTTGTGCATAGACACACTAGCAGTATTTTCATAAGTGGAGTTACATAATTAGGGCATGGACTTGCATAATAATTAGCATGTGTAATTAGGCACAGACTTCTTGTCCTTTAGACAATCAAGACATCTAATTACAAAATTAAGATGTAATTATGTGGTCCAAGGTCTACATCTTTTTTTCTACCCATTAGAGATTACTTTTAGAAAATAATTCAAAAAAGCTGATGAAGAAATGAACATAGACACGAATTTGAGGATGTTAAAGAAAGTGTTAAGTGGGCTGGTAAGTTTCCTTTGGTCTTTCCTCTCTGTTGTAAGGGGAATTATTTAAAACATTATGGTCCACTTGAAAGAATAACTTTTACCAACTGTGCTGTCAACCTTCGGTACTCACACTAATGAAGAGGAGTGTTGGTATGACTAATCCTTGGCGTTCACGTGTGGCTCTTGAGTGTGGTTTGTAATCACACTTGAACATGGACCTAAATGTGACGTACTGGGAATTCATTCAAACCTATTAATGGAGCCATACGGTGGAAATCTTAGGATAACTTGGGATAGAGGACATCCTGCCTTCCCGTTCTGCCCTGGTTCTCCCTTGTGACCACTTTAAAAATCGACTCATTTGGCCAGGTGTGGTGGCTTATGCCTTTAATCCCAGCACTTTGGGAGGCCAAGGCAGGAGGACCGCTTGAGGCCAGGAGTTAAGACCAACCTGGACAATATAGGGAGACCCTGTCTCTACAAAGAATCTGAAATACTAGTTGGGAGTGGTGGCACATACCTGTAGTCCCAGCTACTTGGGAAGCTGAGGCAGGAGAATCACTTGAGCCCAGGAGTTTTAGGCTGCAGTGAGCCTCCACTGCACTCCAGCCTGGGTGACAGAAATAAATAAAGAAATAAATAGCACATTGCTCAGAATAATGCAAACCAGCACTTAAGCTGTGTTTCCTTTCCCTGAATATTTGAGTATTTTTATTTTAAGTACTCCTTATTGACTGCAGGTGGGAAAGATCAAAGAGTATAGCAAATACTCTGTCCTTTGAAAAAGAGTGATTCTTATAGCAGTAATAGTTTGAGTTTCAATACACACAGAAAGCTAGATTGTACTGATAGTCTCCATGTTTTTCCTTGCCCTTAAATTGTGATTTGGCTGATCTCTGCGTGATGCTAAACAACCAGTTTGACTCATTAATTTTGCTGAACTAACTGAACTTTTGACCTAATTGGCTGCTGGTTAGGGATCAGAGCCATATGTGCAGGTTTTTCTAAGCCAGTTCTGACTTTAGCTGTGTTATCCCTCTGTTCCTATAAACTGTTGAAATACCATAGTAATTCCAATGTTTTGACAGCCACACTGCACTTCTCAGACTGCCGCTTTCTCCTGGGAAGTGGCACAGAAATCTGTCGGACCACGCTTCCTGATTTTTGGTTAAGAAAATATGCTTCCCATATGGTTGCGGGCCGAGAAAACAAAGACTTAAAGAGGTTGTAAGCATTTGGTGATAGGTCTTCTCCTCATGGCGCCTTCCCTCCGTTCCTATTTTTACTATTCTCTGTAAGGCCAGGGAATGTGATGAGGGACAAATTATGTGTGTGGCAGGGAGGGGTTAGTCTTGACCATGAAAATACACACATTTGCACAGGGAGCTTTTGCCATTGTTAGTTTTTTTACCTTGCCTTCTGAGCAATTGCTCGTGATAGATTTAGAGGCAAAGGAAAGGAATTGGAGAGAGTGGCATTTTTAAAACAATCTATTAAGAGGAATTCTAGGTCAGAGAGGGGCAGTTGGACTACATCATCTGTAAGGCATCTCCAGCTCAGAGGTTTCAGGATTCGTTGATCTCCAGCAGGTCACTCAACAGGAGGTTGACTGGACTCCTATTCTACTCACTCAACTCTAGGCCTCCAATTTTTTGGTTCTTAGATGTGGTGACTGGAAACCTATTCTTTTGCCTTTACTTCCAGAGAGCTCAGTAATTCTAGTTCCTAATAGAGCCTAAAGCATGAGTGCAACTTCATTTCTCAGCTTTTGAAATCTGCTTTTCCCTCCAGGTACTCCACATCAGCATTCTCAAGACTGGAGAAGTTAGGCCTCAGACATCCCAAGCCTTCTCCTTTCATTGGAAACTTGACATTTTTCCGCCAGGTAAGGGCTGTCTTCCATTGGCTTCCATCATAAAATATGCTGAGGGCCAGGCACAGTGGCTCATGGCTGTAATCCCAGCACTTTGGGAGGCCGAAGCGTGTGGATCACCTGAGGTCAGGAGTTCGAGACCAGCCTGACCAACATGGTGAAACCCCGTCTCTACTAAATACAAAAAATTAGCTGGGCATGGTGGCTCATGCCTGTAATCCCAGCTACTTGGGAGGCTGAGGCAGGAGAATCACTTGAACCCAGGAGGTGGAGGTTGCACTGAGCCGAGATTGCACCATTGCACTTTAGCCTGGGCAACAAGAGCAAAAATCTGTCTCAAAAAATAAAATAAAATGAAATAAAATAAAGTAAAATATGCTGAGCCCAGGACAGGCTTTCTGCATGAAACATTGGTCTTGTCCAGGTCCCCACACCTTGAGCAGTAAAGGTGTTCTGTGATGCCATGAGCCCTCCTCTACTTATATGAATTGTTATGTGATGGCAAGAATCCATCTCTTATCACTATCAATATGTATTGAGTCCTGTCATCCATTCACTCACCCATTTCCCCCAAACCCCATATATTGTATGTCTAAATACGTCAGACCCTAGAGTGTAGAAGAAGAGGTTACTTGTGCCCTCAAGTGCACTGTCAAATGATGGCATGCAACACCAGATGAGATACACCCTAGCACTAAATAGGGTGGTATAGACGGTAGCTGTAATCTTCTGTCAGAGGAGAGGGTGATCTGTCAGGGCTAAAATCATCCTAAGGAACTTCCTGAAGAAGGAGGTCCTTCAGGGCCTGTGGACATAGAGACGAGGGTACACACACCAGGTGGGTGGCACTATTTATGTGAGTGTACCAACGTGAGAATGACAGCACAGGTTGACCAGCAGCCTGGACTGACTAGAGGCCAAATGCTAAGGTGCACTGGGCAATGCAGTTGGGTGAGAGAAAGGGGCACTAGATGCTTACAGGGTAGGAAGGCACGTGAAGAACTATTTGTGTGTTAACATTTTTGAGGACAGGGACATTGAAATGGACAACACTCTGCAAGGGAGAAGAACATAGGTTAGAGCTGTAGAACCCAACTGTTGCTGAAGTCCAGGGGTGAAGCCACGATGGCTCGGTCTGGTCGGTGATGAGAGTGAATAGAGATGGATAATTGGGAGCAAAATGAAGAACTCTTGTGACAAATTAGTGTAGAGAATTCAAGGCAAAGTGAGTCAAACATAAGCCTAAGCTTTGAGCCAGGGGAACAGGGAGAATGGCTATGGGTTGACAGAAATAAAACGTTGGGTGGGGGAGTGGTTCAGGGAGAAGACAAGTTTTATTTTAAGTATGTTGCTTGGGATTTGCCAGAGTGACATGCCAGTGGAAATGGCCAACAGACATTTGTAGATATAGGTCAGGACTTTATGGTCTACGGTTATTTTTTCTCACATTGGGTTTTCTCAGAAGCCAGATGGCTTATTCTGCTAAGTCACGGGGACACTGACTCCAGACCCAACGCCAGGAGCCGGAACACCCTGCATGGGAAGAACCACCAAGCCAAACAAAGGCAGGAAGACTAAATTTGGGACAATCCTGATAATATCCCTTCAACATCTCTAGAATTTCCCCCATCCCTACCTCCGGAAAGGCTGGCCCTTGGCACTAGATAGAAAAGAAAGCTGCTCTTTCTGTCCTTTTCTGCCCCCACCTTCTCAATTATTTCTTTTCCATTCCTTTCTGTGTCCATCACCTTTTCCATGATTTGTCATTGTTGTTTCTGTCTTCCTAGCATTTTTAAACACCTTCTCCTCTCATCTCTCTCTCTGGGGTGGGCGGTTCACAACTTTTAAGCTCACAAACAACAGTCTCAATGAGGCTTCCTGTTAGCCCCTTGAAACAAGTGTGAAGAAATTTTAAAGTGTCAAGATAGAACAACAAACCAGATCGGAAAGCTAAAGAAAATGCATTTCACACATTTCTGGGGGGAAATGATCAGTTGTATTCCGTGGAATAATTAATTTGGTATTAACATTCTGAGGAAAACGGCGTAGCTGTCGACATGAGGAGAACGCTGTGCTCCCGCCTCTGGAGAGCCTCCACATATGCTCCTTTGCAGCCCGCCATCCTCACAGCTACAAGCCCTGCCAAGTTCTTTCTAGAACATAGTAATTTCGCTGACTATTTTTATATTCATATATACTTTCCTTGATATATGGCAAGCTTACGCTGCAGAATTCAGTAGATTTCATGAGAAAGGCATGTGTTTCCATGCAGGACATCCACACTCCTAACCCCCAACTTTCCACCTTCATTCCACCCCTTATGTATCCACCCCATACTCCATTCTCACAACACAAATCTACCATTTGCCACCCCCCACACCCACCCCAACTCATGAGTATTTTCAGGTCTAGTCCATTCCCACCACACAATGGATCTAGCATTTTCCACCCCTCCGTCAACCCAGCTACACTTCTTTCCCATTATAAAATGTGTCTAGCCAGGCACAGTGGCTCATACCTGTAATCCCAGCACTTTGGGAGGCCAAGGCAGGCAGATGACCTGAGGTCAGGAGTTCCAGACCAGCCTGGCCAACATGGTGAAATCCTGTCTTTATTAAAAATACAAAAATTAGCTGGGTGTGGTGGCACATGCCTGTAATCCCAGCTACTCAGGAGGCTGAGACAGGAGAATCGCTTGAATCCGGGAGGTGGAGGTTGCAACGAGCTGAGATCACACCACTGCACTCCAGCCTGGGTGGCAGAGCAAAACTCTGTCTCGAAAAAACAAACAAAACAACAACAACAACAAAGTGTCTAGCATTTTGTCTTATATATCTTAAACATGTTGAATTTAATTAAAGTTTAACTCGAATGGATCATGATAATTCAGAATTTGTGATAATTTTGATAGACTCAGTAGAAGTTACATATAGTGGCAGTAAAAAGGGCTATATGATAATGCTAAATCAAATTTCAGAGGGCAATGTTATAGTTGAGAAAGCAAACTTTTTGAATATTTTAGCAGCAAGTATACATAAGTAGTTTAAGAACTGGTGATCTCTCCTGTCCAAGACTTTTACATGGCAATTTTTTTTAAAGCCTTTTGTTTATTCCAATGTTTCAAAGTACCTGAAAGCAATATAACTTCCATTCTTTTTTATTGTTTCTGTAATTGTATTCTTGCTGTTCCAAATTGTTTACTGAATAAGTTTGAATAATTGGAATTTTGCTTAATCTTATTCTTACTATAGTGCTGTGTTTCCTTCAGGGTTTTTGGGAAAGCCAAATGGAGCTCAGAAAGCTGTATGGACCTCTGTGTGGGTAAGAAGGAAACTCAACGTTTCTATTATGTACGATATTTTCTATTATGTACGATATTTTGATTTTCACGTGTTGAACTGATATAGAAGAAATGCCAAGATTAGGAATGTTGTATGTGTTTCTATTTTTCAAAGGGCCCACAAAGAGGGAGTCCTGCAGTACAGACAAGGCTTCTAGAGAAGACCCTGGGGTTGCCCACGGGGGGACTCTGCTGGCCTGAAAGAGTACCACTTTCCAGCCTTTGCAGCCTTGCTGGGCTGGGCACAGCATCATCTCCCGTTGCTGTGCTGAGGGGTGTTGCCACGGGATGTGGTGGCCTCTTTGCCTCAGAGCACAAACTGTCCAACTTGCCTTGACAGTGCACAGCAGGTCTTACCCCATGAGCATATCTGAACCTTACTCAGACTCGGGTCCTTCAGCCCATGGGGAAAGTGTGCTGCCAGCAACATGACCGTGTAATTTATCACCCAATCCAGTTCCCTTTTGAAAGTGAAAGGAAGTGCTATTAATAATTACCCCAGGATAACCTTATCACCTAAGACTATCCCGGATATGCTGGGGCATATGGTCACCCTAGTTCTTGGCCGTGTAAAGTAATATAGCCCTTCTCTTTATTTTCTGAATTTCTCCTTTGTATGCTCCTTTGTTTCTAAAATTCCAGATTCTGGTGAGCAAACCCACGTTCAGACCACTTACTCTATTCAAGATTTAACAGGCTTGAATTGTATTGATTCTCAACATGTGTCTTTCCACACTGAAGTCCTAATCATTTTAGTTGGTTTTCACGCAGCTTCTCTTCAGCCACTGAGCGATTTTTTTGCAGCTTTTCGTAGACCTCTGGGTCAGCGATCACTTTTGTAGGTGCATTAAAGTTCTCCTGTGTTGCCGACGTACATTCCAATGGGCTCCAGTGATTTGGGGGTCCTATCTCCATAGTATTCATGATGTCTGTTCTCCTGATACCCATTTTTGAAAGGGATTGGCTTGTCCTCTTTATGGAAATGGCCCCTCCTAGGAAGCCCACAGTTTTGGTCAAGTTCTTCTACCTACTTTTTGGTTTGCTACGTGGTCCTGAAAAAGTAATAAATTAAGATGTTAAGATGCTCTCTGTATTAGTCATTGCTGCATAATGGACTACCCCAAAACTCAGTGACATAAGCAACAATTTATGATTTATCATGTGTCTAAGGGTCAGCTGGAGTTGGCTGGCCTAAGCTGCACTTGGCTGGATGGCTCCGCTGGACTTCTGGGTGTATCTGCTGGGGAGGACCTCATGTGGGGCACCAAGGCTCTGCATGTCTCTCATCCTCTTTGGAAGTGTAAGCTCGGCTGGCAGGTTCTCATGGTAAGGGCAAAGACTCAAGAGAGCAAGCCTGATGGTGCAAGAACATTATACATTTCTGCTGAATCATTTCAGCTTATACCCTATTGGTTAAACCAAGTCACACGGCTAAACCCAAGATGTGGGCAGGAGGGCACTGTGGCCACTTTGAGGCCAAAGCAAGACACCTGGCCCAGCCTGACATTGATGGAGCAGGGAGGTGTACTCCTCGGATGGACGAGCGGGGAGGCAAGGCGTGTCTTTAAATAACAAGCAACCCTGCTTCACTCCCTAAGATCTCTTTCAACTTGGCCTTCACTTACTTTTTCATTTTTGCTTTTTGGTGCATAGCTTCTTGCTTTAAGCGTGATAGGTGCTCGATAAAGGCTCAAGAAATTGAACTGTCTACATTTCTCTTACCGTTGTGTGGTTCTATTGCTTTTTGTTTTTGTTTTTTGTTGTTGTTGTTGTTTGTTTGTTTTGCAATAGAGTCTTGCTCTGTCGCCCAGGCTGGAGTGCAGTGGCATGATCTCAGCTCACTGCAACCTCTGCCTCCTGAGCTCAAGCGATGCTCCTGCCTCAGCCTCCTGGGCAGCTGGGATTACAGGCGCCCGCCACCATGCCTGGCTAATTTTTGTATTCTTAGTAGAGACGGGATTTTGCCATGTTAGCCAGGCTAGTCTCAAACTCCTGACCTCAAGTGATCCACCCATCTTGGCCTCCCAAAGTGCTGGGATTACAAGTATGAGCCACTGCACCCAGTCTATTGCTTTTTTTTTTTTTTTTTTTGAGACGGAGTCTCGCTCTGTCGCCCAGGCTGGAGTGCAGTGGCGCGATCTCGGCTCACCAGTCTATTGCTTTTTAAAGGTTCTCATTCCAGCTCTTTCTTTCAAACAGTCTCATTCTGCAGCTGAGTTGGCAATGACTTGGAGACTGTCTCATATGCCTCTGAGACACAGCACTGACTCAGAATGACAGTGCCTTCACCAGAATCAGAAAAAGTCCTGACTGAGTTTGAATTCTAGGAACCACTTTTCTTGAGTGTTTCTTGTACAGATATCCAAAGTAGAGCCTTTGGGTATTTAAAAATAATTTGTAAATGCCAAATTAAGAGTTTAAAGGGCACTGTATGAACTAGTTGTGTGTGTGTGAGAGAGAGAGAGAGAGAGAGAAGGAGAGAGAGAGAGAGAATGACAGAGAAAAAGAGAGAGAGAGAAAAGGAGAGAGAAAGAGACAGAGAAAGAGATAGAAAGAGATAGAGAGAGATAGAAGAGGGGGAGAGAGAGAGAGAGAGGAGAGAGAGAGGTGGAGCGAATTGGTTTCCTTGACAACAGGATATCCAATCAACTTTTTCCTCCAACTTTAACTGAGTTAACACAATTTATCCTTTTCATTTCAAGAAAACCTAAATCATAGAGAATGATTTCAAATGAGGTTATAGAGATCAAGATTGCAGTATCATCTCCATTCTTTGTTCCCACTTCTAGTGAAAAGGAAAAAAGAAAGGTGATGGCATAATTTCTTCCTATAAAGCTATCAACTTTTCTCCTTTGGAAAAAAAAAGATGAGCCATAAAACACTGACTTCTTTTTAAATGTGTCTACTCCCAGATTTAGAGGCAATATGGTGGCGGTGTAAAAATGAAAGGGTTGAACCAATCTAAATCGAATGTCTTTTCTAACTCTAAATGTTATTTTCTTACTGCTTAAATTTTAGCAACATAGTTTCACTCATTGGGAATGGACTATGCTCAATGAACAGCAAAGACCCTTCTTGCAGAGAACAATTTAATTTAAATTACATTAGTTTTTATTTTATTTTTTATTTTACTTTTATTACTAGGAAATATAATCAATCCCAGCTTGGTCTTCTTAAAAATTGAAATAATAGATTGATTCATTATTTGACAAGTGAAATGCCACACTCTACACTGTTGATGCCGTGTAGAGATGTATTGGGCCTTTAGATGACAGCTTGGCACTGAATGTTGGGAGAAAAATGGACAGGGCAAATCTCCTCACTGCTCGAGACTGGAAAGCCAACTATGATGGCAATGTATATTTATTATCTGGTTGTCACCCTAGCAATTCAAGAGTTTGAGGCTCAAAACTGGAAATTGACTCCTTACTCAATTCCCCTCCCACTCCCTACCATGGGGACAATAGGGCTGGAGAAGGTTTCCATCAAGATGGGCAGACAACATCAATGTTTATCATTACCACCAACACTGCCACCACCACCACCATCACCACCACCATCATCGAGAACAAAATATCTTCACCAAGTGTCTACTTATGTAGCCTGCTTTGCCAGGTTCTGTGTAAATAAAACTACACACGGTGTCTCTGCCTTCTTTGAACTTGAATGTAAAGCAGGAGGACTGGCGTGGATACCTATACAGCTATTAGTCGTGGTGGTACGTGATAAAAAACTCTCCTGAATTGCACAGCAACCTGGCCATGTAACACAAAGAAGGCAAGGCTTTATTGCTTTAGATAACCTTCATCAATTAATGATTACTTGTTATCTCCTTCAGGCTGAGAATGAGCCCCAAGTTGGATTTATATTCCTTCCCAAACTCTGTAAGAACAGAATCAACATTATCGTCATACATTGGTGATTGAATATGGTTTATATTCAATATATACCAATATTGAATATAAATATATATTGATATATATTCAATATATCCTGTTTGGATAGAGATTATATCCCCTCCAATTTGTAGCTGGACTTTGTAACCCAGTAGATGATAAACCTTTATTAATTACTTATAGTTAAGTAAGAATAAATATTTACACAGTGCCCTAAGTTCAGGTCATTAGCAACTCCTAAAGGCCGCCATTCAAAGCTCCTTTTCCCTTTATCTCATTTTGTGTGTGTGTGTGTGTGTGTGTGTGTGTGTGTGTGTGTGTGTGTGTTTTGTTTTGTTTTGCCTTTTGAGGCAGAGTCTTGCTCTGTCATGCAGGCTGGAGTGCAGTGGCACGATCTCAGCTCATGGCAACCTCCACCTCCGAGGTTCAAGTGATTCTCTGGTGCCTCAGCCAACCAAGTTGCTGGGAATACAGGCATGTGCCATCACGCCCAGCAAATTTTTGTATTTTTGGTAAAGACGGGGCTTCAACATGTCGGCCAGGCTGGTCTCAACTCCTGACCTCAAGTGATCCAACTCCCTCGGCCTGCCAAAATGTGGGAATTACAGGCGTGAGTCACCATATCCAGCCTATCTCATTGTCTTTTAAATGCTTGCTCTATAGTTCTGCTTTTACTTAGCCTTATCCCCGTTTCTTCTTCCCCCAACATCACTTTAGTTTTGATCTTGGCTCCCTCTTGTTGAACTTGACTTTTACACTTCCTGGCATCCATCAGCTATGCCGCTCCATTTTGGTAAGTGGCACCTGCATCCCTGGATCCCTTCATGATGCCAGCCTTGTTGCATAACCTCATATACTCCCATCAGAGCATCAAGTTGTAGGTAGGTAAGCATGAACTTTGTACATAATTCATAAAGTACAAATGAGTATAAGAAAAAAGTACACTTGCTCCCACCCTGGGGCCCATCTGCTCCTTCACAGAGGCAACCTCTCTTAAAAATTTCTTTATAGTCAAATGGATCATATATGATACATGCTGTTCTTTACCTTGCTTTGTTCATTAATGGTATTTGGGAAATTGTCCCATTTTGCTTCATTCATTCTTGTTAAATTAGGTAGTGTTTTTAAGGATTTCCTTGTATGAATGTATCCTAATTTTTAAAACAAGTTCTCAATTGATAAACATCTCTTACTTTTACAAACACCATCGCAGTGAAGATTTTCATATACACATCATTGATGTCTGGGGTAAGTATGCAAGATAAATTCCTAGAAATGGAATTATTAGGTCAAAGATGGTCTATGTTTTTAATTTCGATAAATATGACTAAATTTCTCTTTCTAGGGTTTATGTCAGTTTAGATTCCCATAAATATGCATATGTCCCTCCCATACTTGTCATTAAAATGTGTGGTCACAATTTTAAATCTTTACCATTTGATGGTATATTGCTGCAGTTTCGATGTGCATTTCTCTAATTATGAGCAAGTTTGAGCATCTTTTCATATGTTTAAAATGCAATGTATTTTGTTTTCTGAGGGATCCTTTGCCACTTCTCTGTTGGGTTATTGATCTTTTCCCACTTTATTTGTAGAAGCTCTTTGCATATTAAAGAAAGTAGCCTTTTATATGCCTTAAATAGTTTCTCCTCTTTATCATTGTCTTTGACTTTGCTTATCATATATTTCTTCCAATCAGAAAACATTTGTTTTTGTGTTGTTGACTTTAATTGATTTTAACAGTGTCTACATTTTGCATCTTACTCAGAAAGGTTTTCTCCACCAAGGATATTTTTTCATAAACTTTCATTTTTCTAGTTTCTTTAAATTTTATTTTTAAAATATAGAATGTTTGATATATCAGGAATTTATTTGGAAGATGGAGTTAGGGACACACCCTTTTTCCCCCCCTCCAGGAGGGTAGAGTTCCATCTGGAAATTCATCCTTTTCCAAATGATTTGAAATGTCACTTTTATCATTTATTAATTCCTAGGTGTATTTCTGATTTCTCTATTCTGTTGTACTGCTTAATCACAAGCCAGGGCTGCACTGAATATCCTCGTTTGGATGTCACGTTTGTAGCTTCTTGTACCTAGCTGCAGTAGGGTGTTCTAAGAACATCTTTGTAAGTATCAAAGCCTGAAGCAATCTATCTCCCAGGGAACCTTAGGTCCCATACTGAAAAAAAAAATCAATTTAGCAAATAAATAAGCCTTTGGTATAAAGGGCCTGACACTTAGCTTCAAAGTTCACACCACAGGAGGGGGAGGTGTCTCATATGCCTCCAAGTTGGAGGTTTTTAGCACCATTTTTAAAATTTAATTAGCTAGCATGCATGAACTAATAGCACCTTGTCACCAGGCAGTGAGGAAGTTGAGAACTTTGGGATACATAAGGAAAAGCATGTGGCATCAGCAATCAAAATAACAAGGTCGTTTCAACACTTTTTAAAGCTCAGCTTCCATGGTGCCATCCATTAGGAGAGTCTGTGTTCTGGAAGTGACTAAGGTGTGAACACTTTTCGTGTAATTGCTCTTAACCATCATGTTTATGTACTATTTAGATGGGGTTGAAGAACAGCATAGAGATGGTTTACTTTAATACTGGCAGATGGCTATGTGAGACTTCCTGGCCTACCATCATGGATCAAGAACAACGGGAATTGAAGGGCTCTGAAAGACTCACCTGTTGGACATGTTTGTTCTTTGACTTAGAAGATATGAGACATCTGAATACACTGGGCTTGAACATGTGGCTGAGGATAGGGTAGGGTGGAAACTATTGCTGATTTGTCCAAGAAAAGACAAGTACTTAGACTTAAATTGGGCAGCTGACACCTGGAGATGGCACTTGTTTTTAAACTGGACTGAGCTCAGTAGAATCATAGATGTTGAAGAAAGGTGGAAATTAAGCCACCGTTGTGGAAGAGCTTCCCAGACACTGATGCTAAGGAGTCAAACTTTAGGTTTTTGCTGCTGATAAAAGTGCAAGCCTCAGTATGAGGCTCATTTACTAAATGTTTGACCCAAAAATGTGGCTCAATTCTAAGAGGAATTGATGAAAATGAAAATATACATAGTATATTGAGAAAACACAATACCCTTGAAACAGTGGAATTAAGCACAGAAGTCCTGAATTATTCTAACATCTCTGGCCATGAGGCCAAACTGTGGGCAATATTTGGGTCCCCTAGCTTGGTGAAAGCTGGCTTTCATGAAAGCGTTGAAAGCAAAGCTGTGCATTGCCGTTCCCAATAATGTGAATCTGAAAGCAAAATTCATGTGAGACCATCATGATGGTCTGTAGGTCATAATTATTGAGCATCATTCAGTGAGTGAAATATCAATATTCTCACTGGTCAAAATAGCTTAATCATGAACACTAAGCCTGTAAGAGCACCTTTTTTAAATGATTGGAATTCACTAAACTGCATTATTGCATTTTAGGGGGGCCATTATTCTCTAAAAGTGAATGCCCTGACATAGTGTGCTGATGTTTTAGGAGGCCTTTGAGAATAGGAAGAAAGTTGTCCACAGGACAACTATCACCAAGCCAAGCACACTGCCCAGTAGGTGGAATTATCAAAGGAACAATTGTCCACAGATAAATAAGTGGCTTAGACCAAAGAGACAGAGGAATTTGATTTGAGTCCCACTTTTCTTGAATGAACCATTAATAGACTCTTCACCCTTACCTGCCACCAGCATGATCTCGTTATACCAAATAGTGTATTGCTACAAAGCTTCCATGCTTTCTTATGATTTAAGACCACCTTCTTTCCCAGTCTTGATCCAAAGACCCTTCTGAAGTTTACCTAATTTTCTGGACTTCTAACTTCTTCTTTCAGCCCATTTATTTTATACCAGTTCATTTCCCCCCATCCTCTTTCTATAACAGCATATGGGTGATGGTTGCTGCATATTTTAATGACTACTGCTATCTAAGTCTTTGTGACCCACCCTCATAAAGATCAAGAACCTGTATTAATTCCCTCTTCTTTGGGTAGAAGCATCCAACAGGGCATGATAGCTTACAGTAGAAATCTGCAGTTAAAATCCCAGCTTCAACTTTCTTTCTCTCTACTGCTTGTTACCTTAATGGATTTAGGCCAATCACTTCCCCTCTCCAGCTTTAGTTCTCTTAGATGTAAAATGTGGGATTTGGACTAGGTCGGTGATTTTGACACTGTTTAATCATGAACCTCAGTAAATAATATATTAACCACATTGTTATCTAATACACACACATACATTTGAAATAAAAGTTTTACAGAAGAACACCTTATTCACAGTATAAGAACCACTTTGATCTATTCTATTGTATTGTATTCTATCTGTAAAAAATAAAACATTTACAAGTTGGTCACAGCCCATTAAATTGATTTCATGACCACTAGTGAGTCAAAATCAGCAATTTGAGAAGCAAAGGGCCAGATGATATCTGAAGTCCTTTCCAGTTGTAAACTGGATGACTACAAACCAATGAGACAGCCCCTATCAGTGTGCATCAGAAAATTGTTAGAGGCCATTGTGTTTGCCTCTTTGTGGTTTAAGATTCTGAGAAACCTCTGTCAAAGTCAGTAAAAGCCCACCGTTCACAGCTGAAACCGAACTCCAGTGGAAGCACTTCTCCTGCAGAGACCAGCTCCCGCACCTGACTGTGGGCCCAGGCTGGGCACCTCCCACCCAGTAGCACCTTCTTGTTCTTTAAAATCACAAGTTCAACTATTATTGAAATTATTTCCAAGCCTTAACTCGGAATCATGCTAAGAAGCTAACACAAATATATTAATTGACCATTTAAGACATCTCTCTGTAAGATTTTTGCATTGGGTGTAAATATCTAAGTAATTCATGTGGATATCTTCTCCCAGGTAGGTGTGGCCAGCTGATTACTTATTCCCAGGGAGCTGGAGCAGCAGGAAGGAATGGCCTGGAAACTGGAAATAATCCCATTTGCCGGGGTAAGCTAGCTGTGGAAAACTGACCAGGCTGTGGGTACCGAGAGAGCAGCTTCCTGCTAAACTTCCTGCTGTGGGTGAAGGGCAGCGTTTAAAGAGTAAGATGGTGCTCCCCATTCCAGCAAACACTGGCCACAGTGGACAGTCCAGGAGAGAGCTGTGCACCAGGAAGGTGTCAGCTGGACAGTAGTCAGGCGTCCAGTAAAGCAGCGATGAGGAGGCTGTCAGTGGACACCAGGGCCCCACTAGTGGGTGGTTCAGGAACCTGAGAAGCCCCCGGCCCTGAGAAAGGAGTCTAGGTAGTACAGCAGGGTCTCAGCGGTGAGGGCTCTGAGGATGAACCAGGAATTGACATTCAGTTCTAAGATTCACAGCATCATGTGAGGCCCAGGACCAGAAGCCAGACCTAATCTCCGATATCAGTCAGGGTGGACAGGTCCATCATGGTTGGAACAGATCCATGCTGGAGAGGCACCGAGTCTCATGATGTGTGGCTGGAGGTTGTTCCTGCTTCTGGGGCCAGGGCTGGGCCTGCAGATGAGGGACAGAGCACCTGGCTAGAAAGGAGAGAGGACTGCAGCGGCTGGAGCGTCAGCCACAGATTTTTAATTTTGCTTTCCTTGATATTCACATCCAAAATCTACCATGGAGAACTGTATATCACGTTCAAGGTGGAAGGGAACTAACTCATTCCTCATTAGTAACTATCAAATATGGCATCAGTACCTTCTTTATCCTGTAAGTGACAGCTCTGCACAGATGTGTTCCCAATCGATAGAATGTCTCAATTAAAGTTGCATAAAAGCTCTATTTTGAGCTAATATCTTCAAATAATAAATTCCACATTTAATTGAAGCGTACCTGCAACAAATCCAAGTTGTTCAACCCAAAATGCATAATAGAGTATGTAAAACAGTCATGAATCACTGTGACATTTGTCAAGGCATTCTCCCATCTGGAAGCAGGTCCAGAAAGCACATGGCTGTATGCATATATCTTTTGTCAAGAACTTTGCACAGACAGTCTCAAAAAGTGCACACATTTACCCAATTCTTAGGGCTCTTCACTCTGATTGAGAATGCAAATAGCATTCCTATTCTATCTAAAAAGAAGAAAGACAAGCCATCTTTGATTTCAAAATTTAAAAGAAATTATTACTAAATTTGAAGAAGCAATGAGTTCCCAATTCACTTAGAGCTTAAAGTTCCTCTTTCATCACTATTTTGTGAGCAGAGGAACTTTTTCCAAACAAGTTCTTAGAAATCCTTGCTTGATTAAAAACCAGTTCTAAATCTTGTTACTCACATAGGGCAAAAGGTAAAGGAATCTAAATGTCTAAAACCAAATTAACTCCAGATACTAGTGTGAACTTTCAAGCAAAAAAAGTCACACACCACCGCATACACGTTTGAAATTCTACTAAATTTTGAATGTTTGACGTTAGCCTTTAAACTGGAACATATTCTTCTTTCTTCCTTAGGATCTTTAAATCTTTTAAAGTTTGGGTTGTTTACTATGCATTCTAATTACTCCTGATCACTCTTATGTGTAACATTTCTATAGCTATGCACACAAAGTAATTCCTTAGCAAGGCCCCACCAAGTTTTATGATGCCTGCTTGCCTAGGGCAGATAATATAAACTTAACTACGAAAATAAGTTCTTTGATTATTCTTCGTATCTCAAGACCGTGCTCCTAACAACCTCTCCTCCATCTCACCCTCAAGCTGCAAGAATTTTGCAACCCACTCTATGAAGTTTTTCCACCCTGAGTAAGGCTGTCAGTTTATTGGCCTATTTATAAAGGTCTGACTCTCTGACATGTTCTCCAGGCTCCCCACATTAACCACTAAGGAGGCACTCTTTGCAGATGAATTTTTTTTTTTTTTTTTTTTTTTTTGGCCTCGGCTTAAAGAGGAACCTATTAACCTTTGCCCGGAATCTATGGCTGGTGAATGGCTTGTCATAGCATGTTAGTTTGATGAGGCAATTGTGGTCTTTTTTGTTAAAACACCCCCCAGCACCTCTTGATACTACTTGGCCTACTGGAGATGTGGGCATCCAGGATTGAATCAAAACTACTGCACTTCACAACAGAGCTACTGCAGGAAGGAAATCCAGGTACTCCCTGGCTTGTGCCACCTCCATCTTTTCCGTGGCTAATGTAATGCCTAGTGCATATTCACCACAAAGAGGCAACTGTTGAATGGCTCTTCCATTTGCCTTTGAAGATTGCTTGTAACTCTTCAAGTTCACTTCTTCATCTCACTGCCAGACCACAGCTTGAGACTGATGATTGACATGGCCACTAGGTTCTTCCCAAAGACTCCAGCCTAAAGATTGTTAGCTGCTTCCCCCAAAGGCTTAGCCTTCTCTGCTAGAGTTTTGGTTCTTTGGAGCATCCCATGAGCAAGAAGCCTCAGCTCTTTGTCCTCCTCTGTGTAGGAGCCCACAAGGATGCTTTATCTCCAATCTGGAATGGACACTTAGCATCCTGAGTTCTGCCCTGCTCAAAATCCATACCTGTTCATGAGTACCAGGGCTTCAGGGCCCGAGAACCCACAGCTAACACCCATAGGAGAAAGGTTTCATATGAGTAGGTGGGATGGGTTTTCATGCCTCTACAACCTGGCCAGCAGGAGGAACACTGTGACCCATGGTTTCAGAATTGATGGTCTCCCACTTCTCGGTTAGATCTAGGTATTGAGAATAACCTGAAGGACATTTGGCTGGAGGACATTATTTTTATTGTGTTAAAATATGCATCACACAAAATGTACTCTCCTATTTTTCATTGTATAGATCAGTTGCATTAAGTACCTTCACATTGTCGTGCAGCTATCATCATCGTTCACATCCAGAATTTTTTTCATCTTGCAAAGCTGAAACTTTGTCCTCATTAAACATTAACTCTCCCTTCCCTCCTCCCCCAGGCCCTGACAACCACCATTTTACCTTCTGTCTCTACAAATTTGACTACTCTAAGTACCTCAATAAAGTGGAATCATATGGTATTTTTCCTTTTGTAACTGGTTTATTTCACTTAATATAATATCCTCAAGGTTAATCCATGTTGTAGCACATGGGAGAACTACTGCCTTTTTAAGGCTGAGTAATATTCCATTGTAAGCCTATTCTGCCTTTTGTTTATTCGTTTGTTTGTAGATGGCGGAGTGTGTTACTTCCAGCATTGAGCTAATGTGAATAATGTTACTTGAATATGGATGTGGAAATACCTCTTTGAGACCCTGCTTTTAGTTCTTTTGGGTATATATGCAGAGGTGGAATTGCCAGATCACAGAGTAAATCTATTTTTAGCTCTTTGAAGACCGTCATACTGTTTTCCATAGTGACCATACCATTTCACCTTTGGAGGACATCTTATAGCAATGCTTTGTTGTCCCCTTTTCACCACGATTATGTGGCCATTACTTCTTGTTTTCAAACCTTGAGAGTGAGCTCAGGTTAAATTTACACTTCCCTTTGTGCCCTGGATCCCAACTGGTCAAGGTGAACCACACATTTCTAATTGGAATGTATGACCCCAGTGACTTTGCCTGTAACTTCCTTTTGGCTAGGCCAGTAAGCGCATTTTTAACCAAACCGACCCCATTATCAACAAATGCTTGCACTGCACGATAAATTCAGTTTGCTTTAATAAATTCCCAGTAGTCCTCACCCAGAGCTCCTTCTCCTCTTATCTCACTCCTTGCTGCCAAACCCTTTACAATTTATGTGTCTGCCTTTCGGTTCTGCCTTCAGCCCCCTCCAAGTTTCCTCTTTCCCACCAGCTCACTGTGGCCTTTGTGTCTCACATAAATTTTGTCTTCTGTGTCTGAAACTCTTACTGACTTCTGCTTCCTTGTTCCCTGGGTCTACACTGTTCCTTCTCTTCCTGGAACTGACCCTTCGATCTCTGGGCTTCCTACCTTGAGTAATTTGTCAAAATCCTGTTCTTGCAATTGGTGGCTTCTCAATTTTTTTCCTCTGGGTTTTTTTCCCACAGTCTTTCCACTATATCACAGGGCATACACTCCTGCTTCATGACTGTTCATGACATATTGAATTCCCCTCTTGTACCCCACAGTCTCTGCACTGAGTGTGTGCTCATTGGGAAAGGTTAGCTCACATTATACCTATCCAAAAAAGGAGAGGTGGCAGGTGGCCTGTGGAGAAGAGTGTATCCAGGCACATATGCATGGGAGAAAGTTCAGAGGTTTTGGCTGAGATAGAAAGAAGAAGAGTAGAGGCCAAATGTGTGCTAGGAAAATGTGATGTTTGGGGCACAAGTAGAGAGGACAACCTTGGCAGTGGCAGATGAGAGAGAACCTCAGGACTGGTGCTAAGGAGGTGGGTTATTTAAAGAAAGTTGTGCAGGTATAGAGTGGAGAAGGGGTGCAGGGGGAGGATGGAATTGAGTTAAAAAAAAAAACTAGCAAAAAACATTCTGATAGCACAGGTGAGAGAGATAAGAGTGATTTAGATTATCAGAAATGGAAGGAAAAGAAGGAGAATTTTATAGAGAAAGTGTCCTGTAGTGGCCGGGTGTGGTGACTCGTGCCTGTAATTCTAGCACATTGGGAGGCCGAGGTGGGGAGATTGCTTGAGCCCAGGAGTTTGAGACAGCCTGGGCAATATAGTGAAACCACATCTCTACAAAAAATACCAAAATTAGCTGGGTGTGGTGGCATGTGCGCCTGTTGTCCCAAGTACTTTGGAGGCTGAGATAGGAGGATCGCTTGAGCCAGGAAGGCAGAGGCTGCAGTGAGCTGAGATCATGTCACTGTAATCCTGTCGAAAAAAAAGGAAAAAAAAAAAAGAAAAGAAAATGTCCTAAAAATGCAGCAAGTCATTGATTGTAACAAGTAAGAGATGAGTCAACATTAATCACTGAGGCTGACTTCAAATGCTGGAGACAACATGGTGATTCCACCATAATTAAGAGGTTGAACAGGGCAAAGACAAAATAGTTTTATCTTTTTCTTAATCCGTTGGAGCTTGTCCTCATCCTCATGTGTTCAAGCTGTTATAACAAAGTGCCATAGACTGGGTGGCTTATGAATAACAGAAATTTATTTCTCATAGTTGTGGGGACTGGGAAGTCCAAGATCAAGGAACCAACAGATTCATTGTCTGGTGAGGGCTCACTTTCTGGTTCATAGATGGTGCCTTCTCACTGCACCCTCCCGTGGTGGAAGAGGTGAAAGAGCTCCCTAGGGCCTCCTTTATAAGAGCACTAATCCTGTTCAAGAGGGCTCTGCCCTCATGACCCATTTGTCCCCCAAAGACCCCACCTTCTAATACTGTCATCTGGGGGTTTAAGATTTCAACATATGAATCTGTTGGGGGGATGGATACAAACATTCAGACCATGGCAGAGCTGCTAAGGAGACATTGGGTGCAAGGTGACTTAGGAATGAAGCACTCAGAGGATCAGGAAGCTGCATTAGGAAGGAGAGAGGAATGGGAGCTCCAGGGTAGGCCTGGAATCCGGAATCTCCACCTCCCACCCTCCAACAATCGAATGGGGTGTTTCCCGCAGTGTGTCCTTGAGACCATCGTTTCCACTGACAGTAATAATTGTTACATGGGGAATAGCAAAAGGAACACAGGTCTCTTCAGTGTAGAAAGACTCCGAACCTTTCATGCAGCAATGTCCTTCGACAATCTCCAAGTGAGAAATTTAGGATGCAGTCTTTTTTTTTTTTTTTTTTTTTTTTTTGAGACAGAGTCTCGTTTTGTCGCCCAGGCTGGAGTGCTGTGGCGCGATCTCCGCTCACTGCAAGCTCCGCCTTCCGGGTTCACACCATTCTCCTGCCTCAGCCTCCCGAGTAGCTGGGACTACAGGCGCCCGCCACTGCGCCCGGCTAATTTTTTGTATTTTTAGGAGAGACGGGGTTTCACCTTGTTAGCCAGGATGGTCTCGATCTCCTGACCTCGTGATCCACCCGCCTCGGCCTCCCAAAGTGCTGGGATTACAGGCGTGAGCCACCGCGCCCGGCCAGGATGCAGTCTTTATTTGACCACAGAACATTTTTCCCCCCAGAGTATTTCTTGGGACTAGGATATGGAGAACAGGCTTTGAGAGAAAACACTGATCTAATAAATACCAGCATTTTACTCCTAAAGAATTCCCCATAAAAGACAACCATTAATAGAAATAGTTTACTTCACCATTGTGAATTATCAACATTACAACCAGTAATTACTAATTACCTCCATTTTGAGTTGATGTTTTGGGGGATGTTTTTATCCTGCAGTGCTATGGAGAGGCTGGGAACGCACTGCTGCCTGTGTTGCTTGTTTATTTATTTCCTTTTATTCCCAGTGTTCTCTCATTCCCCTTCCCATCCCCAATAGTCAACCATTCCAATTGTGTTTAATGTGTTTTTTTTTCACATGTTCTTGCAAATTGTGCATTATCATTTCGTGGATATTATCCTTAGTTTATGCCAATAGTACTGCCGTAGATCTCATTCTATTCCTTAGTTTTTTCATTTAGCACTGTGCTTTCAAGGTCCAGCACAGAGTTCCCATTGAGTCTGCTGCTTCCCATGGCTGCCTGACATGCCACGGATGCCTGTACCTACTTCACCTGTCCACTGTCCCAGGAGGAGATACCCAGTGGCCCTCAGCAAGCAACCCTGCAGTGGGCATCCTTTTATGGGACCTCTACGGACCTGTGGGAGAACTCTATGGGCTATCCATCTTGCCCTATGATTATAATATATATATATTTATTTATTTATATATATATATTTGTTCCCTAAGGCCACTTACATATTAATTGCTAATAATCTGAAAGTGTTTTCCAGCACTCAGTGTGGATCATGTCCCTCCAATATAGTATCTCCCATGGCCATCCCAATAACATCCCTGAGAGTTTGGCCGGGCTAGTTGCATTATCCTCAATCATACAGAAACATGAGTGACTAGAATGAAAAGGGCGTGTGGCTAGTAAGAGGTGTGAGCAGAGTTGCACAGGTTCTTTTTATTAATCCAAAGCTCTTTCCATTCCACTGCCTCTTCTTGCTGTTTCTTCAACATTCCAAACAGTCCTGCCTTAGGACGTTTGCCATAACAATACGTAACATAATTATTTGTTGGTTGACCTGCTTTCCTGGTAGAATGCAAACTTCACGAGGGTAGGGACTTGCTCTCTTGTTTGTGCTGCTATTTCCAGTGCCTAGAATGGTGACTGACACATAATAGATGCTCAGTAAATATCTGTTGCGTGAACAGAAGAATCATCTCTAAGTACATGTCTTTCATGTCAGATTTGTCTCCAAGGAAACTTCAAACAGGAAGGTCTTGCTATTTGGCTAATTTGGGTAATGGTACTATTTTACTGGAGACAAATAAAAGGAATTAGGGGGAGAGTCTCATATTAAAATAGAGGGTTGGATAAGGGGAGTTTATACTCTTTCCCCATCAGTGGCTTTTATGCTCTATCAATTCAGTAGTTAGCCCATCAAAGTAAAAAATTGAATTACACTGTGTAAGGCCACCTTGGGATCCAAAAGATAAAAGAGAAGATAAGGGACATGTTCTCCTGATACACTAGCTGGGCTCCACTCACCCAAGTCATTAATTGGAGTCTTATTGGGCTACTGCCTCATATCCTACTCCCGAAGAGCTGATACCTCCCATAACCTCATTCTTAGGGTCAGCTGGCCGTACCAGAAAGAGCACTGGATTAGGAGCCAGATCTGGGTTCTGGTCTTAGCTCAGCTATCCCTACTGATGGGACTAGAATGAATGAGTCATTTATCATTTTCTTCCCTTTAAAAAATACTTGAGGCCAGGCTCAGTGGCTCACCGCTGTAATCCCAGCACTTTGGGAGGCCGAGGCGGGTGGATCATGAGGTCAGGAGTTCGAGACCAGCCTGACCAACATGGCGAAACCCCGTCTGTACTAAAAAAATACAAAAATTAGCCTAGTATGGTGCCGCGCACCTGTAATCCCAGCTACTCAGGAGGCTGAGGCAGGAGAATAGCTTGAACCTGGGAGGCGGAGGTTGCAGTGAGCTGAGATCATGCCACTGCACTCCAGCCTGGGCGACAGAGTGAGACTCTGTCTCAGAAACAAAACAAACAACAACAACAACAACAAAACAAAACAAACAAAAAAACTTGAGCACCTACCTATCTCACAGGTCTGACATGAGACTCAAAGGAGCTCTCAGAGCCCTCCCAGGGCAGACTGTCCAAGTATCAGGGATTCCAACTGGGATTCCACTGCTCCTTGGTGTTCTTGTAGCCAGCCTGCATCTTGGGGAGTCTGCCGAATTCAGAAGCCCCATACCTCACCAGCTCGGGGTGAGCTTCTTGAGTCCTGCACATGGGTCCTCTCACCCTCATGTCTCCAGGGACTCCTCCGCCTGGGTAAGGGGAGACAGCACACATCATCCAGTCCTCTCCCCTCTTTGGGCCTCATTTTCCTAGCTATGAAATGAGGGGGTTGGGCTAGAATGATCATCTTGAAGCTTCCCTCCATCTCTAAAGTATTATGATCAGTGCTTTATTATTTTTTCCCTGCCTCTGATTTCTCTCCCACTGTGTCTGAAATTCTTTTGCCATTAAATTTTCTCTTCTTTCAGAGTTGCATATCTGGGCTTTTTATACCTAGTCCTGGACAGCACATTCTTCCCATGGCACTGGGCTTCCTCCCCTGGCCTCACTGTCTTTTCAGGAGTGACATTAGCTTTTTCCCAGACCGTGTATTCCTGTTCTAAGCCCACACATCATTTGGGGAGAGATGATTTTGCCATGTACTCTCACAAATATATGTCCTGCACATATTCTATGGAATAGACACACACACACACACACACACACACACACACACACACACACAGCTCCCTTCAATACCCCCGAATATACATGCCTGGGCATAACGTGTGGGCAAAAATATTCAGGGACAGCCAAATGACTATTTTAATGTTCCTTTGTCCCTGCAGGGCCATCGAACTATTTATTTAGTAGCTTGATGCTGTTTGCATCAACAACTTTGCCTTATAGGCTGTTCTTCATGTTTATGATTCTTACTGTGAAAAAAATTGCTTGCCTAACATCTGTTCTGAATTTGTTTTTTCTTTATTTTTATTTATCTGTTCCCCATTGAATTACATTTGCACCAAGAACAGTAACTTGAATTGTAATCTTCAGTGTCCTTCAGGATTTCTGCACACTTCAATACATCTCTTAATTACTCTTTTTTTATTGTTATGAGATATACATATATACCCATGCTCACACTGGCAGATTGGTTTGTAGCTTACCTCTGCCTGTCCCCCTCTGGGGACTAAGTTTTATTAACTGAATAAATTAGATGGGTGGGTATATTCAATAGAGTAGGGAGGTTTATCATTACAGGTTTCTTTCAGATATTTTTCCCCCTTGCTGCCCAGTTCTCTCCTTTAGCCATAGCTCTGTTTTGGAGAAAGCTTTATTGTAGCTTGACAGAGTCATAACTCACCAGGATGAGAAGGACCACTTCATCTTATAGATGAAGAAGCTGAGGGCCAGGGGGGAGGCTATCTTCCTGCCTGCTTCCAGAAAGCGTGGAGAATAGCTGCCCCAGCGCCATTCTTGAGAGGTAGAGCACAGCTTGACCCTGCCTCTCCAGGCTGCCAAGCCTGGGGGCTTTCCTTAGCAGCAGGAGGCCTCCTGGGACTACCGTGCCACCACCCACGCACCACACCATTGCTGCAGACCCAGTCCTTTGCAGAGCAAGCATTTTGCATGTTTTCCATGGGTGTGGCTGGGTTGGGGTGGTTAGGAAAGTGTGCAGAAGATGGTGTGGGAGAAGGGCAGGGCATGGAGAATCACAGTGGGGTCTCTTCATGCTTGTGGACTCTCCTGGTGGAGCTGGTTCTCTGGCCTCCCTCAGGCTGGCTCGTGTGACTGGAGCCCTCATTAACCCCCTGCTCTCACCACTTAGAAACCAACCCAGGGACCAACCAAGCATATTCCCAGCAGTAGGCAAGAAGATCCCTAAAGAAGGGAAGTGAGACCTGCGTTTATTCCCCTGATACTTGGGAAATCTAGCAGATATAGAGACAGTGACCCAGGTATCCAAGGGATTGGTCCAAATTCACCATCCTGTAACTCGAAATGCAATGCTCTTTCTACCATCGGTTCTCCATTCTTTCTGGAAGGTGTGTCCCCCTTCTTCCTTTTGCCCTTTCCCACACTCTTTGGGGGTCTATGTCCATGTCTTCCAATGGCACAAAGTCAGAGGGGATGGTTTCCCCATGTCTTGAAGTGCTCACTGCTGGCCCTGCTCCAGATGTTGTCCACTCAACAGACATTTCAGTCTTTGCTACGTGTACAGCATGGAGCTCATGGCAGTGGGAGAGACTACCCATCCCCTCCAGAAAATGTATCATTCATGTCTCTTTTCCCAAAGAAAGCTGACATCTAATTTAGGAGAAAAACCCAGACATGGGCCAAGTTGCTCAAGAATGCCAGGTAGTATAGTGGCTGACTTCTACAAGAGAAGGACAGGACACCCAGAAAGAAACCCAGAAGAACAGGAAACCCAGAAAGAACAGGAAACAGGATTCTGGGTAGAATCATGGACCAGTGAAGGCAGAGAAGGCTTCTAGGAGGAAGTAGGTCTTGAAGAATGAATAAGGGGGAGGTGAGGGCAAAGAATGTTCCACTCAGTAAAAACAGCCAGAGAAAAGCCCTTGAGGTGGGAATGGTTGGGGGAATGGAAGTTGTGGCTGGAGAGAGGGACACAGATGGATTGGCCAGTCATCATCACACACTGGAAAGCCTTCGTTGCCAGGCGAAGACATGTTTGTTATCCTTTTGTTACCCTTGCTAATGGCCTGTAAGCTGCTTAAAGCCATGTCTTGCAGGTCAGTTTCTAGAGATGGGGTTTGAGGGGCAAGATGTTTACTAGGGATCAGTGAAGGGAAGGAGGAGAAAGCTGTCAGTCATCCCCCAGTAGGACAAAATGCCACCTCTCTGTGTTCCTACTCAGCCCGGCCACTGGATGTGGGCTTTACCAGGAAGGGGGTGACCCCAGTGACATGGATCTCAGCAGCTGAGGCTGGCCCTGAAGGAGCTAACAGCTGGAGGCTCCCTGCTGACCACAGTCTCGGCTGCTGGACAGCAAGTCCTTCCCAGAAGGGGGATCTGGACGACATGTCTTGATGTCATCACATCATGGGAACTCTAGTTCAAATGAAGTTTTTGGCAGAATCACCAGGTTGAAGTGGGAGGTGATCTGAGGGTTCTGTATGCTGAGCTTCCCCACAGAGGACTCTTTGCCCCGCTAGACCTGAGACTGGCTGGGGCCAGCCACAAAGGCAGGCCCATGGCTGATGGAGCCAACAGGGCACCTCTGCAGGGGGCACCTCTCCAGGGTGGTAGGAGTGAAATAGAGCAGGCCCCAAGTTTTAGAAAATGACCAGGGGCTGGGTGAATTTTGGAAGCAAGATAAATGTGGATAAAGAGAAAAAAGGATTCTGAGGTTTCAAGTCTGGCTTCAGAGTTGAAAGCTCCTTCTGCCAGGAGGAGTAATAGGGAAGCCAAGAGGATAAAATGATTTCCCAGTCCTGGAAAGGCAGCTTAAAACCATCCTTCCACTTGCTCTTAAGGGTGAGGCGCTCTGCTAGCTTCTCAGGGATGCACGGACAGATAAGATGGGCTTTGTCTTGAGAGAACTTGCAGAGCGATCAGGAGCTTATCAATAAACAGAGGGTGATGCAGGTCAGTAGAGGAAAGGACCAGGTGCCACAGAAACTACAAGGAGCGAAGGGTCCATGAAGCCTTCACAAAGAGGGGCAGGTGACCCGACTGTCTGAAGTTTTCCAAACTAACAAGAGGGCAGCCGGCACTTTAGAGGGTAAATACTTGCAAAGAGGCAGAGCAGGGGGAATACTGCACATCTGGGGAACCATAAATAACTTTTTCACAGCAAGAATGAAAGGCTGTGGTTCCCAAACTGTGTGCTGAGACACCCCAGGGTGCCACAGTGAACTCACAGGGGCTTCCTGGGCTATGGTATTTTACACATTCGTGACAAATACAGCAACATCTGTCAGGCACTGTAGGAACTGCTTTCAGTTTATGTGTATTATTTCTTCAAATGTCCACTAACTTGCTAGAACATGTATACTTATAAAGTTGTTTGAACTTATCTACTTAGAAATGAGACTGTGGGGTTCTTCTTTTGGCCTGGGGAGCGCTACGAAGACATTACTGAGTCACTAAGGGCACCGTGAACTGAGAACGTTTGGAAACACAGGTATAAGAGGAATGGGGTGAGGAGAGAAGTCAGGAGCTCCTGAAGGGCCCCTGCTTGGTTACAAGTGAAGAAGCTTAAACTTGCTTCAAATGATGGAGAACCACTAGAGATTTATAGGGAATAGAACGACACAGTCAGCTTCTGTTTTACAAAGGTGATTGGCCTTGGCGGGAGGGTTGGTTTGGAGACAGAGAGCTTCACTGGGAGCTCCTCAGTGGTCCAGGCGAGAGAGACAGGGCCTGAAGCCAGTTGGCATTAGACGTTGGAGCTGGAATACAGCACACTGCGTTGACATCATGGAATTCCCACTGCATGCTTAACACCATAATGAACACTAGACATCAAAGATAAGAAGACAAGATGTGTTTCCACCACTCACAAACGAGCAGAAAGACAGTCAGGAAAAAAATTACAATTACTAGAGAACCACTAGGAGTCAACCAGGCAAGAAAAGAGGAGCCGTTCCAGGCAAGGCAGGGGGAACAGCATGTGCAAAGGCATGGGAGTGAGAGATCATGGAGGGTTTCAGTCGGTATGATCAGGATTGGCTCTTGGCGGTGGGGTGGGGAGGGGGACCGGGGGCAGGCAGGCGGGGGGAATAAGGAGGCACAAGGCCAAAGAACAAGGCAGGGAGCAGGGTGTGAAGGACATCATGTGCCACATGCTAAAGACTTGGCAAACCATTGAAGGGTGTTCAGTAAAGAAGCAGCATACTCAGATTTGCACTTTACCAAGTCCTAGGTGGATAAGTGGAGTTGGGGCCCACATGTGGACAAGCAGCAGGTCAGAATGATGGAGACAGAAACCTCTGAGTGGGAGGTCCAAAGTCTGGCCAGGAAGAGGACCAGGGATTGTACCAGCCTGAAAAGGGCAAAAGAAAGTTGCTGAACAGGCTCTACAAACTCCTGAAAGGGGAGGGGCTGAGAAAGCGCTGGTTCGGTCCATTGATCTCTGCAGGGCTCTGTGAATTCAGGGTGGACCCCAGGCATGAGTACTCTGAGGGTAACATGGGCAGATGTTGCCTGACCCTGCTCAGAGTGACAGACAGGAGCCCTGGGAAAGCAACTCCAGACTCCATGGCCTATGACTGTGTCACTGGCTCCTCAAGAAAACTCTCCCTGGTAGCTGAGTCTGCTCTGTCATTCAGCTGACTCAAGCCTCTTGCTCTAATGACAGACGGGAGAGCTGACCCAAAAGGGAAAGACACTCCATGAGCCAAGCAGGGACAGAGCCCCAGGACTCTGGGGACCCTGCTTTCTCCATGGCACCCTGTGGACCATCCAGCCCCGGAGGAGCGCCTGTGAGTCAAATGCCCAGGTACTCCCAGCACTGGACTTCTCCTTAACTTTCTCTGAACTTTCTGGAAGTTGAGCATCTCAGACACTCACAACTGTGATCTGCAGTAGCGTCTACCCCTTTCCTCACTGAGCCTCCTGCCGCTTCCACATGGACATTCCATGGCAAAGGTCAGACTTGAGGGTAGGACAGCAGCTACCCTGTTAGCATCCTCAGCCTGCTGGGAAATAAAACTGTCACGGAGACAAGAAGTTCTCAGATGCTTGGCATTTAGCAGTTGTCAGAGGAGCTGAAAGCCCTCATCAGTTCTACCTGAAAATCAGAAGTTTCCCAACGTGCATGGCTTTTTTTTTTTTTTTTTTTTTTTTTTTTTTTTGAGACAGAGTCTTGCTCTTGTCACCCAGGCTGGAAAGCAATGGCGCAATTTTTGTACTTTTAGTAGAGACGGGGTTTCGCCATGTTGGCCAGGCTGGTCTCAAAATCCTGACCTCAGGTGATCCGCAAGTGCTGGGATTACAGGCGTGAGCCACTACGCCCGGCCTGTGCATGCCTTTCTGTTCCTTCTGCTGATGTGGGGGGTGTTGGGCTCCTGTCAGGGGCCTCCTGATGCCCCGTTGGGGCACTTCCTCGCTCAGCTTCCTCGTCCCTGACAAAGTGGCAGCAGCAGGGTGTGGCCCATGGAAGGTGACCATGACCAGCATTTTCATTAAACTTTACTGTTCGGACAAACTATTCTCATCTGACCTCATAACGGTCTCTTTAATCATAGGAACAGTTTCAAGAAGGTTGATTTGCTCAAGGTGATACAGCTGTTAAATTACAGGACAAAGCCTTGAGCCCAAGTTCCTAAGACTCTCTGACACCTGCAACTGTGGCACTGCCAGCCGCCACTCTGCCTCTGACAGTCTCGGGGGACCAATCCAGTGACAAATTCTCCCTCTCCTTTTTTTTTTTCATTGCAGAAGTCACATGCGCTCATTATAAAACACTGAACGTTCAAGGAATAGATAAGATGAAAAGGACAGTGCCCCATAATTTCCTGCTCCAGATCTATGCCCTGTAAGCCAGGGGTCTGACACAGAGTATGTGCTCAATAAATGCTTTCTGAAGGGACTAGTTAATAGAAAGACCGACTATAATTTATTAACAGAGCTCCCCATACTATTTTACAATGTGCTTTTCCATTTGGCTGGGTCATTTGGACATTTTTTCATGTCGGTGCCTGTAGGTGACCCCCTGCCCACCACCACCAGGAACAGTCTATAGCTCGGTCACCCCTAACAGGGGCAGGCCTTCTGGAACAAGGCCAGGCAGCCCCCAGGCTAATCCCAACAGTCTATTCTACTTAAGTTCCCAGAAGGCGGCTGTGAACTATTTTGGTTTAACTGACTGGTCAGTTTCAAAAAAGAGAGAAAACCACTAATTAAACAAGTCAAACAAGTGGTTATTTTTGTCTACACAATACTTCACTGATTTGCCTACATTTTCTCTTCAACCAGGTGCTTTGGAGTTGAATAAGTGAATTCTTAATTGCATAGCTAAATGTAGATGAATAACTGGTTAAGAATTTCTTGCCCGGAAAGGAGTCTATATGTAAGTTTGGATTAGAGTGAACCAAGGCCTTACCTCTTTAATTGGGCTGGGGGTTTTCTGGTCCATTAAGCAAGAATATGCTCTAAATCTCCACCTTTGAAAGCCACAGTCTGCACAGCTGGGAGCCTGCCTGCTTTCCCTTGCACACCTACCCAGCACTGGAGCGGGTTCAAAGACAGGCCACCCGAGCTAAGAGCAGTCACTGGAATAGATGACAGCATGCTCACCACCAAGGACCTGGGCTGGGGTCAAGTCCCTGTCTTGGGCAAGTGACTTTGCCTCTCTAAGTCTCAGTTTCTTATTCTGAAAAGTGGATAAAATAATGTCCTCATCCATTTTCTATGAGAATTACATGAGGAAATACAGGCAATGCACTTAGAATGAAGCCTGGTCAATAGTAAACCCTCAAAATAAATGCTAACGATTGTTGTTAATCTCAAAGGTTTGAGAAGAATCTACAACCTCTGCAAATATTTCACTAGTATGAGAAGTTTCTTTGCACCCTATAGGAAGTAGACCTAAAATTCAAACACCCCATACTTTAATTTCCTTTCAAATTTGTAGGAATTATAGGATTTACAGTTCCAGTAAACTACAGAGATAACTTAGTTTTCACTCCCATATTTCAGCCATGGCCCAGAGAGTTTCAGAAATTTGCGCCTGGAACGGATTTCTGTGTGAGTGGTATGGCTGGATGAACCCGGATCCCACCTGCTAAGCTGTTGCATATTAATCTCCAGGACCCATGCCACCTCAGGGAGCAGGAAGACACTGCCTCACATTCACACCTTTGTGCAATACCAAGATCAGGCCCTTCTAGGGAAGTAAGCTTTGAGAGGCAGAATGGCACTGGGAATTCACAAGGTTGAGAAGAAAAAGGGGCACCATACTAGTTAGGACTTCCTGATTTCAAATTATGGGAAACCCAACACAAACTAACTTTAGCACAAACTAACTAATGTAAGCTAGGAGGATGGAATGAAGAGCTGCAGGAGGAAAGTTTGGACTCTATATTGTGCTTTGTAGGCAGTCTGTCTATCTGAAATCTCTGCTGGTCTCTATTAGCTCCTTCTGCAGACCGGCTCTCTCCATGTGGTACAAAAATGGCTGCCATCAGCCCTAGATTAATATATTCTCAGTTTAGCAGCTCCAGGAGAAAGTCAGAGCTTTTCACCCCAGCATCCATGTAGAAATCCCAATGAAGGATCCATACCGGCCTGGAGTGGGTCATGTGTCCACCCCTTGGACCAGTCACTGTTGCCAAGGAGATGAGATACTAGGATTGGCCATGCCTGGGTGGTGAGCCCACCACCATGACCAGAGGGGCAGGGTTCTATCACTGAGAGCTCCTTCAGAACTGCATGGAATGCGAGGGTGGTTCCTCAAGATGTAGTGGGCAGACAAAAGCAGGTGAGCCATCCCAGACACCCAAAACGAAAGCTATGTGTGCCTAGGACACACTTCCCTTACATTTTTTCTCCATTCAAGGTCTTTTCAGGAGCTCCTCAAACTACAGATGAGAGTTTTTGTAAATATAAATTCACAAGATTACACAATTTACATGTAAAATGGGACCAGTTTTCTCACGAGATTCATAAACCAGCTCTGAAGCAATTCTAAAGGAATTGTTGCAAAATTGTTTTTAGCATTAGCAATATTACTACAAAAAAAAAAAAAAAGAAGCAGGAAGACTCCCAAGGTGACTACTTGGAAGGACAACTTTCATTTGAAAGTAGAAGTATTATTTTGTTCCTTTAAAAAAATCTAGATTATGCGTAAGATTATTATGATAACTAAATCAATACAAATATATTACCAAAAGTTGCGTGTGCCCTACAGTGTAATTGCTTTCCTTTTAGATCTAAGAATTTAGGGAAATGAGAATGGGTGTGAACTTTGGTTAAATATAGAGCAGGTTTTCACCCAATCAGATTGGGTCCACAATCTGTCAATCACATCAGGATCCCCTGGGAGCTTGTTAAAATAGGAGGTGCTTGGGTCCCACCCCAGAGACTCTGGTCTGGTAGGTCTGGGTAGGGCCAGGCATTATTATTTCTGAATGCTCCGCAGTTGGTTTTGACAAGCCCTCGAGGCTGGAAACCATGGCCCTAGGACAGCATTTCTCAGAGTATGGAAAGAGTCCTCTTGCATCAGAATCTGAGAGCTGGTTAAAATCAGATTCCTGGGCCCTACCCAGGCCTGCTAGATTAGTCTTGGTAGGGAGCTTGGCTGTGAATTTAGAGTTTATTAAGCTCCCCAGTGACTTTTTAAAAATTTTTAATTTTGAAATAATTATAGATGGACAGGAAGTTGAAAAAAATATGTATGGGGAAGTCCTATGTTCCCATTACCCAGCTTCCCCCAATGGTAACCTCTTGCGTGACTATAGTACGTTATCAAAACCAGGGAGAATGACCCTGGGTATGACCCACAGTGCTTATCATATTTTTTCCAGGTTTATATGCACTCGTGTGTGTGTGTGTGTGTGTAGTTCTATGCAGTTTTATCACCTTTGTAGATCTGTGTAACCCCCACCACAGCCAAGATAAAGACTATCCTATGACCATAAGCTCTCTAGAACTACCCCTGTATAGCCACATGCACCCATCACCACCCCCATCCCTAACCCCTGGCAACCACTAATGTGTTCTCCATCTCTATAATTTTATTTCAAGAATGTTATGTAAACAGAATCATACAGCATGTAATCTAATGATATTTGTTTTTTCAGTCACAAAATTCCCTTGAGATTCATCCAAATTTGTGCATGTAACAATAGCTTGTTCTTTTTTAAATTGCTGCATAGTATTCCGTTGTATAGATGTACTACAGTTTGTTTACCCATCTACCCAATGAAGAACATTTGAATTGTTTTCAGTTTTTGCCTATTACAAACAAAGCTGCTGTAAACATTCATGTACATGTGTTCTGTGAATGTAAGTTTTCACGTCTCTGGGACAGATGTTCAAGAGTGCAATTGCTGGGTCATAGCATAAGTATGTGGTTAGTTTTATAAGAAATCGCCAAAGCGGCTTTATGGTTTTACCTTCACATCAGCAACTTATAAATGATCCACTTTCTCCACATGTTTGCCAGCCTTTGATGTTATCACTATTCTTTTAAAATTTTAGCCTTTCTGATAGATGTGAAATGATATCTCATTGTGGTTTTAATTTGAACTTCACCAATGGCTAATAATGTTAAACATCTTTTCATGTGTTTACTTGGCATCTGTATATCCTCTGTAGTGAAATGTCTGTTCATGTCTTTTGCCCATTTTCTATTTTATTTTTCCATAAGTTATTGGGGGTACAGGTAGTATTTGGTTACATGAGTAAGTTCTTTAGTGGTGATTTCTGAGATTTTGGTGCACCCATCACCTGAGCAGTACACACTGCACCATATTTGTGTCTTTTATCCCTCACCCTCCTCCCACTCTCCCCAACCCCCAAGTCCCCAAAGTCCATTGTATCATTCGTATGCCTTTGTGTCCTCATAGCTTAGTTCCCACATATCAGTGAGAACATAGGATGTTTGGTTTCCCATTCCTGAGTTGCTTCACTCAGAATAATACTCTCCAGTCTCATCCAAGTCACTGCAAATGCTGTTATGTCATTCCTTTTAATGGCAGCATAGTATTCCACCATACATATATACCACAGTTTCTTTATCCACTCATTGACTGATGGACATTTGGGTTGGTTCCATGATTTTGCAATCGTGAGTTGTGCTGCTATGAACATGCCATGCAAGTATCTTTTTTGAATAATGACTTCTTTTCCTCTGGGTAGATACCCAGTAGTGGGATTGCTGGATCAAATGGTAGTTCTACTTTTAGTTCTTTAAGGAAACTCCACACTGTTTTCCATACTGGCTGTACTAGTTTACAGTCCCACCAGCAGGGTAGAAGTGCTCCCTGATCACTGCATCCACGCCAACATCTACTGTTTTTTTAATTATTATTTTTTGATTATAGCCATTTTTGCAGGAGTAAGGTTGTATCACATTGCAGTTTTGATCGGCATTTCCCTGATCATCAGTGATGCTGAGCATTTTTTCATTTGTTTATTGGCCATTTGTGTATCTTCTTTTGAGAATTGTCTATTCAGGTCCTTAGCCCACTTTTTGATGGGATTGTTTGTTTTTTTCTTACTGATTTTTTTGAGTTCATTGTAGATTCTGGATATTAGTCCTTTGTCAGATATATAGATTGTGAAGATTTTCTCCTACTCTGCGGGTTGTCTGTTGACTCTGTTGACTGTTCCTTTTACCGTACAAAAGCTCTTTACTTTAATTAGGTCCCAGCTATTTATCTTTGTTTTTGTTGCATTTGCTTTTGGGTTCTTGGTCACGAAATCCTTGTCTAAACCAATGTCTAGAAAGGTTTTTCTAATATTATCTTCTAGAATTTTTATAGTTTCAGGTCTTAGGTTTAAGTCTTTAATCCATCTTGAGTGAATTTTTGTATGAGAGATGAAGATCCAGTTTATTCTCCTACATGTGGCTAGCCAATTATCCCAGCATCGTTTATTGAAAGGGTGTCCTTTCCCTACTTCATGTTTTTGTTTGCTTTGTCGAAGATCAGTTGGTTGTAAGTATTTGAGTTTATTTCTGGGTTCTCTATTCTCTTCCATTGGTCTATATGCCTGTTTTTATACCAGTATCATGCTGTTTTGGTAGCTATGGCCTTATAGTATAGTTTGAAATCAGATAGTGAGATACCTCCAGATTTGTTCTTTTTGCTTAGTCTTGCTTTGGCTATGCAGGCTCTTTTTTGGTTCCATATGCATTTTAGAATTCTTTTTTCTAATTCTGTGAAGAATGATGGTGGCATTTTGATGGGGATTGCATTGAATTTGTAGATTGCTTTTGGCAGTATGATCATTTTCACAATATTGATTCGACCCATCCATGAGCATGGGATGTGTTTCCATTTGTTTGTTTCATCTATGATTTCTTTCAGCAGTGTTTTGTAGTTTTCCTTGTAGAGTTCTTTCCACTCCTTGGTTAGGTATATTCCTAAGTATTTTTATTTTTTTGCAGCTATTGTAAAAGGGGTTGAGTTCTTGATTTGATTCTCTGCTTGGTCATTGTTGGTGTATAGAAGAGCTACTGATTGGTGTACATTAATCTTGTATCTGGAAACTTTGCTGAATTTTTTTTATCAGTTCCAGGACCTTTCTGGAGGAGTCCTTAGGGTTTTCAAGGTAAACGATTGTATTGTCAGCAGTGACAGTTTGACTTCCTCTTTAGCGATACGGATGCTCTCCTTTCTTTCTTCCTTCCTTCCTTCATTCCCTCCCTCCCTACCTTTCTTTCTCTTTCTCTCTTTCTCTCTTTCTCTCTTTCTTTCTTTCTTTCTTTCTTTCTTTCTTTCTTTCTTTCTTTCTTTCTTTCTCTCTCTCTCTCTCTCTTTCTCTTTCTCCCTCTCTCTCTCTCTCTCTTTCTTTCTCTTGTCTGATTGTTCTGGCTAGGACTTCCAGTACTATGTTGAAGAGGAGTGGTGGGAGTGGGCATCCTTGTCTTGTTCCAGTTCCGAGAGGGAATGCTTTCAGCTTTTCCCCATTCAGTATTATGTTGGCTGTGTGTTTGTTATAGATGGCCTTTATTACATTAAGGTATGTCCCTTGTATGCCGATTTTGCTGAGAGTTTTAATCATAAGGGGATGCTAGATTTTGTTGAATACTTTTTCTGCATCTATTGAGATTATCATGTGATTTTTGTTTTTAATTCTGTTTATGTGGTGTATCACATTTATTGACTTGCGTATATTAAACCATCCCTGCATCCCTGTTATGAAACCCACCTGATGTTCGTGGATTATCTTTTTGATATGTTGTTGGATTTGGTTAGCTAGTATTTTGTTAAGGATTTTAGCATCTATGTTCATCAAGGATATCGGTCTGTAGTTTTCTTTTTCGGTTGCATCCTTTCCTGGTTTTGGTTTTAGGGTGATGCTGGCTTCATAGAATGAGTTAGGGAGGGTTCCTTCTTTCTCTATCTTGTGGAATAGTGTGAAAAGTATTGGTACCAATTCTTCTTTGAATGTCTGGTAGAATTCTGCTGTGAATCCAGATGCAAGTCCTTAGTCAGGTAGGTAGTTTGCAAATATTGTCTCCTAGCCTGTAGCATGTCTTTTCATCTTCTTAACAGTGTCTTTGAAAGGGCAAAAATTTTTAATTTTGATCAAGTTCAACTTTTTGATTTTTGTCCTTTATGGATTATGTTTTAGTGTCAAGTCTAAGAACTTTTTGCCAAGCTCTAATTTTCAAAGATTTTTTTTTTACTTTTCTAAAAGTTTTATAGTTTCACATTCTACATTTAATTCTGTAGTCCATTTTGAGTTCATTTTTTGCATAAGGTATGAGGTTCATATTTTGCCTATGGATGCCAATTACTCTAGCATCTTTTTTTTTTTTTCTCACTCTGTCTCCCAGTCTGTAGTGCAGTGGCTTGATCTTGGATCACTGCAACCTCCACCTTCCAGGTTCAAGCAATTCTCCTGCCTCAGCCTCCTGAGTAGCTGGCACTACAGGTATGTGCCACCATGCCCAGATAGTTATTTGTATTTTTAGTACAGATGGGGTTTACCATGTTGGCCAGGATGGTCTCAAACTCCTGATCTCAAGTTATCCACCTGCCTCGGCCTCCCAAAGTGCTGGAATTACAGGCGCGATCCACTATGCCTGGCCTACTCTAGCATCTTTTGTTGAAAAACCTACCCTTCCTGCATTGAATTGCTTTTGTATCTTTGTCAAAATTATCAGTTGAGCATATATATGTGGGTCTACTTCTGGGTTCTCTATTTTGTCCCATTGATCTATGTGTTTGTCTTTCTGCCAATACCACACAGTCTTGACGACTACAGCCAAGTTTTGGGATCTCGTAGACTGATTCCTCCCACTTTATTCTTTTTTCAAAATTGATTTAGTTATTTTAAGTTCTTTGCCTTTCCATATAAGTTTTGGAATAAGTTTGTCTACACCTACAAATATTCTTGCTGAGACTTTGATTGGAATTGCATTAAACTGATATGCCAGTTTTGGGAGAATTGATATTTTTACATTGTGGAGTCTTCCAATCCATGAACATGATATGTTTCTCCACTTAGTTCTTCTTTTATTTCTTTCATCAACATTGTAAATGGCAATGTGCTTTCATTTGGTTTACACATGTTCATTGTTAGCATGTAGAAATGCTATTGACTTTTTTTTGTATGTTGATCTGGAATCCTGCAACCTTGCTGAACTCACTTATTAGTTCTAAGATTGTTTTTAAATTTTTTAGTAGTTTCTCTGTAGATATCATGTCATCTCAAAATAGGGACAATTTTATTTATTCCTTTTCAGTCTATATGCTTTTCATTTATTTTCTTGCCTTATTGCACTGGCTAGAACTTCCAATACTATGTCAAACAAGAGTAGTGAAAGAGGACATCCTTGCCTTGTTCCCCATCTTAAGGAAAAGCATTCAGTCTTTCACATTAAGTATGACATTAGCTGTAAGGTTTTTGTAGATGCCCTTTATCAAGTTGAGGAACTCCTCTCTATTCCTGAGAGTGTTTATCATGAACAAGTGCTGGATTTTGTCAAATGCTTTCTCATGTCAACTGATATAATCACATAATTTTTTATTTTTCAGGCAGTTAATATGGTGAATTATATTGATTGTTTTGAAAATATTGAATCAGCCTTGGACACCTAGAATAAATACCACTTGGTTTTGATATATAAGTCTTTTTATATAGTGCTAGATTTGATTTGTTGAAGATTTTTGTGTTTAAGGTCATGAGAGATACTGGTCTATACTTTTCTTGTAGTATCTTTGGCTGGTTTTGGTATCAGAGTAAACCTGTCCTCATAAATTGAGTTGTGAAGTGTTCCCTCCTCTTTTATCTTCTGGAAGATATTGTAAAATTAGTGTTAATTCTTCTTTTAATATTTGGTAGAATTCTTCATTGAGAATTCTACATTAGAGAATTGTACTCTCTAAGTACATTGAGTACCACATCATAGGGTGGTGTAATTTTTGCTTCAACCATCAAGTATGATTTAAGAGACTCCAAGGTATCCTGGCCTGGAGATGTGTTTTTCAGGAAATTTTAAATTATGAATTCAAATAAAAAATATGAATAATTAAATTTTGAAATTTAATTAAAATTATTAGTAGTTTTGTGGTTGTAAGATTATTCAGATTGCCCACTTCATCTTGATTGAGCTTTAATAGTTTGTAATTTTCATAGAATTGGTCAATTTCTTTCTAGTTTTTAAATATATTAGTCTAAAGTTGTTTGTAGTAGACCCTTATCCTTTTAGTAGCTGCAGTGTTTGTAGTGATATCCCATTTCATTCCTGATGTTGGTGTTTTGTGTCTTCTCTCTTTTATCTTTGTTAGTCTTGTTCGAGGTTTATCCATTTTATTGATATTTTCCAAAGAACCAGTTTTTCGTTCATCAGTTTTTCTGTGGTTTTTGTTTTCAGGTTCATAGAGTTCTGCACTTTTTTTTTTATTATTTCCTTTCCTGTGCTTGATAAGGTTCTTTGTTCTTCTTTTTCTAGTTTCTTGAGATGGGAGCATAGACGATTCATTTAAGATCTTTCCTCTTTTCTAAAGTAGCATTTAGTGCTATCAATTTCTCTCTCCACATTGCTTTAGCTGCAGCCACACATTTTGATATATTGTTATCTAGTCATTACATTATATTCACCATTATAGTAGTGTATTTGTTCTCTTTTATTCCTTCTGCTCCTTGTTTCATTTTTCTTACCTTTTTGTGGATAACTTGAACATTTTTCAGAATTCCATTTTGGCTTATCATAATTTTAAAATAGTTTTTCTTAGTTCTTGTGTAAATACACATATATAATTTATCACAATCTATGAGTATGAATGCCTTACCATTTTGAGTGATATGTAGAAATCTTACTTCCATTTTGGACCTTTTAGCCTCCTTACTTTTAAAATATAATTGTCTTAAGTATATCTTCTAAGTGCATTGAGTACCACATCATATGGTGGTGAAATTTTTGCTTCAACCATCAAGAATGATTTAAGAGACTCCTGAGAAGGATAGTCTATTATTTTTATCCATTTCATTGTCCTTTCCTTTCTGAAGTTCCAAACTTTCTTCTGTTATCATCTCCCTTTCCTTTCTGTTTGGAGAACATCCTTCAGCCATTCTTTAAGGGTAAATATGTGAGTGACAAAATCTCTTAGTTTTCCTTCATCAGAGAATGCCATTATTTCCACTTTTCTCCTGAAGGATACTTTCACCAAATAGATGACTTGTGATTGACAGCTATTTCCTTTCAGCACTTGAAAAATGTGCCACTTCCTTCTGGCTTCCATGGTTCCTGATAAAAAAAACCTGCTGTCCTTTGAACTGGTGTTCCCTATAGATAATACATTATTTCTCTCTGGCTGTTTTCAAGATGTTTTTCTTTCTTTTTTAGTTTTCAGAAGTTTAACTATGAGGTATCTTGGCATGGATTTCCTTGGGTTCATCTGAGTTGAGATTCACTCAGCTTCTTGAATATGTAGGTTTATGTCTTTTGCAAAATTCAGAAATTTTCAGCTGTTATTTCTTCAAGCCAAGGTGACTTTTAAGCACATTGTATATTTGAGAAACATTGCTCTGGAGGGGGGTTGAGAGATCCAAGGACTTCTCAAATTGTATGCAGAATGCTGTTAAGTGTCCACAGCTTTCATTAGATTCTCAAAAGACTCCATGACCCTCACCATACATTTTATAAAAGAATTGGTTTATGGCCTTATTGAGTTGTTTTTTGTTTTCTTGGTTAAAATCAGTAAAAGCAAACAAACAAACACAAAAAGTAGTTAGTATTCTTTTCTTTCTTTGTACCACATCTGTTGAATTCCTGTTTCTCAAAGATTTTCCTGACAATTTTGGAAAATACGATGACTCAGGTAAATGTTTTCCAAGTGCCTAATATGTGCCAGACAAATATTTTTATTGTTTTCCATAGTTAATGAGAAGGAGAAGAATTTAAAACAATTAATATCATTTGGGTTTATGAAAAGTTCTTGGTAAATAAGTGCTAGAGTAAAATTGGCTGCTTTTCAGTGTGACTTTCCCCTTTAAAATCTGTTCCTTACTGCTCTGAGCTGGATACACCAGCGATCAAATTACATCCCTGAAAGTATAATTTCATACACCGAAAACATGTCATTACACAGTGGGCCGCTTGTCATCACTCTGGCTTGCTTTGCACAGTTGGTAGTCCGGCACTCACGGTTCCCCCAAGCAGGCTTGTCCCTGGCTCAACTGCTCTAGCTGATTCCTCCAGCCAGCAGACCCTCACCTCCTTTGTCACCCCTTATTCCTGGACTAACTTTTGCTCATCTTCCAGAACTCAGCTTGGGAAGCACCACCTCTGGGAAGCCTTCAGTCTCTTTTCTCCAAGCATTGAGTTGAGTGTGCCTCCAGGGTCACTCATGCCTGCCAGAACATCACGCTGTATATTAATTGCCTAATTGTCTCTCCTGTCAGATAGTCAGACCCTTGGAAACTGTGACTGGGTCTTGATTTGCTTTCGTGCCCCCAGTACTTTTGTAAGTATAATATGACATGTGTTTACGCACTATCTCCAGTTAGAGTTCACGCCACCAGCTGACTGACTGACTGAGCCTTTCATCCATATTTTCATTAATGTCATTAAGTATCTGTTGAGGGCTGGGCACAGAGGTTCATGCCTGTAATCCCAGCACTTTGGGAGGCCGAGGTGGGCGGATCACTTGAGGTCAGGAGTTCAAGACCAGCCCAGCCAACAAGGTGAAACGCTGTCTCTACTAAAAATACAAAACTTAGCTGGGCATGGTGATGGGCGCCTGTAATCCCAGCTACTCAGGAGGCTGAGGCAGAAGAATCGCTTGAACCCGGGAGGGGGAGGTTGCAGTGAGCTGAGATAGCACCACTGCAGTACAGCCTGGACAAAAGAGCAAGACTCCATCACAAAAATAAAAATAAAATTTTAAAAAGTACCTGTTGAGCTCCTTTATATATAGGTGTGGCGACCAGATATTCAGTTCTTCCCAAGCAGGTTTAATCTTTCCTCACAAGCATCTGTTTATTAATTCACTTTAGACTTTTTCTGAGAATTGGTATAAAGGTTATTGGTCTTTTGCTAGAATTCCTATCTTTCCGTTTTGGGGAAATATGGATAACACCGACCTCTGCCATTTTCCTTCTTTGTCTTACTACTGGATCTTATGAACCCTTTATTATTACATTTACATGTATAGCTCTGTCTTTCCTATTAGGCTGTAATAAGCTCCTTGGGCAGGGAGTGTATCTTATTCAACCCAGAGTCTCCAGGGACCGGTGCAAGGTGGCATTCCATGAGTGCTGGTGGAAAGAAATTTGATGTTAGATCATCACAGCTATATGGTTGCTTATGATTGGAACATATGTTTCCTCATCGTCTCCATACCTTTACTTCCTAGTTATCTTTTATCCCTCATTCTAAGCTACCGTGAACTCTTTTTTGGAAAGGAGAAATGGGTAATGCAACACATTTTAATGCATTTTTTATTCCTCCCAGGTACTATCTTGGTCGTCGGATGTTTATTGTTATTTCTGAGCCAGACATGATCAAGCAGGTGTTGGTTGAGAACTTCAGTAACTTTACCAACAGAATGGTACGTAGTTTTCTTTCCGCATATAGATGGATGGGGAATTGTTCTCAGATGGAGACACTGCATGTCAGATCCAATGGGGATGCAATCAGGCCTCTGATCAGGTTTATGTCAGTTCCACTCAAAACTAAGCTCCTCAGTGAACTCGGTTTTTCAAAAGAGATCTATGGGACTGGTACAAAAGAGTAACATTTACATTTAAGAAATGCTTCAAGAAAGCTAAAGCTCAAGGGAAGCTGAGGCTATTAAAAATGCTAAAACCAAGAGGGTTTTCTAAAGCTGGGTTCAAAGCCGGGGGAATCCAGAGGGCACAGGCCAAGTGACTGACGGAGAATGAGCTAGGCTAATAAATATTAGTTGGAAAGCAAAATTTTGAGGTTCTTGCACTTACATCTTTCCCAGAAAGTATAAGAGTATTAAGGCTGGAAAGGGAAGTCAAGCAAAATTAGGAGAGAAATTTGTCCCCTAGTAAGAGAAGGAAACTTTAAGAGGGCTCCTTTACATTAGGTCAAGTCTCCAGCCTACATGCATGTACATATCCCTTTGTTTTTGGAAAGTAAATGTCCTACTATTTATCTTTGATGAGAAATCCCAAAGGATGGGCGAGGTGACAGAAAATGGCAGAGATCAGGCCAGGCACAGTGGCTCATACCTGTAGTCCCCACACTTTGGGAGGCCAAGGAGGGTGGATTGCTTGAGTTCAGGAGTTCGAGACCAGCCTGGCCAACTTGGCGAAACTCTGTCCCTACAAAATTACAAAAATTAGCCGGGTGTGGTGGCACACATCTGTAGTCCCAGCTACTTGGGAGGCTGAGACATGAGAATTGCTTGAACGCTTGAATCTGGGAGGCTGGGAGTGGGAGGGGCTCCAGTGAGCTGAGATCGCGCCACTGCACTCCAGCCTGGGCGACAGAGACGCTGTCTCAAAAAAATTAAATAAATAAATAAAAGAAATAAAGAATGAAAAAATGGCAGATATCAGTGCTAACCATTTTCCAAAAATAGGGAGATAGGCATTCTAGCAGAGAAGACCAGTAACCTTTACGTTGATTCTTGGAAAAAGTCTAAAGTGAATTAATAAACATGTTTGTGAGAACTCAGAGAATCACCTTGCCAACCATTTTTGGGGGGTTCCAATTAGACCTCACTTTTCATTCTTTTAGGGAAGTACGTATTCATTCTTTTGTTGATTATGTGGCAAACTTTTTCATACCTACCATATGCCAGGCACTGTGTAGGTGCTGACTGTAAAGAGACAGTGTCCCTCGAGGAACTCTCGGTTTAGTGAGGGAGGCAGACAAGGAAAGGGACCAGCACAATGCAGTGTGGTGAGTGCTCCTGAGGTGGGGAGCCCAGGCCACCAGGATGCAGACAGAGGAAAGCTTATTGGGTGTGAGGTGCTTGGGGCTGAGTCTTAAAGAAATTAGAGAAAGTCCCCCTGCCTGTGTTCCGAACTAGGTGAGCCATCCAGAGTGTGTCCTTGTCATCGCAAGAGCTTATGAGATGAGTACAATTATCATCTCTATTTTATAGACAAAGAAACTAAGGTTCAGAGAGGCTAAATGATCAACCCTGGTAACATGGCTTAACACGAGGAAGAGCAGGGATTCATGTGCCATCTCTCAACTTAAGTCTAGAGCTCTTTTTACTGCCAAAGCTGTGACAGCTGCCTCAGTGACATTTCAGGATGTCAAGGTTGAGTGGAGTAATTGGCCACTCACCCAAAATTTGCTCATCTTCTTCCAGCCCCAGAGCATCATGCCCAACTCCAGACATCACGTGGCCTCTAGAGGGATGTGGCCTGGAGGGAGGCGGCTGGCCTGCTACCTCCATCCCTTCAGGATGGCCGAAGGAATTGCAGAAGTTTAACTGCTTCTCTGCTGCCTCTAGATTCTCTTTCCCAAACACTGCATTGCTATCTCCTCGCTCAAAGTCCCCTGGAAGCCGTCTGTCAAGAAACTGATTCTGATTATTAAATGCAGCTGTAGCTTGTTGCTCCATCAGCCTCAGCAAGGAGTGCTGATTAAAGAAGTTGGAGAAGCCAATAAGTCAAAGTGCACGGACCACCAAGCCACATCCTGGCAAGCAGTAAAGGTACTCCCAGGAGCCTGTCATAGCACTTGAGACTGTCTGAGCCCCTAAGCCATGAGACGGCACTTGCCAACTGGTGTCTCCATATTTCCTCCCATGATACCAGGACATGTGACCCTGAGAGCTGACCTAGAAGAGGTCAATGATTTGGCCTGCTAGGGGCAGACATACTCAATGCACATGTCCAAGCAAGGAGGACACAATAATATTGCCCTCAGCTTTGATCAATTTATCCTCCAAGCCATTTGTCTGCCGTTTCTAATTTCTTTCACCATCCCCTCACCCACCCCTCCACGCAGACTAGGTCCAGTGCCCCAAACTCCAGAGTAGAGTTCCAATTTTCGTCCTCTTCCACTCAGCACAGGATTAAGCCTTCAGGACTAAGTTCAAGTTCCCTAGACGATATTTAAGGGCCCTTGTGTCTTAGATCCATTGTGTGTGCTCCACCCTGTCTCTCACTGCTCCCCAATACAAATCGTCACTCCAGCCTCTCCCTGCTCACCCTCACCTGCTCTGGAGAGACCTGACCTCTGCCTTGCTCACGCTGACACTGCCTCAGAATTGAAGGCAGTGTAACAGTGGGGCTCATATTGATTATGACGTGAGCTTGAGCACATATCTTTTTTTTTTTTTTTTTGGAGACACGGTCTTGCTCTGTCACCCAGGCTGGAGTTCAGTGGTGTGATCAGAGCTCACTGCAGCCTCAAACTCCTGGGCCCAAGTGATCCTCCCACCTCAGCCTCCTAGGTAGCTGGGACTGCATGTGTGTGCCACCATGCCTGGCTAATTTTAAAAAAAAAAAATTTGGCAGAGATGGGGGTCTTACTATGTCGCCAAGGTTAGTCTCGAGCTCCTGGCCTCAGGTGATCCTCTCACCTTGGCCTCCCAAATTGTTGGGATTATAGCCCTGAGCCACTGTACCTGGCCACATTTCTTAACTTAAAAAAGAGCTGGGGCAGCTCTTTTTAAAAATATCCATGGAAAGTGGAGCTGAATCAACATGACTCAGCAGAAATGGTCACAACCAGTGGCAGAACTTCTTATTCTTGGCCTCCTCTCAAGGCCTGGAGTTGGGGGATATGATCCACCTTACTGGGCTGTCATAAAGCCACATGGGATCATGCATATAACCTCTCCCTCTACACAGTACTTGGCAGGTGACACATTACTGCTTCTCACAAGAAAACCCTCCACCTCTTCCACACCCATCCAAACTCTTGCTGTTCTTCAAGACACTCCTCAGATACTGCCTCCTCCAGGAAGCCTTCCCTGCCTCCATCCACATGCACTTTTCCCCTTCCCTGAACTCTGGCAGCGCTCACCATGTGTGTCACTCGTTGTCACAGTTGATCCCCTTGTGCCTTCCAGTATTTACAGTGAAGGAGGATATGGCTTTCACTCTAGCTTGATTATTAGCTCTTTAAGGCCAAGAACTGTATCTTGTATTTTTTTTAAACCCCATGACATAAACACATATTGACTCTTCAGCATCCAATATATTCTTGTTCCAACTGAATGGAATTTCCATCAACTTGACATTCCTCCCAGAAGAATGAGGTATTACTTGAACCTGGAGTTGCAATATAGTCTTCTTCGTCTCGGTCATTCACAAACACGTAAAAAGACCCATCATAGATAAGATCTCCAGGAAATCCCAGTGTTTATAGTTTTCCATCTGGGAATGCATCCACTTATGTGTAGCTTTGTTTATGGTCTTTAAGCCAATTCCATATCGATGGTAAAACAACCCTTAGTGACTCAATTTTTTAAAAAACAGTCTTTAAAGTGGGATTTTCTCACAGGTTTTTGAAAGTCAAATTAAATTGGGTTCTGTGGTTCCCTCTTATCCATATGCTTATTTATCTGCTCAAAGAACTCAAGGAGATTAGTGAGACGTGATTTCTCCTTACTGACACCACGTTGCCTTCCCTCTAATAGGCCATGTTTACTTAAGCGTTCAGCAATTCAGCTTTATTATACATTCACTCGGTAAACATTAAATGCTTACTCCATGCAGGCTGCTACCAAACGGTCCCTTGTGATACAGAAAATACCTCGGCATATTAGTTTGATAAATTAAGTGAAAAGGAATTTAAATAATGCATGCTCTCATTCTCCAACAGGGAGAGCCCATGTCTGCTCACAAATTCAGGCTTGAGTTACGTTGAGTTTTGTCCCTGGACAGCCTGGTGGAGAAGGGCCCTGATTTGGGAAGCTGGATTTAGCTCTGAAATTTGACATGAGCCGTAAGCATCCCATGAGGGATCCATAGAGCATATTCACTGGAGGTGGGGGTGATGCAACAGGGAGCTCCCTGACATACAACAACATTGAACAAATGTGTGAATTCAAATATCATCCTGTGAAATATTCTTTTCCAAACTCCAGAACACTGGCTGGAGCAGACTGTGGGTTGGATCCGGAGCGGCAGTTCTTAATGTCATGCTTTCCCATTCACAGTTTTTGGGCCTCTGGAGTCTGTGCAATGTCTCTGCTTCATCTTGCTCATTTTCCACGTGGACCTTGTAGGTCTCTATCAATGTCCTCAGTGCTTCCTGAAACTGCTCCATGATGGTGCAACCACAGCTTATCATTAAACCCAAATCAATCTTCTTGGCACTTATAGAAGCTCAGTCGTCCTGGTACATCAGGACTCGGATGTTTCTATTTAGATATTTTCAATGAGCTCTTCTTTGCTGTCAGGTACGGTACCTAATGAAACCATAGGGCAGCTCTTTTTTAAATATCTGTGGAAAATGGAGCTGAGTCCACATGACTCAGCAGAAATGGTCACAACCAGAGGCAGAACTTCTTGTTCTTGGCCTCCTATCAAGGCCTAGAGTTAGGGAGCTGTGGGAAGGGTGATAAGAGGTAAGCCAGTCTTTGGCCCATGTTAGCTTGGTCTGGTCAGATAGGCATGTCAGGGATGTGTCAAAACACTAAGCCTAGTGCTTTGGAGATGTGGGTTCTGGTCTGGAGTGGCAGTATGGAGTGCCATCTCTCAGGTCCTCATGAGCAACACAGAGGTCACCTCTCCAGGCACAGGTCGAGCCACACCACTGACACACAAGAGTCACGTCCAAAGCCATGTGATGGACGTGGTGGGTGGTTTTATCCCGAACCATCAATACCCGGCACCCTGGCTGCCCCAGGTTCAGCCTCTCAGGGGCTGCTTCACTCGCTCTCCACACAGCTGTGAACATTGCAGGATGAGTCACTGTGAAACCACAAACTCCTTGGCATTGGTGAAGATGACTAAAGTTATAGGCAAATTAGTCACTGGAAACCTTCCTGTCCTCTGTATCTGCAGCAGCCTCCTATCGAAGGAAGAAAAGAGTATGTTGGCTCATTGCAGAGCTAATTGGCAAGGAAAGCTCAATTCAGGGCTACAGGTGAGTCAGACGCCCTTGTGCGGGGGCCACAGGGACCCGCCTGCTGGCATCCATTGAGGAGAGAGGGGCCCTTGGCAGACTTGCCATAAAACCGCCCCCCTTGAACTCATTCCTACACCTGTAACCACTGACAGTTTTTGAAAACTGTTCACCTGGAGTTCCTGGTTCTCTTTCTCTTAAATCAAACATTGAGTAAATGAAGACACTCAGATGTTCAAACATGTGCATCAAGATTTTACTTGTGAGAGTGGTTGCCATGCATGACCTAGGGAAGCTCTCATGGCTTCAGTCAAACCTTGCCAACTTTTTTTAGCTGTGCATTTCTTGAGAAAGGTCAACTCACATTACGGGTCTACAGCTCTGAGCAAGGGAGAAGTTCTTCCTGAAAGCACAAACAGACTACAGAGGGCAGTGAAACCAGAAACACAGGTGTGCAACCTCATTTGCCTGCCCCCGTCTCTATTTTGAGGCCTCTTTGTTTTATGTGACCTCCGTCTCCTTCTCTGCCGCAATCTTCTTCTTATAACACCCACTTTCTTCTTTTAATTTCCCCCTCTTCTAAGCCATAGCCCAGTGGTATGGCGAAAGGTCTTTGCTGTGCATAGGAAACCCTCCAATCTGAACTGGAAGCTTCCTGTTGCAGGATGGGCTGCCCCATTGGAATTCCCAGGTGACAGTCGCAATGGGATGCCTGTCCCCTGCAGGTCTCCCATTTCACCTGCTTTTCTAATGTCTGGACATGGCTAAGTCCTAGAAAAGCCAGATCCATGGCATTACATTTAATCAGTACAACACACTGAGCTTCGTTTCCAACATGGTAGCTAAGTTTTAATTCTAACATCTTTAAAAGTACTGAGTGTCTTGTGATGCCTTGGGAACACAGGAATAGTGTTAAGTGGTGTTGATTCTCAATGCTCAAATGTACTTCTCTCTGCCTTGCAGAGATTTTTCTAAAATTTCAAGACCTTGTTGAAAATGATTTCATATTTTTGTGTCTTACTAGACTCTTGGTTCAGCAGGAAGCTATCTTTATATATTTTTTTAACAAAAAGAAATTAGTAAAAGCTTGCTCTGATATTTATGCCATATTTCCCTAACTTTTGTCGTGGCAGAAGTAGAAATAAGTGTGTAAACCAGGAGATTAATATCTACAATTTAGGCATGAGAATAGAGAAATAAACCATAAAATCAATTCTTATCTCTCAATGGATATATTCCAGAACATTCCATGGAAATCAAGTGACTAAGTCCTGATCCTCCCTGTCTTTCTCCGCCCCAATCTCCTTCTTATGACATTCCCTTTCTTCTTCCCATTTTCCCTCTTCTAAGCCATAGCTCAGTAGTATGGTGAAATGTCTTTGATTTTAGTTTAAAGAAATGAAATCAGATTCCAGATTTGCTACCTCTTATTAGTTGTGTGGCCTTCAGACAATCCTTTAACCTCCTGATTCTCAATTTCCTCCTGTGTAAAATACATTAGACTAGCTAATCCCTAAGGTCTGTTTGGTGCCCAGTTCACGTGACCGTTGGCAGCCACAGGGAGCCACGGAGTCCCACCAGCGTCCCATAGAGCCACTTGGAGCTTCAGGTACAAGGAACAAGCCCCTCTTAGGCCCCCTCAGGAAAATTTATTCTCGCAGCCAAGCATGTCAAGTGCAATATCAGGAACACCCTTGTCCTTCTTGAACACTGCTTCTGGCCAGAAACTCTGCTGAGATCTGTTGGAGAGTTTCCTGCAAAGATAAGAGTTAACAAGCCCCCAGATTCCCTTCCCCGCTCAGGAGGGGCCCTCACTGTCAGCTTTGGGGCTGATAGAAGCACAGTTCCAAGCGCCTGGCTTCCTCCTCCTCCCCAGTGGATAAAATGCTGGAACTCCGTCAGGCAGGACTGCCATAATTAGAAGAGGCCCCTTTCCAGCAGCTGAAGCTGACTAGGCAGATAGAGCCCAAATTTGTTTTTAGCCACCACATGCCCCTGAGCTGACCCCTCGAGCTGTGGACACATCTCACAACCTCACCCGGAGGCCATTCTCTCAGGCCAGTCACACTCTCCCACAGAGAGAGCGAAGATGATGTCAAATCTATGGCCACCTTCTACCAGCAGAGGGAATGAATGAAAACTGACATGTAGAAGAGTAAGACCACTACTGTTTTCATTTTTGGTATTTTTTTTTTACATTTTAATTTTTTTATACTCTATTTTTAGTAAAAGGGACACCTTTACTATTTCAAACCACCAAAATATAAGCCCTATTTGGTTCAAATCTTTGTACAGCCAGATAGCAATAGATATAAATTGACAATGGCCTCAAGTATAGAATTTGGGGTTATACAAGTGACAGAATTCTTGAGTCTCAGTTGATTATAATATAATGAGGGGACAGTGCCAGGTCTTTCACGTCTCCAGGTGGGAAGGGGACAAGTTGCACGATGGCTGTCCTCATCTGTGCCTGGTTGTGTGAGAATTAGAAACAACGTTTGTAACAGTGGTACCTAGTCTTTGTGACCGTGGTCCTCTTTTTGATATTAATATTTTTGCAGACTAGTTGGCATAAACAAGTTGGCTCTCTGTACTCACATTACAACCACTGAGGTATAACACTATCTCTTGGAGTCCTTAGAAGCACCTCGCTCTGTTCAGCTGGCCTCTCAGCCTTGTGTGGCTGTTTCAGAACTGTTGATCATCTGTCAAGTCATCCCAGAGATCATCTAGATCTTGAGTCCATTTCTTGCATGTTCCAGAACACAAGAAAACATTTGTGGCTATAGCTTCATATTCTATCATGCCTTTCATCCCTTTCTCCCGATAATACATGAACCCGGTTACAGCAGAAATGCATTCCATGCATTTGCAACACTCTGGAAGGAGCCAGTGGTTCTTGTGTGGCTTTACCAGGCCAGTCGAGAATCACTGGGCTGGTGCATGAGAAACCTTCAGTAAGTGGCTGCTGTCTTCATGCACCCATGGAATGCCGAGGTGTTGGTTTTCTTCAATAACCTGCTCCTCAGGGCAGTGTTTCCTAATTGCTGGAGAATGACCCAAGAGTTGATGAAATAATATGAAAAGTACTGTGTTTGCTGTAAGATGGACAAGTATTGGTGATATAGGCCACCCCACTCCCACCCTCCATTCTTTGTCTTGATAGTTCCAGTCCCAGTACAGCACCTGGCACACAGTAGTTGCTCCATCATTATTCACAGCATAATCACAGACACCATTCAGAGCAGAGCTTGTACAGCCCTAAACATAAAGTGCAGCAAACCCAGCTCAAGATCATTGAAGCTAGCAGCCATTCAGCTCCTGCTGTGGGATGGCCAGGGAGGGTCAGAGACTGTGGTCTTGACACATTCTGTGTGGGGTTCATCCACATCTTCCTAAATGCCCAAGGCATGGCTATTTGAAGCAGAGCAAGTAAAGACAACGAGGGGTCCCTCTGCTGGGTTTTCTGTCCCCCTCTGGCTGCCAGCACTAATCTAGCCTTTGAAGAGGGGCAGAAGGGGCAAAGTTAAACCACACTTTCCTCTCTTACCTGTTGTCACCCCTCTAATGACTTTTCACTTTCTCTGCTCACCTTCTCCTTCCTGCCTCTTTTAGAAATGGGAAACAAAGGGCCCATAGGCCCTAAAAGGGGCCACCCTTTGAAGGAGGAGACATGACCACAAATGTCACCCTTTGATATCCTAATGGGATCCATGTTAAAAAAGGAAGTTTTTAACCTGGTCTCAGAGGACACTTGCAAGAGATGCCAAGGAAGGCAGTGTGATCATCCCAAGTCAAGCAGCCTAACGTGAGCCTGTGAGAGAGAAACTGCAATCCACCCGCAACGTGTGGTCATCAAAGGGCGGCAACCCCAGTTACCAGCTTGAGATTAAAAACCCAAATTAAAACAGGGCCAAAGGATTCCTGTCAGCTCTTAACACCTCTCTTAAAATGTGACCACTGTCTGAAAACCATTGTTTGGCTGATGAGGTCTAACTTCATTACACATCACAGTAGGACACTCCTTCCTGAGACCAGGCACTGCTCCCATGAGTGCAGTAGGACAGACCTCCTCTGTTCCTGACGATGATACCCCAATACAGCCCGACAAGCGTGTGCTCAATGAAGGTTCCCAGATCTTTTTAATGCGACTTTTTGCAGGTCAGGTTGCTTCCATCACATGCACTGAACAACCAAATTTTAAACCTAAATATGAAACCTTGTAGTTACATCTGTTGATTTTCGTCTTGTTAGTGTTCATCCAGCATTCAAGTCTGTCGAAATTAAATGTTTATTATTCCTTAGTATTTTTTTAAATTGAAGTCACTTCCATACACAAACCTTGAGTGTAAAGCTCAATGTATTATTGTCTATGTATTCCCCTATGTGACACCACCCAGATCAAGACACAAACATTTCCAACACTCCAGAGGGTTCCCTCATGCCTCTTCTCAGTCAACCCATCCCTACCATCCAGAGGAAACCACTCCTCTGACATCAATTTGTATAGATTTCTCTTTTCCTGCTGTTGAACTTCATGTAAATGTAAACTTACAGTATGTATCCTTTTGTTCTGGCATCTTTTGCTCAACATAATGTCTGTAAGAGTCATCCATACCACGTATTTAGATTAATATAGCCAGGTGTGGTGGCTCAGTCCTGTAATTTTGCACTTTGGGAGGCTGAGGCAGGAAGATTGCTTGAGCCCAGGAGTTCGAGACTGGCCTGGGCAACAAAGTGAGACCCCTGTCTCTACAAAAAAAAATTTTTAAATTAGCCAGGCCCCGTGGTGTGTGCCTGTGGTCCCAGGTACTCAGGAGACTGAGGGAAGAGGATGCCTTGAGCCCAGGAATTTGAGGCTATAGTGAGCTATGATCGTGCCACTGCACTGCAGCCTGGGGACAGAGCAAGATCGTGAACATAGTTTGCATTTTTCATTGCTATGTAGCATTCCAATGTATAGAAACACCACAATCTATTCCTCTGTCAATAAACATATAGGTTTCCAGTTTTTTGCTATTATGAATTAGGTTGTTATATCAACAGGCATTTATGAACACCTAGGAGCAGCATCGCTAGCCCACGAGAGTAGGTGCATGGTGGGTTTTTGTACATACTGCCAAACAGTTTTCCAAAGGGGTTGAGCCAATCTATACTCCCATAAAGTGGAGTTCTAGTTGTTCCAGCCTTAGCCAGCACTTTCATCTTGCCATTATTTTTCACTGTAACTATTCCAGGGGCTGGGTAGTAGTGGTATCTCACCACAGTTTTAATTTGTATTTATCTGGTGACCATGTCATTGAGAACTTTTTCTTTTTCTTTTTTTTTTTTTTTCCCCGAGATGGAGTTTTGCTCTTGTTGCCCAGGCTGGAGTGCAATGGTGTGATCTCAGCTCACTACAACCTCTGCCTCCTGGGTTCAAGCGATTCTCCTGCCTCAGCCTCCCGTGAAGCTGGGATTACGGACATGTGCCACCATGCCCGGCTAATTTTTGTATTTTTAGCAGAGACGGAGTTTCTGCATGTTGGTCAGGTTGGTCTCGAATTCCTGACCTCAGGTGATCTGCCCACCTTCACCTCCCAAAGTGCTGGGATTATAGGCGTGAGCCACCGCGCCCAGCCGAGAACTTTTTCATATGCTCTCTGGCCATTTGAATAGTCTCCTTTTTAACAACGTGCCTGTTGAGTCTTTGCCCCCTCCCCCACTTTTATTTTAAGGTGTTTGACTTTTTCTGATTGACTTGTTTTTCTTTGCATGTTCTGCCTTGAGTCTTTTGTCAGATAAATGTGTTGTGAATATCTTCTCCCAGTCCATGGTTTGTGTGTTATTTTCTTAATAATATCCTTTGATAATAAAGTCCAATTTATCAAAATCTTCTTTTGTGGTATTGCTTTTGGTATTCTCTTTAAGAACTCTTGCCTTATATACAAGGTCACAAAGATATTCTCTTGGAATCATTATGGTTCTACCTCTCACTATTGGGACTATGATCTATCTCCAGTTAACTTTTGTGTATAGAGTGAAGTATGGATCAAAGCTGATTTTTTTTCTCTGTATTAATATCCAATTGCCCCAGTACCATTGTTGAAAAGACCACCCATTCCCCCTTGAATAGCACCTTTGTCATAAATCAAGAGATCATATGTGTGAGTCTACTTCTGGACTCTGTCCCATTTCATTGGTCTTTTTGTTTATCCTTGCACCAATATCACACTCTCTTAAATAGCATAGCTTTATCATTGATCTTGAAAGATGGCAGTGTGGCCAGGCACGGTGGCTAACGCCTATAATTTTGGGAAGGCCAAGGTGGGGGAATTGTTTGAGGCCAGGAGTTTGAGACCAGCCTGGGTAACAAACCAAGACCCAGTCTCTACTAAACAAATATATATATATATAATTAGCCAGGCATGGTGGCGCATGCCTGTAGTCCCAGCTACTCAGAAGGCTGAGGTAAGAAAATTGCTTAAGCCCAGGAGGCGTAGGTTGTAGTGAGCCATGATTCTGCCACTGCACTTCAGCTTGAGCAACAGAGCGAGACCCTGTCCGAGAGAGAGAGAGAGACGCAAGAGAGAGAAACAGAGAGAGATGGCGGTATAAATTCTCGTGGTTATTCTAGTTCTTTTGGTTCCATATATCTGTTTACAGGAATCAGCTTGTCAATTTTTAAAATGTTTAATTTTTGTGAGTATATAGTAGGTGTATACATTTATGGGGTATATGAAATATTTTGATACATGCATGTATCATGCATGCATGATACATGCATGCAATGTATAATAATCACATCAGGGTAAATGGGGAATCCACCATCTCAAGCATTTTTCCTTTCTTTGTGTTACAAACAATCCAATTATAATCATTTATTTTTTTGCCCTGTCTTATGGTGCTGATCTTTCGGTTATTTTAAAACCTGCAATTAAATTATTATTGACTATAGTCACCAAATACTAGGTCTTATTCACTTTTTCTATTTTTTTCCACCCATTAACCATCCCCACCTCCCTCGACACTCTTTCACTACTCTTCCCAGCCTCTGGTAACCATCATTCTACTATCTCCATGAGTTCAATTGTTTTACTTTTTAGCTCCTACAAATAAGTGAGAACATGCCAATTTTGTCCTTCTGTGCCTGGCTTATTTCGTTTAACAAAATGACCTCCAGCTCTATCCATGTTGTTGCAAATGGCAGGCTTTTATTCTTTTTTATGGCTGAATTGTACTCCCATTGTATATATGTACCACGTTTTCTTTATGCAGTTGTCTGTTAATGGACACTTAGGTGCTTCCAAATTTGGCTCTTGTGAATAGTGCTGCAATAAACATGGGTGTGCAGATATCTCTTTGATATACTGATTTCCTTTCTTTGGGGTATATACCTAGCAGTGGGATTACTGGATCATATGGTAGCTCTATTTTTAGTTTTTTTAGTTTTTTGAGGCGCCTCCAAACTGTTCTCCATAGTGATTGTCCTAATTTACATTTGCACCAACAGTGTATGTGGGTTCCCTTTTCTCCACATCCTTGGCAGCTTGTGTTATTGCCTGTCTTTTGGATATAAGCCATTTTAAATGGGGTGAGATGATATCTCATTGTAGTTTTGATTTGCATTTCTCTGATGACCAGTGATGTTGAGTACCTTTTCATATGCCTGTTTGCCATTTGTATGTCTTTTTTTTTTAAACTGTCGATTCACATCTTTTGCATGTTTTTTTAATAGGATTATTAGGTTTTTTTCCTGCAGAGTTGTTTGAGCTCCTTACATATTCTGGTTATTATTCCCTTGCCAGATGGGTAGTTTGCAAATACTTCCTCCCAGTCTGTGGCTTGTCTCTTCACTTTGCTGATTGTTTCCTTTGCTGTGCAGAAGTTTTTTAACTTGATGCAATCTCAATCGTCCATTTTTGCGTTGGTTGCCTGTGCTTGTGGGGTATTACTCAAGAAATCTTTGCCCAGTTCAATGTCCTAGATATTTTCTCAAGTGTTTTCTTTTAGTAATTTCATAGTTTGAGGACTCAGATTTAAGTCTTTAATCCATTTTGATTCAATTTTTGTATATGGTGAGAGATAGGGGTCTAGTTTCATCATTCTTCATATGGATATCCACTTTTTCCAGCACCATTTATTGAAGAGACTGTCCTTTTCTCAATATTTCTTCTTGGCACCTTTGTGAAAATGAGTTCACTGTAGATGTATAGATTTGTTTGTGGGTTTTCTCTTCTATTCCATTGGTCTATGTGTCTGGTTTTATGCTAGAGCCATGCTATTTTAGTTACTATAGCTCTGTCATATAATTAGAAGTCAAGGATTGTGATTCCTCCAGTTTTGTTCATTTTGCTCAGGATGGCTTTGGCTATTTTGGGTCTTTTGTGTTTCCATACATATTTTAGGATTGTTTTTTCTATTTCTGTGAGGAATGTCACATAGAGATTGCATTGAATCTGTAGATTGTTTTAGGTAATATGGACATTTTAACAATATTGATTCTTCCAATTCATGAGTATGGAATATCTTTCCATTTTTTTTGTATCTTCAATTTCTTGTATCAGTGTTTTACAGTCTTCATTGTAGAGATCTTTTACTTCTTCAGTAAAGTTAATTCCTAAGTATTTCATTTTATTTGTGGCTATTGTAAATGGGATTGCTTTCTTGGCTTCTTTTTCAGATTGTTCACTGTTGGCATATAGAAATGCTACTGATTTTTGTATGTTGACTTTATACCCTGCAACTTTACTGAATTCATTTATGAGATCTAATAGCTTTTCGGTGGAGTCTTTAGGTTTTTCTAAATGTAAGATCATATCATCTGCAAACAAAGATAATTTGACTTCTTCCTTTCTAATTTGGATACGTTTATTTCATTCTCTTGACTGATTACTCTAGCCAGGACTTCCAGTACTATGTTGAATAACAGTGGTGAAAGTGGGCATCCTTGTCATGTTCCAGATCTTGGAGGAAAGGTTTTCAGTTTTTCCCCATTCAGTATGATACTAGCTGTGGGTCTGTTGTAAATGGCTTTTATGTTGATTGATGTTCCTTCTATGCCTTTTAGGATTTTTATTATGAAGGGACGTTGAATTTTATCAAATGCTTTTTTAGCATCAATTGAAATGATTATGTGGTTTTTGTCCTTCATTCCATTGATATGATGTATCACATTGATTGATTTGTATATGTTGAGCCATGCTTGCATCCCAGTGATAAATCCCACTTGGTCATGATTGATCTTTTTAATGTATTGTTGAACTCAGTTTGCTAGTATTTTGTTAACGATTTTTGCATCAGTGTTCTTCAGGGATATTGGCCTGTAGATTTTTTGTTTGTTTTGTTTTGTTTTGTTTGATGTGACTTTGTCTGGTTTTGGTATTAGGGTATGCTGGCCTCCTGGAGTGACTTTGGAAGCATTCCCTTCTCCTCTCTTTTTTGGAATAGTTTGAGTAGAATTGGTATTAATTCTTCTTTAAATGTTTGATAAAATTCAGCAGTGAAGCCATGGTGTCCTGGGCTTTTCTTTGCTGGGAGACTTTTTATTACGGCTTTGATTTCATTACTTGTTATTGATCTGTTCAGGCTTTGGATTAGTGATTCAATCTTGACAGGTTGTATGTGTCTAGGAATTTATTTCTTCTAGATTTTCCAATTTATTGGCATACAGTTGCCCATAGTAGCTGCTAATGATCCTTTGAGTATCAGTTATAACATCTCTTTTTTCATCTCTGATTTTATTTACTTGAGCCTTCTTTCTTTTTTTCTTAGTCTGGCTAAAGGTTTGTCAATTTTGTTTATCTTTTCAAAAAACCAACTTTTTATTTTGTCGATCTTTTGTATTGTTTCCTTCATTTCAATTTCATTTATTTCTGCTGTGATCTTTATTCTTTTTTTTTCTACTAACTTTGGCTTTAGCTCCTGCTTTTTTAGTTCTCTAAGATGTATCATTAGGTTGTTTATTTGAATTTTTTCTACTTTTTTGCTGTAGGCACTTATAACTATAAATTTTCTTCCTAGTACTGCTTTTGCCATATCCCATTAGTTTTGGTACATTGTGTTTCCATTATAATTTGTTTCCAGAAATTTTTCAATTTCCCTCTTAATCTCTTCATTGGCACAATGGTCATTCAGGAGCATTGTTTAATTTCCAATTAAACAATTGGAAATTGTATAGTTTCCAAAATTCCTCTTCTTATTGATTTCTAGGGTTTCTTTTTTTTGTTTTTTGTTTGTTTGTTTTTTGTTTCTTGAGACAGTCTCACTCTGTCACCCAGACTGGAGTGCAGTGGCATGATCTCAGCTCACTGCAACCTCCACCTCTTGGGTTCAAGCAATTCTCATGCCTCAACCACCCAAGTAGCTGGGATTACAGGCGTGCACCACCACGCCCGGCTATTTTTTTTTTTTTTTTCCGTACAGACAGGATTTCACCATGTTAGCCAGGCTGGTCTCAAACTCCTGGCCTCAAGTGCTCTGCCTGCCTCAGCCAAAGTCCTGGGATTACAGGCATGAAAATAGACACACTTTTGTGTATCTATTGTATGTTTTTAGATTTGAAGTTATCATATCTTGCAAATAATCTTGTAAACCATTATTTTAAACTGACAACTTAACACTGATTGCATAAACAAACAAAAATAAAACTAATAAAAACTCTACGCTTTAACATAATCTTCCCACTTTTTAACTTTTTCTTGTTTATATCTTATTGTACTGTCTATATCTTGAAAAGTTGTTGTAGTTATTATTTTCAATTGGTTAATCTTTTCATCTTTCTACTTAAGATATGAGTAGTTTACATAACACAACTACAGTACTATAATAATCTTGCTAAGTTTTGAAGAATTGACATCATGACAATGTTGAATTTTCCAAACTATGAATGTGGAACCTCTATATATTTAGGTATTTTAAATTTATCTTAGCAATATTTTGTAGTTCCAGACTACAGGTCTTTTGTACATCTTTAGTCAAATGTTTTTGTAGGTATTTAATAGTTTTACTGTTATTGTAAGTTATATTTTTAAAATTTCATTTTTCAGTAGTTTGTTGCCCATGTGTAGAAATAAATTTTTGTATATTAAATTTGTATCCAACAATATTTTTAAGCTCAATATTGAATCTAGAAGTTTATTTATAGAGATTTCTCAAATTTTCTATGTTAGACAATCATGCCATCTACAAATAAATAGAGTTTTACTTCTTCCATTCCAATTTTTACAAATTTTATTTATTTTTCTTGCCTTATTGACCTCTCTATGATGTCAAATAGAAGTGTAATAGTGGACATAGTTGTCTTGTTTCCAGCCTCAGAAAGTGTTAACTATTTCACTGTTTAATATAATGTTAACTGCAGGTGTTTTTGTAAATGTCATTTTTAGGTGAAGGAAGTCTCCTTATATTGATAGTTCACTGAAAGTTGTTATTATGAATGGGTGTCAGTTTTTATCAATTTTCTTCTGCATCTCTTGAGATTGTATATGTTTTTCTGTTTTATTCTGTTAATGCAACAAGTTACATTGATTTTCAAAGTTGCATTCTTGGAATAAGTCCCACTTGGTCTTAATGAATTATTCTTGTAATTTATCACTGAGCTATATTACCTAATATTTTGTTTACGACTTTTGTGTCTATGTTCACGAGTGACATTGGCTTATAATTTTTCTTTCTTGTAAGTCTTTATCTGGTTTGGGGCTCAGTTTATGCTGGCTCATGAGATGATCCAGATTAATGTTAAATCGTGACTCTGTGCACATTAACTATTCTCAGCTGTGATTTCTGCAAATCAGTAGTTCATTATGAAAATAACAAATAAAATGTTCGATTCGACTGGGATAAGTGTAGAAATCTGTGGGTCTCTATTTGATTCCAGATTAATAGAGTTTTATTTGTCTTTGGTGTTCTGACAGCCATGAAACCACCAACCCGTTGCTTCTCCTCTTTCCCCATAAGAATGTCCTTGGAAATCACAAAATGTTTTGTTTCCCACATCTATAGATCTGTCCCTATGTGGGGGAAAGAAAAGAATGAGTAAACATTACTTCTCAGTGAACTTGTTCCTAAGGATCACTTTTTTAAAAAATCTTTTTTAAATGGGAGTAAGCTGTTATCTGCACAAAGCCCTTGGGGTGAAGTCCAGTCAACAGGGCTTCCCTTAGGAGATGTTCTCTAAACTGTGTTCATGAAAGTGAATAAGAGTTAGCAGGCAAAGGAGAAAGGGGGTTGGAGAGGGATCTAGAGTTTCAGAGAAAGAGAAAAACAGCTCACGAGAAGGACCACACCCTAGAGAGATGACATGGTCAAGGGTCTAACGGAATAATGCGACATCATCTCAACACTATGTGCCAAGGACTGTCCTGAAAGCTGTGTCATAAATAAAGTTTTGGTGCCGCAAAAGAAATAGCACTCAAATATAAAATTTTCTTTTTAATTCTCAGCAAGGCAAGTTACTTCTATAGAAGGGTGCGCCCTTACAGATGGAGCAATGGTGAGCGCACACTTGGACAAGGGAGGGGAAGGGGTTCTTATCCCTGACGCACGTGGCCCCTGCTGTTCTGTCGTTCCCCTATTGGCTGGGGTTAGACCACACAGGCTAAACTAATTCCGATTGGCTAATTTATGTGATGGAGTGATGGCTAATTTAGTGATGGAGTGGGTGGTTTCGTGGGAAAAATGGCTATGACAGAGCATGTAATAGGAATGAGTCAGGGTGGAGCAGGTGATTGGAATGAGTCAGGGTGGAGCAGGTAATCGAAAAAGGTTGCTTTATGAGGAAGTTAAGTTTAAAAGTAGAAGGCAAAAAATTGAACATACTGACATATTGATTCTTTGAAAAGAAATTTAGAACTCATATCTAACAGCTATAAATGTATTAACTGCATTCATCATTCCGACTGCTCAGTCCAAAACCCTTGGAGTCATCCTTGACTCCTGTCTTTCTCTCTCCCACCTCATATCCAATCCATCAGGAAATCCTGTTGGCTCTACCTTCAAAGCATGCCAGGCTGATCATTTCTCCCGGTATCTGTGTCCAGCTCCCTGGCCTGAGCCTCCACCCCCGCTCTCTCCTGGCCACTGTGCTTCCTCCTGACGGCGCTCCCTGCCTCCACTCTGGCTCCTCACAGTTGATTCTCAACACCAAACAGCGAGATTCTTTAAAACAGAAGTCAGCTCAAGATATGTCTCTGTTCAAAACTCTGCTATGACTACCTGTGTCTTGTGGAGTACAAATCCTACCAAGATTCTGGAGGCCCTCCACACACAGGCCCCCATGCCCTCTCTGGCCTGCCTCCATCCCTCCCCTCCAGCCGCGCCACATCCTTAAGGGTCCTCACGCACATGATGCCTTTGCTGTAATGGTTCCCATGCCCACCAAACCCCCAGCTCCTTCAAGGCTTTGCACTAATCTCACCTATGCAGGAGCCCAGTGCCAACTGACCAATTTAATAACACACCTCGCCCCATCCCACTGTACCGTCCAGTGTATTTCTCATGCTTATTGTCCACCTTCTCCCACTAGAATGCAAGCTCTGTGAGGACACGGAGCTTCATTTTGTTCACAGAGGTATCCTCAGCACCTAAATCATGGCCTAGCACATACCAGGCACTGAATAAATATTTGTGAAGTGAGTGAAGCCTCACAACTATCCTAAGAGGTCGGTAGCGTTATTATCCCCATTTTACAGATTGAGAAACTGTAGAGAGGTCAAACCAGAGAGGTCAGCTCTCAAAGTCACATGGAGCCAATATTTGAACCCAGGCATCTGACTCTAGAGGCAATGTTCTTAACCACTGCATTATCCTGGCAAGCCCAAAGTAGCAAATGCAACCCGAGCTTCCAGAAGGCCCTGTGACTTCAGACTATATAAGGGATTGGGAAGTTAAGGCACTCCTTCAGGCTTTGTGTTCAGAAAGGGGTGGGGAACTGGCCAGCACATACCAGGCCTCATAAAACAAGTTAGGGAGTTTGCACCAGGATAGGGCTAGATTTGTCTTTAGAAAGATCCCACTGACTACAGGGTGGAGTACGGATGGGTGTGACAAGGCTGCGGGCAGGGAAATCAGTTAGGGGCTGAGATAATGGTGACCTCAGCCAGGGTGGCAGCTGTGGGGATGGAAAGAGTTGGCCAAAGAGAGATTTAATAATTGTGACTGACAGGATTGTAGTTGAGAGAGAGAGAACAACTCCTAGGTTTGGGGTTTGGGTTAGTTTTGGTTTTTCAAGCTTTTTTGACTATGATCTACAGTAAGAAACACATTCACATTTTGATACAGAATACACACACACACATACACACATACACACGCATACATGTACATACACACATACACACACATGCATACACACACACACATATCTTGAACAAGTTCAATAACCACAGAATACTTTCCCTGACGTTAAATGCTCCTCTGTGTTTCCTAATCTTGTCTATCTCTTGTCTCTTTCTCTCCTTTTTTTAAATGCTGGTTGCCACTCATGACATTGATTTCATGACTGATCATGGCTTGCAGTCTGGAAGCCCTTGACCAGAGAGTGATTGGAGGCTTGGGACACAGCTAGGCTGACAGACAGGAGCCTCGAAAGCTGTGTCCCTGGACCTCCTTTCTGCAGAGTCCCCTTCCTGCATGACATACACAGTCTGGCTCCCATCACACTTACCAGTCTCGTTACTCATTGAATTAGTCCATTTTCACACTGCTGATAAAGACATACCTGAGACTGGCAATTTACAAAAGAAAGGGGTAATGGACTCACAGTTCCACGTGGCTGGGGAGGCCTACCAAACATGGCAGAAGGTGAAAGGCACGCCTCACATGGCAGCAGACAAGAGAAGAGGACCTGTGCAGGGAAACTCCCCTTTATAAAACCATCAGATCTTGTAAGACTTATTCACTACCACGAGAACAACATAGGAAAGACGTGACCCCACGATTCAATTTCCTCCCACCAGGTCCCTCCCACCACACGTGGGAATTGTGGGAGCTACAATTCAAGATGAGATGTGGGTGGGGACACAACCAAACCATATCACTCATTCCTTTGGGGAAAATCCTTTGTCTCTTTCAAGGCATCTCTCAGTAAGTCTCATCAATGAATATATGTGGACAAGCAGGAGGTGTGGAGGGGTCATGGAAGCTATTGTTTAATAGGCACAGAGTTTCACTTTTGTAAGATGCGAAAAGTTCTGTGGAGGAATGCTGGTGATAGTAGCACAACCATGTGAGTGTACTTAATACCACCAAACTGTACTCTTAAAAATTATTAAGATGGGGCACCTGTAGTCCCAGCTACTTGGGAGGCTGAGACAGGAGAATGGAGTGAACCCAGGAGGCGGAGCTTGCAGTGATCCAAGATCGCACCATTGCACTCCAGCCTGGGCAACAGAGCGAGACTCCATCTCAAAAAAAAAAAAAAAAAAAAGGTTAAGATGGTGGATTTTATGTTACATGTATTTTGCCACAATTTTTTAAATCAATGTGTAGGCAAACTAATAGAAAAAAGAGTGTCTGGAGTGGCTTTCCAGACATGAAGTCTCAGGGTTGAAAGAGTCCTTGGAAGGCTTTTAGACCAAACCCCTCTGCATGCTCAAGCCTTGGGTACAGGATTTCTAAGAAGTGGAACAGTCTCCAGGGGTGTGGAGCTCATCGCTCAAGGCAGGTTATCTTATCTGAATAATTTTGTCTGTTGACTATTGGGATAGTTCTCCTTCAGATGAGCTGAAATTTTCTCCATAGCTTCCTCTATTAAACCCAATTCCACTTCTCAGGGTCACAAAAAAAAAAACAAAACCTAAATTCCCTCTCCCATGCAGTATGTATTCAATAAATATTTATTAGGCATATGCCTAAGTACCACTGTCTGATCTTCCAAATCTTCTCTTTTCCAGTTAAAAATTCCAAATCTGACAACTATTTCTTAAATGACATGATTCAATGTCCCCTTACCATCTGACTGCTCTTTTGAAATCATCAATTTCCTCTTATTGTGGGACATCTATAAACAAAAAGAGGCCAGGCACAGTGGCTCATGCCTGTAATCCCAGCACTTTGGGAGACCAAGGTGGGAGGATCTCTTGAGGCTAGGAGTTCAAGACCAGCCTGGTCAACATAGTGAGACACCATCTCTACAAAAAAACTTCAAAATTAGCTGACATGGTGGCATGTACCTCTAGTCCCAGCTACTCAGGAGACTGAGAGGGTAGGATCGCTTGAGTCCAGAAGTTTGGGGTTCCAGTGAGCCACGATCACACCAATGCACTACCGCCTGGGTGACAGAGCAAGACCCTGTTTCAAAAAAAATAAATAAAATGTTTTCAGAAATAAAAACATTACAATAATCAATAGCCCCAAATGATTTCATCAAAAAATGGGAGATTCTAATGGAATTTCCAGGCCCAAGTGAGCACAGTGTCATGGCATGCTGGTGAGAAAGATATGTGAAGGCCATGCTGACATATTGCAAGGAGGACTACATTTGTCTTTCAGGTGCAAGACAAAAAATAGTGTAAATTCACCCTTAAGTCTTAAGGATAGGTACGAGATCCAATCAGCCTTCACTCTTATCTCTAATTTATTCTGTCTCATCAGAACCAGAAAACATCACCGCACTTTCCTTGGAGGTAAGTGCTTTATTCCATGTAGTGTGCCACAGGACTGCATCTTGCCACTACATAAATACACATAATATATGATTTCCTCCTTCAACTCTGGAACCTAAACAAATGGATTATGTTCCCCAAATTCCATAAAGCCATAATTCTGTTGAGTGGCCATGGCGCTCCCAAAGAATTTCTTTCTAAATATAGAGAGGTATTCCTCTGCAGAAAAAAATATCCCAGCATCTTGGTTCTAATATATAATTAACTCCTCTCTAGATACTTTGCAGTTACGTTTTATGGCTTATTTTGAGTGTTCATATTTTATCAGAAAATTATAATTTTCCTCTAAATAGGAGTTTTTACAAGGCTTTTGAATTCTGATGACTGGCTTCATGTTTCAGCTATAATTAAAACAGTGAAATGAAATAGCATCACCATGCATCACATGTGGTTCTGAGACTGCTTGGTCCCCCAACCGCCTGTCTCCCCACACCCCGCAACCTGCAGGCTGGGGACACTCTGACCAATGGTGGGGGCTCCAGTTTTGACCACTTAGTGGGACAGCTGGTTTTAGAAAGAAACAGAATGGCCTGAGAAGAAGGGATGAGGAGACCAAAGTCCTCACCTCGGAGAAGCCTCCCAAATATGTCCCCCACCGATGTCCCACCTTGCCCCATTTTCCTTCCAGGAAAATATACTTTCTCCAAGAAATACACTTTCCCTCCAGGAAAATTCACTTTCCATCTAGTTGTTAGCTTATGAGCTTACTCTCTGCTTCCCCTCTAGACTGCCAACTCCATGAGGGCCAATGCAAAGTCTTTTTTTTTTCTTTTGTTTTTTTTGAGATGAAGTTTCATTCTTGTCCCCCAGGCTGGAGTGCAGTTGTGTGATCTCGGCTCACTGCAACCTCCGTCTCCCAGGTTCAAGTGATTCTTCTGCCTCAACCTCTCAAGTAGCTGGGATTACAGGTGCCTGCCACCACGCCTGGCTAATTTTTGTATTTTAGTAGAGACGGAGTTTCACCATGTTGGCCAGGCTGGTCTCAAACTCCTGACCTCAGGTGATCCACCCGCCTCAGCCTCCCAAAGTGCTGAGATTACAGGCGTGAGCCACCATGCCTGGCCGCAAAGTCTTTTTCATTCAACATGGTATAGACAACTTCTTGAACCCCGTATTAGTTTGCTAGGCTACTATACCAACCAACCATAGGCTGGGGGTTTAAACAATAGAAATTGCTTTTCCCACAGTGCTGGAGATCAGAAGCCTGAAGTCAAGGTGTCAGCAGTGTTGGTTTCTCCGGAAGCCTCTCTCTTTGGCTTGTGCATGGCTGTCTTCTCCCTATATCCTCACATGGTCTTCCCTTTGTGTGTGTCTGTGTCCCAATCTCCTCTTCTAATAAGCACACCAGTCATGTTGGATTAGGGCCCACCCTAATGACCTTATTTTACCTTAATTACCTCTTTTTTTGAGACGGAGTCTTGCTCTGTTGCCTAGGCTGGAGTGCAGTGGCGCAATCTCAGCTCACTGCAACCTCCGCCTCCTGGGTTTGAGCAATTCTCCCTGCCTCAGCCTCCCAAGTAGCTGGGATTACAGGCACCCACTACCACACCTAGCTAATTTTTGTATTTTTAGTAGAGAGGGCATTTCGCCATGTTGACCAGGCTGGTCTCGAACTCCTGACCTCAGGTGATCCACCCACCTTGGCCTCCCAGCGTGCTGGGATTATAGGCGTGAGCCACCACTCTCAGCCTTAATTACCTCTTCAAAGACCTTATCTCCAAATACAGCCATCCCTCAGTAGCTCGTGGGATAGGTTCCGGGACCCACCCTTGCTCAGGACACCAAAATTTGTGGATGCTTAAGTTTCTGACATAAAATGGCATAGTATTTGCATATAACCTATGTACATCCTTCTGTATGCTTTAAATCAGCTCTGGATTACTTATAATACCTCATACAATGCCTACACATCACTTTATGTACATGGATTCAATGTAGTTCTCTGGACAGAGCAAATTCAAGTTTTGCTTTTTGGAACTTGGTGGAATTTTTTCTGAATATTTTTGATTCAGAATTGGTTGAATCCACAGATGCAGAACGCCCAGATATAGAAGGCTGACTGCACAGTCACATTCCGAGGTTCTTGGGGTCAGGATTTAAACATATGAAGTTTGGGGTGGGGGGCCGAATTCATCCCATAACACAGTATTAGGCTATCAACCACTGTTTGCTGACTGAGAAAAAAATGAATGACCAATAGAACACAGAAACATTATGGCAGGCATGCTCCCGGAAGCAGTTCTCCTAGCACACGCTTCTGAAGGCCTTTCCTTTTTCCCCCTTCCCTCTCCCTCCACCCATACAAGGGTCCAGACGAGTGAGTCTTCTGTCAACTTCGGGTCCAACCTAACCAATCCAGTCACACAAAACCCTGTGCCATGAACTTCAGACATGATACTAATTCCCAGGAAAGACTAGGCCATCTCCAGGAAGCCTTCCTTGTTTGTCTTCAGGGAACCCCTGCTCAGTAGGGGGACTGCAGAACACACAGAAGCCATTGAGTTGTCTCTATGATGATGACCACATCGCAGCAGGGTACAGCTGAGCCACCAGAGCTTGCCCATCTGCTCCCTCTGGGCCCCGCCATGATTCTTTCTATCACTGCCTGTAAGCCTTTATAGTCTTCCTCTCTCTCCTTGCAAGAGAAACCTCCTAACTTGTTGGCCACTGATGGACTTTAACCAGGGTGTTTGTCATGGACCTGTATTGCCACCAAGGTGGCTTTGGCTCCCTGAGTCCTGACCCTCTGCTTGTTACTTCCCAACAGGCGTCGGGTTTGGAGTTCAAGTCGGTAGCCGACAGCGTTCTGTTTTTACGTGACAAAAGATGGGAAGAGGTCAGAGGTGCCCTGATGTCTGCTTTCAGTCCTGAAAAGCTGAACGAGGTAAGACATGAGAAATGCAAACTCTCTTCTCTTACGGAGCAGGTTTCTTCTCTCCAAATCGTGATGAGAGCCAGTTCATGTTGCATCACTTGCCCAGGTGACACATCAAAATGCCTTTCCCACTGGGACCTTCAGACCTCTCTGTTATGCAGAAAGCACGGGACTCTGTGTTGAGCGTCTTTCGTCTCTCCAGCCTCCCATATCCCCACTTGCCATAAATGAACTGTGAGTCAACAAGTACACAGGGCATTCGCCTGTGTCCAGAGACAGAGCTTGAGGTGCTTTGGGGGCCCCAGGAGACAACTGCAACAGTGTCTGTTGGACTGTCATGCATAATGGATCACCTAGGGATCTGGCTACAAAGCAGGCTCTGATTCAAGAGGGCCAGGGTGGCCTAAGAATCTGCATTTATAACACCCGGCCAGGTAATTTCGTTGTTACTGGACAATGAACCACACTTTACATAGCAAGAAACTAGAGAACAGCATGAAACAAAGGTGACCTACCAATCAAGTCTTAAATAGGGAGGTGATTGCAGTGAATGACTGGGGAGGAGTGGGCGATCATGTCAGGCAGGGACACCCAGGTTAACCTCTAGGCCAAGTTCAAGGGAAGGGCAGGCTCCACAGGATGCTACCAGCTCTCTAAGGCCCTGGACACTCTCCTTTCCCTACTGAGTGACTCACTCTTTCCTATCAGCTGTGCACCCAAAACCGGGTGTTTGTACAGCCTCCAGACCAATTTCTCACACAACAGATCCTGACTGCTGTGTTTTGTATCTAAGCCTGACAGCCCCCTCAATTGCTGGTCTGGCTTTGGTGTTTGCTGTTCTGAATTGTGCAACCACAAGGGAGAGAGAACTTGAGCCCTTATGATGTGAAGGGGCTAAGGGGCTTCTTTAGTTCCAGTCTCAGGTACACAGGCATCTCTAGAGCAAGGGAGCTTCCAAAGCTTGGCTTGAGTGCCCTGGGCTTCTGCCATCCACCCTGTCTGGATGTTCCAGAGTAGCCTGTCTTCAGTTCAATAAAAATGAAAGCTACTTTTAGCTTAAGCTCAAGATGCTCATCCATATGGTCCTGATTGAATTCCTATAAATCTTCTGAAGTCCCCCAGAAGAGGAGGGGGTTCCACACCTCATTATATCCAATTAAACTCACTCAGAAGCTAGTGATCCCCCCATTTTTATGAGGTTTTGATTTGCATTTCCATGGGTAGCTGTTGGTGTTTGGGGGCAGAGCCTGTCTCTGTATGCAGCACCTGCTCACACTCACACAGCTCAGAGTCAGGTACCAAGGGTTGCCTGTTTAGACTAACACACTGCCTCTTCACCACATTCCTGCGAGATAAATACCATCATCCTTATTATTACCATCCCATTTTACAGAGGAGGAAACTAGGCACGGAGAGATTAAGTAGCGTGCTCCAAGTCTCATAGCTAGTAAGCAGCAGAGCCAAAATCAGAATCCAGCTCCGGAGCGCTCTTCACCTCTCTGCCTGACTGCTTGCTACCTCCATGTGATTTTCCAGTGGTGCTCGGAGGCCACGTAGGACTGTGCCAGGGGCTGTCTGGAGGATGCAGGAAGGGGAAGTGTAGCAAATGGGGCCTCGGTGGAAAGCTGGGGGGTGGGGGAGGGTCAGAAGCAAAACTTCTCTATTTTCTGCCTAAGTTTGGAACCAACTGAGGTATGGAAAGAGGTTTTAGGCAAAGGAAATAAAATTTTCTCTTATCTTACTGGTAAAGCTGTTTGAAAAATAGAGTCCCCATCTGATCACATGGGCTTGCTATGCTAATACTTCACCCAGAATGGGACAATTGCAGGGGGGTGGCAGATGCCATCGGGGCTGGCCCGCGGCCCACATGTGCTCAATTCCTTCCTCCAAGACTGGGTCTGATACAGTGTAGACAGCAGGAGATGGAGAGTGACTTAGATGCAGCGGTTGGCCAGTGGGGCCCACCGGGATCACTTGGGGGGCTTTGAAAACTGTTGCTGCCTGGGTCCCACACCTAGAAATTCTCATTCGCTTGGTTTGCTTTGGGATGCAGCCTGGGTTTGAGGATATTTTTTTCAGGCTCCCCAGGTGATTGTCACGTAAAGCCAGTATTGGGAACCACCACCAGTAGAAGTTCCCCACAAGGACATGAGAGGAAAGGGGCACCTGCTTCCACTGCAACAATTAGCCCTGCTCACATTGATCTCTGTTATCTATTGAGGATTCACAGGAGAATGTGAAGGAAGGGCCTGCATCTTAAAGCTAGAAACCACTGCTCTAAACCATGTAGACTAGCTGCCTGGAGTGTGCCCCTTTATCACATCCAGCCACTAAAAGGTTGAGTCAGCCAAGAGAAGACCGGGGGAAGAGAGGAGAGGTAGGTGAGCCTAGGGCTGGCATCACTAGCGTATATGTCTGTATTCAAAAGCAATGGCTTCATGGCACTATAGAAGTAGAAAGAACCTCATGTGTGAAAAAGAAATTGGTAAAGAGTATCTGAGAAAAGAAGAAAAGAGAAAGAAGAAAAGGAAGCAAGGAAAGGAAAATAAGGTTTAGCAGTCCTGGGCTATGATTCTTTGATAAGGAATTTTATCATGGTCTAGATTCCTTTAACCCCTTACAGGGGATACTCCAGAAAGTGACACATTGTCGTTTCCCAAGCAAATCCAGTGCTCCTGGAGTCCAGTCTTCTCCCTCTAGTCCAGAAATCAAATGCATAGTGCCTGAATTAATTGCAGAAAATAGAGTTCCTCAATATGTCCACGGCATTAAGATGCCAAGAGAAGCCAGGCAAGGTGGCTCACGCCTGTAATCCCAGCACTTTGGGAGGCCGAAGCGGGTGGATCACCTGAGGTCAGGAGTTCAAGACCAGCTTGATCAACATGGTGAAACCCTGTCTCTACTAAGAATACAAAAAGTAGCCAGTGTGGTGGCAGGCACCTGTAACCCCAGCTACTCAGGACCCTGAGGCAGGAGAATCGCTTGAATCCAGGAGGCAGAGGTTGCAGTAAGCCAAGATCATACCACTGCACTCTAGCCTTGGTGACAGAGTAAGACTCCAGACTCCATCTCAAAAAAAAAAAAAAAAAAAAAAAAGCCAAGAGGTAGAGAGAGATTTCATAGAGCCCATTATTTACCATACACTATCAATAACCTTGAAATTCCCTTGAAAGGCATTTTTTTCTACTCCATATAGTTCAATTTAGGTTCTTGGGTTTGCGTTTGAAAGGATTCCATCCCAGAGGCAGGAGAAGTTAACTTTTTCCCCACCTCTGGGGATTTTAGACCTGGCGAGTTGAAGTTTACTGGAAGGCCCCTAAGGAGACCCTTCAAGAAGAAGTTGGCTGTGCAGATGGCACTCAGGTGGGAGGGGGAAGAAAGATGGTCTTCAAAACACAGAGACGTGTAGCATATGTGTTAGATATGGTTCTGGGGAGAACCATATTTAAGGGAGGAGCGGAGGAGAAACCTATAAAGAAGACTCAGGAAGAACAGCCTGAAATGGAAACCAGCAGAATGTGGAAGGGGAAAGCATTTCAAAGAGGAAGGAGCAGCCAGAGGTGTTAAATGCTGCTCACATGGAAAGAAACACGAGGACGAAAAAGTGCACAGCAAAGATAATATTTCTGAAACGTGAAACCAATGTATGTCTGTTTCATGCTCCATAGATCGTGTTCCCTGTAATTTTCCCGCACCCGCGGAATCAATGGCACCAGTGGGTGCTCCTGAAGGTGCCTCTGAGGAAGACAGTAGGTGCCATCCAGAACAAGGAAGTAGTTGCTTGATTTTGAACTGTACGTTAGCAAGCTTTATTAGGAGAGGAAAGAGTTTTCCTAATTCCAAAAGCAGCTCCCCTTTGCATATGAAGAGCAGAGGGTTTGAGGCTCTAAGCCATGGTGTAGACAGGATGCAGGAAATGACAGGGGGGCTGCTTCTGGGCTGTGGAAGATGGGTGGAGGGGACAAAATGAGAAGTGTCCTATATTCCTCCCCAAAACCTCCTGGTTTCTGGATGCTTCCTCAAACTTTAATCTCCCAGCTGCCTTTGTTCTCTAAGTCACTGGTTCTCAAACCTTGTGGGACCAAGGGCTGCATGAGAATCACCTAGGACCCTTGTTAAAAATACATAATTTCAGCCACCTCAAGATCTATATAGTCAGAATTTCTAAGGGTAACTGAGAATTCGCATGTCACGAGTTCCCTGGAAAGATTCTGCTGAGAGCCAGCGTGGAAAGCCCCGGCACAGTGAGTGTTCCTGTTGGTCCCCTCTCTGACCACCTCAGACCGACTACATCTCCAGGCTCGAAGGACCTGGCCCCTGAACCCCCACCCTCCACTGCTTTATTTTTCTCTGTGGAACTATCACCAGCTAACATTCCATTTTGTTTACCTGTTTATTGTATGTCCCCTTCTGCTAGATGGATGCTTCAGGAGGACAAAGTCTTTTTGCTTTTTTCTTATTTTCTTTATGGTTAACTGCACACACTAGGTACATAATAGACATTCAGGAACAATTAATGAATGGATGTATGAAGAATCAAAGAACCGAGAAGCTTTCTACCTATTCTGCCTAAGGATACATGATGAAACTAAGCTAAAAAAATGAAAGGGAAATAATTCTATCAAGAAAAAATTAAATAAGAGGATACAGCAAACTGGCTTTTCCTTTAGAGAGTCACCAATATATATACACATATACGTATACACATACAAAAAGTCACAGACACAAAGAGGGAAATGAGCCACAGTGTTAGGAGATAGCTCAGAGACTCTGAGCCACAGATACTCGGCTGTGGGTATCTGAGTCAGTTTTCCTGGAAATAGCTTTGAAATACCAGCATCTCTAGTCCTTTCTGAATTTGTAAGTAGTCTTTGGACTTTTGTTATCAAACATCAGAGTTTATTCTTGAAATAAAAGTTTGTTTCCCCTTGGAATTCTGAGGCTTTCTCCTTTAGAACCTTGGCAGCCTAAGTCCCTCTCTACCTGTGTCTTTAAGTATGGTCAATATTCAAAAGCTTTGGATGGCGTTGTCTTCGTTTATGCGGATATTAGGTTGCCTCAGTCAACAATGCTTGAAAATGGCTTTAAAATGAGCATCATATCATGAAGCCATATTTGTATTTAAATTAAAATTGTTTTTTTTTTTTGGCCTATGTCATACCAGGGATAATATAGAGCAACAGAGAACCAGGGAAAATGTGATTCATGCATCTCCAAGTCAGGAAAAAGAGACTATTGGAATCATAGCCAGCGACAAACAAGTTATTGGGATTTATAGAAAAGGATGGCTGAGCATTCCTGGAAAAACAACTGACTTTTTGTTGTTGTTGCTGTTGTTAGGGAAGATTTTGTCTGCTTAACTGGCCAGAGTTTTCACTCCATCCCCCGAAGAATTGACGTTTTAAAAAGCACAACTGTAGATTTAGATTTTCACAGTCTTTTGCTAGATTCTTTACCAAAGACTATTAGTGAGTAGTAACCCTGGGATTGTGTAAAACTTTATTAAGGATGAGGGAATAAATAGGTTTAATTTCAGGAAATAAAACTGGGGCTAAATTAGTACTTCTCTGACGGAAAATGTATAAATAATGTGATCCCCTGGGGACCCAGGTTAGCACTAGATTTATTTTTAAATTTTATAACTCATCTGAAAGAGAGAGAACACAGTGGAATCTATATATTTGTATATTCCTCTAAGCTGTTCTGATTTGAAAGATATTAAATCAATAGGAATAACTTTCTGAGACTCTTGTAAGATTGCATAAGTCAGCACAAAAGTGGCAGGTAACCTTCAGTGTAAGCAAGAATAAAAGAATACATTTAGGAGAAAGGCATCTAAACTGTACTTATATGATGATGAATTTCAAGCTATGAATTACTACCAGGGAAAAGGATTTGAAATATGGAGGACCGAAAAGGCCCCATAGTCAAATAATTTGGTGAAATATTACAAACTATATTCTTCAAGATTCACCATGTACCTGAGCATATGAAAGGCTTGAGAAAGGCCTGCAGTAAAGAAACCTGCTTAACTTTGTTTATTCTGGGCTCAAATAGGTTTTCAAAAGGAGAGAACGTGGGTTGTTAACTTCCTGGTTGGCTACTGAGAGAAATGAGTCTCTTGAGCAATTATCCTTTGCAGGTAGCTTCCATGAAGAACCCAGTTTTTGAGTGCCTCTAGCAGAGACTAAGCTTCAAACCTCATTAACCATGGATCCAATCCAATATGGCAGCTTGTATGTTCTCCATTCTCAAAGCCCAATATAAATGATGGGCTTTCTTCATTCACCCAGATAACTAAGAGCTGATGGTACCCCATTGAGCAGATATGGGAGACAATGAATCTTCATAGATGAGTGCCTAAGGATATATGTGTCACTCAAGAGTAAATGAACCAATCATGTTGCTATGCATAGGGACTCAGTTAAAGAAAAGTCAGATAAAATGGGAGGCTGGTATCTCGCACAGCACTGATCCGGCTCTCTGCCTAATTTTTCACTTTTCATCCAGATGTTCCCCGTCAAGAAGGCACAGTCAATAATGTATGAATCTTAAAGGCAGAGGCAGATGTGGTTATTACTCCCTGTAGGCATTTCCTGACTTGGAGACGACATGTTACTCGAGAATGACTACAATTTTTAAAAATTTAAGTTGATATAGCCCGCTTATGAGTAAATGCATTTCAGTGCAAAAGTCTTTTCAGAATTACAGTCATCATCACAGTTTAGTTTGGCCTTTAAATTTTCACTGTAAACTCTCCAGATGGTCACATATGGGGGCTTCTAAGGCAGAACACGCTTCCCAATAACATTAGAGCAAGCAGCCTTCTCTAGGAGGCATCCATTTCCAGCAGTCTATTTTTAATATTTGCTTTTATTTCTTAATCCTCCTGAACAATAAAAATGAACGTCATTATAACCAAGTGTGGCTGTAGTCATCAATACTTCAGAGTCCAAAAATACATTGGCCTTGCCTGACCAGTTGCCCATTTTCTGGAATAGCTGGGTATTTATCTAGCAGCGAGAGACCATTATCCTGAGACACAGTCGTGTTCCACCGACACCTGATCTACTAATTAAAATCACTATCATGATGGACTGTTTAAATTCTGGTTTAAATGTTCCTTTTGCATTTGCATTTAAAAGAAAACACACTCCTCATCATGGGCACCCCAGCCTGGGTTATAATTTGGCTTTCCTTTGCCAGAATTATAATGTCACTCTGACTTGCCGCTGGTTAAATCTAAAAGAGCATCTAAATGTGCCTCACAGCTTGGCTGTTGCTTGGCAACGCCAGCAGCCACCTCCTCATTGGGGTGACTTCTAATTGGTCACAAGTCTTGACAGGAGCCACTGACTTATTAGAAATGACACTTGATTATTCACCTAGATGGCTAGAGCTGATACTTAGCAGCAGGAAATTTTGCATAAAAAGGAGTCGTGGATGTTTTTAATATCTGGGTGGCTTTTAGCGATGGTGTAGTGGAAGAAGGAAGTGATAAGTTTCATTAGTGGAAATTAATTTTTCATTTGTTGGTCACCAGTTTAGAGCACTTTAAGGCATTAATTTTTTCATTTTAAAAAAAAACCCAGAAATACGTTTAAATACCTTCCCCCACCCCCAGCAGCTGACCCTTACTTATTCAGAAAACCCTCCTCTGACATCAGCCCCAAAATATTGCCCCCAGGTCCACCAAGGGCCAAATCAGATGAAATGTTCAATTTATAAAGGTCAACAAATATTTATTAATTAGTTCCTGTTGTTAAGGAGTTTATAATGTAGAAGAGAAACAAGGTACATAAATCACTGCATTATTACCAATCGTGGAAGGTGGTGACAGAGCTGGGGTCCTGCTTTGAGCATCAGAAGCCACTTTGGCAGGGAGGAAGCAGTGAGTAGCACCGGAATTGAGCTCTGAAGATTTTGCTGTTTTGACAGAGGGAGAAGGTGCATTGCAGGTGGAATGAGCTGCAGGAATCAAGGCATCTGGACAGAAAAGTACAGGGTATGTTCAGGGAATAGGGGAGTACAAATTGGCTGGAACACAGAGTACATGTAAGGGATTAGTGAGAAAGAAAGCTGAAAAAGTAGGTTGAGGCACGTACAGTTCACTGTTCTGTGCCGAGAGAGTGTTTGGTGCACACTTCACTAGAGCTCGAGGAGCTATTAAATACTTGAAAGTGAGGGAGTGACCTGCTCAGAACTCTGTGTTAGGAAAAAGGGTTTCATTTCAGCTGTTTAGCCCCCAAGCCAGCCATTTCCCAGACCCATGGGGCAAATCTTTCTGGTGCAGATGAGGGGAACTGTGAATTGTCTGGAGGAGTCTCCTCTTTGTAGTAGCCCCAAGTATGGGCAGGCTCCCAGGGGCCATGTTATGACATCAAGGCAGCGGTGTCCACTGTGGCTCTTTTGAGTCCCTCTTCGTGTGTGGATCAACAAGTCACCCAAGCTACACACCATCAACGTTTGGGGCTTATCTCTGTTTAGATGGATAGGGTTATGTAAAAAAGACCCTCTCCTTCCCTCTCTCTGTGTAGGAAATATGTTTTCCCTAGCACTCAGCATTGTCCAAACTTTCAGGAACTCCAAAGGCTTAAAGATGGTGGGTTTTTTCTTTCTCAAGTTTATGACATAAGATCTGCACAGAATGACCTAGAAGTGAATAAACTAAGGAGCAAAGGAAATGTGGAGGCTGAGTTTTGTGGGAAAGCAACAAGCCAGGAGTCAGGATATCTGGGGTTCCAATTCTCATTTGAACACAAAAATAACCAGATTCTGCCCTTTAGGTCCCTATGTATTCTGAAGTTGATGTGTCAAAGAAATGACAAAAGGCTTTCTTGGGAATGGGATGTGTTGCTGAAAGCACATGGACCAATGATCTGACACTTCCCTGCACTGAGCTAAGAATTTGGCTGCTCTCTCCATGGCTTCAAGCAACTGTCTCAACCTGATGCTTTGTGACCTCCTTGGAATCTTCAAATGTCAGTGGAAAGGGACATTATAGCTCATTGCGATCAGCCCTTCATTTAGGGATGAGGACCCACGTTCAGAGAGATTCAAATGCCAGGTCCAAAGTAACACATAGGACCAGCATGAGTCTCAGCTTTCTTCTTCAGAGCCAGTTTTCAGCAAACCACACTGTATTCATGCTAAGAGACAGTGCCTCAATCTGTTCATGTTTCTTGGGTACCTTCTATGTCAAGGCTCTCAAGGAACATTTGATCAATCAGTCATCACACAGGTATTTCTAGAAAATCAACAGAATGGGGTGTGCTATGCTCATTCTTGATATAACAAATACCAAAAACTTCATTAATCCATGACAACATGCAATAGTTACCACAAAAGAGCAATATTGAGAGTGTATTAGTTATCTATTGCTGTGTAACAAAATTACCCCAAAACTTAGTGGCTTAAAACAAACTTTTGTTAGCTCATTGTTTCTGTGGGTCAGGAATCCTGGCATGGCTTAGCTGAGTGCAAAGGCTGAGTCCAGAGGGACTGAGGGCTGAGGCCAGAGGGATCAAGGTGTCTTGGAGTAGTAGTCAAATGGCTGGCCTGATCTGTGGTCTCATCTGAAGGCTTGACTGGGGGAAGATCTGCTTCTAAGCCTCATCACACGGTTATTAGCAGGATTCAATTCGTAATGGACTTTGGAAGATAAGAATCTTGTACTGTGTCCTTCAGTCAGTGGGGATCTACAAATGTTTCAGCAAAGCATTACTGAAATAACAAGTATTTTTGGAAGATCTGGCCAGGCATGGTGGCTCATGCCTGTAATCCCAGAACTTCAAGAGGCCAAGGTGGGAGGATCGTTTGAACCCAGGAGTTCAAGACCAACTTGGGCAACATAGGGAGACCCCGTTTCTACAAAACATTAAAAAAATTAGCCAGCTGTGGTTGTGTGTGTCTGTAGTCCCAGATATTAATACTTGAGGGGCTGAAATGGGAGGATGGTTTGAGCCCAGGAGGGCAAGGATGCAGTGAGCTGTAATCATGCCACTGCACTCCAGCCTGGGTGACAGAATGAGATCCTGTCTCAAAAGAAAAGAAAAGAGGCCAGGAAGCTCTTTCAAAGAACTTTCTTTAGTACACCTGGGTGTCAGGCACTATCAAAGTCCTAAGACTACAAAGATGCTTAGGCTATAGTCTTTTTTCTCAAGAAGGAAGATGACAACCATATTCCAGGTGACAAGTAGCAACACCTGAACTAGGAGGTGACTGAGGAGATAAATATGAAAGAACAGATGAAAGAAAGGAAGCAATGTTAACATGATGAGGCAAGAACAGATGGCTCCAATGGGGAGTTGTCCCTGAGGAACAAGAAAAGAGAAGAGAATGATTCCAGTAGTCCAAACCAGCCTGGGAGGACGGATCCCTCCAGAGGACAACTACCATGTTTACACCACTCCCTGCTTTCTGTGCCAAGTGTTTTGCATATTTTGTTTCTAATCTTTGTCACGACTCTTCAAGGGAGGTATTATTTTCATTTTTGCAGATGAGGAACTAGACTCAGTGAGGTTAGGCAATGTACCCAAGATCACACAGCTATAAAGTGCCAGGGGAAGGAAACCTACTAATTTGCAGTGCCTTTGAGTATTTGCTATGCTTGGGGCAAGTATTCTCCAACAAGGTCGGAATCTTACACTCAAGGAAGGAAACTCAGTGATGAGATTCTGTGAGTCACCCAAAAGGAGAGGAGAAGAAGACCTTTGAGCAGAAGCTCTCAGCCCTTCTTGGTCGTTACTCTCTTTGCCCACTCATCAGGCCCTCCCTCCTTTTAGAATTCACTCTGTTGCCCTCTGTCTGCACCTTGACTCAAAATTTCACAGACACAGTTGGTAGAAAATCCATTAAAAAAAAAACTGGTGCCCATCAATGACAGACTGGATAAAGAAAATGTGGTACATATATGGCATGGAATACTATGCAGCCATAAAAAGGGACTAGATTATGTCCTTTGCAGGGACATGGATGGAGCTGGAGGCCATTATCCTCAGCTAACTAACACAGGAACAGAAAACCGAACACCACATGTTCTCACTTACAAGTGGGAGCTGAACAATGAGAACACATGCGCATAAGGAGGAGAACAACACACACTGAGGCCTGTTGGGGGAGGGGGGAGGAAGAGCATCAGGATAAATAGCTAATGCCTAATACCTAGGTGATGGGTTGATAGGTGCGGCAAACCACCATGGCATATATTTACCTATGTAACAAACCTGCATGTCCTGCACATGTATCCCAAAACTTAAAATAAAATAAAATTTTAAAAAACTGGGTACTTTAATTACATAAGAATCTCCAGGTTATGCAGAACCTTCCTTCCTTGGGGAATTTGCTTCCCAGGGTGGGGATGGTGATTTCCCCTGAATGGTTACCACTGGTTGCCAGACAGCTGCTCAGCCTCACACTCGGCATCACCTGTGTAGGGACAACCAATGTGAGAGGCGAGAGGAACAAAATGGGAAACTTTCTCCCCTAGCTTGGCTACTGCACTGCAACCCCGGTCTTAGCTTGGGCTGTCATAACCAAACACCATTGAGTGTGTGGCTTAAACAACAGACTTTTTTTTTTTTTTGAGATGGAGTCTTGCTCTGTCACCCAGGCTGGAGTGCAGTGGCGTGATCTTGGCTCACTGCAACCTCCACCTCCCAAGTTCAAGTGATTCTCTGGCCTCAGCCTCCCGAGTAGCTGGGATTGCTGGCACGGGCCACCACACCTGGCTAATTTTTGTATTTTTAGTAGAGAGGGGGTTTCACCATGTTGACCAGGCTAGTCTTGAACTCCTGACATCAAGTGATCCACCTGCCTTGGCCTCCCAAAGTGCTGAGATTACAGGAGTGAGCCACTGTGCCAGGCCCAGACATGTATTTTCTCACAGTTTTGGAGGCTGGGTGCCAGCGTTGTTGGTTTCCAGGGAGGCCTCTCTTTCTGGTTTGTGGGTAGCCGCCATCTTGCTCTGTGCCCACAAGACCTGTTCTTTGTGCATGAGAGAGAGAGAGAGGGAGAGAGAATAAGCATGAGTGCTCTGGTGTCTCTTCTTATAAGGACACCAATCCTATTGGATCAGGGCCCCATCCTTGTGACTTTAACCTTAATTACTTCCTTAGAAGCCCTATCTCCAAATACAGCTACACTGGGAGTTGGGGCTTCAATGTATGAATTTTGAGGCAACCCAAACATTCAGTCTATAAGAACTCCCAATAAATCACTTTTTTTAAACCTAATAACATTAATATTTTATCTGATTATAAGTGTAATACATGTGCATTGTGAAAAATTTGGAATAAAACAAAAAATAAAAATTACTCATTATCCCATGAAGAAGATGAAATGTAACAACCGAATGCATCTTTTAGTAAGATCTGAGTGAGAATAGCATTGTGTATTCATCTGTGCATGTGTGTGTGTGTGCACATGCCACGTTTGCCTGCTTGTTCAAAAATCTAGGAGAAGAACTGCGGGGTTTGTGGATTGTATAAAGATTATGCAAGCCCATCAAAGACAGCTTTTGTTTGTATGCAACTCATGTAAAAGTAAATATTCCGTAACTGCTGTGTAAAATGCAAGGAAGAAAACCTGAAATGATGGCTATTGGCCAACATACAGATTATGCTCGGCTGTCTTATAATATTTTCTCTGCATTGCTTTTTAAAACATTTTTCATATTACATGCCCCATCTCATATCACATTAACCCAAATAAAAATGTCATTATCCATTCAGTTCGACAGACAGCAAGCAGAGTATCGCAGAAAATTACAATCACGTCAGGCAGCAACAAAGGATTCTAGTCAAAAGCACGTAGAAGACCCGATGGTGGGCAGCTGGCCTGGGCTTTCTTTCACACTGTCCAGGAATATGTTTGGATTCAGAATGGGTGGCCCCCTCTTTATACACAGGGCATGCCTCTGAAGAGTTGTGTGTAAATCACATTTTATGTTCCATCTCTTTTGTTATGTTAAGAAAGCTTCAAGCTAGATATCTAAAAAGACTTCCTTTCAAACAGTACATATATATATGTAGATAGATAGACAGATTTTCTTTTACCATGTTACTATTCCTCTGAAGTAAATTTAAAAGGTATTTAGGTTTATGGGATTTTATTAAACTAGGATTCAGTTGTACCACTAAACTTATTAAGATAATCGAAGGAAGATAGCCAGTAAAGCTAGTTATAAAAATGTGGCTTAGACTGTACTGACTTTTCCAATGTTAAGGGTAGACTGAGACTTCTTGGAAGTTGGGGCCTAGAGACCATTTTAAGTGACCCATTGGCACACCCTTTTGTACTGATGGATTATTAAATCGATGGTTTGTGAGAATTTAGAAAAGCATACAGTAGTCATGAAGCATCAACACAGAGATACTAAGAATAAATCAGGATAGTCATACTTATTTTTCTTTTTTGAGTGGACTTCCAGATAGGTAGATGAGGTAAATCACATTTCTGTTTCTACAAATCATTTGACAAAGTCTTCCCCAGCTGACTCATCAGTAAAGCGGTGCCTGGCTGAGTATTTACTTAGGTTCATGCACAGATAGCCCAAGATCCAAAAACAGTGATGATGAATGATTCTGCGGCTACCTAAACCAGCTGTCCAGTGGAGGGGCACAAGGCTCTGCACCAGGGCCTGCCTACAGACCAATGAACTGAAGGGAGGCTTAGAAGGCACACTTACTACATTGCAGATAGAACGAAGAAAGAATAGCCCAGTGTTGCAGGTGATGGGATTTTTTTTTTTTTTTTTTTTTTTTTGAGACGGAGTCTCTCTCTGTCATTCCAGTGATGCATTCTTGGCTCACTGCAACCTCCACCTCCCAGGTTCAAGCGATTCTCCTGCCTCAGCCTCCGAGTAGCTGGGATTACAGGTGCCTGCCACCACGCCCAGCTAATTTTTATATTTTTAGTAGAGAGGGGGTTCACTCTGCTGGCCCGCCAGGCTGGTTTTGAACTCCTGACTTCAAGTGATCCGCCTGCCTTGGCCTCCGAAAGTGCTGGGATTATAGACCTGAGCCACCACGCCTGGCCAGGTAATGGGATTTTAATGAGTGAGTACATCTTTTGCTCCCCCACAGTGTTCAAACACCCCAGTGCTCTAAGCCCTGTGGCTTTATGAACAGCAAATCTATTTTCCCAAGATGGCTCTCCCTCCATGAGCCTTGGCAACAGGGCACTCATGAGTCTCAGATGCTCTGCTATCTCTCCACTTGGGTGTGTTATGCTGTGAACATTCTGCTCCTTGAGCTGTTGTTCAGCCGTCCATAGCGCTGTCCAGGCCATTGTCCCTGCCTTGGTTACCACCTCCACGTGGCAGCCTTCATGGAGCCATTGCAGCTTTGATCTACAGGACTCCCTCACCCTCCATCTACGGGACCCCCTCGCCCTCCATCTACGGGACCCCCTCGCCCTCCATCTACGGGACCCCCTCGCCCTCCATCTACGGGACCCCCTCGCCCTCCATCTACGGGACCCCCTCGCCCTCCATCTACGGGACCCCCTCGCCTTCCATCTACGGGACCCCCTCGCCCTCCATCTACGGGACCCCCTCGCCCTCCATCTACGGGACCCCCTCGCCCTCCATCTACAGGACCCACTCCTTCAGCAGAGGAGTTGGGCCCCTGGTAACACAATTCTTTCCTTACACCCAGAGCACGTAGGACTGACTCGGAGGAAACTGCAGAGGAGAGGGGTCCTATAAAATTTCATGTCCTCCCAACATCCTGTCAATAGCCGGCCAGCTGTCCCACTCTACCAGGTGTCTCCAACCAACTGAATATTCCAGAGAAGATAAGAGATCGTTCTGCTCAGAACACACGGCAGGACAACTAGTGCCTTTCTAATGAATGGTCCCTAAAAAAATCGAAATAGCAATTGTACCTGGTTATCATCCATGGAAAAAGACCTCGTGGTTTTCATTAACCTGAACCTCAATATTTGCCTGCACTGTTTGTCTTCTAGAAAAGTCAACATAAAACTGGCTTTGCGATTGACGTGTAGGGTACAGATCTCAGGAAGTGATTCATTTACCATACACCAATCCACACCTGAAATACTGTATTCCACTTATGAGGCCACCTTTAGGAGTGACCCTGATAAAGATGAGAGCAATAAGGCAGGAGGGGTGTATGCAAGCCATATGGTTCAGTCCCCCATTGAAAGGATGGGGGCAGCCAGGCACAGTAGTTCACGCCTGTAATCCCAGCACTTTGGGAGGCCAAAGTGGGTGGATCACGAGGTCAGGAGTTCTAGATCAGCCTGATCAACATGGTGGAATCCCGTCTCTACTAAAAAAAAAAAAAAAAAAAAAAAAAAAAAATTAGCCAGGCATGGTGGCACACACCTGTAATCCCAGCTACTTGGGAGGCTGAAGCAGGAGAATCACTTGAACCTGGGAGGCAGAGGTTGCAGTGAGCCGAGATCACACCACTGCACTCCAGCCTGGGCAACAAAGCAAGACTCTGTCTAAAAAAAAAAAAAAAGAAAGAAAGAAAGAAAAAGAAACAAAGAAGAAGGAAAGAAAGAGGAAAGAAAGAAAGAAGGAAGGAAGGAAGGAAAGAAGGAAGGAAGGAAGGAAAGAAGGAAGGAAGGAAGGAAAGAAAGAGAAAGAAAGAGAGAAAGAAAGAGAGAAAGAAGGAAAGAAAGAAAAGAAAGAAAGAAAGAAAGAAAGAAAGAAAGAAAGAAAGAAAGAAAGAAAGAAAGAAAGAAAAAGAAAGGAAGGAAGGAGGGAAGGAAGGAAGGATGGGAACAGTTGTCTAGGAGAAGATGGGGAGCAGATAGGTACTTGCTGTCTGAGTGTCGGGTGCACTGTCATGAAGAAGAGAACAGAAATGAAACCAGCAAAAGATTGTTAGACGAAGTCAGATTTTGCCTCAGTACAACAACATACCTTCTGAGAAGCAGATTAACTTTATAACTTTTCCCAGTGCCTCAAGACTTTAAGAGGAAAGAGTGGGTATTACATAATCAGTACGATGCCATGATTCGTTCATTCACTTAACAAATAATTACTATGAGCCAGGCGCTGTTCTAGGTGCTGGGTTTATAAAAATGAAGAAACAGACTAAGATCTCTCTGACCTCGAGAACTCAATATTCTAGTGTGAAAATCATCAAATCTAAACATAGGTTACATTTTATGTCTTTCATGAGAAATGCTCAGAATGATGTATTAGAGCACGTTGCTTTAGCTGTGATGCTATTCTAGAATGGGCAGCGAATAAAATGATTCTGCTCGATATTTTCAGCTTGGCCTTTTAATCATGCAAGAGAGAATAAAAGGTCACATGGGTGGCCAGCAGGCTCCACAAAGAATTCCACCCACCCGTTTGTCGAAGCCGAGTGGTATCTATGTGAATCTCCATTATGCCACTCTACCTTTCTGTGTAAGTTAGGAATTTTCTAACATAAAAGTATTTTCCTATTAAAAAAAAGAAACCCAACAATTGCCCCATGTGGGCATAGGAGGCATCTTGAAGTCAAGGTTTTCCCAGTATTCGAAAGCTTAGCGGCTTAAGCACAAAAGAATAACCATCCATCAGGAATGCTCTATAAATAATTTCTGTGTTAAATAAGAAGTTGAAATGGATGACCTTAGGTTCCTTTGGATACTAAGATTCAATATTCTAGTGAAAGATCTAAAATACAATCGGAATACACAAGCATAGACTTGGGTTAATTCCAGGGATTGTGCATATGGATTAGGCTTTATTTACTTGCTAATGCTAACCAAATGTCATGAAACTGAGTACTGATTCTCAGTTTTGTCTAAGCACTTAATGATCATTTTCATAATTATTTCACCGTATTCACTGTAAATCTGTTCTTCTTTTTTGCTTCCAAAGATAAAAAATGCTTAAGCTAAAATAGACGTTTAGAGCTATTGTATTTTATGAATATTTGTGAATTTTAGGATCTTCTTCTTGAATCTTAGCTGTGTGAAAAATATCTTCCAAACAGTGTTCATTTTCCCAGAAAGCACTACATATAACCTCTTCATCTGCAGCCAATTTAGGTGTACTCCCGGCATGGTGCCCTAATTACACCTTTGTTATCCATTATCAGATGGTTCCCCTCATCAGCCAAGCCTGCGACCTTCTCCTGGCTCATTTAAAACGCTATGCGGAATCTGGGGACGCATTTGACATCCAGAGGTAAGGCTGCTGCATTACAGATGAGAAATCGAGTTTTTGAATCACTGCTTCTTGTAACTGTCCATAATTGCTGACAATTACCTTGGGACTAGCAAACTGTGGAAACGCTAGAAGCTCATAAAAGCATGGATGGACTGATTAATAAAAAGAAAAGAAACCCACTTAACATGGGAAAGAGATGTGAGCAGAGCCAGGGTACGTGCGTCCTGTCGAACCTGTGGATGGATCCACCCTCTGACCTCCACAGACCCAGGAATGGGCAGGACAGGCCTGCGCCTAAGGACAGGGATGGGGGGAAAGTTCAAGCATTTTCACTTCAAGAAAAATTGTGGTGCACCTCAGCCCAGAAGCTATAATTTAGTGGTGGACACCAAATTTAAATAACTGATTATCTGGCTTTTCGTCATTTTGTAACTAAAAGGTTTTTGCTTTAAAAAAACATCTTTAGTCTAAGTTTGTCCGACCCACAGCCCGCTGGCCACAAGCAGCCCAGGATGGCATTGAATGTGGCCCAACACAAATTTATAAACTTTCTTAAAACATTGTGAGTTTTTTTGCAGTTTTTTTTTTTCTCATCAGCTATCGTTAGTGTTACTGTATTTTATGTGTGGCCAAGACAATTCTCCTGCTTCCAACGTGGCCCAGGCAAGCCAAAAGATTTAGCCACCTTTGCTTTAGTCATTTTATGCCAAATCATGGCTTACAGCAGATAAAGAATAAAGTGGGATGGTGAATCATCCAGAAATTTATTCATTATTATCATTGCTAATAAAATAATAACATAATCATCACCAACACTGGTATTGCACCAGTTTACACAGTCTTTTCATCCACATTGTCTCTGATTATTATAGGATGCATGAGTTGGCTAAAGATAAGGTGGCCTCATCAGCTATAAAAGCAAAGTAAATAACCCTCAAGACCCTTAAATCTTCAACCTTCAGGATCAGATGAAATCACATTCAGTAGTCTCATTCTTGTTTTCACTCTAGCAGGGAAACGTGTAATCAGTTGTAGAAACGTTTTCAATAAAAGCAGTGTGAATTTTAAAAGTCATCTGGAAACGTCATGTATTCCTTAATGATAAGTTAGTGGTTATAGAATTCATGTACAAAAGGAGTTAAGTGTGTGCCTACATTGAGAACAAAAATTGGCCTTTTAATTATAAAAAGATATTAATAACCCAGTTTTTAGCTTTTTGGAAAAGAACTTAATCTGACTACTCCTATAAGATAACAAAAAGAATCATTTGAGTTTAAAATGGCCTTTTGAGGGGGCAGCTTTCCTATAGCCTAAGAGGTTAAATTTTCTGGAGCTCCTGCCAGACACTTTTCCTTCTGTTTGTTTCTAAAGCACAATGTATGTTTTCTGTAATAATATACAGATGTTCATGAAGCCTGCCTTAAAGTTTGTCTTGTGTTTATTTGAGTGCTAAGAGCCCTTGCTTTTTGTTCATTGCTATTAAGAAAACTGTAAAATCATTAAGAGGAAGAGGGAGACAAAGTTAATAAAACTAGATAATTAGGTTGTTAATTCATCAAGGACAATTTGATGTCTATCAGTCAATCATTAGATTCTGGCCTGAGCTGGGCTGTGCAGAGCTTTGGGTACAGCATGTAGGCGTTGGGTCACCTGTGTGCCCTCCTTCCCAGGGAGGAAACTATAAAGTGTCCTTCTTAGTACCTGGCTGTGTTCTGGTTGACCACAGCTGCCTGAGGCTCGAAGGTGGAAGAGGCTGTGCCCTCCTCTCCTCCCAGGTCTTTGTTTAGACGCCAGGTCTTCGTGTCTCCTCCCACCCTCTGCCGTCACTGCTCAGAGTGCCCCATCCAGGAGCCCATCTCCCTCCACCTCCCCCCAGATCTGCAGAAGCTCCTCTTCCAGACACATCTGCAGGGCTGGGCAAGCCAGTGTAAGCAATTCAGGCCCTCCTCCTCTGGAGGGGGCCATTGTGGGTAGCCCCTGCCAGAGTCCTTTCAGATCTCTGTGCTCCCATCTCCCGTAGGTGCTACTGCAATTACACCACAGATGTGGTTGCCAGCGTCGCCTTTGGCACCCCGGTGGACTCCTGGCAGGCCCCTGAGGATCCCTTTGTGAAACACTGCAAGCGTTTCTTCGAATTCTGCATCCCCAGACCTATCCTGGTTTTACTCTGTAAGTGCGGCTGCAGCCCGGGGCGCTGCGATGACTCCAGCAAGTTGGGCAGACCCCATGACACCTGGGGTGGCTTCTGGGGCTCTGTCCCTGCCACTGGGAAAGGGCACTCGGGTTGTTCCCCTGCAGAGGCTTTGTCTTATGGAGCCACCGGGTTCCTCTTGTCACCCGCCTAGGGCCACTTATTAGCAATGCTGTAGCCCTGGCATTGGTAATAAGTGGCCCCACCGCCATGGTGAGAACGGTTGGGACGCACCGTGTTAGGCACGGGGTGTGCGTTGCCTCACTTAGTCCTAGTACTCACCCTATGAGAAAAATATTCTTGTCCCTATTTCTCAGGTGTGAAACAGGCCTAGAAAGGCCGAGCTGAGACTGGAACCCAAAGCCTTTCATTTCCTAGGGCATATTTCTTTCCTTCAGCAAAATCCTCTTCACAAGACTTCTCCACTTGAAGCCCAACACACAGAAATCCTGTGTGGTGGATGAGGATTAGGTCACCCAATGCACGAGGACCAGTCTATTTATTTTATTTTATTTATTATTATTATTATTTTTTTAGATGGAGTTTCGCTGTTGTTGTCCAGGCTGGAGTGCAATGGCACGATCTCGGCTCACCGCAACCTCCGCCTCCTGGGTTCAAGCGATTCTCCTGCCTCAGCCTCCTGAGTAGCTGGGATTACAGGCATGCACCATCACGACCAGCTAATTTTGTATTTTTAGTAGAGAAGGGGTTTCTCCATGTCGGTCAGGCTGGTCTCAAACTCCCGACCTCAGGTGATCCGCCCACCTTGGCCTCCCAAAGTGCTGGGATTACAAGCGTGAGCCACCACACCAGGACTTATTTTATTTTTATTGTAGAAGTGAGATTTTGCCCTCTGGCCAATTCTAGTATCTTCTTGCTTTTATAGGAGCATTGACGTGTTGTTATGCTTGGTATTGATTATTGCCATGATTTCTAACCATTCTGCTGGGCTGGTAAATTCCATTCATTCCTTGACCAGTTTCATTCCCGTTTCTGAGCCGATGTCCATGGGAGCCCGTCACCTCACTGGCTCCGCCCTGAAATCGTAGGCAGAGTCACTCTGAGTGTCCAGCAGTCTCTTCCTGCACCCTTTCCACCGATCTTGGAGGCAGCGCAGGCTGTGTCTGCCCCTTGTGCCTCAACCACGGCCCAGGCCTGTGGGGCAGGTGGCTCAGTTGTGCCATCCCTTCTATTTCTCCTCTCTGCCTCTGCAGGGCCCTCCTGCTGCTGTGTCACATTGGTTCGGACTCTGGCTCTTGAAAATGGGCCTGCGCATTCTGAGAGCATGTGTGTCTGGAGATGTTCTCCCCAGCCCAGCTCCCATAGAGCCCGGTACAGGGTGAACCCACAATGGAAGCTGAGAAGCTGAACCCAGCCAGTGCCCCTCTCCAGGGGAGATGAGGGGTTCCTGACTCTGGCAGCCCGATCCCCAGCACATGGCAGCAAGGGCCCATGCTGCACCCAGGGGCCGGCAAGGGAGGCACCCACAGCAGCAACAGCCAGTACCCTTGTCAGCAGCTGCAGTGGCAGCTCTTGGGAGCAATTCAGGAGGTCATGCTGGGAACAATTATCCACTGGAAAGAAAATTCAAATGACCAGAAAGTTTGTAAAAAGTAAATCAGCTTCTACCACTTGCTAAGGCTTGAAACAGCCTGTAATCCTTTCTCTCTTAATGAAGTACAAAGACCTTCAGGTCTCATCCCCAGGACCTGAAACATTAATTTATGAGGGTGACCTTGACCTCTTGAGGGCCAGATGGAAGTGCAGACTCGATTAATTGCACAGATGTTTATTGAGTGCTTACTATGTGCCAGGAATGGTGAGGAGTACCGAGAGGGAGTGAGACATCACCCCTGCTCTCAGAAGCAGCAGTGCGGCGGGGAGGGCAGGACTCCAAAACGGCTCCGATTCCAGGCCCGCGTTTGCTTCCCGGGAACAGGCGTCTAATGGCCCTGGTTTATTATCACCCCCTTTTCAATGCCACTTTTGTTTTTCTCTTTCAAGTATCATTTCCATCCATAATGGTCCCACTGGCCCGGATTTTGCCCAATAAGAACCGAGACGAACTGAATGGCTTTTTTAACAAACTCATTAGGAATGTGATTGCCTTGCGGGACCAGCAAGCTGCCGAAGAGGTAACGTATTTTAATAGGACACAGCCTTGAAATGGAATGGAGCCGACTTTGGCATCACTGTCTCTGCTCTTTCTCTTCCCTCTCAGCCCCGCACATCACACCGTGCCGTCCTTCAGCAACCCACCACTTACAGCTTCCAGGGACAGTGGAGAGAACAGAGGAAGGTTGAGGAAGGTCAGACAAGAAAGGGAGGGTGGGACGGCAGAGAGAAGCCTACAGCAATGTGTACATCCTCGGACACGGACGGGTAGAATTAAAGCCGCCCCCAAAACTGTCTCCCTAGTGCAAGCATCAACCCAAGCACAGGTTAGAATAGCCCAGAAGAATTTTCTGGGTAAGTGTGCCCACATGCAATTTTCATGAGCATATTCTTTATATTGAAAACCCAGCAAGATGGAGTTCTCCAGCATGAACAGCATGCTTATTAGAGAGTTCGGCAACTGTCAGTCACTAACCCCACACTCCCACTCAGCATGGAGGATGTCGCTACAGAACTCGTGGTTGAGGGCCCCCTGGACTCCTTGGCACGATTCATATGAGACGTAGCATTTTCTTTCCTCCTTGCAGATTTGCACTATGCTTGGCACATAGTAGGAATCAAGTAAATATTTGTTGATTGAACTTGGCTAAAATAGAAAGAGGAGTTTTCAGTGGGAAGAAAGGTCATTTCAATACTGGATATGCATATGCATATGTAAATCTGGGCTTTAAAGCCCTTGTCACATTAAAGAAAGTTACTAAAAAGGAAAACAGGGCTGAAATGGCCTTTCCTTAGCTGGCTCGTGCAAGATGCAACTTTAAAAGGGTTGTCTCAAAGACTGGATGGCTCAGAGGAATTGGTGAGGGCCAATTGTTAAGGCACTGGCCTGAAATGAAATCAGGGGTCAATTAGTGGCTTGATACACCGAGCGGCCTTGGGCAGCAGCCGCGTCCTGTGCAGCTTCACGCCCGGAGAACTGTGCAGCAAACGTGTCTAGATCCAGAAGGCATGGGAAGGTGTAGGCAAGCTTGCAGCCCCCTCGGCCCACACCACTGTGAACTCAACTCGCATGTCCTTGGAGGTGCGGGAAGAAGCAGCTAACTGGCATCCCTGCCCCAGCTCTGAAGCCTAAAAGGACAGAACATTCTGATCCAGGTTCATGTTTCTCCGCAGAGTGAGGCTGGAGCCAGGGGGAGAAGGGATAAAGAAAGAACCATTTTCAACCCTCAACATTGCTACTAAGGGCCACCTTTTGAGAGTGTTCACACACACACACACACACACACACACACACGCATCCCTAGCCTGGCTGTGGAATCAGGCTAAAAATTTTAAAACTGTTGCATCGAATGACTTACTAAGAGGTGAGAGGTTATTAAAGATCCAATTACTGGGATTGCCTAGAGCTTTTCCTTTTATAAACTCTAGTGCTATTTGTTTCAAACAATGAGTTGATCTGAGAAAAATCTCCCAACCACAAATCCAGGACAGCCATGTCAAGACAGAGCTATACGGTTACTAAGAAAACTTGCTTTAAAACCATCTAAAGTCTGTATACATTCCATCAAGCAGATGTGTGTTTGCGCAGTGAAAATGCGGCACAGATGTTAAAAGGTAAATATTTTTCTAAGCTCTAGCCGATGGGTGGATTAGACACCTACATCTATCAGGGTGCGTATTTTCCTTGGATAGGACCATAAACCAGCACCGTTTCAGTCCTCAATGGGCAGTGTTCAGATAGCCTCCCTGATGCCATGTGAATAAAAGAAACCCATCTATACTAATGTTCTTCTCCAGTGCACGGGCCCTGGAGAGTGGCCTTTCCTCTGGCCTCTGTAGCTGGAGGTTAAGACAGATTTCTGCAAGATTCTGACAGCCCTTTAGCAGTCTGTCTGGGCTGGGATAAGAGGAAAGGATGCTGGCTGCAGTTTTGCCCATGGAAAAATACCCGGTGTAGAGGTGGCTGTGCCCTCCCTCCCATCATTACTCCTACACTACCTCAGCAAAGCCATAGCCAAGCCTCAGGGACCACAATGATATCACACCCTGAGGACCTTCAGAGGGACTGACTGAGAGGTCTGGGGGTGCTCTGGGGTCCTGTGCTGGTGTCCCAGAGCTGAGGGAGCAAGGGATGCTCACTTCCCCTGCGTGCCATCTTGCCTGACCCTGCCCCAGCTCTGCTCCATGGGAGCAGGGCCAGCAGTGGGACCACACCAGCGCCCATTGACCGAGCAGCAGGAAGGAAGCTGGGGAAAGCCAGCCCTTGAGGATGCTGTTTGAAAATCAGAACGAGCAGGGCCAGGGTGGAATGAAGCCACCAACTACCCCCGACCCTCACCATTTTCTCAGCTATTACAACCCAGCAGGCTGTTGGGAAGCTGAGGCCTTGCTTCCTTAGACTCAAGGTCTGTGGCACCCATAGTCTTAACCTTGAGCACTGCTAGGATCCCAGTAGGCACCTTCCAAAGTCACAAGGCTGGGGTGCAGTAGAGCTGCAAAGGTGTCAGCAGCCAAGACTCCCGCTCTAAAGAGCATTCACTTGTCATCAAACTCAGCATACCCATCCTCCAAATGCACGCACTGCATTACATTTTTATCTGTTGAGTCATGGACTGCAGATTTAACATGTGCTCAGCATAAAACTAGGCACGGTGTCAGGGGTTGAGGGTGGGGTCCTGCCCTGGAGTTGCTTATAATCTTATGGAGGAGGAAAAGCAACCACACATGAAATGACAACAATCTTAAAAGATGGAATCATCAGGAGGCTGAGGCGGGCGGATCACCTGAAGTCAGGAGTTCGAGACCAGCCTGACCAACATGGTGAAACCCCGCCTCTACTAAAGATACAAAAATTAGCCGGGTGTGGTGGCACATGCCTATAGTCCCAGCTACTCAGGAGGCTGAGGCAGGAAGATCACTTGAACCTGGGAGGTGGAGGTTGCAGTGAGCCAAGATCACACCATTGTACTCCAGCCTGGGTGACAGAGCAAAAAAAAAAAAAAAAGATGAAATCAGACGCTCATGTGTGTGGCATAGATTATTAATGCAATCGAAATTCAGAAGCCAGTGAACTGAGAAAATGCTGCAGCTAGCAGAGTACTTTGCATGAAATTCTAATATTTTTCTGTTGGTGATTCTGATACTCTCCTTTTGCCATTTTAGTCCCATAAACTTCAGAAAATGGAAATGTCTTGGTTGTCCTTCATGACATTAAAGAGCATTTCAAAGAAGGGATGTTCTAGGAATAAGCTTTGTTAACACAGAGGCGATATAGAAACACTCCTATTGTTACAATTAGTAATAGTGAAAATATAAAGAATATGCAAATGACTGATAAAGAAGGTAGGGGGAAATGGAAAAAAAGCTCTGACTACTTAAACGGGGGCAGGGGATTACTGAGAAATAGAGGGAACCGATGTGAAGATCTGATATGAAGGCTAGGGGATGAAGAAGGCAAAGCCTGGAGACTTTGAAGACAGGCGCCGCCAAACTAGTCCCCTCGCCTTGCCCTCACTTCTGTTAACTTCCTACTGTGTGAGAAAAACTGGTGGCTGCCCATCTAAGCCCTAAGCTGCACAGAAGTGAGCAGTACAGCACATGCTTGGTTTTAAATCTATCTATGTGATGTTGCCATTGTTTTATTGTTGGAAAACCAACCACCAACCAACAGTACAAAAATGTATAAAGTAAAAAATAAAAGCCCCCCTCCTGGTTTTCCCACCTCCTCCAGCTCATTATGAACTGTTGGGTGGGGACATTGCTAAAATCGTCTATGTGTAGACAGATATAGGTGATGATATATTTAGTACATTTGCTGTTTTTGCAGAAACGAGAGCCACAGTGCATACTGTTCCATGACCGGCTTTGTTTTTACTTAACAAAGTGGCTCAATGACTTTCACATCAGCCCAGATAGAATGGCCTCTGCCTTGCTCAGGGCAGCAGCCCAGGCTGCTCTTCACTGCCCCAGAACCTGCCTGACCAGTGCTATACTAAGGGACATTCAGGTGGCTTCCAGGTTCTCACCGTCCCAGATAACCCAGCAATGAGGAAGCTTGTTGCTACTGAGCTCTTCAAAAGCTATGCCCATGTATCTTCCTCCTTTGTTCTCCAGGAAGCCTCACTCTTCATGACTGTAAGGTCAAAATGTGCATTTTTCTCCTTTTGTTCCTTAGAGGCGGAGAGACTTCCTCCAAATGGTCCTGGATGCCCGACATTCTGCAAGTCCCATGGGCGTGCAAGACTTTGACATCGTCAGAGACGTTTTCTCCTCTACTGGGTGCAAGCCGAACCCTTCCCGGCAACACCAGCCCAGCCCTATGGCCAGGCCTTTGACTGTGGATGAGATTGTGGGCCAGGCCTTCATCTTCCTCATCGCTGGCTATGAAATCATCACCAACACACTTTCTTTTGCCACCTACCTACTGGCCACCAACCCTGACTGCCAAGAGAAGCTTCTGAGAGAGGTAGACGTTTTTAAGGAGAAACACGTGAGTACAAGTTGGATCCAGTTACCCATGGGATATCCATAGGACAATTGATTTTGTGTTTGTGGGAGTGAAACTTATTTTTAATGACTTGCTAATATCACATTCTAAGCTTATAAGATGAAATAGGGTCATTGCTTGGCTTCTCCTGCTCTCCGGGTTAGCAAGCGAAATGAAATGTTGAGAACAATAACCACAACAAAAAGACAAATTGTGTGTGCACCTTCACTGTCTGGGGTAGTCCATGAAGCCAGGCCTGGCTCGAGGAAGCTGTGGAAGCCCAGGAAGGTGTCAGGCCCAAAGGGCAGGGATGGGGAAGGAGTCATGGCTTCCCAATATCTGACTTGGAGCTGCCACACGGAGGGAGGCAGGTGTGAGCCAGAAAGGAGAGCCAAGATAGAAGGCAGGAGTGGACAAAAGGACAGGCCAAGCTGAAGCTGGACTGAAGACTGGAAGCTGAGGAGGAGGCTCACAAATGGAATAAGGGAAGATGGGGCCCGTCAGCGCCCAGGCCAGCTTCAGGGCATTTTCTTCTAGATGAGGCCCCTCTTGATCGTTTATAGCAGATATAACGAGGGTGCTGAGCAAGGCTACTTTATCACCTCATTTTTTCTTCTAGATGCTTGTGTGTGTATAACTTTGACTCATGAGTTGTCAAAGAGATTCATTTTTAAAATCTGTACTTTAAAAGGAAGACCACCACAGTGGAATCCTTTCTGTTACATTCTGATATGATTGCTATTACATTCACCATTTTGAAAGGTGGTCTGTTCTGTTACTGGAACCATTAAAAAATGTTTCATACAATGAACTGAAAACCACTTCCCGGGAAATTCTACTTCTTTATTCTACTGGGGAAGTAAAGGCAAAGTCAATGTCTCTTCTTCACAGCAGTTTTTAAATATTTGAAAACTGCATTCACTGTGTTACTAATTAATTGTCTTAACTTTAGGCTCAACATGAGTTTATGGTCAACTTCAAGTTCTAAGTAGTTATGACAACTGCCAAGCTGGGCCTTTCCAAACCCTGCTTACACAATTGATTTATTGAGCCTAGACGGAAGAGTTTATATTTATCCTTATTACTGTTCAAGTCAGTCAAAATAATTTTGAATCTTGATTCTGCCATCTGTTATATTAGCAATTCCTCCAGCCTCGTGTCATCTGAGACTTATTAAGCATGTCTCCTATTTCATCCAAGTCATTGATTAAAATGTTGAACAGGACAGGACTTCCCTCCAGATTGACATTGATCCATTAATCAATATTCTTTGGGCATGGAATCTCAACAAGCCATGAATCCAAATAACCCTGCCACCCATCTTATTCTGTTTTATATGTAGTGGTTTGTGTATTTGTTCTTAAATTGAGGAAAGGGTAGAGGGAGGGACCAACGGTGACTGGGGTGCATTAGTGCAAAAGAAGTAAAAGGAGCTGGAAGCGAGGCAATCTATTAGGATACATTTAGTTGCAGATAACAGAACCCCAACCCAACTGATTTAAGCAAAACAAAAACAAAAAGTAAAAACAAACAAAAAGACTCATAAATGTGTATTTCTGAGTACATTTAATTGAGCAGCTCAGGAATAGATGTGGCTCCAGGCAAATCTTTGTCTAGGTCTCAAACTGGTGCACAGGTCCGTTTCTCTCTCGCCAGTTCTTGGCTGTGCTCTCTTATATTGGCCCCATCCTCCATCATGCTCTCCTCTCAAAGCCCCAAGAAGCCTGTCAAGAGTGTCTGGGACTCCATACTTCCTTGCTTGTAACCAATGGAGAAGAGAGGGTCTGTGGCCTAAAATTCCCAGAAAGAGTCATGAGGGTCACTCTGACGGGAATGCTTAGGTCGCTGCCCATTCTTTTTTATTTTTTTTTTGAGATGAAGTTTCACTCTTGTTGCCGAGGCTGGAGTGCAATGGCACAATCCTGGCTCACTGCAACCCACACCTCCCAGGTTCAAGCAATTCTCCTGCCTCAGCCTCCCGAGTTGCTGGCATTACAGACATTCACCACCACAACTGGCTAATTTTGTATTTTTAGTAGATACGGGGTTTCACCACGTTGGTCAGGCTGGTCTCGAACTCCCAACCTCAGGTGATCCGCCTGCCTCGGCCTCCCAAAGTGCTGGGATTACAGGCGTAAGCCACCACGATTGGCCTGCTGCCCATTCTTGAACCAACTCTTGAAGCAAGGGGAATGGGGTCCCTGATAGGCTTACACCAATCAGACTCTAGCCCTCAGTCAATCATGCTCAAGTCACATGACTGAGAACTTGGGAAGGTGACTTCTCAAGGGAAGCTTAGCATGCTGTCCCAGGAAGGCATTAGAGGGAAGCCCAGCGCTCTGGTCTCAGTAAACCAGAAATCACACCAAATTAAGGGCTTTGAAGCATCTAATGAGTGTCCAGCAGTTTAGTAGACACAGCAGAGGCTAGGAGAGGGGGCAGAAGCTCTAAGAGATAGAAGTCAGGTCCTCATCTTGCGGGAATTCCATCGCCAATTGAGAAGCAATGTTATGTCTATGAAACAATATTTTCCTTCCAAACACAGGCCTGCAGGGCAGTAGAAGGCAGAAGATAATCAGGTCTAGAATGTGTGATGTCATTTAGAGAGCCATGGGGCGATAGGAGTCTGTCCCACCAGCTATAACCATAGTCACATCCAGTTATGTCAGTCTGCCAGGAGGACACAGCAAGTGCTCATGTTAGGCCAGGCACAGTGGCTCATGCCAGTGGCTCATCCCAGCACTTTGGGAGGCCGAGGTGGGTGGATCACCTGAGGTCAGGAGTTCAAGACCAGCCTGACCAACACAGTAAAACTCCATCTCTACTAAAACTACAAAATTAGCTGGGTGTGGTGGCACATGCCTGTAATCCCAGCTACTCGGGAGGCTGAGGCAGGAGAATCACTTGAAGCAGGGAGGCGGAGGTTGCAGTGAGCAAAGATTGTGCCATTGCCCTCCAGCCTGGGCAATAAGAAAGAAACTCCGTCTCAAAAAAAAAAAGGACCACATGTTATTATGGGGCTGTACAGACTGTTGCAAAGCACTGAGACCCCTTGGTCAAATAAACACATTACAGCAGGTCAAATTTTTGAGTTTAGTGTGCATAAAAGTATATAGGAAGACTGCTTAGAATGCACTTTCCAGGGTCCTGACCTCAGGGGTTCCGATTCCATAAGTCTGGGCTGGGACCCAGGAACCCGCATTTTATTTTATTTTATTTTTTGAGATGGAGTCTCGCTCTGTCATCCAGGCTGGAGTGCAGTGGCACAATCTTGGCTCACAGCAAACTCCGCCGCCTAAGGAACCCACGTTTTAAATAAATGTTTCCAGTGATTCTGATGCAGGTGGTCCCTGGTTCCACTTTGAGAAGACAGCCTTAGACTCTCAAGGGCTCGGATCCCTCTTCCAAGAAAAAAAATCAGGGTCCAAAGCCCTCCTAAGCCATGCAAGCCACAAGGTGATTTTCTTCCCCTATGTGATAGCTGGTTGTGGGGGGGAGTCTCTGAAAAATGGGAATATCTACAGCTGTCTTTTTAAAAACATACATTTGGTAGTCACAATAATGTTGCTTTGCATAGCCTTGCACATGGCACCCACTCAATGAATATTGGTAGGTTTTCTTTTTTTCTTTTCTTTCTTTCCTTCTTTTATTTTTTTAATTTTTTTTTTTTTTACTATAATCAGAGCTCTGTTAATATGGGCCATCTGTCAGGACATGGAAATGCAGATTAGATGTTCACACATTAGATATTTTCCTGAAAATATTCCTGAAAATTTGCATGTAAAGTATGACTTGTTATAATTTTCCTGCTGGTTTCCATTCAACAAATATTTCTTGAGTGCCAGTTAATGCCAGACTCCGGGGCTCCAGCCCTACGCACGAGGGTGTTCTGGTCTAGCTCTTCTGTGACATCCCTGTAGAGCATCCCCATGCCTCATTAGATGGCCTTCCCTTGTATTTGTCAATGAGATTGCTTAATTTGAGCTCTAGAGTTTCTTTTCCCTGAGCAATTTCTTTCATAGCAATGCACCATGGGAATCTGATGAGAGCTACATCTCTTCCTCCAAGAAAGAGCAGATATGTGCATGGCATCAGTTCAGACTCTTCTGTGGACAGTGATAAAAAAAACTCAGCCCAGATTGTCTCAGGGAGTTTACTGACCCCTATAACTGAAAACTCCAGAGGGCAGAGCTGCCTTCAGGTATGGCTTGATTCAGGGGCTCAAGCCCTGTCCAAGTTGTTCTCTCTCCCCATTTCTCAGCTCCGGTTTCTCTGGGCACACTCCCTTCTCAGGCACATCTTCCCTAGGGGTCTCAAGCCAGCTGTGTAACCAGTGTTTTGAACAGTCTCAACTCAGTGAGGTACCAACTTGAAACCATTTGGTGTTTTTTGTTTCATTTTTTTCCCTTAAATGTGCTCTGATGAATCTCCTTTCCCTGTCCGTGATGATACTTTGGACAGATCTCAATGATTTCTGGTCATTTTGGGGGGCATTAAAAAGTCCAGGCCAGTCTGGCCCAGATGAAAACTTCAGGCTCAAATCCAATCAGTGCCCTTCTGTTCTCTTAGCTCAGGCTGACCTGTGGCCTGAGGATGCCGCCCTGCGGGAGGAGAGGTCTGTTTTTTCCCCTCCTTCTACCCCTCCCCCACCCCTGCTGGGCCCCTTTCTCCTCCAGGAGTGGGGCCTGTGAACGGATCCCCAAATCCTGCCTACCTGGAGCTGCCCTCAGTGCCTTCCCTGCGGGGCTTCTGACGTGGGGTAGATGCAAGACGTATTCGGAGGGCTCCCAGGTCTGAAGTCCTCACTGCATAATTCCCTGCCAGGGAGACAGGCTCCAGCTCCTGCCACCAGCTCCTGCCCCAAGGCTGCTTGATGGGGAATCTTGAGCAGGATACCAGCTAGATGGCTCCAGCTTCCATGCCTTCCCCAGTGTCCGCCCAGCCTATGGGAAACACACAACTGGGCCACACCCACAGTGGCCACCTTCTGCCCTCTCCTTCCTCCCTCCACCCTGTCATGTCTCTCCAAGTACTTTTCCTTTGCTCAAATAGGCAGAGAGGGCACATCAGCAATTCTGCTGCATGAGCAGATGGCCAAGGAGAATGGCCCACCTCTATGAGTGGCTCTGCTGAAGACCCTCTTCCTTGGCTTGGGAGTAGGGAGGACCCTCTTCCCTAGGCCAATGACTCCTTGCTCTAAGTTTTCTTTAAATCCCTCTAATGTCTTTATAGGCTGAGGATGGGGGTAGGAGAGAGTAGGTTCAAGTTCAACGGGAAGAAGCAAGAGTCTCTTTCCTGCAAGTCTCAGCAAAAGCCTCCTGGCATCCCAGTGACTTCGAGAGGGTCATGCACCTGCCCCCTCAACCAATCTTTGGACCCCAGAGGAATATGATCCCCTGATTGGCTTAGACTTGGGTCATGTGCCCCATCCTTGGAGTTGGTGTCTAGGTGAGGCCTTACCCAAACCACTGAGCTCTCGAGCGGAGGAGAGGTTGATCCCCAAATCACTCTTATTAAAAGTGGGGTAAATGGCTTCTGGGTAGCCAGGAAACAGTGTGTTTGCCCACCCCTGTACATAGAATCTGTGGCCCCCAGATTAGAAGTTCCCACCTCTCAATTTCCTGTTATGTGATCATGTTCACCTTCCCTCTGAACTTTTAAAATCCAGCTTGCCAAATTAGAAGGTATAAGTCCGGCAGTGCCTGGAACAGCCTGCTCTTGCCTGTTTCTTGCAAATCATCCCAAGTTCCCTGTGATTTCTGCAGGACCAGTCGGTCCAGCTCAGCAGTTTTGCCTTATTGCATCCTTCACCATTTGAGAAGTGAAAATGTCAGGCATGAAAGTCAATAATTCAGATTCTCTACTGTTAGCAGTTCTAAACCCCTGGCGCATATAAAGATACTCAAAGGTCTCCCTCACTATCGGGGATCTGCCTCCGCACATCCTGTCTGGCAACATCCCATCTCTCATCCCATACAGCCTTGACTGCATTCTCCTTTCAGGGTATAGATTTTGGTTCCAGCTTCTAAAACAGTTACAATCCACTTTTTTGTTTGTTTTTGTTTTGTTTTGTTTTGTTTTTGAGACAGAGTCTTGCTCTGTCGCCCAGGCTGGTGTGCAGTGGTGCAATCTTGGCTCATTGCAACCTCCACTTCCCAGGTTCAAGTGATTCTCCTGCCTCAGCCTCCCAAGTAGCTGGAATTACAGGTGTGTGCCACCATGCCTGGCTAATTTTTGTATTTTTAGTAGACATGGGATTTTTCCATGTTGGTCAGTCTGGTCTTGAACTCCTGGCCTCAAGTGATCCGCCTGCCTCAGCCTCCCAAAGTGCTGGAATTACAGGCGTGAGCCACCGCGCCCGGCTTCAATCCACTTTTTAATTCATGCCCCCAGACTGATTCTTTCTGGGCCACATGTGTTTTCTTCCAAATCGTCTTGTTTGGGAATTTTATCTGGCCTCTCCTCCTCTTGTCCCACCATCAAAATTCAGTGTAAAATCTTCTTTCTCAAGTCCCCCAATCTCTTGGAGAAGTCTCTCTTTTCCCATGTTGCCTTGGTCTATGGAAAAGGAGGTAGTACGTTCAGTAAATTCAATAGTGGATGGGTGGGAAAAGGTTTGTACCATTTGTACCACTCGTAAAGCTGAAAAAACCACACCATCTATTTAATGAGACCTTTGTTATATGGCTGCTTCATTGTGTTCTCATGTAATTTTGAAAAGGATGAGAAAGGAAAAAAACCAACTTCTTTTCATATAAATTGTGTCTTCTATAGCTTTAGTGTTCTATGTTGAAATTATTGACTTTTGATCTGGCTAAACCATTCTCTTTTCTTCTCTTTGGTGCTGGACTCTGCCAGCCAAAATTTATGACCCATTTTCCTTCTGCTTAATTGTTGTTATAAATCTGCTGTGCAGAACCCAGTTGTAAATTTATCACAGACTGGATTGGATTGATATACAGCCTCTCTTTAGGATAATTTGAACACAGTTATGCCTTAGAAGGAAGGCCAAATTCTTAAAACTTCTCTTGAAGAGCTGCTTTGTAACCATTATAAATATCTAATTAAAATACAACTTACTCTTTCTTTTTCTCTTAAGGATAAAAGAACATTCTGTGCTGGTTATTTCAGCTTATTAGCTCATGCTGCTGTGTGAGCAAGGTTGAGGATTTGTTCCTTGAAGCAGTCAGAGGATCTCCAAGAAAAAAAAGCATATTATGTGCTTACAAAAAAAAAAAAAAAAAAAAAAAAAGCCGTTTTACCCCCAACTAGCTTTTTCATGAATACACATCCTTTGTCACAGGGAAAGGGTTGAGCAGGAAAAAAAGTGAATAGCTTAACACAAATCTATCCTCACTATGGAAAAAAAAAATGTCTTCCCATGTGGATCTCACCCAGGGAGGAGGGCATGGTTGGCTTTGAGATCAAGTAGAAAACTGGAAATGGGTTTTTCCCCATGGGGAAGGTTTCCTCCCCTTTGCCCAGGTCTGCTGGGGTCGGGCTACCCACAGTTGGTGAGGAGTAAGTTCAGGAGTTCCCCATCAATTCAGTCCCCCAGCCACACAGGGGTCAGAGGTGCTGCTGAGTCTCTGCCTTCTGACAGACCCCACAACAGCACAACAGGACAACAGAGCACAAAGCCACAGGGACAAGGGAAGAGGCAAAACAGAGAACGCCTTACAGCCCTAATGTTGAATCTAAAACAAAGAACAGCGTCACTGCAGCGTGAGAAAAGTGGCAACGGGCTGTGGCACCGGCCCTTGGTTAGGGCATCACAAAGTTTAACGTGCACGGGAATCACCTGGGAGTCACTAAATCTGCAGATTTTGATTCAGCAGGTCTGGGACGAGCCTGAGGGTCTGCATTTCTTTTTTGTGATTATTATTTTGTATTTATGAGACGGAGTCTCACTGTCCCCGAGGCTGGAGTGCAGTGGCACGATCTTGGCTCACTGCAGCCTCCATCTCCCAGGATTAAGTGATTCTCCTGCCTCAGCCTCTCGAGTAGCTGGGATTACAGGCTCACGCCACCATGCCCAGCTAATTTTTGTATTTTTAGTAGAGACAGGGTTTCACCATGTTGGACAGGCTAGTCTCGAACTCCTGACCTCAGGTGATCTGCCCGCCTCGGCCTCCCAAAGTGCTGGGATTACAGGCGTGAGCCACCGTGCCCGGCCAAGGGTCTGCATTTCTAACCAGCTCCCAGGTGATGCTGATACAGCCAGTCCATGGCCCACACTATGTACAAGGAGCCAGGTTCTGAACCATACGTACTGTGTCTCTCTCACGTGTGCTGGACATGGCAAGTATGTATTCCTCATGACATTTAATGTGCTCATGTTCTTCAGTGGTTTACCTTTTGCTAATAAATCTCAGTGGTTTCCTGATTATTCCATAATCATGATGGCATTCACTTTATTGAGTGGGAGATGAAGTGATGCAGGAATGAGCCAATCCTAATACATGTTAGAAGTGTATTAATCCTAAATAAAGCCTAAAATCATCTATTTTCTTCAGTAATTGTTTCCATGGTGGGAGGTTAGGGGGAGCTTTTGAGGTGATTTAAAGTCATTTTCAAAGCAGATGAAGACGGCAACCTGAGCTTTCTGTCAGGACATGTGTGTAGACTGGAGACCTATCACATCCAACGGGACCCTCAGGCCAATCCTTTTAAGCAGGGGGCTCCACCCAGCCCCTTAGCTTCCCTACTCCCCTAAGCCCCTTGGTTGTAGACAGTAGCTTCGGGTGCCAGGTGGGAGGCCATGCCAAACAACTATAGCCAAAGAGCATGTCTCTGATGCCATTTCTTTGGTGGCCTAGGACAGAATCTGAGCTATTTCCACTAGAGGAATAGGAGCTTCAGCAGGGGGCCTTGGAAATGTATCCAAGGTACCCACCTCCTGTCCTTCTTTCTGGAAGCATCTGGCCCTGGGAAGTAGCATCCCGACCACTAATATCAGGGCACTAATATCAGGCAAAGGGAGGAAAAGTTGCATCCTGACCACTAATATCAGAAAGGCCCCTCCTCCCAGCCCGTGAAGAGGGGCCTCTCTGGGTGTGTACCTGGAACCCTATCTTGGAAGTTAAGTTTTGTGGTCACTGCTACCAACACACCAACTCCCAGGACACAGGATACTAGGGACTTCTGTGCCCCATCAGTGGACAAGTCACAAGTTCCCAAAGCAGGGTGACCAATCGATCTGGATCAGGTGGCAGGGCCTCGGATCTTAACTGTCCATTTCATTGTTATGCACACAAACTTATCTTAGAGATCCGGCCATCTGCCTGTTCCCGTCCTGGGGATACCTGCGGGAAGGCAGGCTGTGCCTCCCAGAGGTCATCTGGGCTGCAAATGGGTGCCAAGACCTTCCTCTGCCCCTACTCAGGACTCCAGACTCCTCCACATCCCCTGGAGATACTCAAAGCCCATGCCCACAGTAACCCGTAGGGAAACTGACCCGCTCTGCCTGGGAGCTGCTCCCAGGAGCCTCAGCAGTGGCAACCAGGAGCTTAGAGACCGCTGTGCCTCTCCCTGCCCACCCTCTCCCTCTCATCCTGCCCCATTTCTCTGTTGTCTTTCCTCTTTCCTCTCTTCATTGTTCACAGCACTATTTAATCTCCTTCCCCTCTTTCTTCCCTTATTCTTGTTCTGACTCTATTCCCAGGTCCAGAGAGGCCCAGAATCTTCTCTGCTCCTGCTCCACCTCCTGACCCACTGCCCCCTGGGAGCCCCTGGTCATCCCAGAAGCCTGTAAGTGCACACAGCAGCCAAGACCCACATGCCTGCAATGGGGGTGGCACAGGGGAGGCAGGGTGAAGAGCAGGACAGACTTGCAGGTGTTTTTTTCTGGGCTGCCTGGCTTCATCAACTGCAACACTCCAGCACTTTGAATTTTTAGCAATTAATGCCCCAAGTCCCCCTCCCCCTGAGTCCCTGCAGAGCAGAGGGAGGGGCACCTGCAAAGAGAAGTCTCTCCCAGGAATGGGTCACACCAATCAGCATGTATGTGGTGTCTTTCATGTAGCAAATCAGAGTCTTTCATATTCAATAGCTGGGCCTCTAGAGGGACCAAGCTTTGCTAAGCAAATAAGCTTGTGGGGTTGGTTCACATCCATCCAGAAAAGCAAGAATGAAAAATAAACTTGGGAAAGTCAGCTCCACAGGTGAAGCTCAACCTTCTGTGCATCTGCTTGGCATGGAGCTACATTTGCAACTGAATGGCTCATTTATTTAACTATTGCACACATTATGGGCTCTTAAAACATCAAAAGAATGGGTTTTATTCCCAACAATTAGCTCTTGAAATAAAAGAATAAACATACTTTTTTTTTAACTTCCCCAGACTCTGTTGACCAAAGTCGCTTTCACACCAGTGGAGTGGAAGCTCCAAAATGGTATCATCTGGTGGGAATTTAAAGACTTCTTGTCCCCAAAAAACCTTTTCGTCACTAGGCTTAAAATTTTCCATTGGGAGGCCCTGGCTTTGTTTTGACACATGATCCGTTATTAACACACCACTCATTTTGGGAGGGGAATATCATCAAGTCCCAGCCAGGATGTAAACCCCACGACTAGGAAGCCTCGTCCGCTGGGTACCTTGGTAGGTCCCAGGGCCGAGCACAGTGCCTGGCACGTGAGAAATAGGTGTTGAGAAAAGTTATTTCACTCTTCCTTTTCTAACTGGAAACCAACTCCAAGCACAGATTTGAGGGGGGACGAGCAGGGAGGCACAGTAGATAAAGCCTGTGAGTTACTGCGCCCAGCGAGAAAGGGGTCGGTGGAGTCAAAGAGAGAAGGCACTGCGTGGGGAGATGGAGGCAGGTTGAAGGCAACACTTGGAGTCCCTATAGTCCTACAATTGCAGTGCAATTGCCCAGAAGATATCATGCTAAGAAAAGGAGGGAGCCTCAGCCCTCGGCCTCCGAGGAGACCTCTGGGGACATCTAGGGCAGCTTCCCATCCAGGACAGATATCTGAAAGATCATGAGGCTGGGCTTGAATCCTGCTGACAACAAGAAACTTACTACCTATGTCCCCTACCGCTGCTATGGTCCGCCTCCTCTGTCAGCTCATGGTATTTGAGCACCTACTAAATCAGCAAATTAATAGCTTCTGCCTGGGGGCTGCTTCCACACTCCACTAATAGCCAATCGCTGGGCATCTCAGAGCCGAGAGAGGAAGGAAAATTGGAAAATGAGTCTAGAATAAGGGGCCTTTCCAAAATGTGTGCTTATGGCCCAGACACTCCTTTAACCCTAGGTTTTCCAGAAAGTCTGTTTTGCCCCAGGACTGTGGACAGCATTATGGTTTGTTTGGTGAGCTTTCTTTTTTTTTTTTTTTTAGGTTGTATTTTATAACTGAATATGGCATGTGTGAAAATATCAGCTACCAGACTCTGTTAGTCCAGGCGTATGAATATTCCAGATCACAAGGGAGGTGTGACTCCCCTGTGAATTGCAATGCGGAAGGTTTATAAAGTTAATCATTTAGAAATCTGTCTTTAAAATTTAAATATTTAGATTGGGTCGCTAGGACACAAAAGGCAATTCCTGTTTCTCACTCACTTAATTTGATTTTTTTTTCTTTTGGTCGCACAAGTTGTTTTTCAAAGCCTCATTCCTCGAATGTTCCCTATAGGAGGAATGTAATTAAACTCCACTGGCCTCCCCCTGCTGGGACCAAACAGGGGCCAGAGCTGTAGGGAGCATAAAACAGATATCCTGCAAAAGAATCCTTATTATAAAGATGAGAAGAGAATCAACTTCCCTCTGGTTATGAACAAGAAGCTTTAGAAAGCCACCCAGGCTATTTTTGCAATGGGCTTAGTCTCCAAGACATTTTAATTAGTAATTTAAGACTGGAAGGAAGGGGATAAACTCCTCACCTCCCTGGCTATAGGCAAGAACTTCAACTGGATGAGTAACTGGTTCAAGTGGCTGAAAAGGAGGGAGGTCCAGAGGGAGGGTGGTTCCTTAAAATGAACCAACTTTTTCATGAAAATGGCATAGCTAGATATCCCGGCCCCCAGTCAGTCACTGTTTTTGCAGTCCCACTTCTTAAGGCAGTTCTCACCCCTCACCAGAGGCAGGCACTGCCTCTCTCTGGGACACTCGGCTGGCACCAGAGCAAAGAAGCTTGTGCTGAGGGATGGTTCCCCTCACACCGGGCCAACCTGGACTTCTCTCTGACCAAAGAGCATATGCCTCCCACCAAGCGAGAAGGTGGAAAGATCCTGGCAGGGAACCCCGAGACCTGGGTGCTAGCATCATCCCCGCCATGAGAGCACACGGGGCCCCTGAGCTGACACCTGCTGGCAATGTGACGTGGATCACTCACATAATCCCTTCCTTAGTTTTTCTGTCTGTAAAATGGGGATAGTAACATTGTGTAGCTCATAAGGTTGTCACCAAGATTAAACGAGTTAAGAATACACGTGCAATGTTTGAACAGCGCCAGCATTACGTACATATAGCTACTCTCATTCGCCTTTCTGTGACTCAGTTTCCTTATCTGTAAAAGAAAAAGGTTGGACTAGACCTCTTCTCCACTGTTATTGATGATGATGATGATAAATGAATGTTTCTGTGCCAGATCCTAAACTAAACAAAAGTTAACTTGATACTCACAATGGCTGTATGAAGTGGGAGTTATCACCATCCCCATTTCATCAGTGGGGAAAGAAAGGCTGGATTAGTCAGGGATCTCCAGAGGAACCGAACTAATAGGACAGAGACAGAAAGACATTCATTTTCAGGAATTGGCTCATGTAATTTATGGAGTTTGGCAAGTGTGAAGTCTGCAGGGCAGGCTGGCAGTTTGGACAACCAGGCAGGAGTCAATGCAACAGTCTAGACACAGAATTCTTTCTTCGCCAGAAAACCTCAGTTTTTGCTCTTACGGCCTTCAACCGATTGGATGAGGCACGCCCATATTATTGAGGATAATCTCCTCAAAGTCAGCTGATTTTAAGTGTTAACCATATCTACCGAAGACCTTCCCAGCAACCCTGGGATTCATGTTTGATTAAATAACTGCACACAATAGCCTAGCAAAGTTGACACAAAAGACTAACCAAGCTAAATAACTTGAGAACATAAGATAATACCCTAGGACAGGGCCTAGGTCGGATTGGCACTCACGTTTCCCGACTCCTTAGTCTGTATTCTTTTCAACCTTGTCTCTAATATTCCATGATTCCATGGTTCTGATGCCATTCCTCAGCGCTCTGCTGTTCTTGCCTGACCAAGTGGATCAATGGTGGCTCTGGCATTTCTATAAAGGGGATTTCAGGGCTGCCTGCTGGGGAGGGAGGCTTGAAGCTGTGTCTGCACTGCATCTTCACAGCACTGAGAAAATGCCAGTCATTCAGGAGGACAGGGCAGCCCTGTCCTCGCCACAGTGCCCGCATCTTCATTGGTTCACCTTTGCAGGTATCATCTGTGACCTGTCATCCAGGCTCTGAGCCCTGAGGATAATAAGTTTCCCTCGAAGGTCCTGGGTTTGTTGGAGCTTTTTCTCCCTCTTGCCATGTCCTTTTCACGGTCCATCCTCTGAGTTTGTGAATTATCTTTCTTCGTGGCCCATGTGGCACAAGATGAAGAGTGCATGGGCAGCTTCTCCCCTGACATCCCTACCTCCCTGACGCTTAACCCACATAGGGAAGAACATTCCTGAAACAGAGACGTCACCCAGGGTTGCTTTCTGCCACAGCAGGCACTCTGCTTCGTGCCTTTCTCACTTCCATTTGTAAATGATCTTGTCTCCTTCCTTGTAGAAAGCTTTTCAGCCATTCCAGGCTTTCTCTTTGGGTTCCATCCCTCTGGGATTTTCCACGAATTGCATTTCCTTGTAGTTCATTTTCATCATTTTCCTTGTTAGGGAAATGCACCTGAGACATTGGCATGCAGCCTGATTGCCCCCGGCCTCCCCTCTGCTCATTGCCAGAGCTACCTCTGCACAGAGGAGTCACTCTCCTCCCACTCCAGGGCCTCTGTCAGGGGCCAGGCTTGATGCTGTCACCAGCCAGCTCTTCACTGCTGCCCAGTGCCATATTCATATCCATTGAGACAAGTCCCTGGGAAATGGTTGGGAGCCGGGGGACAGCCCTGCATCCTGAGATCCTAAGATCAGGGAGGTTCTCCCTGCACTCCCAGCTGGAAGGAGACTGGATCGGCCACCCTCACCAAATTCCCAGATTCTCTGACTGAAGCAAGCCAGTCCTTGGTTTGAATGGGGAATCAACTCAGGGTTATAAAATAGACGCCAGCCTTCTTGTAGGTAGAATCTGACTTCAGACAGCAAAAGACTCTAAAACAGCTTAAATTCCTGTATATGCCTTCTCCTGTGCATGCCACCGGTCAGACCAAAGGCCACACGCCAATCAAGGCCCAAGATCAGCCAGGGGTGTTTCCATGTCCTCAAGAACTTTTACAAACTGTAGCTGATTGGGTTCCGCCCCTGGAGATTCGATTTAGTGGGTCTGGAGTGAGGCCTGGGCTTCTTAGAAGCCCCAGCGGATTCTAAAATGCAGCCAGGAGGAAGAACGTTGCCAGAATCCCATGAGGCACAGATGCAAATGTGCATAGTGACATTGGGTTGCATTATCAATGGCAGGACTGACTTTATAAACCTCCACATCCTTACTGGAGCTGCTGTTTGCTTTTTAGAAAAGTCCCTCATCAGATTATCAGGAAGTCGTGGGTTTTCCGTGATCATGCTGTGGTCAGATCCAGCCCAACCAGAGAGCCAAAAACAAAACAAACATACAAAACAAACAAACAAACAAACAAAACCCAAATCCCTGGCAAGCCCCACGAAATGACTGCTCTGATAACATTCAGCAGACAAGCCTGTTTGAAATCATCTCAGAATCATACCAGACCCAAACCCAAGAGGTCATCTGGTCTATGCATCGACTCTAGGAGGGTGTATTAGTCCGTTTTCACGCTGCTGATAAAGACACACCCGAGACTGGGCAATTTACAAAAGAAAGAGGTTTCATGGACTTACAGTTCCACATGGCTGGGGAGGCCTGACAATCATGGTGGAAGGCAAAGAGGAGCAAGTCACATCTTACGTGGATGGCGGCAGGCAAAGAGACAGCTTTTGCAGGGAAACTTCCTTTTTTAAAACCATCAGATCTCGTGAGACTTACTCACTATCACGAGAACAGCACGGGAAAGACTCGCCCCCATGATTCAATTACCGCCCACCAGTTTCCTCCCACAACACAAGGGAATTGTGGGAGTTAAAATTCAAGACGAGGTTTGGGTGAGGACACAGCCAAACCATATCAGAGGGTGAGGGGCTATTTCTCCATGTTACAGACAAGGCACGTGAAGCCTAGGGACGTTCCATCACAGGCCCACACCTTGTCTCAGAATTAAGAGGAAATGCTTCTGGCTGCCAGGGGTGGGGTGGGGTAGGATGCAGAGCCTCTCCCTCCACCACCACCTCCATCCTTTTCCCTTTCTCTGAAAATCTCATTTGATGATTCCCCAGCCTGGCTGCAAATTAAAGATTTGTAGACCTGAAAGATGCTACCGATGGTTATCAGCACCACCACCACCATCGTAACAGTAAACATTTATGGAGCGCCATAATTATTCATAATAATTTTTATGTGTTAAACAAATCTGACCTAGCTCTATAAAGAAATAGGCCCTGTTAACCAAAAATATTGGATAAATTAAAAGTCTCCTAGAAGCATCTGATGAAAGGATCTCAAGTTCCATAACACACGGACCATTCAGTGGTGTTGTTTCTGGGCTTGATTCACTGTGGGTCACTTGAACGATGTCGGGGGTATTGTCCACCTCCCAGTGCTCAGTCTGTGGCTTGTGGCCAGCTGTTCCTCTGTGGGGTCTATGTTGGCTGTGTTAAGGCCTGCTGCAGAAACATCTCATTTCTAGCATGTTTTTCTCAAGCAGTGATCCTGTGGGGTCAAGTCTTCAATATCAAATAATATTGATAATAATTATGATAGAAATAATAAGAGGCCAGGCACCGTGGCTCACATTTGTAATCCCAGCACTTTGGGAGGCAGAGTTCAGGTGGATCATTTGGGCCCAGGAGTTCGAGATCAGCCTGGTCAACATGGTGAAACCCAGTCTCTACTAAAAATACAACAATTAGCCGGGCATGGTGGTGCACACCTGTAATTCCAGCTACTCGGGAGGCTGAGGCAGGAGAATTGCTTGAAACCAGAAGGCAGAGGTTGCAGTTCGCTGAGATTGCACCACTGCACTCCAGCCTGGGTGACAGAGTGAGACTCTGTCTCAAAAAAAAAAAGAAAGAAAAAAGAAATAAAGAAGAATAATAAGAATTATCAGTCATTGAACACGCGCTCTGTTCTTGGTGCTCTTGGTGTTATTCCAGGCAATTCTAACACCAATTAGATATTTTCCCCTATTTTAAAGATTAAAGCAACTGGCGCAGTGGTTCACACCTGCAATCCCAGCACTTTGGGAGGCCAAGGTGGGAGGATCACTTGAGGCAGGGAGTTCAATACCAGCTTGGGCAATATAGTGAAACCCCTGCCTCTACAAAAAAAAAAAAAAAAAAAAAAATCAAAAATTAGCTGAGGCTGGTGGTGCGTGCTCGTACTCCCAGCTACTCAGGAGGCTGAGGTGGGAGGATTGCCTGAGGCCAGGAGTTGGAGGCTGCAGAGAGCTATGATGGTGCCACTGCACTCTAGCATGGGCGACAAAACAATAGTCTTGTCTCAAAAAAACTAAAAAAGACTAAAGTGAAATTGAAATTCAGAGAGTAAGTGACTTCAAGGTAGAGGCAGAAACAGAGGCTGGATTTGAATTCGATCCTCTGGCTCCAGAGCTCCTGGGAGTTATCTTGGGAATGACTGCAAGGTCTGAGGTAGATCGTTCCAGGAGCAGGTGCTTATATACAGTGGAATGGCACCCACTGGCACACCACTAGGAATTCTGTTTTCTTACCACCACCGGAGCCAGGTCTCTGTCACGGTGATGAGAAGTTCCCAAAGTCATTTCTCCTCTCTAGGGTGTCCCCTCTCTGTCTGCTGCCACTAAATCCCTAACGACATTAGAGCGAATAAATGGCATTTTTAACTTCAGCTTTAAGCAACAAAGAAATACTATTAAGTCAAGATGTGTCCATCTTTACCATAAAAAAAAACAAAAAACTTGCTTCAATAACCAATAAACAGATCAAACAACAGAAAAATAAATAGCAAAAGACTTCAGGGCTCGATGGCTCACACCTGTAATCCCAGCACTTTGGGAGGCGGAGGTGGGTGGATCACCTGAGGTCAGGAGTTTGAGACCAGCCTGACCAATACGGTGAAACCCGCCTCTACTAAAAATACAAAAATTAGCCAGGCTTGGTGGCGTGAGCCTGTAGTCCCAGCTACTCAGGAGGCTGAGATAGGAGAATTGCTTGAACCCAGGAAGCAGAGGTTGCAGTGAGCCAAGATTATGCCACTGCACTCCCCATTCTGGGCAACAGAGCAAGATTCCATCTCAATAATAATAATAATAATAATAATAATAATAATAATAATAAATAAATAGCAAAAGAAAGAAAAAACCCTCAGCTAAGAAGTATACTGTTGTGTTTTTTGGGGTTTTTTTTATGTAACATTTGACAAGTTTACATTTTCCTTGTCTGCCTTGGGTGCCTTAAAATAAAACTCTGTCAATATTTCCATGTAACATTGGGTTTTGCTTTTTTTTTTCCTCACGTAAAATCCACATATCAGGAATTCCTCTATTTATTCCGTCGCCTGGGTTTCTTTCCTTGGGAATAATTTATATGTCAAACCTGTCATTTATCGATTTATTGCTGTACCTAGCAGCATTTTTCTCCCTGCCCTCAAAATTTAGCTTAAAGACCACTTAATAAGGCCTGTGCGGGTCCTCAGACTCCAGAGATTTCTGCTGATATGAGCCATAATTTAGCAAAACAAATCCTGCTCATTGCGGGCATCTAAATGGTATCCTGTTAAATTTCCATACATGCTTTTCTTTTCTAAAGTTATGGCCTACAACTAGAAGAAGGGATGAAACATCACCCCTACCTCCACATCTTATTTCCTGTATCAAATTTCGAAGCCCTTGGAGATGCAAGGCGGGTTTCCCTAATGAGTTGAGAATCAATGCGAATCATCTGAAATGAGAGGTGGCCCGTGGGTGTAATCCATCCCTGCTGGTGCTCCAACTTGGTTACACATTTCCAGAAACCAGCACCTCCCTGTTGTCCATGTCTGGTCATCAGAGGCCTCTCTCCTCAGGTGGGATAACCAGAGACCAAGAAAGAAACATGTTTCTCTCCCTTGGAATTTCTCTTCCTTAGTCATTTTCAGAAAGTTAGGAGTCGGCAACCTTAAGGAGGAGTTTCCTATCATCTCTCCTCCACTTCCTCCCCTCGTTTCCTCCCCGTCTTCTCCTTGGAGTCCTTCATCAATGTCTCTATTTTCTGTTCAGGATAAACAAAGAGTCCCTCTTACCTGCACAGGCCTCACCTGCCTTCCCCCCCTGTCATTTCTGCAGCCAGCCTGTCTCCTGAGCCTGGCCTGGCATTCTCCAAAGACTCCTTAAGGCCACTTGGCTTCCGGTCTGCCTCTAGGCTTCACTGTCTGCACCAGAGTGGAAATTGTCATGTGCCCTCAGCAACATTTTACCCCTCCCTTCCAGAACAGACACAGGCATTTCTTCCACAAGCAGTATTCCACAGATGAAAAAAAAAAATTATAAAAGCGAAACCAAAAATACTGGTAGTATATTTTTTTCCCTTCAAAAGAATGATAATCATCAGTAAAAACCACAACAACAAAAAACTAAGCAAAGCAGCCTGAAGATAGGCTGAAAGCACACATCTACGGATGGCTTGTTGTTGTTTTGTTTTTGTTATTGTTATTTTTGAGACACAGTCTTGCTCTGTCACCCAGGCTGGAGTGCAGTGGCGCGATCTCGGCTCACTGCAACCCCCACCTCCCGGGTTCAAGTGATTCTCCTGCCTCAGCCTCCTGAGTAGCTGGGATTACAGGCTTGTACCACCCATGCCCCATGCCCGGCTAATTTTTGTATTTTTAGTACAGACTGGGTTTCACCATGTTGGCCAGGCTGGTCTTGAACTCCTGACCTCAGGTGATCCGCCTGCGTCGGCCTCCCAGAGTGCTGGGATTACAGGCATGAGCCACCATGCCCGGCCAGGATGTTCTGAATATTAAACTAGCTGACCGGTGGACATTAGCTGTGCTGTGGAAAAGTGAAGCAGAATGGCTTTTTATCCCTTGTGTATGATCATCAAGACACAGGACAGCACAGAGATTCAAAATACAATGCATTCCCCTTGCTCGTCTGGTCAAGCTCACCTTCCTATTGCACAGGGTTGATTGGTTGGAGGCCGCCAACCTCTAGCTGAAAGGCAGAGACAGTCTCCCCTGTTATTTCGGTACCAAGCTGTGTTTCTTAGGCATTAAAATGGAGGGAAAGCAACCACTGGCCCCTCACTGGGATTGTTCTTGAGGATTCCAGACAGACCATAAGTAATTCATTGAGTCGCTCACAAAGGGCCTGGCCCTGAAGGTTTGTGGCTGCAGCATCCAGGCGAGCCAAAGGTGTCAGTGCCACCAAAATGCAGAGAAAACTCTTATCAGAAAGATGTCATTTTTTTCCCCTAAATGTCATATATACAATTTTTATTGGAGTGTGATGACAGATAGTGAATAAATTAACATAAATTTGCATAATACAATACAGCTGTTAATTTATGATCATATTAAAACACAAAGTTTTGTAGTTTGAAGCAGTTAAAAGTCTTAATCTTCTGAAAATTTCCCTCTTGTTTGTTATTTGTTTATGAGTTACTTAGGGTTATTAGATAAAATACAGGCTTCTGGTTAAATTTGAATCTCAGATAAACTGTAAATAATTTTTTAGTGTATCTCATGCAATATTTGGGACATACTTATACTAAAAAGTTAATCTTATTGTATATCTGAAATTCACATTTAACTGAATGGTTATATTAATATTTTTATTTGATAAATCAGGCAACTCTGTATTTCATAAGCAGTTTAACCTCTCTCTACTGGCTCTTCTCTGGCAGGGCAGAGGGGTGCTGTTTTATGGAGAAAGGCACTTACTGCTGGGACCTTGATATCTTTAGACTGTGGGGGAGGCTGGCTCTCCTAGGAACACTAACAGAGTCAAAGAGATCAGACAAGAGAGGTGCCAGTGCAAAGGGGGAAACTGAGGCAGGCAGCATGCCTGGGCTTTCTTGACAGTACCAGGGGTATTATAGCCCTGTTTTCCAGATTTTTTGGACTACAATCTCATCATAAGAAATATAATTTATAATTCAACCCAGAACACACATCCCTTATAAATGGAACAAAAAGTTTTAGGAAACATGTCACCTTCTATGTACAATCTGCTCGACATCCTGTTCTAGTTGATTTCATTTCTTTAAATGCCACTCTTAACCCCCTAAATTGAATTCATGGATTGAATTCATGGTCCCCTAAAGGATCACAGCCCACATGTTGAAAAACACTGGGTTAGAGGGTCACAGTTCAGGAAAATGAACGAGGAGGTTTTTTAAAATCTACTTTACAAACGAGGAAATGTATCGGGTTCCTTAAGAGCCTTTCCAGGAAAATTTTTGCTCATTTGTGGCCAAACTCGAAATAAAACTTAGGTCCCCCAACTCCCAACCCTGCGTTTTCTGGTTTCCTTCCACCACTCTTTCTAGTATCCATTTTCCTGGTCTCCAAGTTGTAATACACATTCTGGGATCCACATTTACTTGTTTTATTTTACATAATTATATTACTTGTATACTATTTCCTTATACTTCATATTCTTCTCAAATTTCCATGTTTTATATCATTTCTGATGCAAACTGATTACATCATTGCTTATGGCACATTCTTGACTGATATCAACATTTTAAACCAAATTGTCTTGGTACGCACCCTCTGATCTTTGGCATCTTACTGCCCTGCCCCATCTTCAACCTCGGCTCACTATTTTGGTGCCTCAGGAGGTCTCAACCATGAACCTTCCATGTGCTCTCACTGGGATTGGTGCCATCTGTGACATAAGAAAAACATAGAAACATAAAAACATAAGAAAAACTATTATTTGTTGTGATTTGTTCTCCCTAATCTATGAAGTCGGTAGGGTATCTGTTATAAAGATTCCCTTCTAGAGTCGAGAAAACAGAGGCTCAGAGAGGTTAAGTGTTTTTCTCAGGGTCACACAGCAAATACAGAACTCCAGTCTTCTTGCTGTGTCTCTTACCCTCTGTCATCAGGATGCAGGGGCTGCTGAGCTGAGATGCCTGCAGATGAGTAAACTGGCGGGAAGAAAGACACCAACCCAATAGATCTCCATGTATTTTATATATTTTCTCACCTACTCAGTCTAGATTTTCAAACAACATACAGAACTTTCTGGGATCTTGTCATCATTCAGTGTACTGTCCTCTGGATCCTCTCCAGGAGCCGCCCACTCCGCACACATTTTTTTTTCTAGTTGTCATAAACAAATTTCAAAGAAAGCCATTTTCCCAGAGCCCTTTCTTGTGACTCTACCACAGTTCATCCTGGTTTGCAGAATCCAAACTCAGGGCTTCCTTCCAATATTTTTATTAGTTCAGTAGTCGATCAGTTTGCACAGAGAAGTGGATTGGAGCTCCCCTTCCCTTGGAGCTGCCAGTGGAGAAAGTCTCCTCCAACCCTCAGGCTCAGCACCACTCAGGGCCAGTGAGATGCACAAACAGCATCTTGCAGGTACCACAATGCCTTCATCACTTGTATCTTCCCCGACCCTGTGATGAAGTAGGATGAAGATGGCTGAGGGTATGGACGTTGGGCCCACCTCCCTGGCTTAAAGCTGCTGGACCCCTTACCCGGCCATGTGGCCCTGGGGCATGACACAGTTCCCCCTAAGCCTCGCTTCTTCACTGTTTAAAGGGGATAATAATAGCATCTGCTCTGTTAGACTGAGGGCTGGTTAAGTGGAATAACATACTTAGCACATAGCCTGGTACCCACTTATTTTTTTTATTTTGCTACTTTGTTTCAAATCTTCAAATCTTCCTATTATTCCTTTTTTACAGAGCCATGTCAGAAACCTTAGATTCACGTCCCTTCCATGTGTCCCTTCCACATGTCCCTCCTTGACCTGCCACAATGCCTCTGCTCCACCCAGAGCCTCAGCACCTGCGTTCTGCCCCCTCAGTAACCAGGGTCCCTCACCTGCCACTCCTGGGTTGCTCTCTCCTTTTGAACTAGAAATTTTTCTACCCTCCTGCCCCTCCAGCCAAAATTACCTTTTTGATGTCCCATTTCCCCAGGACACTATTTTGTCCTAGGGATCAAAAATAAAAAAATAAGAAAGAAAGAGAGAGAGAGAGAGAGAGAGAGAGAGAAAGAAAGAAAGGGAAGGGGGAAAGAAAGAAGAAAAGAAGAAGAAAGAAAGAAGAAAGAAAAAGAAAGAGGAAGGAAGGAAAAGAAAGAAAGAAAGAAGAAAAAGAAAAGAAAGAAAGAAAGCAGGAAAGAAAGAAAGAAAAGAAAGAAAGAAAGGGAAGGGGGAAAGAAAGAAAAGAAGAAGAAAGAAAGAGGAAGGAAGGAAGGAAAAGAAAGAAAGAAGAAAGAGAAAGAAAGAAAAGAAAGAAAGCAGCAAAGAAAGAAAGGAAAGAAAGAAAGAAGGAAAGAAAGAAAGAAAGAAAAGAAAAGAAAGAAAGAAAGAAAAGATCAAATTACCAGGATCTGAGGACCTGGGAGGATTTCAGAAATCGCTGGTCAGTCCCAGCAACTAAGGCTCAAATGCCCTCCCCAGGATTCTGCTGGAGATCATTCTGCCAGTCACTCCAGGAGCGAGGGGCTCACCTCTTCCTAAGGCAGGACTTTCCACGAGGCTAGACCAGACCAGTGTCCTCCAATTAATTCATTTCCCTGTGTCTTCCATCCATGGTTTCAAACTCTGGGACCCCAAAGCACAGTGGCCCTTTACAAAGTTGAAGGCTATGTCCCTCTGGCTTCTGCAGCTTTTCCTGATGTGGCAGGGTTTCAGGTCCCCTGCCCATCCACCCCCCACCCCTCTAGCCTGACTGTCTGTGTCCCTCTAGAGGGTGACATGCCTTGAATGGCAGCGAACCCTGGTGTGGGCTGATGGTGTGGAGTACAGAGCGGTAGCCGCTGCCCTGTTATCAGCTGCTTCCAAAGGCCAGGGTGGTCGTTAGTGCATCATTAATAACCCATTATCGGGTTGTCATCTCTGAATTTATCTAAATTTATCTCAATTATTGTAACCCTGTAGACTGATAAGCCCTATAAGTATAAAATACACTGGATGAAAAAGCTACTTCCTATTATTTGTTCTAAAAAATTAACTCCTTCAAGTAATCTAGAGTTTGGTGACCAATTTCTTATTTTACCCTCCTCACATCTTCAAAACTCAGCACTGGTGATTTCACGTCTGTTGATGGGATTCATCTGTCCCCCTCCACTAGACTGGAAGCTCCCCATAAGGTGAGACCCACTATAGCATCCCCCAATGTCCAGCACGGAACTGGAGCATCACAGGTGCCCTGAGGAATGAATGGGTGGACGGCGCTTACAGACTCGGGTGCCACTTCCTCTTGTCCAGCTCCATGCCCTCCCCCATAGTGTGTGGACCATCGGGGGCCTAGAACTGAGGTCCTGGTTGGTAGCACCCAGGAGCCTGTTCCCAACATGGCCCCATGGCAGGGCCTGGTCTCCAGGTGTGGCATGAGGTGCTACATGAGCATTCTGTGAGCATCTTCAGGGAGAAAACAAAGTGTTGGCCAGGCCCACCGGAACAGCGGCCCACCTAAACAGGCTGGCGGGCGGAGGAGTGCCACAGAATGGACATGGGGAGGCCTTACAAGGTCTGTAGTAGCAGAGGTAGTGAATGTTTGTTGAGTTCTCTCTATGCGCTAGTGTTATTCTAAGTGAGGTCCATGGGCCACGCTTTTTGCTGACTACAACTCTGTGGAGTAGGACTAGGATTATCCCCATTTTCCTGGGTGAGAAGCTGAGGCTGCCAGAGTTAAGTTGACTAGGGCCACACAGCTGAGAAGTGGTGAAGCATAAATTGAAACTTGGGCAGTCTGACTCCCATATACTTTAAAAGAAAATATTTCCATAGATTATTGGGGAACAGGTGGTATTTGGTTACATGAGTAAGTTCTTTAGGGGTGATTTGTGAGATTTTGGTGCACCCATCACCCAAGCAGTATATAATGAACCCAATTTATAGTCTTTTATCCCTCACCCCCTTCCCACCTCTCCCCCCAAGTTTCCAAAGTCCATTGTATCATTCTTATGCCTTTGCATCCTCATAGCTCCCGCTTATGAGTGAGAACATACCATGTTTGGTTTTCCATTCCTAAGTTACTTCACTTAGAATAATCGTCTCCAGTTCCACCCACATTGCTGCAAATGCCATTAACTCATTCCTTTTTATGGCTGAGTAGTATTCCATCATATATATATATATATACATACATATATATATATGTGTGTGTGTGTGTGTGTGTGTGTGTGTGTGTGTGTGTGTGTGTATATATATATATATATACACCATAGTTTCTTTATCCACTAGTTGATGGGCATTTGGGCTGGTTCCACATTTTTGCAATTGCGAATTTGTGTGCAAGTTTGCTTTTAACCACTATGCGATCTTGGCTCTCAAGGTGGAAATTTGATGTGGAAAGCAGAGTCAGGCCCTGGAAGAATCCCCCAGGCTATCTGTAAGAGCTAGAATCGGTATGATGTTCTAGAAGCAATTGGCCTGGGCAGTGCCCTGAGAGCTTAGCAGTGCAGTCATGAGCCAGCACTCTGCCTGGGTCTCTGTCACAGAGTTTCTCGTGCTTGGCTGCAGCCTGGAGCCACCTTGGGGAGCTTGATGCCTGGGGCTCCCCACGGATTCCAGTGTCATCGGCCTGGGCATTTGGCATTTGGGATATTCACAAGCTCCTTGGTGACTCCAGGGTGCAGCCGAGGTTGAGAACCATTGGGAATAGAAAAGCAAGAGGAAGCTGTTCTCACCTGCCCTTTCCACACCAGAGCCCCAGGGTCCCGGGGAGACTAAAGCTGGGGTCTATTTCTATTCCCCCAACCAAGACGGGAGCTTCACATCCCCACACACTGAGAGGCCAGAATGGGTCAGACCAGAGTGAGTGTGCTCTGGCTAAGACTGGCCGACAGCTCTGTTCCCCTGGGGTGGGGACTGGACGTGGCCCTTTGGTTTAACTGCATTTTACTCTTTCCAGCCTGTCTGGCCATTATTCTTGCAGGAGCACGCAGGACTAAAGTCCCCTTCCTCAGCACCACGCATGTCCCATCTCACCCTGTGTCTTCCAACTTCACTTGCCATAAATCAGTTGTCAGGACCCCCGACCCTAAAACAGTCACCTAATGATAAATCATGTTTAATTCTAATGGAACCCTCCCGCCAAGACTACTCATCAGAGAGGAAGCTAATTCGCAGGGATATGAAGAGCTTTCTAAAATTAGTTCCAGACGTTTTTTGTCTTAAATCTGTATTATGGCTGCCCTATTTTTAATTTACTTTTTGAAAAACCACATTGGGACACTAAGTAATCTGGGGGCCCAAAAGACTTTGGGGGCCACGGGAACCTCCCAGGCCCTAGGGGGCAGTAGCACCACCATGCAGATCACCAGTTCCACAAAAGAACGGAACTCCACCAGTACCTAGTGTTATTAGTATAAGTTTTGGGAAAGGTCCTTCTTTTCTTAGCTCATTAGAAAAACAATCACAGCATCCTATGGACTGGGCCAAAGTGGGCAGACATTGCAGTCCAGCCCAAAGAGGCCTGTCCCAGCAGGACGCCAGGGGACAGGGTCAGAAAGAGGCAGCCCACAAGCTGAGCACAGCTGCAGAGGTTTTAGCTTGCTTACTACATTTGAATTAATTGCCAAACTTTTAAACTCAGGGGAATTCCGCAAAAATCTAGGTACCAGCTTTTCTTGAAGACAACGGAAGCTCAGGCCACCCTGAGGCCATCACCTCTGGCAGTCACCTGCCAAGCACGTGGCTCCAGCTTAGCCCGAGCGCCTCCACCTGCCCCGTCAAGGCCCAGATGCAGTGGCCCTTACCCATCACACTTGCGCTGTTCTGACCACAGACTCACAGTCATGGTCCCACCTGGCCCCATGGACATTTGGGTTTGCATCATCATCTAATGACACAGTGAAGCTCCTTGGCCTACCAGCTCCCTTTGTGTTCACCTTGACCAGCCCCCAGCTCCTTGCTTCTGCATCTTGACTTCTGCCGTGGTCCTGCCCAGAACCCTGAGGGCTGTTTCTCTTCCCTACTCCCCTCCGGCTTCTCCTTCCTACCTTTCCACGCTGCAGGATGGGGTACTTCTGCTTGCCTCAGCTGCCTGGCCCCTCCAAAGCCTCCTTTGACCATCAGCCCAGCTTGCATGGATGCCCGGGACACATACAGCACTTTCTTGGTCTTGGTTTACAAAGTAGTCTGCCCCAGTGGTCCCACCACACCTCCAATCAACTCCAGACCCCAGCCAGCCACTTGAAAATCTGTAGTCCAGGCCAGAGGGCAAAAGGCACAGTCGAGGACAAGGAGCAGGCATCCCGTGTGGCGGGAGCAGGAACACTCTTGCTCAGGGTGCTGTGCGATGGGCCATTGGTAGGTAGTCCCAGCTGGTCTGGTGTGTGAGGGGAGAGGCAGGTTCACCCAGCTGTCTGTGCCCGGGCAGGGCAACTCCCGAAGTGGGCTGAGGGAGAGCTCTCCGTGATCTCTAAGGAGGGAGGCAGCGCATTGCAGGGTTAGCAAACCTTTAGAAGATCCTCCCGGTGTTCTTCCTCCCGCTCCTGCCCTGCCCATAGCAGAAATCAACAACACGTGGGCACTGAGCTCTTTTCCAGAAACTTTCCAAAGAGACCCATGGGTCTGGCCAAGACCCTCAGGGGTTGCCCTCATTGGCCTGGGGACAGTTTTTGAGCGACTGCTCTTTGAGAAGAAGTCAGCATCAGAGGGAGTCAGAGAAGAGGGGTAAGCAAGCTAGGTTGGGGAGCTGCTACCCCCAAATCAGACTGCAAAGACAGGCAAGGGTCATGGCCACTTCCGTGGGCCCAGTGCCAGACAGCTCCACAGAGGCTCAGAGAGGGCTGAAGGGCCAAGCCTAAGGAAAACAACAAGGCTGAAACTCCCCATGTCTAACGACATCGTGAGCGTGGCTGCAGAGCTCCCACATGGCTTCCTCCTCCTTCCCAAGGGGCTGCCCCACCGCTTTGCCCTCACTAGCCAGAGCAATCTACCTTGTTCACTTTGCCCAAGACACAGGGAGGACCCCTGTGGTCTTTGCAGGGGCTTCACCCAGTTGAGCTGGGAAGAGACCTCACAGCATCCTCCCCATCTCCCTGGCCCGGGTTTAGAATACTGAAGACACATAGTCCTGTCCTCCGTGGCCTACGCAGATCCTTCCTGTTCCTGAGATCTCTGGCCCCATGCGGGCCCATCTCTGCATTCCTAGCTTGGTGGATGCCCTGCCTATCTGGCTTCTACCTTTGATTGTTCCCTTGGTCACTCCGATGCCATGGTCCTATAGCAATCAGGGTGCTGAGTGAGTCCCTGCCTGTCCTGCCTTATAAGGAAGAGACAATTATTTGTGTCCTGCCCATCTTTGCTCATCATTGTCATGGGTTTTAGAATCAAGCCGACTTGGCTTTTCACTCCCTTAACACTGTGAGCTCCTCCTTATGCAAAACACCACAGGCCTGCCCGCCGGCCTTAAGCACACACCCTTCTGAGCCTCAGTTTTCCTGTCTGTAAAATAAAACTCAATGAAATGACACAAGTGAAACTCACCTGGTGCCTGCCCTCTTCTCATAAATGGCCCATTGCTTCTGTTCTCCTCTCCTCCCCCAGGCCAGGCCTCCCCTCCCTAGTCCTCATCTTATACCCACACCTCCCTGCCCCTCACTCAGGGCCTTGGCTCTGAAGGGAGACCCCGAGGCCATCTGAAAGTGTGAGCACAGCTGGCGGTGGTGGCTGGCATCCAGGGGACGTGAGGGCGCATTCGCCCCAGCGCAGCATTCCTCCTTCCTAAGCTTGCACAGGGCCTGGTATTGAAGGGCAGCAGATTCATTCCAGCATGACTACTGCAGCTACCTGTGTCTCCTGGCGGAAGGGGCAGCCTCAGGAGTGTGGAGTTCAGGGATCCAGCTTTGACTTGGCCACGCCCAGAGCCAGCCAGCCTCGAGCACCTGTTTCCTGTCTGGGGGCACGGGAACCCTCCTGTCCTCCAGGGACCCCAGCCTCCTCATCTCTGCTGGGCAGTCATCTACTACCCCTGGTTCTGACCCCTGAGACCTCTTGTCCTGGAGCCCGCAGGGTCCAGCTCAGCTGTGCCCCCTCTCGGGGCCGCTCTGGTGGCTTCTTTGCTGCCACCCTCCCCACCCCCGGCACTGTGCTCTCCCTGCCCCCACTACCACTCTCATCTGGTTGCCCAGTCCATGATTGTGAACTTGACCTCTACCCCTGGCTGCCTGGGCCTACGATCCTGCAAAAACCCCTCCAACCAGCTGGCCCCACCCCTCAGGACTTCCCTCCTGTGGCAGAGTCACCTGTGACACCTGGAGGGACTCCAGTCCAGTGTGTCCCCACCTTCAGGCTAACCCCCTTGGAGAAGCCTCCCGACGGTGCAGGCACGGGGGCACAGAGGCAGCAGGACATTGCAGGAGCAGAGACACGAAGACAAAAGAAACAAATGATTCCTTAAGATCCATGGCCAAAACAAATTGCCGCAATTAACACGTGCCACTGCCACGATCTATGGGCTGAAACGTGGCTGGAACGACGCAGAAGCAGAAACCACAGAGAGCGTGCGCTCCAATAAAACGGCACTAAATGGCACGGCTGTGATGGAACTCGTTTCGATTTTGTTCCAAAACCTTGTTTAAGTGCGTTTATTGTTTCTGTGTGAAAGAACACAAATGCTTTTTGAAAATTGCTTCAGCATAAGCCTCACCTTCTCCAGAAAGTCTTTCTGATCCCTCCCATCCCTACCCCATGCAGGTCCGTGACCCCCACGATGCCCCCATATGTTGCCCCCCTATGTTGCCACGGTGCCCACACTTCCCTGTCACCACCAGTGTCCTCCTGGCTTCTCCACCCCCAGGGACTGTGCATCACCCGTCTCCACCCCACCCCAGAACAATGCTCTGTACACAGCAGACAGCAGGCAGCAGGTGACACAGGCCCAATGGAATGACTGTCAAGGTTAAGGGAGAGGTCATTTATGAACATCAAGGGAGGCACGCAGGCTGCTAAGGGGACCCTTGCAGAACAGATGAAATTCTTATTAGAAAGAGTCAGTGTTGATTTCTCAAAAAATCTATCAATCAATAAAATAAAAGCATAAAGACATAGAAACACATAAACAGAGAATCGTTTTACATGGAAGATGGGGAGTGGTGACTTGGCCTCATAGGGCCATAATCACCCTTTTGGGGTTTTGTCCCACATTAGAAGAGCAGCCCCATAGCAGAGATAAGAAAACCAAAAAAGGGTAACAAAAACTGGGCACAGAGTCAGGACTGGACTGAAGCCCCGGAGAGCACGGGCAGCTCTCTAGCAGGTGGGGCAAGAGGGACTTTAGCTGGGAGCACTTGGCCCCCAGCCTAGGCACCAGAGCTCGAGGGGAGACCCTTCCCATTCCCTGAGAGATGGAGTATGGGTCTCACTTGCAGGGGAGCCTCGTGGGAATCCCTCATATGGGAAGAAGGATGGCATGGAATGGCCTTTCTCTCCCCCAACGCCCAGCCAAGGGAGGCAAGCCCTCCCTGTCCGCTCTAGCAATATGGCACAAGGGGGTATGATCTGCCAGTTCTCCCTTGAGAGGCTTGGTGGGGACCACCTGCAGGCCAGCTGGCAGCCCCCCTTCACCTGCTCACAACTAGCAGGCCAGGGGGTGAGGCATGGACCAGCATCTCCGCTGCTTTGAGCAATCATGAAAACTCCAGGTCCATGGAAGATAAGAAATTGGCTATCAAGGCTCTGAGGCATGTGCTATCTGCGATTTAGTAAATCTCTTCCCACCCCCAAATTTAATTTTTTAAAAAACCTCCCTCCTCAAGAACTTCATTCTCATGTATCCTAATCCACCCCGCCAGCTCCCAGCAGAGGGGAGGGCCACTCTCTTGGGTCCAAAGGCCCACACTAGCGGGGAAGCTCGCGGAGCCATGTCTCTGGGGGCCGTTTTTACTTTGTTTTGCCACTGTAGAGGCCACTCTTGGCAAGAAGCCTTTTTCACTAAAAGCCATCAGCTGCAGAAGAAGGCAAAGGGCTGAAATAGCATCAGGTGGAGGAGGCGGCCCTGGAGAGAGGCCTGGTTTCCATCCCAGCTCTCCCACCATCTGCCTGTGGCCTCTGCAAGCTCCCCAAGCCCTGGGGGCCTTCGTTTCCTCCCTGCAAAGGGAGCTGCCCTCAGAAGCACTCAGCTCGGTTCTTGGCATGGGGAGTGATTAGCTCTGCACAAACCTGGTAGTTTCACGAGAAGCCATGTAAGGTAGAGAAGTCGCTGAAGGCATCTCCCTCTCAGAGTTAAAAGGAAACAGAAAGACTGGATCTTGTGTCTCTTCCTCTTTTTAAAAAGGGAATTAGGCCTGGTGCAGTGGCTCACGCCTATAATACCAGCACTTTGGGAGGCCGAGGTGGGTGGATTACCTGAGATCAGGAGTTTGAGACCAGCCTGGTTAACACGGAAAAACCCCGTCTCTACTAAAAATAAAAAAATTAAAAACAAACAACAACAAAAACCATTAGCTGGGCATGGTAGCGCACACCTGTAGTCCCAGCTACTTGGGAGGCTGAGGCAAGAGAATTGCTTGAACCCGGGAGGCAGAGGTTGCAGTGAGCCGATCCAGCCTGGGAGAGAGTGAGACTCGGTCTCAATAAATACATAAATGGGAAGTCATATCATCACGAGGTCCCCACTTACCCTCATGACCTCATCTAACCCTAATAACCTTCCAGAGGCCCCGTCTCCAAGTATATGATCATGTTGGGGAATAGGGTTTCAACACATAAACCTGGGGAGGCCGGACTCACACATTCAGTCCATTGCACAATGTATCAAAAATTCTAATTGTATTGGGCAAGCCTACACTGCCCAATTGTAAGCGAAGTCCCTGAGGCCGGAGAAATCAAGGTATCCATCAGTGAATACAGGGTATTAAGAAATGCCAAAGCTTACTGCTCAAGTTCATCTCCTGCTGACCCTGCGGCCCTGCTGCCTGGGCCTAGAATGGACGCACTTCTCCACAAGGCCTTGTCTTTCTTGAGATTCTCACAGTGTGACCCGAGAAGCATGCTCCACAATTTCTTATCAATTGAACACTAAAAATCCCATCTAGCTATGGGATGCCTAGTTTCTCCTCCTGGATTTTGTGGTTAAACCCTTCTGTCTCCAATGCAATGTAGCAGTGAGCACAGCTCTGGACCCGCATCCCAAGGCCTGAGGTCTAACGCTGCCTCTGCCCCCTCCTTTGCTGTGCAGCTTAGGCAAGTCACTTCACCTCTCTGGGCTGTGGTTCCTCATCCATCCAATGGGAGGGTTGAACTGCTCTTTGTTTGCTTTGCTTTGCTTTTTCTTTTTCTTTCTTTCTTTTTTTTTTTTTTTTTTTTGAGACACAGTCTCACTCTGCCACCCAGGCTGGAGGGCAGTGGCTTACTGCAGCCTTTGCCTCCCAGGTTCAAGTGATTCTCCTGCCCCAGCCTCCCAAGTAGCTGGGATTACAGGTGTGCACAACCATGCCCAGCTGATTTTTTTTGAGATGAAGTTTTGCTCTTGTTGCCCAGGCTGGAGTGCAATGGCGTGATCTGGGCTCACTGCAACCTCTGCCTCCCAGGTTCAGGTGGTTCTCCTGCCTCAGCCTCCCGCGTAGCTGGGATTACAGGCACCTGCCACCACACTTGGCTAATTTTTTGTATTTTTAGTAGAGATGGGGTTTCGCCATGTTGGCCAGGCTGGTCTCAAACTCCTGACCTCAAGTGATCTGCCTGCCTTGGCCTCCCAAAGTGCTGGGATTACAGGCGTGAGCCATTGTGCCCAGCTGCTCTTCCCTTTTTACTGTCCTATGACTGGTCTCCCAATGCCAGCTGAGAGTGTTGGTCTGATCTCTTTTCTTCTAAGCTGGCCACACAAATGGACCTCAGTTACTCAGTAGCCCTTAAAATCTGGTACCAGTCACCATTTAGGCCTCTGGACATCATCCTTGGGCAAAGGAGGCTTTTTTTTTAAGCTTGGGCCTAGCCCTCCCCACTTATATCCTGGACTGTGAAAATGGACCGAGTGGGCAATAGGGAATTCAGGATGAGCTGGAAAAAAAGAAAAAAAAAACTCCTGCTGCAATAAATTACATCACAGTGGAGATCTCTTTCTACCCAGAAAATTCTGAGCCCAGACAATGGCTCATTTATTTCAGACAATATTCAATACAACAGAATTCCAGGTCAATAGAAGGATTTCTGCAGGTTCTTAGAGTTGGTAGCAAAGGGATTTAACCCACGGAGAAAAGAGAGCTGTTCAATAATAGATTCCCAGGCGTGAGGGAGGCCTTATTAATAAATCCATCGGTGGTCTGCTGAAAATGCTGCCCCCTCCCTTGCGGGCATCCCACCTGACGACAGTGGGGGACTGATGCACCCAGGGCCCTGACCAGGGAGGACGTTTGGGTAAATATTTGGGCAGAGATGGCTGCTGCTAGAATGGTGAGCAGAGCTGGGGAGCGCAGGAAACGGCCCCTTTCTCCCAGGCCCTCAGATGAGACATTTTTATAAACATCCAGGCAGGCAGCCTCTGAAGACTCCTGGGCTTTACAAACACATCTCGTATTCTATAGTCAGCTGAGACCATGCTTTGAGCATGGGCGGTAAGAGGAGCAGGAAGCAGGAGGGGCGGGGAGGGGTCTGGCACCAGCTTTCTAAATTTAACATGCAGTTGCTTTTAGGCCAGTGGATAAAAAATAAATTCCAGTGCTTAAAGCTCTTATCTTTGTTTACCATTTCCCCAAACAGCTAGTGACCTGCTCTCTGACTCCTACAGCAAATCATCAACAAGATGCACACGAAGATGAGGGATGGGAAATGCAGGAGGGGTGTGCGGAGGGCAAGTTGATGGCTCTCCGCCTTCCCGTCACGTTTATTTGGCCTGGCAGAGTGACCAGGATCTGCTAAGGTCATGAGGCTGTCCCTGGGTGGGTGGGGGCGTGGCCATGCTGCATCAGACCGGTCCAGAGGTGGAGGGCACCTTGGGGTCTCTCGTGTGGCTCTCCTGTTGATGAGGGACCTATGAATATCCCACAGCGACCTTTTCAGATGCTCCATAACCTCGTGTGAAAAGCCCCGGTGGACCTGGGCTTGCCTATTGCATTGTGAAGTTGTAGTCCTTTGAAAATCCTGCCCCACGTGGAGTCAGAATCTTTCTTTCTGGGACTGATGCCATGGGGCCTGGCTCCACCCCCACAACTGCATGGCACAGCACTGCCTTTTCCTTGGCCATGGGCTCACCCTGCAGATGGGTGATGATGCGCTCCTGCCTCCCTTCAGTTTGTTCTGTTCTCCCAAATTCTTTCAGTGTGCCTGGTAGAAGCAGTCTGCCAGTCTCCCCTCGCTCCCTCTCATTCATCCCCTCTCTAACTACTCATCCTGCGACCCCACTGACTTGGTTTTGGCCTTGTCCCTGCCACAGTTGACAAATATAATGGCGCGTCTTCTTCTTCATTATTATCATTATTATTACTGGCAATCATAGTCCACTCTGCCTCAAACTCCTAGGTTCAAGTGATCCTTCCACCTCGGCCTCCCGAGTAGCTGGGATTACAGGTGCACACCACCATGTCTGGCATTTTTTTTTTTTTTTTAGAGATGGGGTTTCACTATGTTGTCCAGGCTGGTCTCGATCTCCTGGCCTCAAGCAATCCTGCCACCTCAGCCTCCCAAAGTGCTGGGATTACAGGCGTGAGCCACCGTGCCAGCCATCAATGGTCTCTCTTAGTCTTGAATCTCCCAGGCACTGTCCAGGAGATCTGAGATGTTTTCCAGGGTCCCTTACTTTCCAGTTGCCCTGCCACCTTCCCCTGGGAAGCATTAAGGTTCAATGCTTGGCTCTGTGCTTGTTTTTCTTACCCCTATCCCAGAGGACTCATCCCCGTCTGTGCGATACCATCTCCCCACTTCTACGCCAAGCTGCTCACGGTCTCACCCAGGTGGGGTGGTGGAGGGGGCCTCCAGCAAAATCCTGCAAAAGCTGATCTCCTTCCCCTGGAAGATGCTGCCCCACCCATGTGGTCCTCTTTCTGTGTTTCTCTCAGCCACTTAGGAATGAAACCAGGGAATCCCTTTCATCTCTCTTCATTCCCTGACCCGTTAAATCCCAACACCCTCACCTCCCCTGGTAGAGCTTCCTTTATGACAGTGATTCTGAAATCCAGGCTGCATGTGATAATCCCTTGGGGGACTTCTAAAACAATACCAATTCCTGCACCCCAATCCAGACCGATTAAGTGGAAATGTTTTGGGATGGGCCCCAGCATCAATAGGGAACAGCCAAGATAGACAGCCACTGCTGATAAGGCTTCTCTCTTTCAGCCCCTTTTCCCATTCTGACTACTGGCCTTGTGATTGGAGCACCTCACTTTTGCCTGGACTATTGCAAGAACCTCCTGTCTTATTGACCTATTTCCCAACTCTTTCTACCTCAGCCATCCTACATGTCGTTGTCAGATCACACAAAGCCATTTTCAGTATGTTATCTTGACTCATCAAAAACCTTCAGTGGCTCCCTATTACCATAAAAATAAATCTGTGAATGAACAAATAAATGGTTTCCCAAATACAGAGTAAGTTCTATATGGCACAGAACCGTATCTTATCCCCTCTCTTTCCCTGCCCCTCACCCCACACACTCTGCTAATCGGAGTAAATAGAGGGAACCAGGATCTGTGGGGTGAGTGAACAAAAGCATTTTCTCTGCAAATTAAATGTGGTCCACTCACTTCCCAGTGCAGAGAAAGTGGGCTAGGTGATTTAACTATCACTTACTTAGGGGCTTATTTCTTTCAACATCATATACAGTCAGCTGTGAATGTTCCATACTAATGGAAAAAACAGAATCCTAAATATTACCAAACAGCAGATAATTCAAAGACTCGAATCTAGTTGATGTTGGAATGCGTTTTTGCTTATGAGTGCTGAGTGCTTGTGTCTGATAATTGGGGCAATTTTTAAAAATTAGGTAATTAGATGTGTTTTATTTGTTCCTATTTCCCCCTCCCCCCACTATACACACACACTATATGAATAAATAACTCAGCTCCCAAAACAATGCCCTATTTCTTTCTCTCAGTCCTTTCCTGGAATAGAGATAGTGGTTACATTTCAGAATATTAGCAAGGAAGGGAGAAGAAACTGGGGAGGAGCCTGCAGTTAGAGTAAATAGAAGAAACTAGGATGTCAACAGGCTGCTTTTCAACTGATTCACTGTTAAAATTTTAGGCAGTGTGAACAACCTGTCTGTCAAACTGTTTGCAATATCTACTAAAGCTGAACATACACATCCCTCATGACCCGGCAGTGCCATGCCCAGATGTACACCCAACAGAAACCTGTACTCTGTTCACCAAAAGCCATAAACAAGAATGTTCATAAGGCTTTATTCATAATGGCCCCCAACCTGGGAACAACTCAAATGTCCATTGACAAGGAAAAGGATGGATAAATCGGGGCAGCTCACCCAATGGAGCACCAAATCATGAGGATGAACACACCACAACACACAACATGGGTGACTGTCACAGACATGAAACTGAGCAAAAGAAGGCAGACCGAAAAGCCTGCATGGAAATATTTCATTTATAGGAAGTTCAAGACAAAGAGGCAAAAGTAATCTCTCGTGTTAGAAGTCAAGACAGTGGTTACTACTGAGGGGCATGTGACCGGGAGAGGCCACGGGTGTGCTTCCAAGTGCTGGAAGGTTCTGTCTTGGTCTAAGTGCTGGTTACACAGGAATGCTTACAGTGTGAAAATTCATTGAGCTCTAAGTTTGTGTTTGTGTCATATTTTTCCATATGCGTGTTATTCTTCCATAAAATGTACAAGAGGAAAGGAAGGGAGGGAAGGCTGGAGGGAGGGAAGGTAAGACCAGGTAGGCCCAGGTAATGGAAAAGGCTTGGAATTTGAAGACCTGGATTCAGTTCCAACTCTACCATTAACTGGCCGTGCGACCTGGGACAAGTCACTTCACCTCTCCAAATATCTGGTTTTTTTTCATCTATAAAATAGACAATAAAAGCTGCTCTACCTACCTCACAGTGTGGTTGTGAAGACCAAATGGTATAATGGATGTAAAAATCCATTGGTGAGCAATAAAGTGTTTCACAAGGCAAAACACTATTATTATTCTAGATCTCTGCAGACAGCAATTTCTGCAGCAGGTCAGCACTGTCAGTGAAGCTCAGCCCAGAGCCATCATGGAGAAGACTGATGCCCCGTGGGTTGTGTGTTTGTGTGCGCACGCAGCCTGGTTTATGTTTTTTCATTACATCTCTGCACCTAATCCCTTAATGGCCTGGGCCTCAGAGTACAAAAACACCTGGAAAAATCTCTGTGTTTTTATGAGACGGGTTCTGTCCCCTTCTAAAGCAGGTATAAATAGATGCCATGTACACTCTCTTAATTACTTTTTCTCGAGTATGGATGAATTTCAACATCTAAATCTGCCAAATTATTGAAGCTAGCACAGAGAACTTTCTGGGCATTGGCCAGGGAAGCCAGCAATGTGGATGGAAAGATTTATCACCCCCTCTCATAACCAAACCTCCATCGTATCTCCCTGCAAGCCTTGAAACTGCTCACTGGACCCACTCAGACAACAGAGCTATGGGATCTAGAAGGTGAAATGTCAGAGCTCAGAGAACCTCAGCTCCCTCCCAACCTTGCCATAAGAACTCAGGGCTGGCCGGGCGCCATGGCTTACGCCTATAATCCCAGCACTTTGGGAGGCCGAGGTGGGTGAATCACCTGAGGTCAGGAGTTCAAGACCAGCCTGGCCAACATGGTAAAACCCCGTCTCTATAAAAATACAATAACTACGTGGGCATGGTGGTGAGCGCCTGTAATTCCAGCTACTTGGGAGGCTGACGCATGAGACTCGCTTGAACCCGGGAGGTGGAGGTTGCAGTGAGCCGAGATTGTACCATTGCACTCCAGCCTGGGGGATAGAGCAAGACTCTGTCTCCAAAAAACCAGTTGCAAGGGTGAGGGGCTTTGCCTCTGGTTTATGGTCAGAAGGGCAAAGCGAAGGTCACCCCATTTTCCACGGCTTGGTTTCATATTATAGTCCCACGGTCCCTGGAGAATCAGAGTGAATGGAAATCTTTATTCTTCATATGGCTGTATTGCCCCAAGCTGTCCTCGTGCTTAAGGGATTTCCAGCTCCGGCTTCTAGAGGGCAAGGGCCAGCATCACTTGGCCTACTTCTTAGTATAAGACCAAGTCTAGTGACAGCTGGGTAGGCATAACTACTACAGATGCTGCTGTTCCTACTGCTCTGAAGAAGAAAACTGAAGCCACCTCTGCTTCTATTTCCTTTAACAACATAGAAAAATGATAATTTTTCTATTAGGTCCGTGAATCTCCAGGAAAAATCTTTGTGAAAGCAATGACATTTTTATTTTCTTTTTCTCATTTATACTCCAGATGACATCTGCACACACACCCAGTGTGTGGCGTATGTGTAGGTGTGTGACTGTGTGTGTGTGTCTAGCTTTCAGAGAAAATGATACACAAAATGATAAATATAGAAAAGAGATTAATAGGAGAGGGCAGTACTGTTATTTCCTACATAAAAGGATTTATCGATAGATTGCCCATAGAGTTAGTTCCCTAAACCATCAGGTTAATCTATTGTATTTAAATGTATTTAAATATTGGGCCAGGCAGAGTGGCTCATGCCTGTGATCCCAGTACTTTAGGAGGCTGAGACTGGAGGATCACTGGAGTCCAGGAGTTCAACACAAGCCTGGGCAACATAGTGAGATGTCCCCGCATCTCTACAAACAAACAAAAAACAATTAGACAGGCATGGTGGCTTGCACCTGTAGTCCCAGTTACTCTGGCGGCTGAGGCAGGAGGATCGCTTGAGCCCAGGAGTTCAAGGCTGCAGTGAGCTATGACAGCACCACTGCACTGTAGCCTGGGCCACAGAGCAAGAAAATAAACAAACACATATTGGTTTCTAGATCCTAAACTATATGATGGAAAGACTAAGAGACCAAGAATCTTAGGAATAAAATTAGAAGTTACTGCCCATTGAAAATCAACTACATATGAAAAAGTCTCCCCCAAAATGAAGAAACTCTGGTTTGAGAATGTAAATCACTAGGTAAAGATTCTGTTTATTTTATTTCCATGTTTCCCAATATTTAATTTTCAACCCTCTAAGAGCAGTTATTTTATAAAATAAGTCCCAGCTGAAATGAATTTGATAGGATTTTAGAATTTCTTTCTCCCTTAACACATCCTATTAGCCTAGTTCAATAGAGAGAGCAGAGCGCCTCATGTTGAAATAAGCTTTCCCGCCACTGAATGTGTTCAAACAGAAATATCACCTGCTTAGGAGGTACTTTCCAGTTGCCAAAGACTTCCACCTTCATCTTCTTGTTCACTCTACTCTGCAAGATGGGTGGGACAGCATTACAGACGAGGGGTCCTGTAGATACTGTCCTGACGACTGGCCCAAGGCCATGGCTAAGGGTTACAGACCCGGAACAGAACCCTGCCCTTTGCCTCCCTTGTGGGACCCAAAGCCAGGCCAAGGTCAAGGGGAGGCGCTGCAGGGGGGGCTTCCTCATTGGGTGTGGACAGCAAAGGTTGATTTTGAGATTTCCCCCCAGCTCTAATTCTCAGTAATTTGGCCTTTGAAACAGGAGGCAGAGAGAACCCTGGGGGATGGCTTTTCATGTTATCTTTTGGAAACATAGAAGCTTCAGGTGCTTCCTGGCTTGAAATAAGAGAATATTCTGCTCAGTCCCCCACATTTTTGAGACACTCCAGGCCCAGCAGACCCACAGCACCCTCACTAGCTGTTGGTAACGTTGGTGCCTGGATGTACTGACAGAGGACCAGGTGTGCCAAGGGCCTGTCACCCAGGCTGTAGTGCAGTGGCACTATCTCGGCTCACCGCAACCTCTACCTCCCAGGCTCGAGCAATTTTCCTGCCTCAGCCTCCCAAGTAGCTGGGATTACAGGCGCCCACCACCATACCTGGCTATTTTTCTATTTTGAGTAGAGATGGGATTTCACCATGTTGCCCAGGTTGGTCTCGAACTCCTGGCCTCAAGTGACACCCCCTGCCTTGGCCTCCCAAAGTGCTGAGATTATGGGCGTGAGCCACCGTGACTGGCCGATAAGAATTCTTTTCTAAACATGACCACAATACCATTATCAACTAAAACCAAAATGAATGTTCATTCCTTGAGAGCATCAAATATCCTGTTGGATTCACAGTTCCCTGATTGATTCATATTTGTTTTAGGTTGGTTGCAGCAGCCTCTGAACAAGGCCATCCACTTTTCACTGGCTTATTCTCACTCATCCTAAAAATCTCAGCCTGGACATTGTCGCTTCCTCCTCACAGAGTCCCTGATCCCAAATGTGGGAGATGTGTGTCTCTCATCTGTTCTCCCATCTCACCCTTATCCACTTGTTTGCATCCTGATAGACTGGAAGCTCCGAGAGGCTAGGACATGTCCGTGCATTTTAAAGTTACGTCTCCCGGGCCTAGCACAGTGCCTGGTGAATCATGCTCGCCAATTCCATATGTATTCCTTGAATATGTAAATGAAGGATCTCCTAAACAGAACTGGTTTTGCATTCCTCGTAAGCACATTCGATAACACTTTACACATCCATGTCATGATTTGTTTAGGAATCGGTTTCCTCAATGGACAGAGCCTCCTTGGACCCCCAGCACCTGGTCCCGCACCTGACCCATCCAAGGTGCCCGCTGAGGAACTGCTGAATGAAAGAGGACTTATAATAAATTCTATGTTGAGACTTTGGGTTCACAGGCCTTCCTCTCTGGGCCTCATTTTTCTCCTCTCTGTCAAGGAAGGATGGCTGGGAGGATTTCCAAGGTCCTTTCCCGGGACGGGGAGTCCTCATTTAGCATGCGCTTGTTGCCCTCTGCTGGCAGAATTTGCTCAGGACCGTTCTGTCCCTGCTATTCCTGAAAGCTGCAGACAAAGCCAGCAACTGCTGGGTGGACCAGCCAGTGAGTGGGATAGGGACTTGAGTTTTGTTGTCTCGCTGGTTCGACTAAGACATGGAGGTGTGTGCGTCCTTCTGCCTCATCCGTTCATTCCTCAGGTGTGGAGAAGCGCTAGGGTAGGTCTCAGACAGACAGTCGGAAAGACCTATGCCCCTGAGTGCACATTAGGACAGCCAGGGGGCTAAAAAGGGAGAGCTGGTGCCCAGGCCCCACCTCAGACCAACACTGGGGAGTAGGGCCCAAGCATCCATCTATACTAAAACATATAAAAATCTGGCTGTTTCTGGCTGGGCGCGGTGGCTCACACCTGTAATCCCAGCACTTTGGGAGGCCGAGGCAGGCGGATTGCCTGAGGTCAGGAGTTCGAGACCAGCCTGACCAACACGGTGAAACCTCATCTCTACTGAAAATACAAAAATTAGCCGGGCGTGGTGGTGGGTGCCTGTAATCCCAGCTACTCGGGAGGCTGAGGCAGAAGAATTGCTTGAACCCAGGAGGCAGAGGTTGCAGTGAGCCGAGACCGGGCCATTGTACTCCAGCCTGGGCAACAAGAGCGAAACTCCGTCTCAAAAAAAAAAAAAAAAAAGCTGGCTGTTTCTAACATGCAGCCACATGGAGAACTGCTGAACCAAGATGGTCTTTACATACGTATCTTTTTGTTTGTTTGTCTGTTTGTTTGAGATGGAGTTTTGCTCTTGATGCCTAGGCTGTGATCTCAGCTCACTGCAACCTCCACCTCCCGGTTCAAGCGATTCTCCTGCCTCAGCCTCCAGGGTGGCTGGGGTTACAGGCACCCACCACCATGCCCAGCTAATTTTTTGTACTTTTAGTAGAGACAGGGTTTCATCATGTTGGCCAGGCTGGTCTTGAACTCCTCACCTCAGGTGATCCACCCACCTCGGCCTCCCAAAGTGCTGGGATTACAGGCGTGAGCCACCGCACCTGGCCTACATGTGCATCTTGATCTAAAAGCCTAGAAGCACAGTTAAAAAGAGAAAAGCCTATCTAGGGAAAGAGTAAAGACTTTGATTTTCTAATACAAAATTCGCTTAGCCTATCTTTAAAAATTTTCTTTCTTTGACAAACCGTGACAACTTACAAGCCATACAGTTTTCTTCGGGGAACCAACACCATTTACCCATTAGGGATGCTGCTTCCAGATCCAGTTTTTCTTTTTGAGATATAGTTCCCTATTTTTGTGTACCGCACCTCTGTTTCTTGTTTGATACATGCATATTCCTGCATTTGTTAAGATTCGTTTGGTTGCAGACAATGGAATTCAGAATGTTGCTAACTTCAGCTGCAAGTGAGAACTTGTTGGAAGGGACCAAGATGCCACCCACAGGGTTACCTGCCAGGAGCAGATGGCAACAGGAACTGGAACTCCATGGGGCACCGAGAAATGGTCTCTCTGTCCTTTGCTTCTGCTTTGTTGTATACATCTGATTCATTTCTTCTTTCTTGAGGCCAACTGCTGTTTTCTGCTCATTAATCCACAAGGCCGAATGTGGCCAACAATGGGTCTCCACTTCCCTGTGTTCAATCGCCACCTGCTGGAGAAAAACTTTTTTCTTTGTCCCAGATCGAAATTTCCAGACTGGCCCCTTTGGGCCAGTCAATCTTGGCCTGCAGGGCTGGCTACAGGATCTGTGAGGCCCAGTGAGAAATAAAAGCGTGGTAGCCTTTATTCCCAAAGCAGGGGGACGTGTCCATCGTGGTACTCAGCGAGCTTCTTTGTTTCTTCTGCAGTCTCTTTTTCGACTTGTCATGGTGCTTTTTATTTTCCATTTACTGTTGTTCTAAGTAAAGAAAACTCAATGTTAAATTATTAGCAAGCATTTTACCATTCATCTTTATATCAAACAATGCCAGTTTTAAATGTAAATTTCAGAGCGTTTAACTTATATGCAGAACCACTGAAATTACACAATTGGTGTTTGTGACTTGTTGGCCAGAAGAGACAAACACAAACCAAACTCATAAAGATTGGAAGCAGGAAGACAAGTTGCCTCCAGGTTTGCCCAACGGGGATGTTCTTTCAGGCCTGGACATACTGGATGAGCGGGGGGAGTCCAGACCCTTCCAGGCATCCAAGGGCCCTGTCAGCCACCAGACACATGCACTGAGACCCAGCCAGGGAGGCAGGATCTAGGGAAATTGGTCCAGCTGTCTCCCCTTTCCACAGCCTTCCCCAGCCAGCCACAGCAGACTAACCTCCAAGGATCTCTAAACCTCTGTGCTATGACACCCTCAGTACCTGGGCTAGGGGTGGGCAGAGGTTTGCCCCCATCGAGAAACAGCCTCCGGCCGGCCCCGCCACATACACTGTGTGCTGCCAGCCTAGGGCAGGGACGGCCACCACCATGCCAACCCGAGATGCTGCAGGGTGCATGCACCCTATCCTGGCCCTCTCTGTGCCTGTACCCAGGACCCTGTGAAGTGTGGACAGCAACAGTGGCCATAGGTCAGGGCAGAAAGGGGGAAGCCAGGTGGAGAGCACAGGCAGCTGAGAGCTGGTCGTGGGAGGCAGCCACAGGTGGAGCCATGCATAAGCCAGGCTTCCAAAGCACAGATTCAAAGATAAAGTTACGTCCGGGTGCAGTGGCTCACGCCTGTAACTCCAGCACTTTGGAAGGCCGAGGCAGGCGGATCACTTGAGGTCAGAAGTTGGAGACCAACCTGGCCAACATGGTGAAACCCCATCTCTACTAAAAATACAAAAGTTAGCCAGGCATGGTGGCAGATGCCTGTAATCCCAGCTATTTGAGAGGCTGAAGCAGGAGAATCACTTGAACCCGGGAGGTGGAGGATGCAGTGAGCCGAGATCACACCACTGCACTCCAGCTTGGGCGACAGAAAAAGACTCTGTCTCAAAAAAAAAATAAATAAATAAAAGATAAAGTTATGAAGACTCTCAAGACAGCGCCACAGAGGATTAACCCCCGCACAGAGCCCTTTTCATTGGTCACTTGCTCAGCCAGCTGCCCCAGTGGCCTGTGATGGGAGTGGGAAGTGTGGGGTTGGGTGATAACCTTCTAAAGTTAGAACCGTTCCCAGAAATGCAGACGGGAGAGCTTTGGGAAAACCATCCAAACCTTGTTATTTTTTATGACAAAGTAGGAATGCCACCCTGGCCCTCTAAATTCATAAACAGTCACAGACATGGGATTAAACTACATATAATTTCTGCAACGTGGCTTATAGGCATCATTAAACAGCTGCAATATGTTGAATGGCTATGTCATCATAGATTAGCTACGATACTGGCTATGGACTTCAAGACTCCATGTGTCCTGGCCCCTGCCCTTCCACCCCTCTGACCCGAGATGCAGTTCTAACAGGTTCCCGGGTGATGCTGCTGCTGCTGACCCTTGCCCATCCCGGAGCTCACTTTGAGAGCTGGCTGAGATCCCAGGCAGGGTGGCCAGTGGCTGCTCCAGGGCTGTGAAGGGCTCCCCCTGCAGACGGAGGAACTAGGCCTCCCAGCGCCTGTAACTGGAACGTTGGCGGCTTGAGAATGGACTTGCCCTGAAGGCCGGCCTCCTGCTGCTCTGGGAAAAAGAGGGAACAGAAGAAAGCAATCCGCCACCTTGGGGACTCCTCCTGGATTAGCATTATCTAGGTGAAGAAAGTGAGACCATCACCTACCAACCAGATAACTCATTCCACCTCTGTGGGCAAACTGGCAGAGCAGCAAATAAGCTTCCTTAATCCCAGTGCGCCCACACCCTGCTCAAGAGCTCATGGGCACGTGTTCATCTTCAGGCCAAAGATGGGGAGCCAGGGAGTGACAGACTGTCACTCCAGGAGAGTCACCCGGGGGTGTTAGGATCCCCACATTTGCACCCCCTGAAATCTAATCAGCATTTTCCAGCTGTTCCTAATCTGACCTGTGCAAATGGAATCTCATTGGAACTTGCATTTTTCATTATAGTAACTCATATGGCCTCTGTGTTTCGCCTGTTCATAGCCTTTGACCATTTTTCTAGCTAGTTGTCTTTTCCTACTGACTGATAGTAGCTCTTTGGTTTTTGTTACTGTTAGTCCTTTATAGATGTGGCAAACTTTTTTATTTGCTATTTCACTATTTGCCTTTTGACTTCATAATGTGCCATGACTACCCATGTGACAGGCTCTTTGAGCCTCAGTTTTCTCATCTAAGAGATGGGGAAACAGTCACCACACTGGCTTAGTGGAGCATCAAATGCGGTAACGTCTATGCT